>NC_000015.10:47651874-48276874 GCF_000001405.40 Homo sapiens | reverse complement strand
TACTCCCATGGTTTACCTGACCCCAGACTTCTGGTTTCTTCACCTTTCTGACTTCTCCTTCTCTTCTTTGGGGCCTTTTTCCTACACTTTCGAGTCCTTGGCTACATGCAGTCTTTGAGTTCTATTTTCTAGGGTGGTGGTTTCAATCCACATTAGCCATGATGTCTCCTGTATTAGTCCGCCCAGGCTGCCATAACAAGTGTCACAGACAGGGTGTCATAAGCAATAAAAATTTATTTCCTCACAATTCTGGAGGCCGGAAGTCCAAGGTCAAGGCATCGGTAGGATTGATTTTATTCTGAGGCCTCATTCCTTGGCTTGAAGATAGCTGCCTTCTCACCATGTCTTCACATGATCACCCCTCAGTCTGTATCCTAATCTCTTCTTATAAGGACATCAGTAATATTGGATTAGGGCCCACCCAAATAACCTAATTTTACCTTAATTACCTCTTTAAAGACCCTGTCTCCAAATACAGTCACATTCCGAGGTCCTGGGGGTTAGCACTTCAACATATGAATTTGGTGGGGGAGACACAGTTCAGCCCATAACATCTCCTAAATCTGTATTTCCAGCTCAGATTTCTCTTTTATGATGAGGACTGTCTAACTGCCTATTAGACATTTCCCGTAGGATTTCCCAGAGGAGATTGTTTGAAATTGAGCCAGGCATCTCCTCATTAAACCTATACTTCCTCTTGCATTTCCCATTTCCATTGGCTCATCCAGTCAGCCAGGGAGTTTTTCTTTACTCCTCCCTTTCCCATATCCCACACATTCAATCAACTCCCAAACGCTGCTCTTTGTACCTGCAAAATACTTTTCAATTCTGTTCTTTTCTCTCCATCCCTACTGAGGCTGCCCTAGTTCAAGCTGTCACCTTGTCTTGTTTGATTATTGTAGAACTCTTTGATTTATCTATTTCCATTCTAGTCCTGAGTCCATGCCCCATATAACCGAAAGAGCATGATATCTAAAACCCAAGTTTGACCACCTTATTCCCTCATTTGAATCTCTCTGATGGTTCCTCATTACCTACAGAATGTGATCCATCTTTTTAATATGACAAATGAGGCTTTTACAGTCTAGATCCTCCTTATAGTGGCAGCCCCATATTTTACTATTGTCGGCTTCCTACTTTTCAATTCAGTAACATGAATCTGCTTTTGGTTGTCTACATATTCCATTCCTCTCTATTCTCATGTCCTCACCTTTACAAATGCTTTCCTCTTTGTCAGGAATGCATTCTCCAAACTGTCTCCTTACTTTTCTCTCCCTCAACTTTGTCTGGTTAACTCCTACTCATCCAGTGCATCGCAAATCAAAGGTAATTTTTGCCAGAATGCCTTTTTGGAGTGAGTTAGGTGCCCCTTCTTTCTTTCCCATAATTCCTTATTTATACCTATTATAATGCTAATAATTGATCTACTTCCCTTACTAGGTTGTGTGTCTCTTGAGGGCACGACAGAATTTATTAATCTTGGTCTACCCAGCACCACTTGCACCTACACTATGCCTGGTACATAACAGGCACCAGAAAAGCATTGTTTTTTCTTAATGTTGTGTTGTAAGTGGACTCTGTCGTGAAGCTCAGCGGAAGAGGGAAATCATGAATTCATGTCTTGTGCTAATTTTTCAGTAAGTATATCAATATGTTCTTTATTTCATACACAAAAGAGTATGTTTAAATTCTAAGACTAAGCAAATATACCAAATTCTCTACAGGGAAAAAACAAAGAGTCACTCATCTGAATTAGTGTTTCTGCCTCTGACTTAGATTAGTGATTCACAGCATGATACATTCAGGCTCATTTCCATGTTAGCTACAAACCAGTTCATAGACTCTCAAAAGCAAAATACGTGTTTTTCCAAGGAAAGAATTAATCTTCATTTTCTGAGACATCTTGCAGAAATTAATTTGGCAGGTTATTTTACCGAAGGTGTTTATTTTCCTTGATGCTGGCTTTGTGGTTTTGTGATAAGAAAAATAATTGATGACTACCTTGAATTCCTCTATATTTCTGGTTAGCAGGGCAAAGGCTACTTGTCTTAGCATTGAAGAAAATACTGGGGGAACTATATGCACTACGAGTAGCACTAGAATGTAAGCTCCACTGTCAAGGAGTTTTGTCTATATTGTGCCCTGCTGTATCCCATAACAATGTCAGGCACAAAGTAGGTGCTCAATAAATACTTGTTGGTTGAATAAAGAAAGTACATACCTTGCACCTGAAGAACCTGAGAGATGTCAAATCCTTGGCTGATTCTGACTATAACCACGCCAATCTCAAAATCAAATGCATCACTGAAAGAGGAAGCAAAGCAGTCAGCGTTTTAAATGGCTCTTTTAATCCTCAAGCTTTGGACTAGTATTACACTTGCTTCTAGGATTTTGATATAATGAAACTATTAAAATCCACCTTAGAATATAGCCAAGAGCTGATGCATTTGTTTGTTTGTTTGTTCTTCCCCTATGCGTTTTTAAAGTATATTTTGGGTAGAGGTAACTAAATTATTCACTTTAGCCAATTTGTTCAAATAATACTATAAATCAGAATTTTGATTAAGAGCTTGTTGCATCTTTTAAAAATAATCGAATCTTTTATACAGTGAGCAAAACAATCACTGGTATATTTAGAACAGAGAGTTTACAGACTGCAAAGACTCTTTGAAATGATTAGCCACCACCCCCAACCTGGCCGCCTCCCAGAAGGACTCCTGTAACATTTCTGACATCAAGTTCATGGTTAGAAATTTCTCCAGTTCCTCTATAGAATTTTCAGAATTGACTCTAAACCGGTCATTTGGAGCAATGCTTTTTCATGGCAACTCTACATACTGGCTCTTGTGTTTTCTCTGTATTCAACCCAAAGGAATTAAATTACCTAGAAGAGAAATAAAGTCTGTCTTTCTTTTATCTCTGTTTGAAGAGATTAAAGTTTAAGAGATAAATGTTTTCTCTGGTGCTAAATATGGAAGCAAGTCAATTAATACTTTGAGTCATTTAAATTTTTTTCATTGGGAGGTCCTTTGTTTATACTTCTATGGATCTAAAACTTAATGACTTCTTGCCATTAGGTCATCCTACCCCAGAAACAATTGTCCCACCATATGCAAACGGTTTCCAATGGCCTAGGTAAGTCTGAATTTTCATTTGGTATACATAAGTTTGGTGCAATATGAATATCCACTCAAAATCCAAACCATAAGTAATCTTTACTTAACAGAATAGTTCTATTCTGGCACAAGCTGTCACAAAGTAAATTCCTCATAAACAAATCTTGTTTCTGATTGTCCTCAATTATAAAAAGTAGACAATGTGCTCCACAAAAAAATTTGGATTCTATGTTAGGTAGAATAATGCACCCTCAAAGTATCCTAATTCCTGGAACCTGTGAGTGTACTTCCTTACATGGCAAAAGGGACTTGGCAGATGTGATTAGGTTAAGGACTTTGAGATGGGGAGATTATCCTAGATTACCTGGATGGGACAAGAGTAATCACAAGAGTACTTAAAAGTGAAATTAGGAGGCATAAAAGGAGGTCACAGTAATGTGGTGTGAGAGGAACTTGACCAGCCATCGCTGGCTTTGAAGATTGAGAAAGGCATTCCTGAGCCACACCCACATGAGGGGAGCTTCTGGAAGCTGGAAAAGGCAAGGTCAGAAATTTATCCTAGAGCCTCCGGAAGGGAATGCAGCCTGGCCCACACGTGCCAGACTAATCGACAGAACTGTAAGATAATCAAGTGTAGGTTTTTTTTTTTTTTTTTTTTGACAGTCTGACTCTGCCACCCAGGCTGGAGCACAGTGGTGTGATATTGGCTCACTGCAACCTCCGTCTCCCAGGTTCAAGCAATTCTGCCTCAACCTGCTGAGTAGCTGGAATTACAGGTGTGCACCACCACGCCAGGCTAATTTTTGTATTTTTAGTAGAGGTTGGGTTTCATCATCTTGACCAGGTTCGTCTCAAACTCGAGACCTCAAGTGATCTGCCCACCTTGGCCTCCCAAAGTGCTGGGATTATAGGCATGAGCCACTGCGCCCAGCCTAAAGTATTGTTTTAAGCCACTAAATTTTGAGGTAATTTGTTATTGGCAGCCATTGAAAACTAATATATACAAATTCTAATTAAAATTAAACCATACTTGGCTGGGCAAGATGGCTCATGTCTGTAATCCAAACACTCTGGGAGGCCAAGGCGGTGGATCACCTGAGGTCAGGAGTTCAAGACTAACCTGGCCAACATGGTGAAACCCCATCTCTACTAAAAAATATAAAAATTAGCTGGGCATGGTGGTGTGCACCTGTAGTCCTGGTTACTTGGTAGGCTGAGACAGGAGAGTCGCTTGAACCTGGGAGCTGGAGGTTGCAGTGAGCCAAGATTGTGCCACTGCACTTCAGCCTGGGCAACAGAGCGAGACTCTGTCTTAAAAAACAAACAAACAAACAAACAAAAAACTAAACCATACTTAAGAATATTACAGACATTTAAAATCTTTTATTCAAAGAAAAATGGTAAAATACTATAGTCTTATAATAATAGCCCTGTGTTAACAATAATACTGTGATTTAAGTCATAAAGCCACAAAAATTGGAAAGGGAAATGTAATATGGATACATGATTGTCATTATTAGCCCCATTGCTGTGCTAGAAAAGTCATTTAACTTTACCAGTCCAGCTAGGTTTTATACTAGTACAAATCTGGGTCACCCTAATATTGAACTTTATTACCAAGGAGATCTATTATTAATTTGTCATAAAAGCCAGAGGCCTCCTTGGTTCAGTATTACTGGGTTTGATTATTTTGCTCCCTTTGGATTTCTAGAATGTTTGGGATGGTAGAGAGGTTGGAAGACAGTCCAAGGTAATTCTATATCAAATAATGGACTATTTCATTGAAGATTTACACGTTACTTCCTATTTGCTCTTTTTCCCCTCCTCCATCCCTTTTGTTCCCCAAGGTGAAGATGAAATTTTACTGAAGAATCTGGGTAACAGAGGACAGATCTGGTCAATTTCCAAGAATGTCTGATCAGCAACTGACTATGATTCTAAATATATCAAAATACTGTTTGCTGAGGCTGGTAAAATTCTGATCCCGATCACCTGGTTTAGCCTTAACTTACTGAACTTATAACACCAGCAGGAGCCAGATGACAGTACGTGGCCCCAGGCTTTATATGTTTGGGAAACACAATGCACTTAATATATAGGTTCCTCACATTAGAAAGACTGTTGAGTGAATTTCTGTTTGTTCAGTAATGCCTGTACATTCAGAAGATAAAAGTTATTTTCTTATGCTTCCTTTCAGTAGAACTAAGAGTACTTTTGTTAATATGTTGCATAAATATAATGATAAATGTTATGATTATAATAACAAGGGGTAGAAGAAATAGCCTGCTTTAAGAAGTGTTAAGCGTATACTTGTTTTCCTTGGATAGGATGAACTTTGAAGTGCAGCTGTATCTCTCAGGGTATGTCATGTACCCTGTAGTCTGAAATCAAAGTGCAGCCAGATCCCAGACACAGGAAACCTTCCATTTCCAGAGATGTTGACACAAAAGATGGCTTTTGGGCATAGCTAACATTGCCGCTCTGGAGTCTGATTAAGTATTTTCAAGCCTAGAAGAAATGCTCAACTTTCTTTTCTTTTTTTTCTTGAGGCAGAGTTTTAATCTTGTTGCCCAGGCTGGAGTGCAGTGGCGCAATCTCAGCTCACTGCAACCTTCACCTCCCAGGTTCAAGTAATTCTCCTGCCTCAGCCTCCCAAGTAGGCGCCCACCACCATGCCCAGCTAATTTTTGTATTTTTAGTAGAGACGGGGTTTCACCATGTTGGCCAGGCTGGTCTGGAACTCCTGACCTCAGGTAATCCACCCGCCTCGGCCTCCCAAAATGCTGGGATTACAGGGGTGAGCCACCATGCCTGGTTGAAAGGCTCAACTTTCTACAGTGTTTCTCTCTGTATGTGTAGAATTTGTTTTCTCTTATTCAAAGGAAGAAACCAAGCCAGGTAATACTTGAAGTATATATGTATACTCCAAATATTACATATTATATACTCCAAGTATTATGTGTGTGTGTGTGTATATATATATATATATATATATATATATATATATACACACATACACACATAAGTATTATATATTATATACTCCACAATTGTGTGTATGTGTATATATATAAATAATATATATATACTTGGAGTATATAATATATATATGAAATACTTTGGAGTATGTAATATATAATATATATAGTATAAAATATATAATACTTGTTTTGGAGTATATAATATATAGAGAAAGCATAGCGTTATAGTCATGAGTTTCAACTTTGAATTTGGATAGTCCTGGGTTGGAATTCCAGCTCTGTCACTAAATGCTGAGATTTTTCAGCATGCTACTTAATTTTTAATGTCTTTTTCTCCACTTGTAGAATGGGAAAAAATATTAGTACTTCCTTCGAAATCTTCTTATGAGAATTAAATGAGATAATACATGTTAAAGACATTAGCCTGCAGCCTGCTAGTCCTTTAAGATCTATCATTATTACTTACATCCTAAGTCTCCTCAAATATTTAGCTATTAGAGGTTATGTACCACCGGAAACTCACATTCTGTGCACAAGCCAATGATGCTCCACCTGGTAGCAGAAGCACCTGGCATATGGGAGCCTCTTAGCAGAGGGAGATATAGGGCTCTGGGATAGTGAACGAATTATCAGAGGCTCAGAAGAAGACAATGACTGAATTGGAGACACCAGCCAACCCAAGATTCCAGGTGTTTTGAAAGAAAAATTTCTCCTTGCTTAGCTGTGCTTTCCTTTTAATCTTGTAAATAGATTTTAAGGTTGTAACTCTAAACATTTACTTTTTTCTCTGACACGGGCGTTTCTCTCACCCTGCCTCCTCTGACACTCTGATTCCCTCAAACTCTATTATTGGTGGTGTTTTTTTCACCTTGGAAAAGAAGTCAGAGTACCAGGGGAATGTACTCTTCTCAGGCAATTTAATCTGACACAACAGTGTTATGTGCAGTACAAGTTATGTACTGCCCTGCTTAGTGCTTTATAAACAAGAACACGTCTTGAAAGCCATCACTTACTGTATGATTCCCACGTAGTTCTCAATCTCTGTCAAGGGAGCTTTCCTCCAGTTTTTCTTATATCCAATCACCAGAGTGTTTGGTTTCATTCTTCCTAAGCCTGAGGCCTAAACAGAGGACATAAAAATGTGGGCAATCCTTACCGTACTGGGAAACTACCATCACAAATGAAAAATAATGTCTAAAGGAGCACTGAAGTAATGTTCTGAAGATCCTGAAGATTAGATTACATTTTAGTGCATGTCCTTCATGCCCGTACCCAAGCATAAAATGGAAAGATTAATTCTAAATCATCCCAGCTATAAATGGATTTTAGATGACAGAAATGTAGCTTTTCTAAATTAGCAGTCATTTGCATTTCTTCTGACACAGTCATTAAAATGGTTCAATAATTTAAAATCAAGTGAGGGTCAGCTTAACTGTTGGTATGCATGTTGTAACTTAGTGGTTCAAAGCTCAATTCCACCTGTTATATCCATAATGTCATTAGCAATAAAATCCATGTTTGGAAAATTCTTATGTACAAGGATCACTAAAATCTCTACTTATGTTATTTATTGAAGAGTGACTGAATTATGTTTCCAAAACCTAATTCTTTTATGTGACAGTATCATTAATAGCCATCTTCCATATCAGAAGTGTTGTTTCCCTTCATTAGATGACAGCATACAGCTTCCAGTTAATCAAATTTAATTCAACAATATTACTAAGCACCTATGAATTGCATAGTGCTATGTCTTGTCCTTTTGCCATGGTTCTCCTGTACTTCACTTTTTATGTGAAGAAATTCATATGAATGTATGCATGTTCAAATTTTCTACCATTTCTTCTGGATTCTAATAATTCTTTTTCATACTTGTGTCTTTTCTTTCCCTGCTCTTATTTTATGTCCATATTCCCATTCCTAGTTGAAAATATTATTTTAAAATCTTGTATGATAATTTTATAATAAATGACTAATAGTGACAACATATTTAACCAAAGAGCTATTGAAAACTAACTTGGTACTGAAAGAAAAATCAGCATCTTGCAATAACACCTATTTCCATGGTTTAGCAAATTAATAACAGATGAAAAGAGGCTCATTGTGGGTAATAGGTTTTGCAGAAATTGTTTCTCTGTACGTGCATCTACTTCGCAAGTGTTCTTAAGGGAAATTAGGCACAGGATTGCATCAAATACTCTTAAGCTCCAAAATATTACCAATTAAGCTTAACCAATATTTTTTCTTTCCTGCCTGCATGCGCATCTGAGTTACCTGGATGCAGTTCTGACTTCTGACACTCTGAAATACAGTAACTCTGAAAGCCAAATGCACCATTTCATATATATATAATTAGGGTTTTCAACCATATTAAACCCAAAATGCTCGGAAAGCCAAGCTCTACAATTTCTGAGGGTCTCTTGGATTGTTTTAAGGATTCTTTGTCACTCTAAATTATGACGATCAGAACTAGGAAAAGATTTTATGTACTTACTATAGCAGAGATGAAGGAAAAAGGAAAAAATAAGGGAAAAAAGATGTGAGAACTATGGGATTTAAGGTTGAGCTGTAGAGATTATTACATTTTATTCAACATTCTGGAAATAATTCAGGAGGATAGGGAGATTTTATGCCCAGATCACCATGCATTAATTTAGTTGGTCTAGCAGCTGCCCTAACACCATTTGCAAAAGAAAAAAGGAAAAGAATGCCTGACTTGAGCATTGCTATATGCAGTATGAGATATAAAAATAGTTTGAAGTTTCAATAGGATCCTGAATGTCGTCAACCACCAGAACAAATTTGCATTTCAATAAGTACGGGGGCAGAATGTATGCTGGTGGCCAAAGGCAACCTCATTTTCCGTTTCCAGTGTATCATTCATAGTTCATTGTAATAGAACTTCTCTGCTTTTGTTCTAGCTTTGCCTATACCCAGGAATTCAAAATAATCCCTTAACCATCTGCACTGATCTCTGATGCTTGGCTGCCTAACTACAGCTGTTCACTTTGGGAGCCTTATTAACATGGAGCACTAATTGTCTTTTGCCTCTGTGCTCATTCCCTCAATGCAGCCTTACCTGAAGAAGACTTCGGACACCATCCCTGAAACAGTCTGCCGCCACTGCAGCATAAAAAGCCTTGATTTTGTTCTTTATAAGCCAGGCCTGTTTTTTCGCCATGCCACTGTTCATCTCCTTAACACACAGTTTGCGCGGTCCCTGTGTGACACAATGAAATATTGGTTAGAACCCTGCTATTATATATCACATTGCTGTTGTTTTCTAAAGGACAAAAATAGCCAGCAATGCCCCATTGAGTTAAGAAATGGGAAAGAGGGAAAAACACCTCACTGAACAGGGTTCCACAGATTCAGCCTTTTGGAGATGACCTGCGGTATTCACACCATTCATTTTCTACCCAAAACATCTAGACTGATTAACATCTGCTTAATTTACTGCCTGACACTGAATGAAAGGAAGAGTTGAGGGCAACATGACACAAGGAAAATACTGAAAATGTGACTGAAGAGGCTTAGGATAAATACACAATCAACCTTTGACTCATTAGCGAGAGCCACTTTCAGGAACACGAAAGAAATCTCAGCTGGAGCCTAATTTCAAGAAATGGACAGAGCTCCATGGGAGGTAGAACATGGTGACCTGCAAATCCTGCCATGAACTGCACATCTTGTCAATTCTATTTGGCTGATGCGTTGCTTTTTCGTGTGGCAAAAATACCCTTATACCACTTTTCCCTGTGTAATGTTGCCACACTTCCATTCAAATACATTAACATTTCCTTGTCATTCAATGAATTTGGTGGGAACAAAGGTTTACGTACCTATGACCTAAGAAGAGTGGAAGAGATTAAGAGGGAAGAAGACAGGTGTTGTGATGGTTGATAAGGCATTTTATAATTTCAAGATTTAGTTCTGGAAACACATTTTTAATGAAAAATTCTATTTTTATTTCTCCTTCCTTAAATGTCCAAGCTAGTTCTTTTCTTCTCATGATGTAATTCAATCCAAAAGTTATTTCTGATTATCTGCCATATGTCTGACAGGGTACAAATCCATTTTCCCAGGAAATTCTTTTAATTTATAGAGAGATTTGTATTTTGTTGAGATGGCTTAGATTTTACATGAATCACTTGGGATCTTGATAAAATGCAGCCTTGTGGGTATTGAAGCAGGGCTCAATATTTTGCATTTCTAACAAGCTCCTGGAGGCAACAGATGCTGCTGCTCCTTAGACAGACCACACTTGGAGTCACGGTCTTAAAGGGTCTTAGATTGGAGAGAAAGGACATTGGGATGCATGAAAAAAAAAAAAAAGCCCAGGCTTTGCGGTCAGACAAAACAGGTCTCAGATCTAAGCCTGAGGAGGTAATTCCTTATCTCTGAGCTTTTGTATCTTATCCTTAAAATGAGGATAAACTCTTGCTCGTGCAAGGTTGCTTTAAGTAGTAATAATAAAGTACCTAGTGCAATGTCATCAAAGCCCCGGATGTGATTTTACCACTGTGCTTGCAGGAACACTGAACTGTGAGTCAGAATGTTGGGTTGAGATCTGGCACTGACTGGCTGACACCCTGGGTCTGCCATTTGTCCTCTCTTGAGGTATGTTCTACATTGATAAAACTCAGGCAATTGCCTAGGTCATCACTGCCCAATATGATAGCCTGTATGTCCATGCTGCTATTGAACATTTGAAATGTGGCTGGTTCACATTGAGATATGCTGGATGCATAAACTACACACTGGATTTCAAAGTCCTACTACAAAAAAGAATGTAAAATATCTCATTAATGTTTCTGTATTGATTCTATATTGAAATTACAATATTTTGGACACACTGGGTTAATACAATATTATTAAAAATAACTTTACCTATTTCTTTTTCCTTTTTAATTGGCTACTAGAAAATTTTAAATTACATATATGGCACATAATATATTTCTATTACACAACATTCAATCTCTGGGGTCCCTTCCATTTTAATATTCTATTTAAATTGGATCAGACTCTTTATATTCTTATTTTTTCCAGCATATTTCCTAGAACCTGCCAACTTTTCAAAACAGTTTGGTTGACTTCCCATTAAAGGAAAATTTAAAAACAAGAAACTTCCATGAAGATAGAAAAGATAGAGAGATTGGCAGGGTAGTTACTAAACTAGATGACCTAGTCTAAGGAAAGATATGCCATTATGGATCAATTTAGCTCAGGTTTCCAGATTGTCAATGCATTTTGAATCACTAGTCCTTCTTTGAGCATTCTAAACTTCATCAACTGCAAAAAAAAGAAAGAATATTTTATTCAAGGAAGTTCAGTGGTTACAGCAGCCATTAGATAGAAGAATAACAAACAGGAAATACTTTGAACCATCAGTGTAGTGAGTTGTACCACAGTGACTGTGAACCCCTGGGGAGAATGGCATTTATTTAAATAAACACAGTCTAATGTATGTCTGTTAGTATTATAAAAATCCAGATTAAACATTAATTGTGACAGAGAGATTTACTTTAATGCCTAAACTTGCCATATTGAGAAGTCATAAAAATGTTTCATGCAGAATCTCTCTTTGCTAAAAACGATTATAACATCATTGTAGCACACTTATTAATGTGAAGCAAGGAAGGCTGCAATACAAATGTGGTAAGAATAAAGCAAACTAGCAAAGAGAAAAGACATACTGGAATACAATTATTCAACATTCAAATATGCCATAGTTACAAAAATGAATTTTACTACCCCATTATAATATTATAGAGATTAGCTTCAGTTGGGATCCAAAATATGAGTATATAAATTAATTCAGGATTCAAACAAAGAAGCTTTAAAAATCTTGTATATATTATAACTTTGATATTAATTGAGAAAGGGGTAAAGCATTTCTAATTATGTAGTGTGGAGAAGTTGATGTGATGTTACTTTAAATACGTGACTATCATGAAAAAGAGTTTGTAAAGGGGTTCCAACCCCATTCGGATCAAACAGAGGAATTCACCAAGTGCAGTATTCCTTCCAACTTTTTTCTTTTTTTTAACATTGAAAGTCTTATTAGTCTGTCTTTGTTTTCATGGATGCTTTGGTTGGAATTGTGGGAAAGAAAATTTTTCCCTTTCTGATTTGGTCCATATTATCTTACCATACATGCTAGTGCCCATTCATAGGTCATTTCATTCTTTCAATATTTGGTCATGTCACTATTTTATTAACATCATAACAGAGGCTCACTGATAAAAAAAATAAGATGCATCTAGAAAGAATACATTTTTTCCTTGGTGGATGTGAAATTTGAGATTAAGAGGAGGCTGAAAGATAGAAGAAGAAATGAGAATTTAGTTTTCCCTGGGTTATAAGGGCTTGAACTGCCTTCCTTATGCAGTTCAAGAGTTAAGAGGTAGGTGTCTTCTGTGAGATTTATTGAGAACTCCTCAAACAGAGAATTCAAAGAGAGCCTTAGGTTTTCTTAAGATATTTTATAATTTTTTAGAAAAAAAACGAGAAAAAGAAACAGGGTAAAAGTCTAAGAGCCGGTCAAAGTCCATCCCTTTCCTCCTTTACAGGAGAGGACAATCAGGTTTAAAGTAACATTAATGAATAAGAAAAACATGAATGAAAATAGATTTACATTTTGGTATCCGTGTGTGAAATGATGAGAAGAATACCCATAAAATTCAGATAACATTGCCTCTGGGAACAGAGAGAACCAGGGGTCTGGAGTGGTATTAAAAGGGGCTTTAACTTGATCTGTAATGGCTTATTTCATTTAAAAAGTGAGTGGAGGGCCGAGTGCAATGGCTCATACCTATAATGGACTTTGGGAGGTCGAGGAGGGCAAATCGCTTGAGCCCAGGAGTTGGAGACCAGCCTGGGCAACATGGCAAAACCCTGTCTCTACAAAAAATACAAAAATTAGCTGGGTGTGGTGGCACATGCCTGTAGTCCCGGACACTGGGAAGGCTGAGGTGGGAGGATTGCTTGAGCCTGGGAGCTCAAGGCTGCAGTGAGCTATGATTGCGCCATTGTACTCCAGCTTAAGTGACAGAGGGAGACTCTGTCTCAAATAAATAAATAAATAAATAAATAAAAATAAAGTGAGTAGAAGCTTCTATAACCAATTTTTTTTCTTTTTTTAGGCAGGGACTCACTGCATCTGGCCCAAAATGTTAACAGTCATTAATTAGGAAAAGTAGAATATAAATTAAAGGTCTCATTTAATTTTATATAGTGAGCCATATGAAACTGCCAGTATCAAACGATTTTGATCTATAAAAATGCAAATTTTATATGATTCAACCTAATTAATTTTTTTAGTGTTTCAAAATTTAAAAACAGAATCAATCTTTTTAAAAAATTCTTATTTCTTCAGCCACCAGCACAACATAATGTACTTGATAAAAGATGCCACTGTAAACCTGAAAGCCTTTTGCAAGGTAAGACAAGCAAAATTGAGAAAAGAGGTAAGTGGCGTGTTTTTGGACAATAATGACTTTATCTGATTTGTGTTCCAAATCCCAGGTCAATGGAATCGACTTTCAATTCAATTAACTTTTGATCCTTAAATGTATATCTGTTTATTCATTTTAATAAAAAAATTCCTATTTTTAAATGTAAAATTGAGAAGTATATGAATAAGGAACTGCTGCAGTATGATGCCTTTGCACCTGGGAAAGGTAAGTGTCAACTGATCCCATAAGACTTCTAGAACTGAACATAGTGTGCCCAGAGAATTACAGGTACATAAATTCAAATTAAGTTATCTGGGATGATTGGTTTGGATATCTCTGCATCTACTATGAATGACATAAGTGAGGAAACTCATTGACAAAGGCAGTGCTTATATGTGTCAGGATACATAGGGTAAAACTGGTGGAGGATGCAACTTGCAACTTTTAACTAATAACTTACCTTTTGCTGAACCTGTTGAACTTGGCTATGCTTAGAAATATGAGGGGGATGCTACAAGGTGGAGTTTTCCTCCCTCTGTCTTCCTATGGTGATAAAAATGATAGGTACAAAAGAACAAATGACCCACATATTTAATATAAAGCCTATTGGGATAGAAATATGTCATTTATTTATTTTGTTAGTTCAAAAGAGAAGAATAGACAGTATTTTTTAAATTACTGAGCTGGATTCTTTAGAATGGGTCCCCAAATTTACCCTGATGAAGAGTTGCTCACTTGAAATCTTTAAGCTGAATAGTAAAAAAGCAAGAGAGAGGAAGAGGCCTGCGGAGAGTGTTAAGAGTTAGCTGGATAGTTGGAAGGCCACAGCGGGTGCTTGGGGCCCAGCAAAGAGTACAGCTCTCTTAATTTCAAATAATGATTATTTGAAATTAATTTCAAATCAAATAATGATTTACCATGCTGCAGTTGCAGGAAATGACAGCTGTGGCCACACATTTTCCCTCTACCCACCCACATCAAAATGCCAATGAGTTCTACGTCTTGCTCCTTTCTGGTAATGTAACAGCACTTAAAGCAAGTACTTCAATAGCTGCAGGCCACCAGAAGGATGGAGCCCAGAGCCTGCTGTCTTGTGATTAGTGGGTGGAAGCACATATCTCACTGTTACATCATGATCAAACTGCTGCACACTTAAAAAGTTCAAAATCCAGTGTCTGGACCTCATTTTTCTAAGAAGGCATGCTTTAGGTTTTTATTGAAGGTAATATATTTCTGGAATAAAAATGGCAACTATAGCATACCAAAAATAATGATATTGACAATAACAATATCACAATAACAATGAAAGTTAATTGAGCATTTACTCTTTGAGGGACACCATACTCAGCATTAGAAAGCTTATCTTCTATAATTCAAATAGCAACTCTATAACATAGGTGCTATTTTCATTATTTTCATTTTACAACTGAGAAAATTAAGGCACAGAGAGATGAAATTATGTGCCTAAGGGACTCACGGCTAATAGGTGGCAAAATAATGATTTGAAACTTGACTGTTATTCTCAAAAGCCCATGAGCACCATCTTTCTAGACTTAAAAACTAAATTGTCTTTCTCTTATTATCATCACTATTTAACATTTTCCACAAGGTTGGCCTAACCATCAACCATTGTCCTTTTGGAAAAAAATTTCTAATGGCATACTTACTCCCCCTATATCCCCTTCCATCTGTTTCTTTGCAAAGATGATTGACGACTGAGCCTAGAGTCTAAAAATGCTGTCAACATCTGCAGCCCCAGGAGCTCATACAAAGTAACTAACTGGAAAGTCATTAACTGATGCAGTAACTATTTTCTGTCCCCAAGAGAACCTTGGCACCTTGGAGCAGGACTCTTGGGCCCTGCATGGAGAGACCAGTATAGTAATGTATAATGCAGCCCAACATATGTGTCAAACAAACAGGGCCATTGGTGGCACAGACTGAGGTGCCTACTTCAAATGAAATGATATTCCAGCACTATCCTCCTGTATTATAGTTAAAGCAGCAAATGGTTAATTAAAAGCAATCTCTTTTGTTTCTGAGGCGACCCTTTCTCCTTTGCCAATAGATGACTGTTTATACTCCCAGTTTATTTCTTCAGTCCTAAAGATATTTTATTGCCTGCTAAACTTAGTTTTCTCTAAATTGCTGGAGAAGAAAAACACCCCAAACTGCTTATTTCATCAAAACTGGCTCCTATATTATATTGGCCAAAATGAAATCCACCAATCCAGGGCACCAGAGTTGATAATATGAGAGAGGGGTGCTTGATAAGATTTTAAAAAATTCTCTGGAGTCACAGTTGGTCATTACTTAACCTGTCAATCTCACAAGTACTCAGTAGGAGTCTCTCCATCTCCTACCAGATAATTGCATTAAGTTATATTGTTTGAATTACTGTCATATAAGCACTGAGAGGAAAGAGAATATGAACAACTGCTTCATAAAGCATTTAGAATATTGCCAAGTGTAAAGAAATGCTTAAGTGCTGATCATGATGACATGTGGTAAATTAGCCCCCAGCATCATGGCAGAGTTGACTGGTTCTAAAGTCACCTGACTTCCTGACAGCCCTATTCCTTGGCAGGTATTGGAGATTTAAGTAGTGGTGCTGGATTTCAATAGTACTCCCAAGGATGCAAGTGTGCTAAGGCTTTCTCCTCAAGGCGTGACACTTAGCACACTTGTGTGGCCTGGACTGATATCTTGGCTCTGCCACTTTCTTGTCATGTGATCCAGTGCAATAATTTAATTTTCCTGAATCTCACTTTCCCAATCACTAAAATGGGAACAGGGCTACTTTTCTTTCCTGCTTCACTAGGCTATTGTGTGGCTCCAATAAGAAAAACTGTAGAAAAATGCTTTGAAGAAAAATGGTTTGAAGAATACGTAAGTACTTAAGTACTATAAAAATGCATTGATAGCTGAGAATTTTCAGTGGTGTGTGTGTGTGTGTGTGTGTGTGTGTGTGTGTGATAGAGAGAGAGAGAGAGAGGGAATACAAGTAGAGGTGGGCTAGTGTGGAGGACTTAGACTTTATTATTATTATTATTATTATTATTATGGAGTCTTGCTCTGTAGCCCAGGCTGGAATGCAGTGGTGTGATCTTGACTCACCATAACCTCCACCTCCCAGGTTCAAGCGATTCTCCTGCCTCAGCCTCCTGAGTAGCTGGGATTACAGGCATGCATCACCATGCCTGGCTAATTTTTGTATTTTTAGTAGAGAGAGGGTTTTGCCATGATCGTCATGGTCTCGAACTCCTGACCTCAGGTGATCCGCCCACCTTGGCCTCCCAAAGCGCTGGGATTACAGGCATGAGCCACTGCACCCTTTGGCTTATTATTTTATTATTATTTTAATGCTTTCTCCACACTTGAGAAATTGGTCAACAGTTATGATTAAATTACTAGCACCAGTTTTGAATACCTCTTAGGAAACTCACCAATAAGTTATTATTAGTCTACCATGTATTTCCTGGGCAAAAATAATTCATTTAGCTCTGAATGTTTATCTAAGGCATGAAAAACTTGGTTTAGTTTTTAGAGTATCTGCAATGTCATCAAACTTATCCAAATATTTAATCTAAATTCTATGTGCTGTCATTTAAGGCCATTATGTCTGGTTCTTTCCTCATCAGTTAATCTCTATAATAGTGCTCTATTTGGCTCATTCCATCTTTTTATATTTCTGTAGACAGTTATCACCCCAAATGCCTTCATTTTATTTCTGAGCCAGCTATCTTTTTCTTGACTCAAAGGCCATCATTTGGAAATATTTGTCACTTTTAGTTGGTCTCTTATGAAATCTGAAACGCTTTACATCTACCTGTTTAAATTCAGGATCACGGGCTCTTGCTTGTCCTTGCTCTATGAATCAAGGTAGAGGGCTCTCCTATAAACTGTTTTTTTGCTATTTTCCTGTCACTGCATGTACCTTTTCTCCTCACCCAAAATAATCCAAGATAAGCAGGGAGGAAAAAGGACTTCCCTGGGGTGAAGTGGCTCTTACCACAAAGACTTCACAGCAGATGCAAAGGCCACTGTTCTTGGTAAAGGCGTGAGTTATGTCCAGGAGAGCAGGTCTTGTCATGGGTCCCCCTGTTAAGACAATGCACTGGGGCCTGGAAGTAAAAAAAAGATGTGAAAATGAGCCCCTGCAAGAAGCCTGTAACCTTAGAACCATTCCAGTGGGATGACAGGTACAGAGGCTTGGAAAAATGGGGCAACCTCTCCCCTATCTATTTTTTGGGTTTCGCACCAGTATTCTTGAATCATCCTGCCTGTCTTGACATGTTTGTGTTCTCAGTTCAGTTAGTCCTAGCAAAAGTGTGAAGTAAGGAAAAAGTGGTCTTATGGTCCTGATATGGTTTGGCTGTGTTCCCACCCAAATCTCATCTTGAATTGTAGCTTCCATAATTGCCACGTATTGTGAGAGGGACCCAGTGGGAGGTAATTGAATCATGGGGACAGATGTTCCCATGCTGTTCTCATTCACCCTCCACCATGATTGTGAGGCCTCCTCAGCCATGTGGAACTGTGAGTCTATTAAATCTCTTTTTCTTGAAAAATTACCCAGTCTTGGATATTTCTTCATAGCATCATGAAAATGGACTAAAATTCGTACTGGTAGAGTGGGGTGCTGCTGTAAAGATACCCAAAAATGTGAAAGTGACTTTGGAACTGGATATAACAGGCAGAGGCTGGAACAGTTTGGAGGGCCCAGAAGAAGACAGAAAAATGTGGGAAAGTTTGGAACTTCCTAGAGACTTGGAGGGCTCAGAAGAAAGGAAGATGCGTAAAAGTTTGGAATTTCATAGAGACTCATTGAATGGCTTTGACCAAAATGCTGATAGTGATATGGACAATAAAGTTCAGGCTGAGGTGGTCTCAGATGGAGATGAAGAACTCCTTGGGAACTGGAGTAAAGGTCACTCTTTTTTTTTTTTTTTTTTTTTTTTTTGAGACGGAGTCTCGCTCTGTCGCCCAGGCTGGAGTGCAGTGGCGGGATCTCGGCTCACTGCAAGCTCCGCCTCCCGGGTTCACGCCATTCTCCTGCCTCAGCCTCCCAAGTAGCTGGGACTACAGGCGCCCGCCACTACGCCCGGCTAATTTTTTGTATTTTTAGTAGAGACGGGGTTTCACCGTTTTAGCCGGGATGGTCTCGATCTCCTGACCTCGTGATCCGCCCGCCTCGGCCTCCCAAAGTGCTGGGATTACAGGCGTGAGCCACCGCGCCCGGCCGTAAAGGTCACTCTTGCTGTGCAAAGAGACTGGCAGCATTTTGCCTCTGCCCTAGAAATCTGTGAAACTTTGAACTTGAGAGAGATGATTTAGGTATCTGGCAGAAGAAATTTCTAAGCAGCAAAGTGTTCAAGAGGAAACAGAGCAAAAAAGTTGGAAAAATTTGCAGTAGAAAGGAAAAAACCATGTTCTGGGGAGAAATTTAAGCTGGCTGCAGAAATTTGCATAGGTAACAAGGAGGCAAATGCTAATCACCAAGACAATGGGGAAAATATTTCCGGGGCATGTCAGAGAACTTCACAGCAGCCTCTCTCATCACAGGCCTGGAGGCCCAGGAGGGAAATATCGTTTCCTGGGCATGGTCCAGGGTCCCCCTGCTGTGTGCAGCCTAGGGACTTGGTGCCCTTTGTCCTAGCTGCTCCAGCCATGGCTAAAAGGGGCCAAGGTATAGCTTGGATGGTGGCTTCAGAAGGTGAAAGTCCCAAGCCTTGGCAGCTTTCATGTGGTGTTGGTCCTGTGGGTGCATAGAAGACTAGAATTGAGGTTTGAGAACCTCCTCCTAGATGTCAGAGGATGTATGGAAATGCCTGGATATCCAGGCAGAGGTGTGCTGCAGGGGCAGAGCACTCATGGAGAACCTCTGCTAGGGTAGTGCAGAAGGAAAATGTGGGGTCGGAGCCCCCAGACAGACTCCCCACTGGGGCACTGCCTAGTAGATCTGTAAGAAGAGGACCACAGTCCTCTAGACCCCAGAATGGTAGATCCACCGACAGTTTGCACTGTGCACCTGGAAAAGCTGCAGACACTCAACACCAGCCAGTGAAAGCAGCCAGGAGGGAGGCTGTACCCTGCAAAGCCACAGGGGCAGAGCTGCTCAACACCTTGGGAACCCACCTTGCATCAACATGACCTGGATATGAGACATGGAGTCAAAGGAGATCATTTTGGAGCTTTAAGATTTTACTGCCCCACTGGATTTCGGACTTGCATGGGGCATGTAGCCCCTTTGTTTTGGCCAATTTCTCCCATTTGGAACAGGTGTATTTACCAAATGCCTGTATCCCCATTGTATCTAGGAAGTAACTAACTTGCTTTTGATTTTACAGACTCATAGGCAGAAGGGACATGCCTTGTCTCAGATGAGACTTTGGACTGTGGACTTTTGAGTTAATGCTGAAATGAGTTAAGACTTTGGGGGACTGTTGGGAAGGCATGATTAGTTTTGAAATGTGAGGACAAGAAATTTGGGGGGGGGGGCCAGGGATGGAATGATATGGTTTGGGCTGTGTCCCCACCTAAATCTCATCTTGAATTATAGTTCCCATAATCCCCATGTGTTGTGGGAGGGACCCAGTGGGAGGTAATTGAATCATGGGGGTGGGTTTTTCCTGTGCTGTTCTCATGACAGTGAATAAGTCTCCCAAGAACTGATGGTTTTATAAAGGGCAGTTCCCCTGCACACACTCCCTTGCCTGCCGCCATGTAAGACATGCCTTTGCTCCTCCTTTGCCTTCTGCTATGATTGTGAGGCCTCCTCAGCAATGTGGAATGGTGAGTCCATTAAGCCTCTTTTTTTAAAATTATAAATTACCCAGTCTTGGGTATTTCTTCATAGCAGTATGAAAATGGACTAATACAGTCCCCCTGTCCTTTTTCCTCTAGCCACTTACCCCAAATCCCAAGGCAATCTGTTCCTCTCCAAGCAAGATTTTTATGTTACTTTCTTTCATTCTTCATACAAGCTTGCGCTTGAGGTTTTATTCAAAATAAGATACAACTAATGAAAAGCTAAAAGGATTACTTTTAAGAGAATTCAGTAAGCCCTAAAGCCTTAAGCAGAATGGAAACAATAGCAGAGTAATGTGTGTGGGGATTTAGGATCATCTCTCTGAAGTCACATTACCTAGTCCACCTTGCTATCTCCACGCATGGAAGGTGACACCTGGCACTATGAGGGGCTGTAGTTTGGGATGGGCATAGCTCAGTGTGGAAGGAAAGAAGCACTCACTTACAGGAGGTGCTGTCATGAAAATGTGGCAGTTTTGTATGACTGCTTATTTTTAGAATGTACCCCTAAAGCTTATAACTACTTGAATGCCCTTGTCTCTTATAAAGGAGAGCCACTTCTAGGGTGGAAAAACACCAGGATGCCTGAGACACCAGCTTTACCTGAAGTTTTTTACGTGGTCTTCCACTGTGGTTAATTCCAGAGCATTGTCTAAAGCACTCACGTAGGAAAGAGCCTGTGTGGAGGAGCCCCAGTTCACATCTGTGGATAAAGGAGGAAATTGGCATAAAAAACACTGACCTTTCCTCTGTGCACCATGAATAATTTTACAAGTCATTCCCTTCTATGATTTTCCTTGGCTATGCCAGCAAAGATGAGTGCCCAAATTAGAGAAAATATAGTGTGGGATTTCCTAAAAAGCACTTTGTATCCTTCTATGAATACTACGTGAATCTTCAGAAGCTAAGGCTTCATTCCAGCAAAGGATCAGACTGTACAACTGCAGTCCTAGAAATCTTGCTTGGTGGGAGAGGCTGTGCGATAACCACATTGCAGGCATATAGACTTGGGAAACTGGTCAGTCCCTGAATAAATTCAAAGCGTCTTCACAAATTCTTCTTTTTTTTTTTTTTTTTGAGATGGAGTTTCACTCTGTCAGCAGGCTGGAGTGCAGTGGCACGATCTTGGCTCACTGCAACCTCCACCTCCCGGGTTCAAGAGATTTTCCTGCCTCAGCCTCCTGAGTAGCTGTGACTACAGGCACCCGCCAACATGTCTGGATAATTTTTGTATTTTTAGTAGAGACGGGGTTTCACCATATTGGCCAGACTGGTCTCAAACTCTTGACTTTGTGATCCACCCATCTCGGTCTCTCAGAGTGCTGGGATTACAGGCGTGAGCCACCGCGCCTGGCCCAAATTCTTAAACTGGAAGGAGAAGCAGCATTTCTGTATACACAGATAGTGTGCAGTAATCTTTATATTTTGAATAGTAAAACTGAATAGCATGGGAATTCTATGAAGAGGGTCAAGATTCTTTAGCAAACATTTTAGATGGATCTTTGAGAACCTAATCCCTAATCTTCATCATAAGGGAGGTCAGCTCTACCATCCCTCCCCTTCCCCCTCCTCCGCTTTTTCTTTTTGTTTGAGACGGAGTCTGGCTCTGTCGCCCAGGCTGGAGTGCAGTGGCGCGATCTGGGCTTACTGCAAGCTCCACATCCCGGGTTCACGCCATTCTTCTGCCTCAGCCTCCCGAGTAGCTGGGACTACAGGCGCCCGCCACCACGCCCGGCTAATTTTTTGTATTTTTTTAAGTAGAGACGGAGTTTCACCGTGTTAGCCAGGATGGTCTCCATCTCCTGACATCGTGATCCACCCGCCTCACCCTCCCAAAGTGCTGGGATTACAGGCGTGAGCCACCGTGCCCGGTCTTTTTTGGGTTTTTTTTTTTTTTTTTTTTTTTTTTTTTTTTTTTTTTACGAATTTAAGTATTAAATGGATCTTCCAAGGTTTATGAGAGGAAGTCCCTGACAAGAATGTACAGATACACCCCAGATGACAAACAGAACCTATTCTCCTTAGCCTTGTTCTAGAAAGCCAGGGAAATGGGTGAACAATGATTATCTGGAGATAAAGAAGATCAATATTGATTAAGTGTTGATTGTGCATCAGGCATTAAGCATACCTTAGGCTGTTTATTTTTATAGGGATAAAAACTCTACTTGTCAATTGGACGTTTGTATGTAAAAAGTGAACCTTGAACAATACCTCACATCATATACAAAAATTAACTCAAAATGGATAATAGACCTAAATATACTTTCCAAAGCATTAAAACTTCTAGAAGTTTGTGACTCTGGATAAGAAAAAGATACCTTAGATCAGATGCAATATGGTAAGCCATTAAAAAAAAAAGATAAATTAGACTTCACAAAAACTTAGAACTTTTACTCTTCAAAACAAACTGTAAGGAAAATAGAGAAACCACAGATCCAGAGAAAATATTTGCAAAACACATATACTAAAGGATTTGCATCCAGAATAGATAAAGAACTCTCATTACTGAATAATAATAAAACAACTAAAAAATGAGCGAAAGATTTAAACAGACACTTGGCTAAAAAAGATATATGGATGGCAAATAAGATGTTCAACATCGTTAATCATTGGGAAAATGCAAATTAAACCACAATGAGGTGGCACTACACATCTATTAGAATGGCTTTTAAAAAATCATCTGGCAATAATACATGCTGACAAACACGTGGAGCATCTAGGACTCTCATTCATGGCTTGTAGGAATGGAAAATAATACTGCTACCACAGAAAACAGTTTGGCAGTTTCGTATAAAGTTATATATACACTTACTATTAATCATAAATCCCACTACTAGATATTTACCCAAGGGAAAATGAAAACATAAGTCCACATAAAGTGCTGTGGACCTAAACTGAAAACAACTCAGATGACCATCAACTGGTGAACAGAATTTAAAAATATATGTGATGTATTCATACAATAGAATACTACTCAGTGATACCAAAGAATAAACCACTTACATATGCAACAGCATGGATAAATCTAAAAGCATTCTGCTAAGTGAAAGGAAGTCTTCTCAAAGGCTATATCGTGTATGTTTCTATTTATGTGGTATTTTGGAAAAGGCAAAGCTACAGGATCAGACGTCAGAAAAGCAGCTGCCTGAGGCTAAGTTGGAGGGTGGAGATTGACTACACAGGGGTATAATGGAACTTGTGAGGATGATGGAAATATCCTGTATCTTGATGACGGTTACAGCACTGTACGAGTTTGTCAAAACATATAGACAGCACATTTAAAAGGGCTGAATTTTGCCATATGTAAGTTATATGTGATGTTAACAATAGGTAAAGTCATAAAAGCTAAACAGACCCCTCCAAGGTAGTTACTACAAGCTCTGCTTTACTGGCAGAGTAAGGGAAAGGAGAATGTGAGGGTGGCTCTGGGTTACCCTGCACTGCACTGACTGCAGCCCCTCTTAAATTTAATATACATGGTACTAAAGTCAACACCCAAAGTTCAGATCCAATTGTTTATCCAATTGATTAGCCTGTGGCATCTTCCTATTGCTCACAACATCAGAATCTTTGGCATGACCTTTATGTTTCTTATTTATCTGGCCCCCACCAACTCTTCCAGGCTCTCCCTGTGATCCTTCTCCCCATCACTCAGGAACTTTCTGTGTGTTGAAGGCCTTGAGCCTTCCCAAATATGCTGCCCCGCACTTGCATGTGTCCTTAATGTCATTCATGCTTCACCTTCTGCCCAAAATACCATTCCCTGACTCTGATTAACCAAACCCCAGTTGCTTGCTTTTTTTTTTAATTTAAAAAACCCCTCA
The DNA here is from genome assembly GCF_000001405.40 of Homo sapiens. NCBI lineage: Eukaryota > Metazoa > Chordata > Mammalia > Primates > Hominidae > Homo > Homo sapiens. The sequence goes on along the minus strand of NC_000015.10, from coordinate 48,252,689 downwards.
TTTATTTATTCATTTAAAAAATATTTGTTAAATGTCCACTGAGTGTTTGACTCTGTGAACATAAGTTAGGAACCAAAAAGTTTTCCTGGATAATTCCAAAGTTAATCCTTCCCTCCCCTTTTCTCAGCAATTTGCTCATATTACTCTCATAGTGGTTACTATATTGTATCATAATTAATTCCTTAAGTGTGACTCTGTGAACTCCTTGAGGACAGGGACTATATCTAATTTATCAGGACATCAGAAACAGAAAGTGATGTAATGGAAAGCTTGTCAGGTTGGTTTGGTATCATACACATTCTGGTTATATGGTCAGCTCCATCACATCTTGATTATTACTTTGGCAAGTAGTCAACTCTTTGAACCCCAGTTTCTTCATCTGTAAAATGGGACTAATAGTATTGTGATGATTGAATGAGTGCATGGTATATAATAGGTGCTCAACAAGGTTAACTATTGTTATTCTTATTCTTATTCTTATTTTTTGAGACAGAGTTTCGCTCTTGTTGCCCAGGTTGGAGTGCAGTGGTGTGATCTCGGCTCACTGCAACCTCCGCCTTCCGGTTTCAAGTGATTCTCCTGCCTCAGCCTCCTGAGTAGCTGAGATTACAGGGGCCCGCCACCACACCCAGCTAATTTTTGTATTTTTAGTAGAGATGGGGTTTCACCATGTTGGCCAGGCTGGTCTTGAACTCCTGACCTTGTGATCTGCCTACCTCAGCCTCCTAAAGTGCTGGGATTACAGGTGTGAGCCACTGCACCCGGCCCCAACTATTGTTACTATTATATTGCACGATATTATTAATATCCACCTTACATATGCCTCACCTAAGCCCATAGAAGCTGCTCAATAAATGCTTAATAAATGAGTAGTTAGAGAGAGATTTGGAAACGCTATTCCAGACAGTCATTATCTTACCTGGCTTCTTACAAGTCACATAGACGTAAAGGAAGAATTCAATGACATAGGTGATGACAGCTGCCCACCAGTTGATGACAAACATGACTGCACAGCACAAAACAGCTCCAAAAAGAGATACCCACATGTTGTAAATTCCATACGCAGGTCTCCATCCTGAAAACAAAATATGCAGAAGGAAAACTTCCACTCTACTATGATCATGGCACTGAATATTAGAAGAATGCAGGTAACATGCCTTTTTCCTGACATAAAGAATCAGAACTTTTAGGCCAAGTTCCAGAATCTGTGATTATTTTCCTATGGTCTTGGGTCCCTGGTCTATGAAGATGGTACTTACACCAAATAGAATGCTGTAAAGTTTAGGAAATGTTAAGCATCTGAAAAATATGCCATTCAGGACCCTCCATACTCCGTGCTCCCGACTGTCTTCCCAAACTTCCAAACCTTAAGCATCTAGTATCTATGCCATCAGGAGCTGAAAAGAGGCAGGAGGAATGGAAAGAGTGGGATCTACCAGGTGGGGAGGAGAAACTTCTTGGTTGTCAGAGAAAGAAAAAGAGAAAACAATGGGCTTTTTGCTCCCTTGGAGAAGGTGGAGTAGTCATCAAGGGTCAATCTGCTTGACTTCCTGGTAGCTTCCATTACCCTAAGAGGACAGTGCTTGCCCTTTCAGAAATAATAACTGATGAAAAAAGATGGAGAAATGGCTTTTTAAACTTAAGGGCTAGCAAAGGCTTCTTAAACCCAATGTGTTAATGTGTCATGCATTTTGCAATGAAAATATTTCTCACAGTGCGCACGTGCGTGGGAGTTTTCTGTGTTCTTTTAGTTCCCTGAAATGGAAGCAACTGGAAGACAGTATGGACAGGAGGGAAAAGCTCTGATACGAAGGGCACCTTTTGTTAATGAATGGGGTATGTTTTAAATTAGGAGTTGCCAAAACACAGCAGAACTTTTAAGTGTTTGGGAGCAATTTCCTAAATGGCCACAAGATGGACATAGCACTTCAAGAACATCATTGAAAATAGTCTTATTTTTCTCTGAGTCTGGCTTCCCGTCCGTGTGTGTGTGTGTGTGTGTGTGTGTGTGTGAGGCAGACATTTTCTGGGTTTGTGTATCCATGTGTCTTCCTCTATATGCTGTTCTATATTTTCCTGTCTCTCTCCTTCTTTCCCGTTCTCTTTTTTACTCTTTTCCCTGGCTGCCTCTATTATTTCACCTTATTTTTCAAAAGTGGCCATAACATGGCATGGAGTCACACATTTCTGTGTTAACAAAACACACAAAGAAACAAAAATACTCTGCTACTTTCTGTAGCCTAGTATTCGTTAGATTAAGATTGGTCTGCCATCTATATTTTGTCTTATTGGCAGCAAGTTTTTCCAAAGGAGGCTTAATATCTTGTCAGGCCCTCAATGAGTGGAAATGTGTTTATATATCCGGTAAAAGTTCTCAAGGTGGAGAACTTTCTGAAGGTAGATAATGACAACTCTCTATTCTGGTAGAAAGGCAGAAGAAACTGTAGTGGACAATGAAAGCAAAGAAGAGGTGAGGAGTGACTAGAAAGGGGAAGGTTCTTTGGTGTGAAATTTTGAACAGCTTTAAACCACAGCCCAAAGGGTGCACTGATGCCACCAGCATCAATGCAGCCTGTCTACATTGCCTCCACTCAGCAGGTAATTATGGGAACTACTCATCCTTCTCTTCTGCACCATGGGCAGGAAACAAATTTGATAGTAAGGAAGTTTCAAATATATAGATTAATTCCACTTCTGTGGTCACTTTCACCCTGGAAATAAATAGTGGTGTTTTTCTACTGCTGAAATAAGTGTGGTTTCTCTTGCAATGAATAATTTATTGCCACAGGAGAAAATTGACTTTCTGGTTGGTCAAAAAGGCCATTGCTCAAATGATTCTTTTTCTATTTCAAAACTCATCCCCAAACTCACCAAAATAAAGTGGATTACGCTTCCCACTAGGATATAAGGAAACATATAAACACAGATTGAACACTTTTCACTGATTTATTTCGTTTTATTGAGACAAACTAACTGTTTGCTTAGGCATATTTTAGTTTGGAAGTCAGCTTACCTGGAGATTTGGCATAAGAGGCATGGAAGCAGGAGAAATTAATAAGTGCATATGAGGCCAGGAAAAAGTTGGAGATGATGGGAGCAATGGTGTTCAGTTCCGCTGTAAAAGTAACAGAATTGAACATGTACGTATGAGTGATGAGACCAGGGGCTGAACAGCTGTTATAGCCTCGAAGCTTGAATTTATTTGGAAATTGAAAACATAGCGAGCATCTGTCAAAGTTTAAGAAGTTAGTCATTTTTCTTTGGGGATACATATTTACTCTTAGCTAGGGTTTCCATAAAGTAAGTAATAAAAAAGCCTACCAATCAGAAAATAGACAATCGAGACCTCTACTACAAAAAGTTCAAGTGGCAATGGGTAGATGTGCGACTGGGCATACAATTAACTCCCTGTAGCTTTTCTGGAGGCATCTAATCCTGTGTTCTATAACTGTTATGTATGCAATAAGTAGGCTCTGCAGGATATTAGTTAAACAGCAGTGCACCGAAAACTCCCCAGTTGAAATCTCCCTGCATAGGCCCAATATGTGTTCTCTGATTTTCAGGACTCTTTGTCATTCATACCTTTTTCACATCTCTAGAGAGTTCTACCTCTGAAGGCTAGCCAAAATATTATTATTATTATTATTTTGAGATAGAGTCTAGCTCTTGTCACCCTGGAGTGCAATGGCACAATCTCGGCTCACTGCAACCTCTGCCTCCCGGGTTCAAGCGATTCTCCTGCCTCAGCCTCCCTAGTAGCTGGGACTATAGGCACCCACCACCATGCCCAGGTAATTTTTGTAGTTTTAGTAGAGACAAGGTTTCACTATGCAGGCTGCACTGGTCTTGAACTCCTGACCTCCAGTGATCTGCCCACGTCAGCCTCCCAAAGTGCCAGGATGAACAGGCGTAAGCCACCGTGCCTGGCCCCAAAATACTTTTGCCTCAGGAGTAAATATCTGGTATGATTTAATTCCAGCTGGATTTTTTACTGGGCAATGTAAGAAAAAATATAGAGACGTCATCCTTTATCTGAAGGTCAGACATCTATCACCCTCAATGATGCAAATGATGCAATGATGCAAATGATGCAATGATGCAAATGCAGGCAGCTGGGTGTGATTCTGGAACATGGATACCAACAAGAAAGTAGGCATAACAGCTGCCATGAAGCTTATGGGTGGAGCCAATGCACTTGTTCTGAAAGAATGATTTTAAAGGATATTATCTAATGTATACAAGACTTTAAAAACTTTGGTTGCTTATTCGCTTAAATGCAGCACAGGGCAATGATTTGAGATCTTAGAGGCTAAATTACATAATTGAAACATCTCTATATGAAATCAGTTTTAATTTAATTTTTAAAAATCTAACAAACACAGAGAGTTACAAATTCCCCTCTTCAGCCTCATACAAATGCTATGAGGATTCATGAATTATAGTCCCTTCCTGAGTTCAATATGTAATGATGAGGAGCCCTCATTGCTTGGCACTGCTGTGCTGAGGAAGTCTCTGCCCGCCTATGTGTGGCTCCCAATGTCCTCTGCCTTCTGCTTCTTTTCCTCTGATATGCTCATCAGCAAAAGTGGGGCCTTAGGGAGGAGAGAGAAATGTGCAAGTTTAAGTTGATGAATGTGCCTCTCCAAGATTATGTAGCTGTTTCCATATCACCTGGGGAGAGGAAGCCAAGATTATAGTCTAGGTAAGTGATTCTCAAATGCCAGTGGTCTACGAATCTCTTGAGTAGCTTGTGAAATGTAGACTCCTTACCCTCAGTGAGTCTGACTCAGTTACTCTGGAATTGGGCCTGAAGTCTCCACACTTTCCCAAACACCCCAGGTGATTGCGATATAGATGGTCAGTGGACCACATTTCCAGAAACACTAACAGGCAATTCAATTCTGCTAGCCATCAGGTCAGTAGATATGGCAGCTGGGGGAGACTGTAGATTTAGACAGTTTCAGGCAGGTGGGAGGAAGGATTCAGCGTCATGTGGTTGGATGGATTTCGAACACTCAAGATTCAAAGAATAGATTAAAATTCAAAGTCTACCTCGAGTTCCTCAAAGGCCCTCTACACACAAGGATTTCTCATTTCCTTCTTAGATGCCAATATTCCCAAATGGGATCCTAAACATAAAACGAGTAATTTTTCAAACTAAAAGGAAAGCCCTATGAATAATCAGAAGAATTCTTTGGTTTTCAATAAAAACAAGAAAACTTTACAAACCAATAAGAATAAATGCCATGGCTATAAGAAAAGTGAGAATATATCCTCTCAGGGGTTCATTGTTTTTCCCATATCCCTTTGCAAAAAACTGCAGGGCTTTGTAGATGTTGTCCTTGCACAGAGCCTAATGGAAAAGAAGAGAAGAAATTTGTCATTTATAGCTATGCACAGTCATTTTCTCTAGGTGATTCAAACAAGAAGATTTGGGGAAAGATTAAGTGATACACAAGATGAGGCACAAGTTAACACTGCAGTTTATCATTCTTTATATTATTTGAATCGATCTTGACTATGTGGCAGACATAGAACTTGAGCCAGATGCAAACATTAACTGTTTCAGAAAATGATGGAAAATGATTGCCAGTGAGAACGAATATTTCAGCTTGATTCACATTCTGTGGAAATAGCAATAGGGAGAAGCACAAGCTGTTGTGCTTGTATTACCTGGAACACTTTGGGTGCGCTGACAAGGGAGGCCAGGGCGGAGGAGAGTGTTGCAGAAAAGATTCCCGCAGTGATGAGGGGGCCGAACCCTGATACCATGCTCATGACCTTGAGAAGAGAGGTACAAGTAAGGAGACTTTCTGTGATTTGGAATCTGTTTCATAAGCAAACGGCTTTCAACTACATTTTTTCCCCCTGCTTCATTCTCACATTCCTTTTCTTGTTGTTGTTGTTTGTTTGAGACAGTCTCGCTCTATCGCCCAGGCTGGAGTGCAGTGGCACGATCTTGGCTCACTGCAACCGCTGCCTCCCGGTTCAAGCGATTCTTGTACCTTAGCCTACCGAGTAGCTGGGATTACAGGCACCTGCTACCACGCCTCGCTAATTTTTGTATTTCTAGTAGAGACGGGGTTTCACCATGTTGGCCAGGCTGGTCTTGAACTCCTGACCTCAAGTGATCCGCCCACCTCAGCCTCTCAAAGGGCTGGGATTATAGTCGTGAGCCACCGCACTTGGCCATTCTCACATTCTTAATTTTATTTTTTAAAAATAGAAATGGCCTTTTTGGTTATTTATAAGATAATAAATGCTCACCCGCAATATATCCAGAAGATATTGGAAAGAATAAAGAAGGAAATGGTTTCAAGGATTTTGACATTTTCCCCTCTGTTCTTTGTGGCCATATGTTTCTTTGATGATGGGGAATTCTATCCAGCAGAAAGTAGTATTTTAATAAGGTTTGGGGAGGGACTCAGCTGTTTACTAGTCTTTTTTACAGCCATTAACCTTTCTTCTTCCTGCACACAGAGGCTTTTCAGACCTTTGCTATTTCTGTGCTCATTAAACATAATTTTAGATCTGAGACATGATGTGATTCTATCAATTTAAGTCATATTTTGGAATAATGACTTCAGCTGAGTTAATTTCTCTTTGTGAGTTGTTAAAACAGAAGAATGAAGCTTTCGCGACAAATTTACTTCTCCCTCTGCTCACCAATCATGCAGACAAATTAATATGTTTAAAGTCCTACAGTTTTCCTAACTTCCATTTTTCCTTCCCCCTTATTTACGTTCCCTCTGGCACTCACAATTTCTCTCTTAGCTTTGTCTTCTAGGCTTTCCAGGGCCACCTCAAAGGCTTTGTCTAAGCTGAAGGCCATGTATGAAATGCATTCCAAGATTTCTCAACGAACTTAAAACAGGACTGTCATTTGACCGAGCAATCTCTTTACTGGGTATATATCCAAAAGAAAATATATCATTCAACCAAAAAGATCCAGGCATCTGTATGTCTATTGCAGCACTATTCACAATAGCAAAGACATGGAATCAATCTAGATGCCCATCAATGGTGGACTGGATAAAGAAAATGTGGTACACATACACCATGCAATACTACACAGCCACAAAAAGAATAAAATCGTGTCCTTTGCAGCAACGTGGATGCAGCTAGAGGCCATTATCCTAAGCAAATTAACACAGGAACGGAAAACCAAATACCACATATTCTCACTTACAAGTGGGAGCTAAACATTGAGTACTCATGAACATAGAGTGGCAACAAGGGACACTGGGGGCGACCAGAGAGGGGATAGAGGAAGGCAAGGGTTGAAAACTAGCTGTTGGGTACTATGCTTAGTACCTGAGTGAACTACTCACAGTGAACAGAGGCTACTTGTTGTAATACCCCCAAATCTCAGAATCACACAATACACTCATGTAACAAACCTGCACATAGAGGATACTCCCTGAATCTGGAATAAAAACTAAAATTATAAAAGAAAGAAATACATAACAAGTGCTAACTAATCTAGGTTCCTTTCCACCATGAAATCTTGCACAACTGATCGGAACACACATAGTGCCAGGAGATGATCTCTCCCTGATGATGCAATTCATACCACTGCCTATTGTCTCTGACTACAGGAAATGTAACCATAGGATTTACTGCCATGTAATGACTGTATGACTCCTTTCATTTCCACATGAATCATTCCATGCTGGATTCTTATCAGCCAATAATCAATCAGTTGCAGATTCAGAAATCTTACTCTATGTGACATTCAAAAAATGAAAATAATAGCAGTGAACATTTTTGAATTTTGCTTCAAACCTGGAAATTGTTCATCAGCCCGTACTGACATGGTTCATGTCGACATCTTGAGAAGTCATAGCCCAACCCACATGCTGCTGAACCATTGCAGTTCATCCCAGAAATGATGGTGTCATTCATGTTCCCGGTGGCATCTCGGACCACACAGGCCCCTGTGGAAACAACCGTGGCTTGTTATTTCTTTATAAAGTTCTGGTCCCTTACGGTTTTCTACTGAAAACGTAGTTTACTTTGAGACTGAAAAGGTCCATTTCTTAGCCTCTGTTCACTGTGAGTAGTTCTTGATAACTGGAGGCTCCCATCTGCTGAGTCCTGGGGTTTCCCGTTTTCTGTAACAGGCTGCCATTTCAACTCCCTGTGTGACTTAGATTTGAGTGGTAAGAGACTTGGGAGTTGACACTCAGTCTTAATTTCTTATCTCTTAAAACTTGCATGGCAGTGCTTGGTACATAACACATACTCAATATATATGTCTGGCTTAGTACTACCAACTGGATGTTTTTCAAGTAGAAGGATTTATTTCCTCATCTGCAAGAGAGCCAAGGGGTGGCATTATGGAATTCTATTATAGTGATTAAGAGAACGCAGCCCCTCTTTTCAACTAATGATATTCCTTGCATAAGTTATCAAACAGAGTTACAGTTCTACATTATATGCGGTTTTAATGGTTTAAACAATGAAGGAAATGTTTTAGGATAAAATACTCAGATTTCCTAGGCCATGGTCAAATTATATTGATCAGGTATCTATCTCAGCTGATCTATTCCATTATTTTCATACATTTGAGTGTATCTGTCATTTTCTACTATAGCATTCTATGATGAACGTCTTTGTGCATAAACTTTTTCTTCTAGGATAGATTCTTAAAAATAGAATTATGGTCATTTAGAAGACTCTTGATATATATTTTAATCACTGGCATTCCCTTAGGATTTTTTCTAACTAATCTTTGCCATGTATTTGATAGGATTTTTGAAATATATGAATATACGTGTGAAGTATATATAAACTTTTCTGAACTACATGAAGGATAAATACTTTACAAACTAAATACCAACCAATAAAACTGCTTTGGATTTCAAACTCTACCCAGGGTGGATTCTCATGCCTTGCTAATAATACCTTTAAGACAGGTCCCAGTGACAGGAATAAATGTGTTTCCTTAATCTTAGCCATGGAATCCACATTCCTTGAATTTGGGAGACTTAAAAATTATAGACTCTTTTTGTTTGTTTGTTTGTTTTTGTTTTTGAGACAGAGTCTCGCTCTGTCACCCAGGCTGGAGTGCAGTGCACGATCTTGGCTCACTGCAACCTCCGCCTCCTGCGTTCAAGCAATTCTCTGCCTCAGCCACCCGAGTATCTGGGATTACAGGTGCCTGCCACCATGCCCGGATAATTTTTGTATTTTTAGTAGAGATGGGGTTTCACCCTCTTGGGCAGGCTGGTCTTGAACTCCTGACCTCGTGATCCACCTGTCTCCCCCTCCCAAAGTGCTGGGATTACAGGCGTGAGCCACTGCACCTGGCCAATTATAGACTCTTTTATCTGAAAGAGCCATTTTAAATAATCAGTGCAGGGATCCTTTTAATCATAGTACTGAGAGGTAGCCTGCCAGCCTCTGCTTGAATGCTTGAAATTATGGATGTCAATTACCAAGTCAAACTATTCTTTCATATTTTACCTGTTTGCATTGTTCATTTATGTTGAACTGAACTCTTTGAATCATGTATTTTAACCTCTGCATAACAGATCTCTCAAATTCCCATGAAGCCAGGCCAAGAGCCATTATTTGTACTAATGACAGGGCATTGACTCCACGACTGTCCTTCTCCTATACTAGGAAAGTGTAGAAATGTATATTTTCCCACCCTTTAGGGGCAAAACTAGAAGAAGCTCTGAAATCAGGTCTATACCTTTACTCATTCTCTCACTTTAACTGTAGAAAAAAGAAAACCACTCGGGAAATTTAACTTTAGTGGTTTCAAAGTCATTTAAAAATGTGTTGATTTCCTAAAGCACTGAAACAAAAAAAATCTCTTTACATGTAACTAAACTTGGACATGCCCCAACAATACATTTATCTACCTATTTATTTATTTTTGACACATGGTCTCACTCTGTTGCCCAGGCTGGAGTGCAGTGCTGTGATCACAGCTCACTGCACCCTTGACCTTCCAGGCTTAAGCAATCCTCCCACCTCACCCTTCCAAGTCGCTGGGATCATAGGTGTGTGCCGCCACGCCCGGCTAATTTTTTATTTTTTGTAGGAATGGGGTCTCTCTATGTTTTCCCAGCTAGTCTTGAACTCCTGGGCTTAAGCAATCCTCTGGCCTCAGCCCCCCAAATTAGTGGGATTACAGGCATGAGCTACTGTGCCCAGCCGCAACAATACTCTTAACAAAGTTATCAAATTTCCTCAAATTAGAGACAATGAGACAGGGAAGGATTTAAGTTCATTTTTTCTTTTATCTCCAGAAACCAACTGTAGGTACATGTACCTTCTCAATTTCTCTTATAAGCAGAAGAGGACTGGGATGTACCCTTTGGCTTCCATGGTGGTCCAGCCTGGAGCTGTTTTCCCTGTTGTACATAGAAGATGGTTTTCTTCTCTAAATGTTGGGAAACCTCTTCCTTTCCTACTATGGAAAAAGTATGAGGCAACCCCCAACCAGGAGGAGGTGTGGCTGCAGGCAGCAGGTAGAACCAAAGTCAGTCTCAGGAACAGCAGGTGAGTACACATATTTTCTGTTCACTGAACAATGTAGGGGCTGGCCACCTACACTGCCAGCAGCTGGGTCTTGTTCTGATATCCTGCCAATTGGTGACAGTGACATTTCCATATTAAGGATAGCAGTACAAGGATGAGACACAGTCACAAATTCCACATCTTTCATACTTTCCTAAGGCTGTTTTTAGGTTTGAAGGGTTTTGTTTTTCACTTCTTTTCTCTACTCTGTTTCTCTCCTGCCTCCTAGAACAAGGGAAGTGTATGCCAGAAGTGGTGGCCTCCTTAGCAGTGGGATTATCATCAAGGGTGGTAAAATGGGACCCTCTTTGTGTTCAGGTAGAATGACAACCTGATTAGCTTTACTCTAGCCCTGACCCAGAGATGTCTGTAGTACAGCTTAATTGCCTTCAAATCCCTAAAGTATCCACATCATTAACATTAAGGTACCAAGAACGGAATTAAAATTGTTGCCTTTTAAAAAACTCTGTATTTATGCTGCATTGAAAGCTCACTAGACGTGAACAACTGGACCCCTCGTAATTCTGACATTCTGACACTGGAGACGTACCACTTACCTACACAAATTGCAACCCCTAAGTAGGCAACAGTGGTGATGAAAATGGCCAGCATGGTTCCTCTGGGGATGGCATCTTGGGGATCCTTTAAAAAAATAATGTGGAGGTAGAAGAATACAGAGCAGAATAAGAACCATAGATCACTTGGAGTTATTTTCATATTTTCAGATTTTTAGGCTACCCTTCCTGAGGCAAGTTCTAAGAAAAGATCAAGCAAACAGCAAGTTGATGAGCTTGAGCTTTATTTTGGACAAAGACAAGGTGTGCAGAGTGAATAAAGAAATCTGTAAAACTTTCAGCTGAACAGAAGAGATCTCTAACTGTCCAGAAGGAAGTGTCTTTAGAAAAGTATAGTAGGTAGTTCACTCACCAAGGCCTCATCCTTCTCTTTATCTCCTATGAATTTCATTTAGATGTATCACATCTTGAATTTGTAGGGGAAAATATACAAACATATCTGGCATGTGGATAATATCTCTGGGTGTATTTTTTTTATACTGAGCTTAAGCTTGCCTTTAAAAAAATCACTTTTGACTGAGTAAAAAGGATGATCTACTTACTAAATTTTTCAATCCCTTAAATCCCCTATTTGAAATCTAGTTCAGAAATATCTGCAATGGGAGATATTTAATTTCCATAAGCAGACATAAAGAAAGAGGCAAATTCAAGCTTAAACCAGAAAATGGGCTTTTCTCTTGCTTATAAATGTATATACATTCACTAAGTTGAGTTCACATCATACTTAATTTACCATTGTATATCCTATTGGGGGGGATAAATCATATAAAATCAATTCTTAAGTAGCATATTGAATTGTATTCAATTCAACTTAATAGGGATTATTAAATATAAATTTTAATGTCTTCACTTATACAGGACAGGGCCTGGCATAGAGGAGTCAATAAATATTGAATTGAAGAAGGTACAATCTCAGCAGGTATGAGTCCCCCCACCAGAGCACATTAGACTCATCAATACAAATAAGCAATCACTGCAGTCAAACAAAGTTTGTGCTTTAAAAAGAAAACATAAATATGCTGAAAAAGTCCATCAAAAAGGTCATGCATAGTGAAAATGTAGACTCAACTTGATGACTGGAAGTCACAACTGAATCAAGCAAACCTGCCCCACATGGCAGTAAGCCAGCCCTATGGGACCACTCTGTGATCATTAATTTCTCCCCACTCTTCTAGGAGTATCTGTACACAGGGTTTGTTCTGACATGTACATACTGAGTCTCTTCCTTCCAAACTATTGTCGTCGTCAGTGTGGCAGGTGTATGCAATGGGGCAGCACACAGAAGGAAAAAGAAGGCAGTCATGACTGTGATGGGGCCTACTGAATCCCCTAATTCATGTTATGTTCCAAAATTTATTTGATTGATGAAGAATTTCTTGAGATCTGAGTAAAATGTAAAGAACTGACAGTGGGAAGAACAGAAATATATATGTATATATAAAATTTATGCATATTATATATATATATATGGATATATATATATATATATGGATATATATATATATATATGGATATATATATATATATATATGGATATATATATATATATATGGATATATATATATATATATGGATAACAGATGTGAAGATGGAAGGCAGTCTTATACCTAAAACACAAAAACTTAGTTTTTGGCCAGGTGCAGTGGCTCACGCCTGTAATCCCAGCACTTTGGGAGGCCAAGGCGGGCAGATCACCTGAGGTCAGGAGTTAGAGAGCAGCCTAGCCAACATGGCGAAACCCCATCTCTACTAAAAATACAAAAATCAGCTGTGCATGGTGGTATGTGCCTGTAATCCCAGCTGCTCGGGAGACTGAGGCACGAGAATCACTTGAACCTGGGAGGCGAAGGTTGCAGTGAGCCGAGATTGTGCCACCGCACTCCAGCCAGGGTGACAGAGTGAGACACTGTCTCAAAACAAACCAACAAACAAACACCCCAAAAACTTAGTTTTTATTTGCAACTGTCTGCTACAAGCTCTCAAATGGCTTAACAGGAGTCACATGAGATTCCATCATGACTCTAAGACATTATTATTTATTTATTTATTTATTTATTTATTTATTTTGAGATGGGTTCTTGTTCTGTTGCCCAGGCTGGAGTGCAGTGGCTCAATTGTGATTCACTGCAGCCTCAACCTTCCCATGCTCAAGTGATCCTCCCACCTCAGCCTTCCAAGTAGGTGGGATGATAGGTGTGTGCCACCACGCCCAGCTAGTTTTTTGTGTGTGTTTTGTAGAGACACGGTTTTGCCATGTTGCTCAGGCTGGTCTCAAACTCCTGGGCTCAAGCAATCACCCACCTGGGCCTCCCAAAGTGCTGCGATTATAAGCATGAGCCACCATGCCCAGCCATGATCCTAAGACATTAACATAGAAATCTGGATGCCAATATATTAATGTATGATTAGATATTCACATTGTCTGGTCTGGCTAGCTTTCTCTTAGAAAGGGTTCAGGAGGACTTTGACAAATTATTGGTTTTCACTTGAAATGTAGTTTCTATCCACACGCAGTAACCCAAAACCTAAACTTCTTTACCTTTTTTCATTAGACATTATATTTTTCCTTAGGACAGAATGCAAGCACTATTAGATGCCTGCTTTCTGGGTATGTCAACCACATCCCAATTTTGCTTCTCTGAAATCACTTCTTAGCTTTCTTGATTAGACTTGGGTATTTTCTAAATCTTCTCCCAGGTACATATTTACAGATCATCTGTTAGTGCATTATTAGCAAATGTAAGGTTCTGGATGGGAACTTTGTAACATGCCTTTGTGTCTGTGAGCTTCCTTCCAGAGGAGGATTCTGAGGCTGTGAGCGGAGATCAGGATCTTTCCTATCCTATAGTGTGTAAACAGTAAATGTTTTCTAAACTGACCGAATCCATTATGTTATATTTCTAGGTTCACTTTCAAAGAGAAATAATATCTACAAGTACTGAAGTTTCCTCCCCATTTCCCAACATATTGTCACCTCCCAGAACTTAACATGGTTGGCCCCTCCGGCTTGTGACCACGTTACTACTTCTCAAGGCATTCTCCTCTCTTGATTTTCATGGCCCCACTGTCTTTTGATTTCTCCTGCTTCTTAGCTCTGTCTCTTTTTTCTTCATGGACTTGCTTTTTACCATTAATACTTTGAAGGTCTGTGTCTGCCTGAACGCTGCCTCAAACCTCTTCTGTCTTCCCTTTTGCACATACCTGCATTAACTCATCCATGTCAAGGCTGCCAGTCCTGCCCTAGCTCCTTTCAGAGCTCCAGACTCATACATCTAGCTACCCACTCACTAGACATCGCCACCCCATGTCCTTCTGCCATTTCAACCTCAATAGACAAATGTGAGCTTCCTTTCCTCATCTACTATACTGTGGAATCAATTCGACAGGTTACAACCAGCGTTAAAAGAATCCAATAGAATAGAACTGATGTGAGAATATCAGAAGGCATTGCTTGTAATAAAGTAGAGAATCATTTGGGGACAATTTTCTAAGTGTGCACTTGGTTGTGATGTATAATGTTTTCTTACCGTGGATCATAGTAAAAAACATTTTTTTTTCTATTTCTTCTCCTAATTCTAACAAAAGCTGATATCTTTGGTTCTTCTCCTCTGCATGGCCTTAAATCAGGCCCATGCCATCTCTTGTCCAGATTATTATGGTATTTTCTAATTGATCTTTCTGCCTCCAGTCTTCCTACCTATTACACCATTTTCCCACCTTCCAAACCACCCTCCACAAGCTGTTAGCAGGCTCTCTCTAACACACATATTTAATCATGTTATTCCTTTGTCTAACCTCCGTAGAGTCTCTAGCTAGTTTGGGGATAATATCCAAACTCTATTGTCTGTAGTTAAAAGGACCCCTGAGTTCTGTATATAGTAAAAGTATATAGTATATAGTAGTGTATGTGTTAAAAGTTAAGCCTAATTATAAAATCATAAAAGTATTTTTAAATAAAAAGAATGCAACATTCTACAATAATATTATGACCATGTATGCCCCCAAAATCTTAACAGGCCATTGTTTGTAGTTTCTTTACATGTGAACTCAGCATCAGGGATTTCTCAGTAGAGGCTGCTAAATAAATAAAAACTTCTTCACTAACATAACAACCCTAAATCAAGTTAACACTTATTTTGAAGGGGGAGGAATTTTAAGTCTCGTCTTTTCAGACAGAAATAATATATTCTCTTCCTTTGCTTACTCCCAGAGTACTTAGGACACATAGAAAATTATTTATAAATATGTTTATTAATATATTAATGAAGGATTACATACACTACTCTGCACTTAAAATAATTCTCATTAGCAGCATCTTTCTTGGTGCCTTCTTACATCCCATTCCTTCTGTTTCAAATGTCCGTCTCTTCTTTGTCCTGTCGGCAAACTCCTGTTCATCCCTCAAAACCTGGATTGAGTGTCCCCTCTTCTGAAAGTCTTCCTTTACTTTTTGAGGGGACAGGCAATTTCTGCTTCCTCTTTCCTTTGCACTTGATTCTACTCTTGCTTGTTCTAATTCATATAAGGGAAGTCTGTCTCCTCCTTCGACTCTGAGCTCCTTGAGGGAGAGGTGAAGCTCCTTGTTTCCTCAGTGCCTGGTGTGAACAGGCACTCAGTGAGGGCCAGCTAAGCGGAACTGACTGCTATACATCTGATACAAACTTGTTTTTAAGGAGTCTAAAGAAAGAGCAATATTCTTTAATTTAAAGGTGTGCTTATAATTTGCAGAAATTTAAATCAGTGACCTCTGATACTCTTCCAGAGCTGACAAACCAGAAGTTCAACATCCACAGCTAAATTTCATTCAGCAGTGATACTATTTGAATCATTTTGAACAAGTTTCTTAACTTTTCTGCACTTCAGCATAATATTTTTATGCCATATTTCTGCTGGAGAATTTACCATAGCACTGTGGCCCCTAATATAAAAATCTAAATGCCTTTATTTATTTACTCAATTAGTATTTATTGAGGCCTTACTAGCTTTGAGGATACAGCAATGAACAAAATCAAAGGCAAACTCTCTACTTTCATGGAGTTATATTCTAGGGCAAGCACCTCTGGCTCAAGTCCCTCTAACAGCCGTTTCCCTTTGCCTTCAAGGTGATTGAGCCCCATCAGGGTTTCTCCAGTTGAACTGTAAGAGACTTCTCACTGTCCCCAGTTTCCCTATGCCTGACTATCCTCTCTGCCTGGAATACTCTATATTTCTTCATTAATAGCCAGCATCCAGACTTTGCTTTATGCTCAGGTTCAAAAATTATTTCCTTGAGAAAATCATCCCTGATTAACTTAACAATTATTTGTTCAGTATTTTCATTTCACTTCCCGCTGGACAATGCATATGTTTTTCATGTATGTATATTTCTTAATGAGTCTTGAAAATATTTCTTGTCTTCCAAAGTTGATAATAATTTGTTGTGGTAAAACCTGTGTCTTCTACTTTGCGTGTGTGTGTGTGTGTGTGTGTGTGTGTGTGTGTGTGTGTGTTAGAAATGGCTTATTGTCCCCGATATATGTCCTCACTTTCCTCCTTTTAATACTAGGACCCCCTAAAATTTTATCTGGGCATGTGGCTGCCCAGATACAGACTACATTTCCCGCCCTCCTTTGCAACCAGGTAAGGCCACAAGGCTAAATTCTGGCCTATGGAATGTCAGCAGGAGCGATACATGCAAGTTCTAGGAATTGCTTGCCCTCTACATGCTTATCCCCCTTCCCATGGACTGGAATGTGACCTTGCAGATGGAGGGCAAGCCCCAAAGTAACGGTGAAACAAAGAGGTTATCTGGGTTTCTGGGCTACCTTTTGGAGCAGACTTTTCTTATTCCACTGGATGGCCTACGGGATGATTTAACATAAAATTTTTATTTATTTATTTATGAGTATATCAAGACTTATCAAGAAATATACATACATTTTATTTATTTTTGTTTTTTAAAGAGATCAGGGTCTTGCTGTGTTGCCCAGGCCGGCCTCAAACTCCTGGGTTCAAGCAATCCTCCCACCTCAGCCTCCCAAGTGTCTGGGACTATAGACATGTGGCACTGTGCCCAGCTGAGCTAGATTTTGTGCATTAAAACCTGCATCTTGTTTAGGCCACTATTGCTGGTCTTTTATAACATTCCCATATCCTAACTCATACCATGCTCTTTGCAGTACTTCACACAGAATAATTAAGTGGGAAGCTAAGTGAAAATGTGATTATTTTCCTTTGTTTTGTTTTGTTTTTTTTTTACTTTTACAGGAAAATATTCCTATTCATTTGGGTTTAAAAGAGAAAGGGTGGTTCTGGTATTTTTTTCACTGAACTACATTTATTTTGGGGAAATATGACACACTATCACACTACCCTGTTCTTCTGATATCACTGAATAAGACTTTTGGAAGAATTATCTGGAATATAAATCCAAATTTGGCATTAAAAGAGAGAACTTTTAAATCATCAGGAAATCTTGCAGAAACCTACAGTTTGAATCTGTAGGGTAATATGGTCACATCTAACCTCTCTAGCTCCTTGTGCTACCCACCAAGTGTACCACCACTCCCAGGACTGCAAAGCAGAGCAAACAACGTACCTCCAAATCTCCTGAGATATTGGCACCAGCAAGAATCCCAGTAGCTGCTGGGAAAAAAATGGCAAAGACAGAGAAGAAGCCTTCACCCTTTGTGAAGCGTGGCCCAAAGTTTTCTGCAAATATTGATGCTGCAACATAAATTATAAGAAAATTATGATGTAGACATTTTTCACAGTACAGGAGATTAAGTTACCATTGGCTTCCCTAGTCCTAAATGAAAATACATTCCTATATTCTAATTTTTTTTTTTTTGAGACAGAGTCTCACTCTGTTGCCCAGGCTGGAGTGCAATGGCACGATCTCAGCTCACTGCAACCTCTGCCTCCCAGGTTCAAGCAACCAAGCAATTCTCCTGCCTCGGCCCCCGCAAGTAGCTGGGATTACAGGCGCCCGCCACCACACCTGGCTAATTTTTTGTATTTTTAGTAGAGATGGGGTTTCACCATGTGGGCCAGGCTGGTCTCAAACTCCTGACCTCAGGTGATCCACCTGCCTCGACCTCCCAAAGGGCTGGGATTACAGGCGTGAGCTACCGCGCCCGGCCACATTCCTATATTCTAAATGGAATGAACTTGAAGATGTGGTGTACTCCTGAGGAGCTTTATGTTAATATTTGCCAAAAGTCAAAATATATATCATAAGGTTTTAGATCTCTATGACATAGCTCTGAAAAATCAATTTTTGTGCCAAAAGAGATCCAGGCTGCCTGACTTTTTTGCATCTAGAAAAGGTTGAAAGAGGAGGAGATGAATTCTCTCATGATCACACTGGCATACCCACAAATGCACCACCACACACATTCACACACACACACAACTACATTCTCACATGCATAAATACCATAAACAATCAACACACTGGTTTTCTATGCCTTTTTTGGTAGTTGAAGAACCTTGTGTGTGAGTCTACTTTACAATTTTGCTACTAATGCATGAATCTCTTTACTTTTTACTCCTAGATATTAGATCTTAGCTGCTTATACCAAATCCTCAGTATGGGAGAATATTATGATGAGAAGTTTTGTTAATAAAATAATACCATCCCACACATTGCCACCAAATTATTAAATAAAAAGGAAACAACCTAGAAGAAAAACAGAAGGAAAAAAGAGAAAAGGAGAGGAAAAAAATGTGAACAAAAGAATCTGGGATGAAAAAATAGGAAAAAAGGCTTAAAGAAAAAATATGGTAGGAATGGGAAGGGAGGGAAAATAATAGAAGGGAAAAGGATATTAACATGCAAAGCAAACCAGAAAGTCTTTATGAAGAAAAGGAATCAGGAAGAAAGAGGTATGTGATATCAAAAAGAAATAAATACTGACAACTGAGTAAATAATAAAGGGAAACATTGAAAAACTCAGCAGTGGATTCTTGAGTAAGCTAGAGGGAAAAGAAAGGCAAGAACAGATAGAAGGAGTAAAATAAGGAGAGAAAGAAGTCAAATTTCATGCTCTGTGATGTTATCACAGGATGCTACACTGAGTAACTCCTACAGTCTTTTCTGCCTGAAAGCCTGACAGTGATGCTTAACTAGGTAATGCTGTGGGAAAGCAAGGTGCAAACAAGTCTAGCAGGAAGAGAGAAATGACTATGTTTGACTTTAGTGCTCTGCAGTGGTTGAACAAATTGAGCTGTGTCTCTGTTTCTACTATTTGACAGCAACAACAAAAGGTTTACAAAGCACTTTCACATCCACTGTCTTATTTGTTTCTCAAAATTCCCTCAGGAAGTTCTTATTGTCACCCACATTTTGGCAGGAAAATCTGAGACCCAGTCACATTAGGTGTTCTGTCCAGCTGTTAAGTGGCAGAGTTGAGATCCAACCTTGGGTCTCCTGAATCCAACTCCAGGCTCTTTCCTGGAGAAATGTACTATCCATTTTATCACTAGTTAGTTATCACTAGTTAAACTCATATATTTTCTGGTTCTAAAACCTATGGTGTGCCCAAATTTGCTGGTGAAGTACTGGGTTTCAGAAGAGAATGATAGTTTTTGCCTCTATTATGTTTCCCCAACGTACTTCCCATTTCTTTTGGGCTTCCGCATCCACAAGTAACTTGAAAGGGGAGCCAGGCATTCCGAAGGCTGGGGTTGGGTTGATGGGGATGGTGATGAGGAGGGCAATGGAGAAGTATTTAATGAAAAGCAACCAATTTATTCCATGTACCTTGGTAATTAAAGAAACCTCTGGACTTTTTCTCATTGTTGGATGGAATGACAGTTCCAATGAAGAAGTTTGCAATAGCAATTAGAAGAATGACCAGAAGAATGACTTGGGCCTGGAATGGAAAGGTAAAAGGAAACCAAATCAGATTTATTTAACAACTTTTTACATAATTATAAAAGTTAGAAGTGTCCACTGCAGAAAGACTCTATCTGATATTTCAGTTAAGTCTCTGCTACCCAGAGTAGGTAATACATGCATCCTTATTAGAATGGCATGCAAATAGGTCTTATTCTACTTGGATGTATATGCCACATTTTTAATGGCACACGTGTTTGGGCAGTTGAACGTGACATTTCTGTAACATTCTAAGTAGCAGATGGGTAACTTCCACCATTGTCCCAGGAATGTAAAGGAAGCCAAAAGTTTTAACACTGATAAACTTGAGGGGGGTTTTGTTTGTTTGTTTTCAGCAGAGCACTTATGGGTTGTTTCTGTTCCCAGTGCTAACTGCAGCAGTTCGAGAATGCAGAATGATGAATACAATTCCTGTGATTCCCAGTGCACTTGACGTCAGGCTGCCGCTGTGTGCTCAGCACAAGCAGTCTGCAAAGTTGACTGGTCAGATGGTCTTCCTTCAGCCCCTCCAATGCTGCAAGGTGTTTATGGCTTGGTGTTGCCATATGCTGTTTCCTTTACCTGGAAAGCACTTCACTCTACTTCTTGCATAGCTATTTCCTTCTTTTCATCCTTTAAGTCTTAGTTACCTCCTCAGAGGGCCTTTCTTGAAAATTTAATCTTTTATGTTTTTTTATTTTATTTTGTTTTCCCAAGATGGAGTCTCACTCTGTCGCCCAGGCTGGAATGCAATGGCACGATCTCGGCTCACTGCAACCTCCACCTCCTGGGTTCAAGCAATTCTCCTGCCTCAGCCTCCTGAGTAGCTGGGATTACAGGCATACGCCACCCTGGCTAATTTTATATTTTTAATAGAGACAGGGTTTGACCATGTTGGCCAGGCTGGCCTCGAACTCCTGACCTCGTGATCTGCCCGCCTCAGCCTCCCAAAGTGCTGGGATTACAGGTATGTGCCACCGTGCCTGGCCCATTTAAATAATAACAGCTATCTGTTCACTGAGGGCTTACAATAGAGCAGTTGCAGATTTACTTTCCCTGCATTCTTTTAGGTAAATAATACCACCAACAAACTGACAACCTTATGGAGTAGGCAATATTATTATCCTCATTTTAAAGGTAAAGACACTGAAGCACCGAGAGGTTAAATAATTTACTAAAGGCTGCAGAGATATAAGCTGGATTCAAATTCAGGCACTCTAACTACAGAGCTGGAGCTTTAAATGCTACCCTCTACTGCTAACTAAACTTCATTGCCTCACTCAGGGAATAAAGTTATCTAAAGTAGGGTTCTGTGTTTTTTCATCACAGTGTCCTGTTGATACTAATTTTCACAAATTCTCTTTTTATATTTATTTCTTTATTTGCTTGCTTATTATTGATCTCTTCATAGACCATATATAGGGATTAGGCCTGTTTTGGTCACAGGTGAATATCAGTGCCTAGAAGAATGCTCAACATGTGGTAGGCACTAACTTAATTTTTGTTGAATGTGTGAATGCATAATCTACAAATAAATGCCATGTAGGAATGTTTTCTATTGACTTATAGGTGGGAGGCTTTGGCTGTCTTTCCACATCTCATGACTGCTTGAGATCTAGTTACTTCATCCACAGGCTCGTAGGAATATTTTCAATTGCACCAGTCACTTGAGGGAATTACAAAGGAGGCAAAAGACATGTTTCCCATCATTCGGAAATTTACTATCCATTTTATCACTAGTTAAACTCAGAGATTTTCTGGTTCTAAAGCCTATGATGTGCCTAAATTTGCTGGTGAAGTACTGGCTTTCAGATGAGAATGATAGTTTTTGCCTCTCTTATGTTCTCAACACACTTGCCATTTCTCTTGGGCTTTTGCACCCACAGGCAGCTTGAAAGAGGAACCAGGGTTTGTGATTGAGAGACCCAGGCTTCCAGCGTGCACCACTGCTATGATCATAAGGGGTCTGTGCATAAGGCAGCCGCCTTGGTGACAGCACAGAGAGACAAAATACGGCAGTCATGTGACTCGTGAGCCCTGAATCATGACTGCCTGGGCTTCGTGCTTTGCAGGCTTGGTGTTCCACCTAGCACTTGCCTGCTCATTTCACCATAGCAGGTAATAACAGCAATTCCTTTTGAATATGGAGTTCCCTCTACTCCTGCAATTTGTTCAGGACCTGACCAGCCACTGTTGATAATATCATTTTTGAGAAATTTACCTTTGCCTCCCATTCCATTCCAGCTACTGAAATTCCTAGAAGAATCACCACTGTGATGGAGCCTATAATCCGGATGTCATTGGTTGGATCCACCATCATCGAATCACTCTCCTGGGGAAACAAATTATTAAGTGCTTAGAGATACAGCTTTTTGCATGTGAGTCTTATTGCAGCATTTAACAGTAAAAAGAGATACTATACAATTACACCTGGGGCCATATAGGATAATAGAAAAATGGAGTATTCATACATTTATGAAGATAAAAAACCTAGCATTTTTTTCTGTGATAATAGGCCTTTGATAGTCAAGGTTAGGAGTTAGACATTTTAGAGATTCATTCTAGCTTTTGAAGTTGTTGTAGTATTAAGTGAAAATATGTATACATATACATATTGTGTTTTATTTCAGAAGAATGACTAGTTATTTCTGTGTGTCAAGGGGAATCCTAGCAGAATAAAAACGGATGGTTTACAATGTAAATCCTGAAAGTTAAGTGGTGTCCTATGTAAGACCAGATGACACAAACCTGATAATGCATCTCTTGAAGGTAATATACCTTGTGAACTGTAAGCTCATTTATTTATCTAATTTTTAAATAGAAGTACTTTTACCAATTGAATTCAGTGAATGCTATCATTACTATGAGAAAAGGACTAGAAATTAGTTGATATATCAGCTAATGAATGTGCTTGCACATGCGACATCCTAGACTAGGCACCTAAACTAGGAAATGGCTAGTTTTCTGGAGTGAATTATTTTAATTTTTAAACTTTCTTTCCTTTTAGAAATCTATAACCATAATCATAGTACTACTGTTGACAGCAATATCCATTATTTATCTGATGTTGCATATTTTACACAATATTTTGTGTACATTATTTCATTTGATCTGTGCCACACTTCTGTGAAATACATATAACAGTATTATTAGCCCATATTATAGATTTGGAAAACAAAGTTCGGAAGAATAGAGGAACTAATCCAAACTTTCTTGGCTGGTAAGTGCGAGAACCTGGACTCAAAGCCAGATCTTCTGATGCCAAGCCCAGGCTCCTTCCACTATATTTAACTTTTTTCCTCTCATTTAGCTGTAATGATATCCCTTAGTGCCCTGAGAAGGCAAACTAAACTAAATTATGCTGCTTGGCAGAAAAAAAGAAAAGCTTTTAATTACCTTAAGAAGATCTACTACAGTCTCAGCAAATCCCACCACATACATAGCAACAGCCACTGCATTAGCAAAAGCAAAGATCAGGCCTATTGACCCACCGAACTCGGGCCCTAAACTTCTGGAAATAAGATAGTAGGCCCCACCTGAAACAAGAAATGAACATACTTCACATTGAGGAACTGCTAGTTTATATAACCAAACGATTGTGACTATCTGAGAACATTTACAGTGTGAATTATTTCAATAACAGTATTACAACTTCCCAGTAATTTTAGGAATCCTGTGTTACCCAGTGAATAACTTAGCCCTTCTTGGTACTCTGTACTTAATCTACAATAGAAGTATCCTGACTTAATAAAGCCCACTCTATTAAAACATAAATGTAAAAAAGCTACAAAAAAGAACACAGCAAAATTTACAAAAAATGCGTTGTCTTTATAAAAATATCATTGGAGTATTCAAATTAATAATGCAACTGAAGTAAAATTTTATATAAAAAATTTCCAGGAGTAGGAAAGTCTAGGTAGAAAATGAAGTAGTTGAAGTTTATCTTTGTTTTTCTAACTTCCTTTCTGTTGTGTATATATGTAAAATATATATTTACACATATATAGATATATGTACATATATACAATTTCCTAATATATATGTGCTGCATAAAATAAGATATCTGTATTATCCATTCTTTAAATCAAACTTGCTTTTCTATGTTTTTAGTGAAAGAAGGCATGATATATATATATAAACATATATATACAAAACATATATAGGTACATACGTAAAATTTTCTGATATATATGTGCTGCATAAAACAAGATATCTATAGAGTATGATGTATTATTCATTCGATAAATCAAACTTGGTTTTCTATGTTTTTAGCTCAAGAAGGCACGATTATTCCTAAATACCCATATATGTATGGGTGTGACAAGTAGGTCCCTTGCCTGTTGGCCACTGAGAGCACAGTGTTTGGGAGTTGCAAGTGGGAAGAAAAGTGGGGAGGGTCTGGAACAATTACTTCTCCCTTGGACATTGAAAAAATAGTTCTATTAATTATATATAGTTGCATACTTCTGTGCATATGAAGGATTGAACTAGATTGGTCAAATGCCAAAAGGGTACCTAGGGCAGCTTATTGAAGGTGAAAAGCACTAGATGTTAGGAGGTCTGATTATCACAGACCATAGTAAGATTATGACTTCCTATACAGAGCTGGCTTTGGAGGTAGGCAGAGTTGGCACAGCAATGACAAACCAACATACCTAAAGACAAAACAAAATTACTTTTTGCTGAGAGAAATTTCTTTCACTATAGTAACTCTTTTGGGCTCAGGGGTCAAAGTCCTGTCTAAAAATGTAGCATATTGTCTGGGTGGAGCAAATCCCCATTATTTCCTTTATACAGATCACCTTAAACAAATGAGCTAGTCAGTTACCTAGGTGGGCTGGATCAACATGAGAGACAGGCAGAAGTTGAGAGTGGAAGTGTGTTGTGGGCAGGATGTTTTAGAAGGCCCTGAGTAGGAAGACCTGGATAAGGTGCCGAAGTAGAGAACCAGAGAAACCAAAGGGGAAGGGGAGGGGGAACAAAGGAAGACAGAACAACAATACATTTCATCCATTTCACTTTCTGCCTAGGCCTGCCTACTCCTAGATTATTTGAAAGTAACTCTTTGCTTATTTATTTGTTTATTCCCTTCTAATGATCTTCCCTTGCCTGTTGGTCATTGGGAGCACAGCGTTTGGGGTGAGCCCCGAGGCCTGGGTGCAGGAGTGGTTTACTGAGTGGCAATCATCAGCAATGCCATCTGGGGCATTGGAGAAGACCCATGCTGAGAGGACCTGCGAGAGAGCCAGTGGGTCTCATCCAAGGTACAAAGAAACCATATATTTTGCTATAATATTCCATACCTTCTTACTAGACACATAGTCACTCTCCACTTTATAAACATGTTTTGTTACAAGAAATGGGTCATGTCAATGAAGATATTCCAATTTTAGTTGAGAAAAATTTTGCTTTGCTGTTTAAATTTTGGGTTATTTTGTTTAGGACACTGGGGACTAATTAGCAATATGTTACTTTCACTTCCAATAGTAAATTAACTCCAGACATTACTAGTAACCAAGCCTCTAGTCATAAGTAAATTAATTGGCTTACCTCCTCTTACTACTCCATTCGTGCAAATAGCAGACATAGAAATACCTGTGAGTGTCGTTACTACCACACTTAGGCCAATGATGATGACTCCAAGACCTGCAAAATCCCCCAAGAAAGGTGTTTGGTTCCAGTACTGAGAGAAGTCACCAGTACTTCAGGAGGCAGCAGTCTGAATCTTGTCACAGAAAGATCCACCTCCCTGTGAAAACCTGAAATGTTCTAAAAGATCCCATTTCATGAAGGTCTAGGAAGCACCTGAAATGTACTAAACGTTAAAACAGAAGCCAAATCTGGAATCAGTTTCCAAGGAACATCAGCTAGAGGTGTGCAGACTAGCCTGAAAAAGAAAAAGTTTACCTAAGGAAGGTGCACATCTGTAAGGCATAACCTACAATGTGCCAGAGAGATCCATTAGAAAAGAGACCAGAGTAGACCTGGACTATTCTCATCGTACCTTAGGTTTTCTTTGGCATCCAGCTCCTCCAAATAGCCAGGCTTCAAGAACATCGGGCTACTTCCTTGTTCCCATCAAAAAGAAGTATAAAAAATTGTTCGCCTACCCGTAGCAAGTGATGAGGGCATTAGATATCTTAGAGATTTTACCTCCACGAACAAACCCGTTAGTTGCTATCGCAGAAGTTGACAACCCAGTAATAGAAGTTACCATGGTGGAAAGAAGAATTATGAGAACTCCAAGACCTGTTAGCAATGAAAGATAGAAGATATTGCATTTTACTTTTCTTCCTTGGATTCCCTATTGCTGCAAACTACACTGCCTTTAACTTAAGTTTTCAGGTCCATGCCTCGGGCTCCAACGGGGTTTCTTTGTGCTAAGGAGAAACTGGTTTGCCTGGCATAAAGACCAAGTCAGAGAACTGCTCATTATGATGAAGGATGGTTTCCAAAAGTAAACACAATCGAAAGTGCAGACTTGGAAAGGAAAAGTTGACTTATGCTGGTGTCCTGGGAGAGAAACTATCCTGGCTGTGAAAAGAGAAAACATGACATTTGACCTTCTTTCTTGCTTGAAGGAACTGGAATGAGAAAGTTGGGGGTTTGACAAAGGTTAAATCCTTCCCCATTTTTCTTGCATCTCTTTGCCTGATGGGGGAAAAGAAACCAACTTGCATTACCTTTGAAAACACTCCAGAAAGGTCAGTGGTGAACTGTTAGAGCCTGTGTTGCCTTTACCTTACAAATGATGGTGCGGGTCACAAGTTTAATTACCTCCTCTGACACATCCATTTGTGGCAATAGCAGAGGTGGATAAACCAGTGATACCAGTCACTGTCACGGCTAAGCCGATGATAATCACACCAAGACCTCAGTTGAAAGAGGAAAAATAAAGGTATTAAATGGTGGAAGAATTCATTGGATCATTTACATAAAAACCAGCAAGTCTAGGGTAAACATCAAAGGACCACATTTGAGTTTAACAAGTTGGCTAGGAAATCACCATGGAGTAAATGCTTAGCTTTGAAGTTTTCTGCTTGTAGTAGCTCTGGTTCCAAGAAACTTAAGAGCTAAAATGTGCAGAACTAAGTTGTACAAAACAAAGCCACTAGGGCTGGTCAAAATTTAATGTGCACCCCATCTTATTATTATTATTATTTTTAGAGACAGTCTTGCTATTTTTTCCAGGCTGGTCTCAAACTCCTGGCCTCAAGTCATCCTCCTACCTCAGCCTCCCAAGTAGCTGGGACTACAGGCTTGCACTATTGCACCTGACAGAATTCCATCTTTGGAGAAGTTATAGACACCTATAAACATGATAATTGGCCTACAATTCCAAGCTGTCAAGATAACTAGAGATTAAATGTTCATCCTTCCAGGTTACTATCTTTTTATGTACATTTGGTCACATAGAGGTGGAGAACTACATACAGTATAGCAAATTATTCATCTGGCAGATGGGTAAAGTGGAAAGAATGAAATTAAATTACATTAACTTGTTGACCGTGTGAATTCTGGAAAGTTGCTTATTATGATAAGTCACCTCAAATAAATAAATAACTGAGCCAAAAATAGCAATGAAATTAGAAAGAATGCATGTGTAAAATGGCTAGCATAGCACATGGAACACAGTACACACTCAATGATATTGCTTTTTGATCATATTCACAGTAGTTATAATACTTACTGCTTTTTAAAAACCTACTATATATCCAGCTATGTGGCAGGTAATGTAAGAAACACAAGACACAAATAAAATGAAATTTAAAAAGCTGCCCCAAGGATTTTATGGTTCAGAAGGTTGATGATTATAAAGAGAGGGAGAAAGTGGTAGAGGCCAGAATTCAACGAAGCCGTGACTGCTTTCAGCTTCAAGAAACACATAGCCAGGAGTCTACAAAAGGGTATCAGAATATATCACTCTGGCATAAGGATTATTTGGAGCTGAGACAACCGAAAAAAAGTAGATACAAGAAAAGCTCTCGATCCCTTCCTATTTACCTAAAAACGGGACATAAATTTGTCCTCCCTCCCCTCTCTACCAGAAAGTGATGTCTCTGATTACCAGAGACAATTTTGGATGCTTATCAGCCTGACAAAGGCACCACAGGCATCTACACAACAAGCTTTGCTGACAAGCTCTTATCTTCCATTCCTTTCCTTATATATTTACCTTGGCAGCATTTGCCACCCTATGAATGAAAAGTCCTTTTCCTTTGTCTTATCACCTCTCTACGATTTAATTGTTCTGTTGTTAAGATGATATATAAGCCCATGTTCTAAGCAACCCTTTAAGTCACTCATCACTGAGTGGTCCCATGTGTATGTACCATGTACATGTTAATAAATTCTGTTTTTCTCTTATTGATCTGACTTTTGTCAATCTAATTTATAGGCCCCCAGCCAATGAACCTAAGATGGGTAGAAGATAACTGTTTTTCCTCTCCTACAATACCCTCTCTAATGGAGGCCGACCCAGAATTCAGGGAGAGGGCTGTGGAGTCACAGCCACTGAACTCACCCTGGCTCCATCCAGAATGCTCTGGTCTGGGCTGTTTGGTAAGCTCCCCTATGTAAAGTGAATGCTCCATAGTTGTTGGCAGGCTCTCTCGTTCCAAGTATGGTTAGAAGGGTAGTCAGCCACGAGAGGCTGTGATCTCTCTGGCCATGCTCAAGGAGAAGGGAAAGTGGAAGGAGGTTAAGGGCAGCAGTGGGAATGAGTCAAGGTATTAAAGGCTGGTTCTTTTGAAGCTCTTGGCCATACCCTGTCTCTAACAGCAGCCTCTAGGCTTTTTTGCAGGTTAAGGTGGAGTGGGAAGAAGCTAACTAAGCACAGGCTGCAAACTTGGACCATATTGCTTTAGACCCTGTAGACTCTTAAAAGCTTGGGGTTGTAAAAAATAGTTGGACCAAATTCTTCATATCTATTGCAGGGATACTGTGGTGAGCAGTGCCTCTGTATCACTATGTGGCTTCAGGTCCTTGTGCCACTAAAGGTGATTTATTCTGCACTTGTTTTGCTCCTGACTTTGTTTTGAAGAAGCTTGATAGAAAATGTTTAGCATACCCCAGAAACTCTACAGGACCATATAATTTGCATTTCATAACACTAAACCTACTCCAACCTTATTATTTCCTCACTGTTATTTTCCTTTTGACTCTAGTTTTTTCAACAATTCTTAATTCATCCTTTTGCATTGTATATATTTCTCCAAACCATTTGAAATCTTGGAACAAAGTTTTATACTTTTGAACAGCAAGGGATTTGCTTCTCTCTCATAATCAAACATAAAATCCCAGGGTAGAAGGCAGCTTGGAGAACATTCAGTTCATTGTTTTCTGAAATTGTGGTTCTTGAACCACCTGCTTCAGGAAATGCCTGGGGTGCTTATTAAAAATGCTCAGACCTACTGAATTTGGATCTTTAAAAGTAAATCCCAGGATTCTGCAGTTTCCTAACCTAACTTCCCAGATAATTCTTATGCATCCCTCAGTAAGACAACTAAGCTACCCTCAGCCTATTTCAACTTGTGTCTGCCTGTTCAGAAAGGTACTTTAGCTTTATCTTCAAAGAATTCATTGGGTAGGAATTAACCTGCTCCTTAATATTTAGAAAAGAAAGGGAAACACCGAATGTAAGTGACTTGCTTCAGGTCATACCGGCTTTCACACCTAACTTCCTTGCTTGATGGTTAAATTTATTGGAAACCATCTTGCCCCAGCAAGGTCTCCAAGATAGAGAAGAACAACTAGACAGCATTAGCAGCTCATTCAGCCCTTTGCTTTTGGGAACAAGACAGCCAAAACTCGTAGCCCAGAATGGTTACCCAAGGGCTGTAGCTACTGTTACTCCTGGCTCCAGATTCCTTCTGGCTCTATTCCCAGGGTCTGGGCTTGAAAATGTATTCAGATTTCTTCCTCAATCTACCCCCAAAGCAAGAACAAATAGATGTGTTTGTTTCTTTTCTTCCCCAATAAGGAAAACCCAAATGGGACCCAGATGGTGACTTAACTCATTAAGTTTTAGGTTCATAGCAAAGGCCAGTAAAACTGAGTAAGGTTGACAATAAGTTTCTAGTACTCACTAAAGTCTGTCTTCCGAGAATTAAAAAAAGAAAAGAAACGAAAAGAAAAACACAAACCTCCATTCAAAGGAAAATCCATTGAACACTTACTAGGTAGAATTTTACTCTCTTCTAATATATAATTTAACTACTTCAATATAAAGATCTTTATTAAAATAATATTAATTTTATTTTAATATTTTAATATGATAGCATAATAAACTGTTTAGCAGAAGATAGGATTCTTCATTCTCTACAGTTTTGCAAGAAACTCAATACTGGGTTGACTGTGAAGAGTAATGTAAGATCTGATTAAAGTTCAGATTATTGCCCAAACGTATGGATGTTAAATAAGTTGCGTTAAAAAGAATTACTCTTGCCCTTGGCTACTCTCACACCTCCAAACAAAGTAATGTTTCTTGATGATCTCAATAAGTTACTAAAACTACCCTTAAAAACCTAATTTTGCATGAAACCCTGGAGCAAAACCTTGGCAATATTAAGATGCAGATTTTCCATGGAACGGCATATACTTATTTTGGACCCTGCGGCTGTGAGCATTCATTTGTTATGCATCATAAAACCGGCAAGCAGCCCTCTGTCAGGAACCCAGCAGTTGCCAAACATGAAACATGGAAAAACTATGGGAACTGGCTCCATTTTTTCAATTTACAGCTTAGCCCTTTCTTTTTTGAGTTAGTCTTCCGGTGATGCTGAATGTGTTTTGAAGAGCAAAGCCAATAAATAATGACCAACTACCTTTTAAAATGTGAATTGAGATACCTTCTGGAGTGCTATCTGAAAGCACAATAGAACTTCCATATTCCTGAGACTAAGTCTTCTCCGGAAAGTGAATTCATAATGTATTTCCCATATATGGAATAGAACATTATTAATTTTTATCTCATTAAATGGGGAACTTTAATACAATTCAATTAGATTTTTCATAAAAACTTTACTAATATACTTTCAACAAAAAAGATTTGCTAGAAGAAATAATATTTAAAATAGAATGTAATATTTAAAACATTAAACAACCACTCAAAATAATGTCATTATTATCCATTTTTCATTTAGAAAAAAATAACAGTAATGCACATATTATCTTAGTCATTTCATCTTTCACTTAAAGCTTGTATCTGGCAATATTTGATTAACCTTTGTTTTCTTACTGCTGGTACCCGAAAGTAACACAATTATTTTCTTTGGAAAAAGTTCAACAATTCAGCATTTTTATTAGTCAGGTCACATTTTCACCAGTTTTCTCACAAGTTA
Source organism: Homo sapiens (assembly GCF_000001405.40). NCBI lineage: Eukaryota > Metazoa > Chordata > Mammalia > Primates > Hominidae > Homo > Homo sapiens. The sequence goes on along the minus strand of NC_000015.10, from coordinate 48,221,382 downwards.
TTTTTGTTCAGTGAAGTTTTACCAATCATGCCAAGAAGGATACTCTGTAACAAATGAGAGGCAAATGTCAATATGTCCCCCAATACAAATATTATTATCTAAAATTAACATGCTATTATATGTCTGTGTACCTAAAACTCTATCAAAAGAGAGAGATCTCCTTGAGCATTCACCTGTTTGGCAAGCTGGAAAATTCCAGTTTCATAGGAGTTAACTCTTCACCTTTGCTTTCTGACAAACATCGTCAAAGAAGCAAAGTAAAAGGAGCCCAACTGTAAATTATTTCTGTGACCTTCATCTCACATTCAGTATTAATGGTGAAAAAAGATTGCTTATTGAATTTATGATTTACATGCAAAATTATTTAGGAGGGGAAAAATGCTTACCAATTCCAGCTTCTCCAACAATCCAGGAGAGGCGAATGAAGAGCATGACTCCCCAGATGTTCAGCATGCATCTTACCTGTGGATAGAAGCGGTATTGAAAGGAGACAGGACAAACGATAGTGGGACAAAACCCGGGGCTCTTCATAAAGCTGTGCCCAGGCCTTGTTCACTCTTAATCCACTAGAACATTGAATGGATAGTTTTCATTTGTAAACAGAAGAGCTTTCTCACCAGCACACCTTTCACCCATCCAAACTTCACAACACCAGCTTGATCATCTTCCTTATTTTCAGCTTGTTCATCTCCAGGTATCCCATCACCGTTAGCAACTCTGTCAGCTGAACTTGGGGTGACTGCCACATTCTGCATTTTATAGATAGCAAAAACACAGTAGTTGGTCAATGAACAAAGGGTTCCATGAAACTTTTCAAAGCAAATCAAAACAATTGAAATAAAACTTAAAATACCAAAAAACCCCCAAACTAAATATATTCTGAGAATTTTAATGAAACTTATATTTTTTGCCCTGGAAGCTGAAAGGTTCATTTTGTGAGTCATTTTAAAGTGTTTTTTAGGGCTGGGTGAAGGGAACCTGAGATGTTCTTCCACTAGTGAGAATATTTCTTCTGGTGAAAAGTCAGATTTGGATAAGTTTAGCACATAAGAGAAACAAAAGAGAGAAGGGCTACAAGGAAGGGACAGCCAGAGTAAATAAGGGTCTTTGGAAGTCATGTTACGACCAAAAAGAGAAACTTCCTGAGCTAAGTAGAGGATCTGTGCTTCTTTTGGTGAAACTCCCTGTACTTCATTTTATCTATCTATCTATCTATCTATCTATCTATCTATCTATCTATCTATCTATCTACCTTTTTTTTTTTTTTTTTTTTTGAGGCAGAGTCTTGCTGTGTCACTCAGGCTGGAGTGCAGTGGCACAATCTTGGCTCACTGCAACCTGTGCCTCCCGGGTTAAGGCAATTCTTGTGCCTTAGCCTCCCGAGTAGCTGGGATTACAGGCACACACCACCACACTCAGCTAATTTTTTGTATTTTTAGTAGCTGGGATTACAGGCGCGCACCACCACACCCAGCTAATTTTTTGTATTTTTTGTAGAGACAGACTTTTGCCATGTTGCCCAGGCTGGTCTCGAGCTCCTGAGCCCAGGCAATCCGCCTGCCTCGGCCTCCCAAAGTGCTAGGATTAGAGGTGTGAGCCACCGCGCCCGTCCTATTTTATTCATTTAAAATCATGATGATAAAACTTCTCTACACACCTCAGAGGATCTTTAAGAGAATTCAATGAAAGACACATAGACATGTTTTCTGTCTTTCTTTCTTTCCTTCTTTCTTCCTTACTTTTTCTTTCTTTCTTTTTCTTTCCTTCTCTCTCTCTTTCTTTCTTTCTTTCATCTTTCTTTTTTCATCTTTCTTTCTTTCCTTCTCTTTGACAGAGTCTTGCTCTGTCACCCAGGCTGGAATGCAGTGGTATGAACTCGGCTCACTGCAACCTCCACCTCCTGGATTCAAGTCATTCTCCTGCCTCAACCTCTAGAGTAGCTGGGACTACAGGGGTGCACCACCACGCCAAGGTACTTTTTGTATTTTTAGTAGAGACGGGGCTTCACCTTGTTGGCCAGGATGGTCCTGATCTCTTGACCTCATGACCCTCTTGACCTGAAGGCCCACCTTGGCCTCCCAAAGTGCTGAGATTACAGGCATGAGCCACCACACCCGGCCGACAAGTTTTCTAAGAAAACAAAACAATAAAGTTTAAAGTATTCCACAAAAGTTTAAATGCACTGGATGATGACAAGAATGTTATTCCTGTAGAAGTTTCTTTGAGATTCCGTTATGCCTTTGCCTGAGAATTGTTGAATATGCTAGTATCTTATAGAAGATAAGAAGTTTCATAACTGATTACTAGTTGAGTAGAAATAAGAAGTTGGTAGTATAAATAAGGGTTTAAACTTTTATATGGTTTTTTCCTGTGGCCTCATTTTGAAAAAGACTTCCATTCTCATTACAATAGTATCTGAGCTCAAGAGGGCAGGAAACAGCTCTTTTTCTGTCAAATTGAGAATAGTTCTCTATCTATAATTTCTCTTTAAGATATGGGTTTGAATAATTTCAGATGCACTTACTTAATTTAGCTTATCTGGCTTTTACCAGGCCCTTTGTGTAGACTGTACTTCTTTGAGCTCTGAAAACAGTTTTCTTTTCTAGGAAAGATTTTGAAACCACTGGGGAAGGCTCTGAGATTGAGCCCTCAATTACCACGATTATAGAATGACTATATCTTATTTAAGTGGTCTAAACTGGTTTAAGCCTAGGATGATATGTTCTGATATCACTAGTTAAGAAGTCTTAGATAAAACCATTTTTTCTTCCTCTAAAATGGAGCTGGTGTGAAATAAACATCCATATTTATTATCAAAGTTTCATTTTAGGATGATTGAAGCTCTTGCCCTTGCCATACTCAAAGGCTCTTGCTTCTTTGGGCTAAGGTATAGCTTACCCATGGTAAACTGCCCTCATTTGGCCTCTATACTCCAAGTGACTTTGACTTCTTGTCTTCTTCTTCTAGCCTGTTCTTCTCCTTGTCTTTTTATTTATTTGCTTTTCCTTCCCGAGGTGAGTGCATTTTCTTTGTCTTTGTAAGGATTTCTCCTCAAACTCTTCTTTCTTGAGACCTTGTTCATGATACTATTGTGACACTTGGATAAGCAGCATAATACAGAGTCATAAGAGTCATTGTGTGACAAGTGAATCAGAGAAAGATTCAGCACTTAATTACCATTATTATAGGATGATTCTAAATTGTGGGTTACTTTTTCTCAGTACCAGCCAAAGGCTTGGCATGTAGCAGGCCATCAATAAACAATGCTGAATCAGCCAGGTGCAGTGGCTCATGCCTGTAATCCCAGTACTTTGGAAGGCTGAGGCAGGAGGATTGCTTGAGCCCAGAAGTTTGAGACCAGCCTAGGCAACATGGCTAAACCCTATCTCTACAGAAAATAGAAAAAAAATTACCTGCGTGTGGTGGCATGCACCTCTAGTCCCATCTACTTGGGAGGCTGAAGTGGGAGGATTGCTTGAGCTAGGGAGGTCAAGGCTGCAGTGAACCACAGTTGTGCCACTGCATTCCAGCCTGGGTGACAGAGTGAGACCCTATCTCAAACAAACAAACAAAAACAACAATAACAAAACAATGTTGAATTCAGAAGGTGGACTTGAAAGTTCGTGATCTCTACCCCTTAAGAGCAGATATCCTAGTTTCTTATCCATTCTTGCCTCCTACTTCTTTTATCTTCCATCTCTATGGGACAGCTCATTTCTTATTGTTTCTTCTGGGTAGGTCACATTTAAAAGGGAAGAAGAAGGGACTGAATCCTAAGACAGATTATTTTATTATTTTCTGACAGTATTGGGAAAAAATGGAATAACAGAGGAGATTGAAGTTAATAATTAAAATTTAGCTTTTAATTACCTGAGGAATATGTTAATCTTAGATATCCTCAGTCCTTATTTGCACAAATAATTGAAAGCTAACATAATGTATTCACACCAATGTAAGAATAAACGCAGTCCAAAAAATTGAGGCTAACATAGTGGGGCAGAAACTGGTCATCTATACCAGCTATAAATGCAAACCAAGTATGTAATTCAAAATTTTCTACTTTTTAAAAAGGAAAAAGAAATTGGTGCAGTAATTAGGTTTAGAGATGGACCCTTACATTTTAAAGATATACTTAATCTTTGGAGAATATCATATTTCTAATATTTGCAATATAAGTATTTATTAGCAATAGTTGCACCCCAACTTGTAGGGAACTGAATCACAGGAGTGTTTTAGTAATGTATTTTACTTAATAGAATATCTATAAAATATTACTTCAATATATAATCAGTATAAAAATATTAGGAAATATTTTACATTCTGTTTTTAATACTAAGTCTTTGATATTCAGTGTGTATTTTCCACTGGCAGTACATCTCAATTTGGACTAGCCATGTTCCAAGTGCTCAATAGCCCCATGTGGTTAGTGGCTACCATATTGGACAGCATAGGTCTATGCAATGCAGTCAATTTCAGATGCATGAAACATTTGAGGCTGTTTTCCAGTCCATTAAAAATTCTGTTTTTCTCTGAAAGAATTCTATACACATACGGCAGCTGAATAGGTCAAATGTAACTTTCATTTTTTTCATAACTGAAATGTATAATCAATGAGAGCAGGGAATTGAGGAATGTGTTAAAATGTCCATGACTATTGAAGGGATTATTTTGTTAGGAGATCTATTTATTTAGTTTGATTTGAGAAAAACTTTAAAAAAAATTGTCAATATTCTAGTTAATCAAAATCCCATAGCCAGACCATCAGTAGTTACTCACTTTGGGAGAGGGCAATTTTCTTTGTGTAGATTAATTGGGGATCCCAAGAGACACAGCCTTAGTTGCTTGCCTTTTTTAAAGATGGTCTTGGGAATAAAACCTATGTTTTCTGATTAAACTTGAAGATTTGGTCTGGGAAATTGCTCTGCTAGCTGATAAACTCCAATGGTGATTGTGACCCTTAGATATGAATTGATGAGAATATCCAAGACTGTAAACAAATCTTACAAAGTAGGCTAAAGGATGAATAGGGTATTTAAAATTTCCTCTAAAATGAACTTTCCTTCCTGATGGATGCCCTTCCTGGTCACAGTTTAATGGTTCTTCAATTTATCACTAGGATTTCACAATATGATGCAAAAAGAATATTCTATGAGAGGATGACAGGGAAACCACTATATGTGCAAGTTAGTAAAGCAATCATTTTCTAAATTATTCAAAGGTGTAGTCAATGTAGGGTGTTCAACTCTCCCTTAGGTATTAATAATATGTTCAACCTGCTAGAATTTCAAAGTTTTAAATATATTTATACCATAGAGGGGAAAAAAACCCCAAATGTATACTTCTTTTGTTGACTATTAAGGTCTGACAGTAAATTTACAAGCACAGAAGCCATTTCCATTGCTTACTCTCATGTAGGAGCCAAAAAATCCTGCACCGTATAAACTAGGATACTTGGAATCTAGTTTTGGTTGTGCAATTCATTCAGGGTACGTCCTCCATCAAGGTGTTTAACCGTGCTTGAATACTGCCAATAAGAATAAATCCAGTGGATTTTGTGAAAATCTTATCTTGAAGTAATTTACTCTAAGGCAAAATTGTTTTTCTCTGTTTGCCATCTTACAGTTCTGACATGGCAAAGCAAACCTTTGTTTCACTCTTTAATAAATGCCTCCTTAGTAAATCAGAACAGCAGTTGTAAACTCATCATCAAAGTACTGAACATGACTTTGGGTGGAGGGTTTGTGGGGACTTGATGGCTATGAGCTGTGTAGCAGGTGGCCTGCAGTCTCCCAGCTGGTTCATGTTCTTGAGGCCAAAGTCTCAAAGACTAAAAGTTTTATGATTACTGCCTGAAACCAGTTTTTCCCTTCATACATTGAATTAATTTGTTTGTTCACACTCCCATTACCATAAATGATGACCCATAACCTTTTATAAATGTATTCTAAATTATGTAGCTTTAGGGAATGATTATTTATTTACTAAGAATTTTAACTGTGTGTTAAGGATTCAGGAAAAGTAAAATAAAGTATGTTTAAAAAATGAAAAGAAAGGAAGACCACTTGATAACAGATTATCCCCACTCCAATTTTGACAACTAATGAATCTTCAATCACATGCAGTTTAAAGGGCAATGAGTTCTTGATAATGAAAGATTAAATTATTTTATTTAATATGTAATGTGATTTTTCAGACCCCAGAAACATATCAGATACCTTTATAGCTATTATCAAAGCTGAGGAAAATAAATATATTTGTTCTTTAAGTTCCAGCTAGATACTATTTGTTACTTACATCTTTATGTCTATCATCAAAGCAGGGAAAATAAATATATTTATTCTTTAAGTTCCAACTAGATAATATTTGCTACTTATACATTCTTTTGAATTTTGATCCTTTAATCTCAGGTTGATAGAATTTTTAGACCACCACCGAGAGACAGTTCCATAAATATTCACACCTAGATGATCCCCCTGTTGTTTTAAACTTTCTTTTATTATTGTCATATTCAAACATATGTAAAAGTAATGAGAATAACAAAATAAATCTCAGGTACTCATTATTGAGTTTCAACAATGATCAACATATGGCCAAACTTGTTCCACCTAACCTAAGCCCCTCCCACTCCTGCCACTCAATTATCTAAAAACCAATCCCAGTAAGAACCAGATGATTCCTAAGCTTCATTTCAGAATGAAAAACATATGATTCTAACCATATTTCCATACCTTACTGATCAATATTATTATGTTTATACATTTCTATCCCTTTGTGATAAAAGGCAATATTTTAAATTATGAAAATGAAAGTCTTTTTTTCTTGTTTTGAAAGTTATTACACATTATGCCTATAAATCACTACCAATGGTCACAATTTGTAATCATAGTGCATTTACTATAGCTGAAAACACATATCTCACACACAAATTGACTTGTGTTTTTGATAATTTAGGACAAAAGTTAGCTATGTGCAATAAACTGGCATATGAAAAAGAAAATGGAAAGGTTCTTAATATTTTCCAAGTATAAGTTTAAGGGAACTACTGCTCTTCTTGCCATGTATTACTAAACTATTTATAATAAAAAATTAATTGTTTTTGTTTTTGTTTTTTTTCCCAGAGATTGTTTTAATAGTGTGAGCTCCCCGGGGAACTGGCCCTGAGTACTAAGAAACTCTAACTAAAGTATCAGAATGAACTCTTAGTTGCAGAGGTTCACTCCAACAAATATTTTAAGGGTGGCTTCTGGTCACTGGACTTTAAGGCATTTATTGCTTCAATTTTAATGTCTATTTTATTTGGCTGTTGTTAGCTTAGTAATTATTTCTAATTTCAGATATCCCCAATTTGAATGCTAAAGTTGCAAATTTGAACTTTGAAACACTGTAGAAAAGGTTATTTTCTAGAGAAAACATTCGTACATTTTTGTCCTTTTATAGAAGATAAGCATTTAATGTATATTTTAATACATTGATTTATGTGGTTTAATGTTTGTTAACTTGACTACATTTCCTTTATTCGTATCCATAACGATGTCGTTTGACTTATAAAATTCTAGAGGAGGCTGGGTGTGGTGGCTCACACCTGTAGTCCCAGCACTTTGGGAGGTTGAGGTGGGCGGATCACGAGGTCAGGAGATCGAGACCATCCTGGCTAACACGGTGAAACCCTGTCTCTACTAAAAATACAAAACAAAAAACAAAACAAAACAAAATTAGCCGGGCATGCTGGCGGGCGCCTGTAGTCCCAGCTACTCAGGAGGCTGAGGCAGGAGAATGGTGTGAACCCGGGAGGCAGAGCTTGCAGTGAGCCAAGATTGCGCCGCGGCACTCTAGCCCGGGTGACAGAGCGAGATCCCGTCTCAAAAAAAAAAAAAAAAAAAATTCTAGAGGAAAGAGGTCAAGTCACTTTAACTCACTTTACACAGAAACTCTTGTAAATACATGCTTAATAAATGCTTTTGATGGTGACAATGAAAATGATTGAGACATAATTAATTCTGTAGGACAAGCAATACAATCTTTTGTCACAGTCTCAGAAAAAAGGACTGAAACAAGGAAGTACCTCCTGCTCAGCCCATCATGACAGAGTGTGATTTTCTTCTTCGTGCCTGAGTCCCACCATTCTCTACAGCTGTTGAATGAGTTAATGAAAAGTGCCAAGGGAAAGCAGACTGAGGATGGAAAGTAGAACTGAAGATCAAGGACTCTGGAGTCCTGCAGACATGGGTTCAACTTATGAGCATGTGACCTTGGTTTCTTGACCTTGGAAGTTCATTGACTTTTGCAAGCCTTTGTTTTCTCTTCTAAAAGATCCACAGCATTTTATAAAACTTTCACCATCCATAAAAAAGCAATAATAATAGTACCTTCCTTGAGGGGTTGTTGTTAAGGATTGAGTGAGAATTTTTTAAGTGTGAGCACAGTGTCTGAAACATAACAAGTTCTCAACAAAAAGTTGGTTATTACTACACTGCATTTAAAGTTAATGCTTTTATTTACGAATTATTTGTAGTTGTTAACAGCATAATGATCCAAATATAGTCATTTCATTGATTTTTTTTTGGATTAGTTTCTATAGAGTTAGCTTCTTTAAGAATAATATTTGTCTTAATTTTATAGTATTTTATACTTTTCATAGATAGCTTATTTCAATGACACATGGCTTCGATAGAAAGTCTATATATTTCCTTGAATCCTTTTAAATTATATTTTTCTGAAATGCTAACAACAATGGTGGTTAGTAAGGCTGAAAAGGAGTTCCATTTTGGTTAGTCCTGTAGTAAGGAATTGGATATGAAAAGTTGGTCACAGGAATTAGGCTGGATACTGAAAGCAAAATTCTCTTTACAAAGTAAAGGCACTAGATTAATCTTTGCCAGATGTCAAATAATTATTACATATGCTTTAATACGGAAAGATCTCGAGGGTATGTTTGGTAAAAACTGCAGAGTGCAGAACAATGTGGAAAATACGTCTGGTACATGTTTGAAAATAAATATAAACAGAAAGTTAGATTGATAGGAATCCAGATATTTATAGATATATGTGTATGTTTATATAAGCCTAGAACATTTCTGGAAGGATTTACAAGAAACTGTTAGTAATGATTGTCCTGGAGAGAATAACTGAATATTGATGTTAGAAGAGAAACATTTTATTACATATTTTTTAGTATTTGTTAAATATTTTATTTGTATTTATTTTTCTGTTAAAATAAAAAGCTAGTATAAAAATTACCACTATCATCATCGATCATTTATTGAATTCTTACTCATTGTAAGGGTAGACTTTATACTTATAGAAACTAATGTTCACAAGCATCTTGCAAGATAAGTAGAAGTTATGTAGTTCATACAATAGCTTGTAGAGAGCAAGTAAAGGACAGTTGTTTCTCCTGCTTTTAAGTAGAGTTTTCAGAAATTTATAATTAACGGTCACCAGTATAGGTATTTAGCTCTTTACTAACATAGATAATAAAAAGAATTTCTTCAATTACGATCTCAAGTCATTGGGATTATAAATTCTGTCAATATCTATCACAACTAGAGTTTCATTTAAGGTAGAGCCTTAAAATAATGTCTTTCAAACCTGTTTTTTATTTTACCTATTAGTATAATTTTGTCATGTAACTTTTTTCTCACTTGGAAATTATAACCAAAATTTACGCAAAATCCAACTGGTTTTCTGACTAACCATGTTCTGCCATTCGGTATGAATGTGCTATTGCTATTATAACTTTTAAAAGCATTCTAATCATAGTTACAAAAAGTATTGTCTAGCTTGTACTGTGTCAATTACCTTCTACTTTTAAATGATTTAAGTAAACACTATTATTTATATTTTTTGCATACAAAATCTGTGAAGGGTCTGAGTATAATCACATAATGTTTGTTCTGTTGATGATTTCTAGTTGTGATTTGAGGAACTACCATAAAAATGTCAAGGGCCACAAGGAGGTGGCAGCACAGCTACAGCACATTGCAGGTTTTCACTTCTTATATTTGAGGGGGGAAAAGTAAGGAGAGTAGCTGAGTCAAATTCATTAGCAAGCAATAAAAAGATAAATTAAAGAAGGCCCAGACTGCTACACATGGAGAGCCAGGCTAGGCCATACAATTTCAGCAACACTAGAATGGGCCTGGCTGCAGAAATGTGCACATTGTAGATTCTGTGGTTGAATCTGAATTCTACTCCCAATTTGGCTATGTGGATACCTCTTCATGATTTAATCAAGATGAAGGGTCCTAGATAACTGAGCATCAAGTCTGTAAAAGAGTAGCTTATTACTATACACTTTCAAAATGATTATTCAGAGCTTAGGCCTAATTTTTAATATTTTAATTTGCCATTCCTTTGTGTCTAAGAAAAAAAATGCTTTAAGTCGAAGTTCAGTCTTTAGTTTCATTTTATGTCTTCAAAAGTGATACAATATTCCAAACAGCTATTACATTTATCTAATGCAGCTATAACATTCCTACTGTGTGGTCATTTAGATGGCTTTCTGTTTCTTTTTTTTTTTGAGATGGAGTTTCACTCCTGTTGCCCAGACTGGAGTGCAGTGGCACTATCTCAGCTCACCGCAACCTCTGCCTCTCAGGTTCAAGCAATTCTCCTGCCTCAGTCTCCCAGGGCCAGGATTACAAGCATGTGCCACCATGCCTGGCTAATTTTTTTTTTTTTTTTTTTTTTAAGTAGAGAAGAGATTTCACCAGTTGGTCATGGCTGGTCTTGAATTTTTGACCTCAGGTGATCCACCAGCCTCAGCCTCCCAAAGTGCTAGGATTACAGGCATGAGCCACCACACCCAGGCTTTAGATGGCTTTCTAAACACCTGTTCCTTCAGAGCTTTTCTCCCTTTATTGAAAGATTTACATAAGCCATGGCTTTTGCAATTATAAATAAGCTACTTTTCTCTGTCGGGAATGTCAGTCCTAAGAACAATGTGAATTTATCCCATTTCTTTTTTAATGAAGTTAGAATTCTATTTTCTTTTGTTGTAAATTGGGGAAGTAGGTGAATGATAATATTTAAATTGTGACACTAACTTTAAAAAAGGAGGCAGATTTAAAAATTATCATGTGTGACGTGGTAGAGTATTGTGGGATAGAATTTCAGGTCTTTTTAAAAAAGAACTTTGATTCATTTTAATTCTTCAGAAACAATTGAAATATCTTTTTATAATGCCCTAAATTTGTTTCTGCCCTTTCCATGTCTTGGAAACTCCTGGGGGCTGCTTCTGTCAACCTTCTTTTCCTTTCTCTTCTCCTTTTTCTCTCTGCCATTTTCCTTTCCTTTCTTGACACAGAAAAGGACAGTGACACCGCAGCTGGATTTCAACAGTTCAAATTGCCTCCCTTCTCAAAATTCTTCATGGGGGCTACCATGTTGTCTGAAATTGTCGCATTGCTAACTTCTTTTGATTAAAGCATCAAATATGCCAGATAAAATCTAAATCTTAGGTCTATAAGGAAACCAGCCATTTGGCAGACTGTTGCCGATTTAGTACACAGGACTAGCAAGTTTTGGTGGGGAAAGGGGACAAGGAAACAAAATTAAAAACATGGGCTCCTCCTCAGGAAGTCACTTGGTCTCTGGTGGTAGGACCCAGAGTCAGGGACCCTAGCAGCCAAGGCAAATACGATTTGGAGATGGATTTTCTTGTGGAAGGAAAGGTGAGCAGAAACTAAAGAAAGATTTTCCCCTTTATTAGCATCTTTCCTGAGAGTAGTATTCCTAGACTCTCGGGTGTGGATGATCATTTAAAAAAATATTGAAGGAACGAATGGATGAATGCATACAAAAGGAACTGTTTGAATCATTTTCTTCTCCTCAAAACTTGGGCAAGAGTAAACTCATTTGAATATGTGACATCTAATCATTCTTTTTAGCAGGTAATTGTGTTTTATAAAGAATGATATTTATTCCAAACTGGTCTGGAAGAGCAGGAAGATAAAGGTGATCAGTATATTTTGGAGAAAGTTATGGAAGAAGAAATCTACTAAGTTCTAAGATTGGAGGCCGGGCATGGTGGCTCACACCTGTAATCCCAGCACTTTGGGAGGCTGAGGTGGGCAGATCACCTGAGGTTGGGAGTTCAAGACCAGCCTGACCAACATGGAGAAACCCCATCTTTACTAAAAATACAAAAAAATTAGCTGAGTGTGGTGGTGGCACATGCCTGTAATCCCAGCTACTCAGGGGGCTGAGGCAGAAGAATCGCTTGAACCCAGGAGGTGGAGGTTGCGGTGAGCCGAGATCGCACCATTGCACTCCAGCCCGGGCAACAAGAGCGATACTTCGTCTCAAAAAAGATTGGGAAAAGTGCTGCCTCACTTCTAACAGACTTGGGAACCCTGGCTGTATTTCTTAAATAATGAAAAGTTTAGTCACTTCTGCTGCTTCTGTACTTTAATTTAGTTATTTTTATATGCTTAAGCACATTCAGGAGCCTCAGGCAAAGTTTTAAAGAGGAAGGGATAAAATGCTGAATCTTATAAATCTCTGCCCTTTCTTTAAAGAATATAAAAAATACCCCTACACACTAAAGGCTGTCACCCACAGTATTAACTACAGCAAGCACAAGTGTTTTGCTTTTTATACGATTGACATAGAGACATTAATACTGACGTGAAACCAGCTTGGTATTCAGTTTGACGTGTTTAACCAAGTGTGAATTGAGTGGACTATAATCATATACAAGGTACAACATATTGCCTAACATTTAGAGTTAATTCTTTAGTTCTCTATCCTAAGTCAGAAAACATTTGTGGAGCTGGGCACAGTGGCTCATGCCTGCAATCCCATCTCTTTGGGAGGCCAAGGTGGGAGGATCCCTTTAAGTCAGGAGTTCGAGACCAGCTTGAGCAACATAGCAAGACCCTGTCTCTACAAAAAATAAAAAAGTTAGTCAGGTGTGGTGGTGCATGCCTGCAGTCCCAGCTACTCAGGAGGTTGAGGTGGGAGGATTGTTTGAGCCCAGGAGTTCAAAGCTGCAGTGTCCACCACACTTCAGGCTGGGTGACAGAGCAAGACTTTGTCTCAAGAAAAAAAAAAATCCAAAGAAAAAGCATCTGTGAAACACTTTTCTGGGAACTAGGGACAGTTTTGTAAGTAAGATGGATAGTGTTTGGAATAGACCTCTCCATTTGACTGTTTCACATTCATTCATAGTGTAATGAAAGAGAAGGAAATTATCTGAAGTTATGAATAAGGGAGGAGACTTGCTTGTGTCCTTCAAGCTTACCTTTGCGAGTTGCTCGTGAATCTCAAGCAGGCTGGGTCGGTTGACCTTGGGCCCACTGATGCTGCCGGTGTTACGATAGTACTCTATCTTGGGAACGGCATCCATGGTGTTGTGGCCAAAAGTTTGTAGATAGTATGTGTTTGTGTGAGAATCATAAGCGTGAAAACTGGCATCTGTTTTAGCAGTTTCTCCACTTTGGAGGAAATTGTCATAGCACTCCTGATTCCCAGGCCTAAAGCTGATTCTGAGTCTTTTCTGAGCTTCATCCCCAAAAGAGGTTTCTTCATAATGTGGTGGGTCAGTATTGTCATCTGCAGCTGCACTGCTCTCATGGTTCTCATTTATGACACTAACTTGAAAGCGATTGGTATTACTGGGCACTGAATCCAGAAATACATTGGAAGAGTTGTTCAGTGACATCTTCCAAAATTGATTTTTTACTGAGCTATCTACTTTGTGGTTGTTTTAAAAAATCTATATATTTCTTCATCAAAATAAACACTAATGTGCTTCCATTAGGGAGCTCCTGGCTTTTGTTCTAGATGATTCAATAAATAGATTCTTGATATATTGTCTCCGATATAATCTTCAGGATGTTCTTCAAAGCTGTCATTGAAAAAGAAAATTAAACTTGTTCCAAGTAATACAAATATATTTAGGTAAGGGTGGGATATAAGGGAACAGTTTTATTTTACAAGACATACAATTTTAAACTCATTTCACTAAAATTTATCTGTCCAGGAACCTTAGTCATGTGAGTAATTAAATCTGATAATAAATAACTGGAAAACTGTTCCAGCAAACAGAACTTCCAATGCAGTCATTAAAATGTTACCTGTGTTTGTAGTATTTGCTTGAATTCAGTGCACTGGAGTTCACTGTGACTTTAGAAAAGATGTAACTTTACTTATTGAATACAGTAAGAGCTGATGAGAATATTCTCAGCCTAAGACACAGTTCACTGACAGTACTAAATGCTGAAACTGCAAAGTATTTTGATTGTTAGGAATATATACTATACAACATATAAAATGAAAAACAAAACTTCTAAAAAATATATTCTTGCTAGTTTATAAAAATCTGTACATGTTCAACTTATAAATTCCAAATTTTGTTACCTATGCAACAAGTAAAAAATTATGTTTTAGAATATGCATTTAAAAAATACATCCCATCAAGATGATGTCTCTGTGAATTCTTAGATCTTTTACAAGATCCAAATGTTTCATTTGCTCATACATTTGTTTGTTTTGCAAATACTAACATGAAACCTTAAAAAAATATGAATATAGAAATAAGTCATATATCTATAAGAAATAAGTCATATACCTTAAAAAAGTCCTCTGCTATGTTTAGGTAAAATAATCATGCTCTACTGACTCATTTTAATGAAATGTCTTCAATAATTGAGAGGTTTATATTTGACTGTGAGGTGAATAGACTTCACAATAATTTTCGCAATTTCATAGTACTGGCCTGTCTTAAAACACTTGCTTTAGAATTATATTTCCTTATTGATACCTTAAAATTTGGCTTTTCAAGGGAAGTTCTAGAAAAATGAGATAAATATAAATAAAAACTTGTCTCTCTCATGCAGTTATTAAAGCTGTGTATTTGAATTAAAAAAACCCTCAACTTCATTTCTCAAGTAACCTTTCCTGGGGAAATTATAAATGAAGCTATTATCGTTTTAGTTTTTACAAAACACTTCTCTTCATAGTCCTTGACACCCTCACCTACTCCTCAGAATCTACTTTATGACATAATATTAAGTATGATTTTTACCCTGCCCAGAAATGTTCAACTTACCACCAAGGAGCCTTCTTCTGAGGAAATGTAACCTGCTTCAGCGTCACCCAGGAATATATGGGACACTTAGCTTTCAGCCAGAAAGTTAGGCTTCTGCTTATTGGTTAGAAACTTTCTTGAAAGAGATGACTGTGCAATGATTGGCCTGGAATAGTACTGTAAGCCCCACCAGGTCATTAGCCCTGAGGAAACTTAAGTACCACATCAACTGGTAACTAGTAGTAAACCATTAATCCTTTTAGACAGGAAGTAACATAGAGTTTCTTTAATTCATAAGGAGAATTGGATCCCTTAACAGCAATTGTCCAAAAAATATGAGCATTGCCATTAGTCATTTGGGAATAGATAAATTGAGTTCCACCGTCTTACAGATGAGTCCTAGTGACCTCCTATTGTTTAGCATGTGTATCAAAATATAGTTCTCCAGAGACAATTTCTATACTCTGTAACTAGAAAGTAGTGTCTGAAATGATTTTATCTTGCTTGTAGTAGACATTACCTTGACTCTTTTGCATGGGAAGTAAGCAGATTAAGAGTGGAATCAATGATTTATTGAAAATATTTCTATTTTGGGAAATATGGGAAAATTTTTTTTTTTTGAGATGGAGTCTCGCTCTGTTGCCCAGGTTGCAGTGCACTGGTGCAATCTCAGCTCACTGCAACTTCTGTCTCCCAGGTTCAAGTGATTCTCCTGCCTCGGCCACCTGAGTAGCTGGGATTACAGGCGCCCACCACCACGCCTGGCTAAATTTTTTTGTAATTTTAGTAGAGATGGGGTTTCACCAGGTTGACCAGGCTGATCTTGAACTCCAGACCTCAGGTAATCTGCCCGGCACAGCCTCCCAAAGTGTCAAGATTACAGGTGTGAGCCACCGCGCCCAGCAGGGAAAACTGTTTTAAGCAGGAACCAAACTGTGGGTAAGCATCTCAGTGGCACTACTAAATGACCTTTCTGTCTCCAACTAGAAAAACATTTTTTTGTCCAACTCAGTTTTTGAGTTTTGTTGAGGAAAAGGTTTTTCTTTTTCAGATCTGCAAGTAGGTGATTATTAACACTGCAAACAATTCCTCCCTCAAGTCTGTCACTGATTATCAATCAGGATGATTGAATGAGTCCTCTTTGTTTCTTATAAGAAACGATTTAAGTGATTTCCAGTTGTCTGAGTAGCTCGGTTGTGGTGTAATATAGTGGCTAGGAGCAAGACTCAAGTCAGAAGGCCCAACTTATGTCGTGGCCCTGCCACTTGCTGTCTGTGTGAACTCAGTCAAGTTACTCAATCTTTCTGTGCCTTAATTTTCTCATCTGCAAATGCAGTTGTGGATTATAATTGTACCTACCTTGTTGTAGAGTTATTTTGAGGAATAAATGAGTTAGTTTGTGTATGGGGTTTAGAACAGCAACAATTTGTACCTAGTGCTTGCTTTCACTATTTTAGCGCTATTTACAATTAGCTGGGGATTTTTACTTAGCACATACAAGATTGTGAGGTGAATCATTAGAGATTGGGATAGATATTTTGTCTATAAAAAATAAGTGTAAAGGTAAGTTAGTGAACTGATACAGGATTATAGAAGTGTCTAGAGACACCTAAGTAAAACCCTTTAGATCCTCTTCGTTAAGTAAATGTCATGCTAATCAGTCAGGCTAATGTCGTGAGGCTATATCAGAAATAGAGACAGAATTACAAGTATATACCTATAACTCATTCCACTCTTAAAGGTCACCAGTACAAGGCATTTATCTGTTCAACAAAGGGTTCTGATTCCTCATATAGAAAGTGTTTTGGCATAGGAGTGTCCGATTTCAAATTCAGCTGGGTGGGGCTGGTTGTTTAGATCAAGACAAAGAACAGCTAGGATGGGGCTGGCACCCAAAATAAGTTCTATTCACCAGACCAGGACAGGAGCCATAAGCTGGCATCCTCCAACCCTTTTTGGAGCCACTTATTTACTCTACAACCTTTTTCCTCTACCAATGACTGTGAATACCTCTGATACCAGTCAATTTCCTTTTTCTTGCTGACTGACTGCCTGACTTCAGAGTGGTATGAATTTGTTTTAGTCTTGGTCTTATATCAACCAGACATTTTCATTCTAAGCCTTTTATCTCTCACTGTGAAATGAAAGTCTTTGTTCTCTTTTAAGGGGATTCAGGCATCCTGGAACAAATGGGAGACAGTTTTGGGGGATATGGATGAAATAACACCATCCATAAAGCCAACCTTGAAAGGTGAATCCGATTTAGGCCTTTCAGACAAGCGGGAAAGGTAACAGGAGCAAGCTATCTTGAGGTATGCTCCTCTATCTTTCCTCTGTCCTCTCTGACAAGGCTTTTGGGAAGGGGAAGCTAGAGGCTGATCCAACTGTGACACTGAACATCTATTCCTAGAAGAATTAACATTTCATGAAATTTCCATGTTGTTTTCATGTTGTAACCAGCCTTTTATATTTTTTATATTCTTTCTGTTTCTGAAAATACAGATACTGACTTTTCTATCCCCCAAACCACCCCACCCCCCAAAAAAACTAAGGCACCCAATAGACCACAAATAAAAACCACAGATGAAGACACTTTTGGTTAATAGAATTTTTCTTTAGTGGATTTGGAAATAATATTATGGTAGAGTTAATATACTTGAAAAGCTTATGGGAGTTGAACTTCCAGAAACAATGCTCATATTTCATAAAGTTTTCTTGGTTGTAGAGGTCTTTCTTCCTTTGAAATAAAGATCTGGCCTTGGTTTGTTCTAGTCATCAAAATGGAGGGTCTTGGTGGGTGTCTTCTCTGGGAGACAAATGAAACATCTGGTACTTTAAAAGCCTTGGTCAACAAAGAGACCTAGTTTCCTGGCACACACAATTTTCAGTATGTTCAGTTGAACTTGGCCCAGTGGCCTGTTCTTGGGCCAAGTTACTAACTGGCTATGAGGTGTACCAGGCCTACACTCTTGAACCAACTGGGGTACAGAGAGCCTCCTTGAGGTGAGGATTTGGTCCAGAAGATCCATAGCTAATAACAGATATGTTCTAAATCTATTATGAGATGGAAAGCATCAAGGAATCTCACAGAGACAGCTGGTTTTGGAATTCCATAGACCTGAGCAGTAACCATGCCTATAAGCTATGTAGAAGTGTTGAGGACAGTGTCTAGGGATACAGCAGAAATCAAACTGCCCAAGTTCAATCCCTAACATAACCATTCCCTAGCTATGGTGACCTTGGGAAGCTAGTTAATTTCTCTTAGCTTCAGTTTCTCTTCTGCAAAATTAAGATTAAAAATAAAATGGAAATAGTAGTCTCCAACTCAAAGAATTTATAAGAGTATCAAATAAATTGAAAGTAACTAACTTAGTGCTACCTCTTGGTAATATTAGTCTTGTTCCTTCATGGTATGTTTTGCAGTTCTGTGTTTTCAAAGGACATAAATATTTTTGTATTTATCTCCTGCTATGTTCCTCCATTCTGACTCATAGAGAGTCAGAAGTTTGTAGTTGGAAAGAATTTAGAACTATATAATTTTATCTTTTTATTTCTCAATTGAAGAGAATGAAATACTAGAGAGATTGAATAATTTAC
This sequence comes from Homo sapiens, assembly GCF_000001405.40. NCBI lineage: Eukaryota > Metazoa > Chordata > Mammalia > Primates > Hominidae > Homo > Homo sapiens. The sequence goes on along the minus strand of NC_000015.10, from coordinate 48,202,754 downwards.
ACTAAGCCATTGCTTCTTAGGGTTTGAGAATCTCTATTACTGCTACTGATGAGGACAATAAATATTGATAGCAAGGTATGTTTAGATACTGTTTTATGGTTTACAAAATGCTTTCACATTCATTATATCTAATTGGCCCTCTCAATATTGCTGAAGACATGCAGGATGGGTTTCTTAATTCTTGTTGTGCAATATAGGTTCCCTTTAGGTAACTTTCTAGGTCATAAAGCTAGTTCTTGGCTAAGCTAACATTAGAATTCAAATCTCTGAGTTTAGGCTCCTAATCTGAAAAACTTTTCATGATATCTTAAATCCTCATTCATTTCAGATCTCTGGGTTTTCAGATACATTTGTAGCATTCATAGGGCACTAGAATTGAAAAGGATGTTAACACTACTCTTCACTGAAGCTCACAGAGATTAGATGACTTACCCATTAGAGCATAGCTCTACTGGTGGCACAGCTGAGACTGTCTTTGTTTCTGCTTAGAGTACTCTTTCCACTAGGTCATGCTGGAAACTCCCTTTTAAATTCTATTTATGCAAGGGGTAGGGGAGGGAGCATCAGTATGAGGCAGATCTGGTTTGGATTCCAAGCTATGGGATTTTACTGCAAGAGATTCGACAAACAGAAGAGATAGGAGGGTCAGGGCTCTGTGAAATTTGGGGAGCTTTAGGGCCTGTGACTACTTGTAGGCTTTGGGTGTTAGATTTTTGAGATATTTTTTCACCTGTGAACCTTTTGGGCCTATGGTTATTATTAGACAAATAATATTTTGATTATTCTTTGGACTAAATTCTCTGTTTAAGACCTGACTCACTAAAGCTAAAGGGGTCTGAGTCAGGAATGTGGAGGGGATGCCTGGGCTTTTCAGAGGGGAGAGAGCAAGATGCCTTTGGCACAGTTTATTAGCACAAGAAAGGAAGCAGAAATTCAAGGCAGTTGTTCAAGATAAGAATAAAGATGGTAAACATGGCGGCAGCCATCCTTATGCTCTATTCATTGGAAACCTCTAAGTGGGAACAGAGGAAAGTGAGGAATCCCAACAATAGTTTATCATTTACACAGCATGGTGAAGAAATTAGTCACAGATGTTTATTGAATTCACTGAACAAAATGAGCCTCTCTCCCACACCCTCAAGGTAGTTACAATTGTATCCAGAATGTGTCCCGATGGCACAACCATAAAAACCATATAGCTGGAACTCTCACGCGAGTGCATATTCAAATGTCCCTTTATCAAACTCTTCAACTTCATCTTCCCATGTAGAGGAAGGCATGCTACTATATGGGTCTAGCAGGATTTTGAAGCATCGGATAATAAGAAGTCCCAAGAAGATACACAAAATCCCAACAAAAGCAAAGCCAGTTTTTTGCTCCAGAGTCAATGAGAAAGCTGATACTTCGTTGACACTCATCTTAGCTGAAGAGTTGCCACAGTAGGTACTACTCATTATTCACTGGCACATTGTTGTGGCTCTTCACAGTTCCTTCTGGAATCAACTCTTTGCCTAGGTACAAAATTGGACTCAGTTTAGTTTTACCCTTGTATGGTATTGGGTAGGTTGTTGCTTAATAAAATCTGACGTTTTTCAAACCTTCTTGACTTAACTCACAAAAGATGTTTGAAAGCATCATCAGATACAGATTGGAATCAAATTAGCATTGGAGATGCTACTTCTAAATGTTGTAATTAAAGAATTTCCTTTGCGGACACATAAGACTGTGCCCACATACTCTAAATAAATCAAGTATGAAGGTGAATATTCAAATTATCAGCCCTAAAATCTTTTGATTCATTGCTAGACAGTTAGATAGCTGCTTCTTTGATCTGAATTGTCATCTAATTTTCACCTCATATTTGCACGTGTAGGTAGATAATATAAACAATCATAGCATGTAAGCTGCTCAAGCTGTTTAAAGTCCATACTTCAAGGTCTATTTCCAGTGCCATTTTGACTGATATAGATTCTGATCCTTTTAAACAGATATAATGACTTCTTTCTTTTCATCCCCTTAGGTTTTATATGTATGTATTTACATTTTTTTTCTTCACTACCACTGGATACACTGTGTCAATTTCTTAAAGAGAGGAATTATGTTTTTAAAATTACATTAATGCAGGCAGTGCCCAACAGAGCAGCTTGCAAGTAATAAGCAGCAGTGGCTATGGCCATTAGCCACCTCCCCACCATCTCCATTAGCCTTCAGAACACTCTAAGTAAACATAAAATCCAAGTTAAACAGCATGCTTTCTCTGCAAATTCAACTTCAAGACAAGCTCCCCAGTCTCCCTCCCAACAAGATTTCCACTCCTAAGTCCCTATTGTGCTGAGATTCTAAAACTACCACTAAAGCATTCAGAAAGTATATGTTCAACTGAAACAAAATAGGTTTTTTTCCCATTTGATGTCTTAAGTTAGTTAAATGAATTAATTACAAATAAAGATAAATTTAATTAATCAAATAATTACTAATGTACAGCCACCTTTTTTAAGAGGACTGTCACCAAATAGCTTTTCATCCAATAACTGCGAATAATAGACTGTTGGTATTTTCTTTTTTATTGTTGCTTTTTCTGATAATTTTTAAGACTTATATGTATTAAAATTACTGACCCTTGAGATTTGTTTGGACCTAATTTTCAGGAAACAACTGAGACAGAATAAAGGATGGGAGGTAAGGAATGAAGAAAGAGAGTAAGAAAAGCAGGACTTGTAGCTTTCAAAGTTATTCTGCAAATAATACACCAACTAATATCAATCAATATTTTGTTTTATAATGATTTAGATTACAAAAAAGCTCTATCCTCAAACCTTAAGTGGTAGAAATATTCAATAATTATGGCTTATGTTCATTGTTTGATTTTTTTGTTTAGTAAAGGGAAAAAATATTGTTCAAACCCCTGTTGAGTTTCTTTCCACTAAGTCATTTTTTGTCCTAATCAATATAGTATAGTGAGAAGACTTTAGTTTTTTAAACATAGGGACACTTATTGGCTGAGAATGATCTTCCTGAAGATTGAGTTCTTGTTGTAGTATTTATCCTGTAAAAGGCACAGAGGACTGGATTGAATCTCCAATGACTCTGAGACTTAACTGGAACTTCTTTTGCTGACTAAATGTCTAATTTTCTTGCTTTTGTCAATTAAAAATCATTTGTTAAGATCCATATACTCACTGGATCATTTATTTAATGGAAGGAGAAACTGAATAGCAGGATGTTTCTCTATAGAGATGTTGGACCAAGGAGATGATTCAGCCAACTAACTTGTTCATTTAGTTTTTTACTAGAGCATAAACTTGCTGGGCTACAACATGTGGATATTTCAGGGGATATGTGGGTAAGAGGAGGCAATAAACATGGTTTATGGATGGACGCTGTGGTTTCCCAATAGATTTCCTTCAGTGAAGGACTTATTGCCCAGCAACAAAGAATGTTGGCAGCAAACAGTCTTCAGCTGTCAGCCCCTTTCACTGATTGCCTCGATTGCAGAGAGCTGCTTCACCCAAAGTCGTGGCCCTTCCCAGGGAAGACCATACTCAATCATTGATTATATAATAGTATAAAGGTGTGGCCATCTTGTATCAAAGGGGGTCAACTCTAAAATCTATTTTAGCTTCAGAGTTCTAGATGGGGTCAGCAGAGACTGTCATTGGGTCTATAGCACAGTTCAATTTCTGGCCACTCCTGTTTAATTCCCCACTCTTCCATGGGTGCTGAGCCCAAGGACAGTCCTCAATAAAAATTCAGCAAACTAACTTCTGTCTCAGAGACTGGCTTCTGGAGGACCCAACCTTTAACAATTGACATCACAAAAGTTAAAGCACCTGGGCAGTTTTAATGATCTGTTCATTTTTCAACTAGTTCTTTTTGTTATCATCTAGCAGTAGCCTAAACTGATTATAGTTATGATGTTAGCTAAATTTATTTAGGTGTTTTGAAAATGCATAATGTAGACACAGACACAGTATCATAGCTGATTGTTGGAAGAGTGAAGTCTGTTGGCTCTTAACCAGTGATTAATCCACTACGCTCTTATTTTTCTTAAAACCTACTAACCAACAAAACAAACCAGCAAAAAGAGGCATTTTTTAGAGGCAGCAATAAAACATTCTTGTCATTTGTTACTATTAGTTTAAAACAAGGCATCTTCCTAGTTAGACAAACAAAATCCTTTTATACTTTAGAATATAATATGTCCATCATACAGCGAATAATACTTTGTTCCTAGAGCCTTAGATGATATGTAAATTAATGAGTTATTTATCATTTTTAAATGGAAAATAATTACTTCTCACATAGTGATCACAGTTCCCAGCACACTGTAGGTATTCAATACATATTTTAATTGAATTAAACTAAATATTTTGAAGAATATATTTTTTGAGGAATAAAGTCCTTCAAATAAAGTTTTGTACAAAACTCTAGTTTTTAGATATCCAAAAAGCATGCAAATACATTTAGTTAAAATGAAAAAGAAAATTTTTATTTGATTTCAAAAATTGGATTTGAAAATAAGTATAAAAACTCAGTAGCTCTTTCAGAGTTCAGTGTTTTTGTTCTTTTCTATCAAATTTACTTAGCATTCTCAGACTTACATCATTTTTAGTATTCAAATGTGGAGAAAACAGATCTTTCCTAACAACCTTGGGAGTTTCCTTTTGTTTTCTAAGGAAAGGTATATAGCCATCTTATATTTTGGCATTAGTTTGTGCCAGGAAGTACAGGGTTAAATTTTGTATTCAACTGTAGTGACATTGGTTAGCTTAAGATTTCTGGTATAATTACTCCTTCTTCCTCTGTGCCTGCCCTCTACATTACTTGACTGTTACCCTTAACTAAGAAGGTATTGTAAGATACTTCAAAGGCTTTTGGAATCAGGTAAGGGCATAAAGAATGAGTAGATATGCAGAGTCACTGTTACTGAATAAACAAAGTCACCATTTTTATACTACCTTGGAGGAATAGATGAATGGCTATTTCATGGCTTTAAACATAATTTATAAGCACTCTGTGTCTCTATTATTGGTACAAATATAGCAGCAATGCAGTATAACTAGGGAAAATGCTGAGAAGTGACCAAAAACTGTCAGAATGCTGTTAAGAAATCTAAAGAGCTAAATGAACTTAAGGTAACATATAATAATATTTTAATTTATTCATTAACCAAATGTATATTGAGTATCTGTTAGATGTCAGTACTTTTCTTGGTACTAGAGTACAGTGGTGAACTAGATAACAATGTGCACCTGCCAAACTGAGGGTTACATCCAGTGGTGAAGACAGACACAATTATTTAAAAATATCTATCTCTATATATCCATATCTATATATTATACCAGGTACTCATAGTCATAAAGGCTATGAAAGAAAGCAAAGCACGTTAAGTAGAAAGAGAATGATGGTGGATAAGCAGCACTCCTTTAGTTAAAGAGGTCAGCAAAGGCTTCCCTAAGGAGACAATATTTGCCCTGAATGATGTCTAGAAGGGAACCATGAAAATATTTGGAAGAATAGATTTGAAATTTGTGGAAACAGCCTTTACAAAGGCTTTGAGGTGGAAGGGTTTCACATACCATATGTTCAGATCAAGAGATAGACCAATATAAGATTAAGCCCTTTATTTGTACAAGATGGTTTAATGCTATCAAACAACAAAAAAAGGCAGAACTACTTAATCTACTTCTGTCTTTTTAACCAATATAGAATGGGCTTTAGAAATGAAAAAAAAAAAAAATCAAACAATGTAAGCGGATAATACTTCAGTAGAATAATGTTTAGCTACATTAAATGAGTTAAAAATCTCATTTTCAGACAATTTATAACTTGGAGATATACTTTCAAGACTTTTGAGAAATTACAGACCATGAAAAAGCTGCCAGAGGTAAGGACATGGACAAATGTCTCAATTTTCAAGAGGAGTAAGGGGGAATTGTAAAAATTATATATTGGCAACTCGGAATTGATCTTTGTTGCAAACCCATAATTAATTATTTAACAAGTAATTTGTCAATATTTAAGAAGTCATTAAAAGTTAACATGAGTTTAATAGGTAATGCCAATTCACTTCCTTTTCAAAAGTTTGCTACTAATATGATGAATCAGAGAAATAGCATGGACATGGTTTAGTTATTTTGGCAATGCATTTAACAGTCTCCCATGATATCTTTGTGGGGAAGATATGAGATATGCCTGGATAATAGTGTTTTTATGTAGATTCATAGATCTGAACTACCCTAATAAATATCGGGTTCTATAATCATGGACGTGGGTCTCCAGTGTGGTATTACAAAGGTTTCACTTTAATCTACGCATGTTTTCAGTGTTTTTGAACAGTGACTAAGTTGAAGATATTGAAGTGAAGCTTATTAAATTTGACAAAGTGTGGCTGAAATATGATAGCACATGGAAAAAACACTCAAGACAATTCTGATGCCTAGAATTCTGGGTTGAAGCTAGAACATAAAATTTAATAGAAACACTTCTAAAGCCCTTTGTTTAAGTGGGAGGGAAGGAGATGCACCAAATCCAAACAGGGGAGATAATGACTTGGCAATTCATGTAAAATAAATCTGTAAGCTGCAATTAGTCAAGTTAGCCTGAGCCAAAGATATGAGGTGGTGGCTTATAAAAGCAAATGTCTTAAATTGAATAGGGGTGCAAATGATAGAAAGTAATAACATTATTATAATGTGTCAGGCCACATATAAAGTAACACTGCATATATTCACTATACTTTCATTGAAACATATTTATTGGGTTGCTAGTATGCTCTAGTAGACATGCACTCCTCTACTTAAAGGGATTCCAACTAGTAAGGGAGAAGAGCCATGTACACACAAGGAAAGAAACAACAACATAGGCTTCTACAAAAGCAATAAAAAAGGAAGAGGAAGCCAACTTGTATTTAAAATCTACTGTGTATCAAATACTGCTTTACATATTTTATTTTATTCCCACAACACCCACATAGTGTTGATACTATCTTCAACATCTTGGTGAAAAAAAAGAAGATCCAAAAAGGATAAACAAGTTTAGATGAAATCAAGATATCACCCATTGAGGGATCAGGAAAGTTTTTCTTGCAAGAGATTGTATTTGAACTGAGTCTTGAGAGACAGAATGATTCAAATCTGTGAAGAAGAAAAAAGCATGACAATAAATATGAAGGCAGAAAAATACTGGATTTTTTCAGAGCACAGTGAGCAATTTGGTACAGGCAAGGGGGAGTATGGGAAACAAAGCGTTGGAAAGGTAGGTTGGAGCCAAATTGTGAAATATGTTGACTGTCAGGCTAAGAGTTTGAAATCTATTTGCTTAAAGGCTGAGTGGCTTGATGATGAGACTGAAATAGACATAATTTTGAGGGAGAGAGCATCACGGGAAAGAAATGGTTCAGGTGAGAAGCAATGAGGGTCTCCACTAGGGAGTAGATGTATGAAAGAGGGTAGAGGTTGGAAAGATATTTAGAAAAGTAGGAGGGATAGGATTTGGAAAGTAGTGGGCCCAAGGAGAGAGAGGCATCAAAGATGACTCTACACTATTAAGCTCGGACAAGTGTAAATATAGTGTTTTTATTAATCAAAACAAAGAAAATAAGAGCAAAGCATAGACTTAAAAAGTAAATGACAAGTTTATTTCTGGACTTGGTGAATTTGTGGTACTCATGTGTGGCACTTAGTAGGCACTCAATTGTCAGCTTTCAATAAATTTATCCAGATCATTTTGTCTAGCATAAAATTTTTGATGGGGAGAATATTTTAAGGTATTGTTGTCAAATAACGTTTGTGTAGAAGACTTTATACAGGATGGAGAGAGCCCAGTACATAGAAATATTTGCAGATCAAAACTTAAAGAGAAGAAAAGAATTGTTGAGTTTTGCCTAGGAAAGGGAAGACCAAGAAGGACAATAGGTAGACTCAAATATTTGAAATATTATCTTGTAGGAAGCCAGATGGACTTGTTCTAGATTGATCCAGAGAGCAATTTTACTGTAATTCCATTAAAGTCTATTTTCTGTTACCAGAAAAGATTAAAGATGGAAGAAGCCTAGCAAGGAACTCCAAGGAATGCCTCTCCTACAAGGAGGATCTCCTAGTGGAGTTATATAAGATGAATCATGAGTAAATCTGTAGCAGAAAGTTCACCTATAATAAAGGAGGCTAGGGCTTCTAGAATGAGGCATTAGCAAACAGTGTCAAATTCTGCAGCGGTGATGGAAACTAAGCACTGGAAAACAGGGTCTTATGGTTGGCATTCAGAATTATTTCATCATTATAAAAATTTAGTTGAGAGTCTAGGAGGGACACTAAATTGAATTGGATTTAGGAGTGAGGGGTAATGAGAAAATGGAGTCAGGTGGTAAATAAACTTGACAGAAAATAAGTTTTACTTAGTCGGTACAGAAGGTTAAATCATATGATGAATCACTTTCAATAATGAAGACATGACTGCATATTCAGTTTTTAAAGGAAGAGCTCCATAAATTTACCTGGATTCAAAGAACTGTAAAATTTCCATTTTTAACAAAAAAAAAATGGGTTGAGAAAGAACAAATGTTTTATTAATATCTTAAAAGAGAAAACAGGCTTTTATATTTATCATAAAATATACTTTATACTAAAGATGAAAACAAAATACAGGTCAAGGAGAGCAACTGAAAAAGTAATATTCAAAGGCTGATTAAAAATTTGTCCATTGCTGCAGGCTGTGCCTACACAAGCAAATAGAAGTAAAAAGTTAAGCAATTGCCTAACAATGTGTTCAGCAAATAGATGGTTTTAGTAATTTAAACCATATATATAGCAGTTGAAATATCAGTATTTCAGGCCTAAATTTTTCAAACAATTGGCCAAACTTTCCATTTTACTTGCTCTGTGAAATGAAGAACTTGTCTCATTTCAACAACAAATCCAAAGTTTTTGAGGATATACTGTTAAGTGTGCCAAGTCCTGCTTTTCTACTGATATAGAGCATAATATGATATGAAAATATTGTTAATAACAAAATATTATTAAAAACAAAAGTCCCCAGTTATAAAACTGATTCATTCACAATTACTAAGGTGTTCAAAATACTCAACAGTTATAGATAAAATATGCATTTTCACTTTCTCTAAAAGCTGGAAGAGCTATTCACAACAGACACTGTAATGCCTAGCTCCAGAGAAGCATCATTTTAATATCCTGTTTATTGGGAAATAGAAAAAAAAAGAAATCTGAGAAAATTTAGATTAAGTTACAAAACCATATATTAAAAAATCCATATAAAAATAGTTAAGAAAAAATGAACTTTCAAAAATAAGTAGAATGTAAAATTGGGTAGTGGTAAAAGTTATTTGAAATATATTATACCACAAAATTGGGTAAAATAAACAATGCACAGTTTAAATATCAGGATCAATATATATAATGATTAAAATATTTAAGTGTCTTTTAATACTACTGATGCAAATGATAAAATATTGTCTTGAGCCATATTCACTGGAATAAATGGTTAGGTACTTTGGCAATGAGTAACTTGGTTGAAAGTACATTTCCTTCATGGCAATTGTCAGGCACCAAGATTTCTAAGTACTGATGAGTCATAAGATTGGGCCAGGGGTGTTCCTGTAGATATCAAATAGCCCAAATCTCATGAAGTTGCTTTGTAATTGGCAACTAGTAAGTAAAAAACAAAGTCTTCCTATGATCAGTACTTACAAATCATATCTCCGTAAGCAGTTAAGCAAAGATGATAGTATTTTTATACCTGATATGCAGCCTTTCATATTCATGAATATTGTTAGTGATGTTTATGTCTTCTGTGAAATAACCTTACTAGAGATATAAAAATATACCTTTCAGATAAAATCATTTAATCATGCAACAATGCACAATTACAGAAACTAATGTTAAAAAGTGTGTACCCATTAAAGAAAGAACCTCCTGTGTTTTATTTTAATCAACAGGTTTTTCCTCTTGTTTATTTCTCTAGTAATGGTATTCCAAACAATAAACCTGAAATAATAACTATTAGAGTGGAATATGATGTTCTAGGTAGAAAGTATTTTAGCACTGGTCATTAGATATAATAATCTCTACTGCTAATGATGACATTCATAATTTCATGAAATAAGACATATAAGAAAACCCAAGCTTAAAAAATAATGAACCATTCCATACATATACACACTCCACACAAAATATAAAGATTATATCCCAGTAAAAGAGAGAAAAGAAGCATTATTGAAACCACATCTGCACAGAGGTAGTTAATCATTAAGAATCGAATGTGTTGGAATAAAAGGAAAACCTTAAATTACAAACCTAGATGTCTTCATCATGGTGAAATGCATAAATTTCAGGGCTTTCCAGAGATCCCAGACCTTAGGATCTGCCAGAATCCACCCCTAAACCCTCAGATTTCAACCTTAAGAGAATTTCTCTCTTAAGAGAATCTTTGGATGGCTCAAGGACTCTGACACTCAATCCTTCCAACGCACTGGGAAACCTGGTCTGAAAATTCTCCAGATATCTCATTAAAGAAACCTAGACCATCATCATCATTCTGCGTTGTTTGTTTCCAGGTCTCTTTCTACGCACTAAACCGAAGAAGCATGGAAACTTCCTACAAAACATTATGGGAGAAGCATCAGCAATCTGCACGTACACAACACTTTTCCCCCGCCTGGCAGCCGCATCAGCAGTGGCGCTAGCATTAGGGGTGCTGTTTCTCCTTTAGAATTTGAACTTATCAGACCTACTGGCTCCTCCACCCACCGCCCCACCCCCCGCTCTTTTGCTTCAGAAATACAAGAGAATGAGGACATGCTTCTCATCTGGACCTGCATTTGGAACGCTGTCAGTTAATGCGGAGGGAAGGGGGAGAAAGTTACTTCGCAGACAGCGATGTCTCACCTTCCATGCTTGTTGCCATGGAGATGAAGTCCAGCCAGTAGACTTAAGTGTTGGCACGTTTGTCTGTGTTCGCTGATCGGTTCAGTAACAAATGTAGAAGGCGTGTTCTGGAACCTGCGTAGAGTCACAGGGCCCTGGTTAGCGCTTTCCTGGCCTAGAAGTGTAAATGTCTGTGTCTGTTGGTGAGACAGAGGACGTGGGCGCCCGCCGAAGTACGTGTGCGCGCGCGCGTTTGCAGGAAAACGTGCATGGATTTCTTCGGTGTGGCAGTGTGTAAATATTTGCGCTCGCGTGTGTCTGTGGCAGCATCTGTGTGTGTATGTGAGACTGAAAGGAGGTGGGAGATGAGGAGGGGAAGGGAATCAGCTCCAGCAGCAACAGGCTCTATTCTTCAGTTCTGCTAAAAGAAAGAGGAAGAGAGGAAGAAAAAAATAGACACTCCTTTTTTTTCTCACGACACACCCTGAAGGTTAGCAATTAGATTTCATCATTATCTTTGTTTACTAAGGCAGTGAGGGTTTAATTGATTTACTGCTGAAATCCTTGTTTTGCTCTCTTTGCTGCATTCCTGGCTGTGCTGCGGGCATTTTGCTGTGCTTTGGTGACAGCCGTTTTCAGTAGAACAGTAGGCACTAAATTCTTACACGTTTCTTCTTATCCGGTAAGGAAAATTCAGGAGTGAAAGGTGTATTGATTTAACTGGAGACTGAATGTGTCGTTTGGAGTTCTTTTCCTCTACTCTTTCCCTTCTCTCTTCCACACAAACACAACTGAATCCCCTTCCGTTTCTAGGAGAAGGCGCCTAGGCGCTGTCCGTAGTGCTGAAATGGTGCGTGGTGAGACCTGTCTCCCCAACACAAGCTAGAAGACAACAAAATAGCAGCCAGGAAACGCTCTGATAAAGCTCTAGATAGCTGCCAGGTACGTTTTCTAAACAGTGTTGAATATGTAGATTCTAAACCTAACCGACGTTGAAAGCAAGGTAAAGCAAAGCAAAGCAAAGGAAAACAAAAAAACAACAACAGAAACCTTGCTCTTTATCCTTATTTTAGGGGTCTGGCCGTTTCAACAAACTCAGTTACAGGGTTCCCAATTCTATTTATGTTTTGCGACTCTATCCAGAACCTACAAGTTGCAAGCACTTTTAGATTCCCTACAATCTTAATTATTCACCTTATAACTACTGGACTGTGAGTCGTTGGGGGAAATGTAGATACAGAATTGGGACACTCATCTAAAGAAAATACTTTGAAAACGTAATGTAACTGCAACTAGATTCAATAACAAAGTGAAGACAAACTTCATGATTATTTAGAGTATTTACTGATTTAGGAAATGTAATGGTCTTACAAAAAAATGGGCAATGTATAACTGAGAGTTCATATAAGACCACATTTTTTAAAAGTTGTTTTTTGATTTTAAACTATTAAGATGTCCTAAAATGTAGGTGAACTAACTGCCCTCTATGAAAGACTGAAAGACATATCTTATTCTAGGGACATTTCCATGGCCATGGTTTTATTGACCCTTTTTAAACTTGCCAAGGGCCACATTCTTTATTAGCACTCTGGGCTGGAACAGTGCTTCTTGAAGTATAACATGCATATGAATCTTCAACGATCTTGCTAAAATGCAGACTCTGATTCAGTAGGTGTGGGGTTGGGTCTCAGATTGTGCTTTTCTGACAATTTCCTAGGTGATGCCAGAGATTACTAGTTTTGGGACCAATTAAAGTAGCAAGATGCAGCCAGGAGTGGTGGCTTATGCCTGTAATCCCAGCACTTTGGGAGGCCGAGGTAGGAGGATCACCTGAGGTGAGGAGTTTGAGACCAGCCTGACCAACATGGCGAAACCCTGTCTCTACTAAAAATACAAAAATTAGCTGGGTGTGGTGGTGGGTGCCTGTAATCCCAGCTACTCAGGAGACTGAGGCAGGAGAATCACTTGAACTCAGGAGGCGGACATTGCAGTGAGCTGAGATTGTGCCACTGCACTCCAGCCTGGGTGACAGAGCGAGACATTGTCTCAAAATAAATAAATAAATAAAAATAAAGTAGCAAGATGCTAGAGATATTGAATTCTGGCAATGCAGTCAGTCATAGATTGTGGGAAAGGAGATCATTTTATTCCATCTATTATTCTATGTATGTTTCCAAACTGTTACAAAAATAATTTATTCAAAATTAGTTCAGAGACTAATCATGTAAACATTTTGTCTGTACAGTATGAACAATTTTTTATGAATTTGATTCCTTTGATTTTGATTTTGACATTGTCTGGACCAGTGGTATAGTTGAGTCTGTATTTCCATACTATGATCTATAACCATTCATTCTCTTTGCAGGCCGAGCTCAAGGGAGCAGAACTAAGTTACATGATTCTGCTGCGGATGTATAAGCACCACTCCAATAATTTATTATCACGGTTGGAGACTTTGACTTGTCACTTTATGACTTGAAATATGGCTCCATGGTAAATGCCCATAAAGCTGATTTTTAAAATCTGGATATTACAGTTCTAATTCTCACTTAGTTTAAAAGGTAGAATAGGCTTCTTGTTTCATAGATCATTTGTGTGAATGTTGATTTGTTATGTCATTGACATCATACACACATGCTTACATTTTGAAGGTTGCTAGCGTTTCCCATTAATGCTTCTGAATTGATGCCAAAGGAAAGCATTGATTATAAATTAGGTTCCTTGGTATTAGTTGGTGCATGACCCTGACCCTTTTCAAGCTATATGAAAGGTAATGATGCTCTCAAAAGCCTGCAAAATGGCTTATTCAGGAAAGCATAATGGATTAAAAATCCATTAGGTTCCACTTTCTTTGCTAGATGCTGAGATACAAAGATAAATGAGATTTGGTCTCTGCCCTCGAGGAGATACGTGGCAAAATAATATGGTAAGTTCTACAAAGTTCTATACAAACACAGATTAATATGCTATTCATGTTTTATTAGCCATTGCCAAAGAAGGGATGAAGAACTGCAAAAAGATAAAACACAGAATACTTGTACTTCAGGTCCTTGCCAATATCTACTGCCCAACTTTTACAAAAAAAATTGCTGAAAGGCATGAAATATATGAATGCCTTTCTAAAGCACATGTGGATAATCTATACTTCTGGAGCATCTATGATTTATTTTCAGAACAATCCAAGTTATTAGAAAGGTAAATATGTTGGTGACATTGTTTAGAAGTTCCTCAAGCAGAATTGCCTTTACTATGCTTTGACATTATGCTCTCAGCTTATATACAGTAATTCTATGTGAAACAGTAGCCAGCTTACACAACCTGCTCTATATCTACTACAGAGCTGTTACTAAAGTGTTGGTCAACATATAACTTACTATTTCTTATATAAAGATGCCCAAGAAATTTAGATTTCATAGATATATCCCCAAAAGCATTTCTTTCAATACCAGTTTAATGAATTGAACTTTCATACCTCACTTAAATCAACCCAGGGTAAAGTGGTATGTTCTGTTCTTACACACAATGAAAATCATGTAACTAATTAAAGTTAGCATTTATTTTAGCTACTAGGGATGCCAGAGTCAAATTAACAGCTGAAAATGAATAACTACATAAGACCTTAAGCCTTTTATATCTTTTCTTTTTTTTTAATCACCTTAACTACTGCAATTTTGGTTTCTTAGGTAATGATAATATTATTTTCTTTTAATTATTTGTTTTAATGTGTGACCTCATGTAAATGTCCTCATAAAATCAGAAGTGGAGTAAATAAATAAATAAAGTAAATTTCTCTACTTTTTGATTATTGGGTGAGTGTATATGGTTGTTTTATAAATTTATTCTAAATAGGATACTAAAATACAGAAAATGTATCATCTAATTAGCTATGAAGATAAAAATCTAAACTATAATGAGGAAATATTAAAATGTCAAGATGACGAAGAAATTTTTCAGTTTATATAATTATAGATCAGCTTAATTTCAAACCACTTTGTTACCCTATTGCTATTTTTATACTCTAAATAGTGTCCCTTATATGACTAAGACTTTTTGTTATCTCAGAGATTGGAAGTGTTAATTGTCCACCTTGTTAGAAGACATGGTAACTATAGGAATTTAGAAAGCATGATAGCCCAACTGTAATGAATATATTCTAGAATGAGGTTGTCACAAAGAAACTGAAAACAAGAATTTCCTCTAACAACTGAGCTCAGGATTCTTTTCAGAGGAAAATTTAGCTTGCATAAATTCTTGCCATCTTGGCTCTAGTTGACTTCTTGCTCTCAACTTTTGCAAAGTGAGATCACCTTTACCTCTTCAACCTATGAGGCCAACATGTTACTTTCAATTTTTCAGGAAAATCTACGTCTTGTTTGGCTGAGGTTTGATTATTATTCCTTAACTAAAATATTTTAATGTAGCTGTGCTTTTTAATTTGAATATTGCTATTGATTCAAACATTGGGTAGCATATCTTTCAAATGTGAAATTTTAAAACATGTATTAAAGACAAACATAAATTAGTTTTGGTATAACTATTTTTTAAGATTAATCCAATGCTTTTTTGGCTTTAGATGATGTTTGGTAATTAGCTATATTCAAAAGTCAACCTTTTTTTTTTTTCAAAAAATGAACTCCTATGTATATGAGTGTTATTTTTATCTACCCATGTCTTTTTTGTCTACATATACAGTTTTAATCATTGTTTCGGGGGGAGGAATAAGAATGATTTTGAAATTTCACTAAGAAAGATATGCCCTCTTCCTAAAAATACATATATACAGATGTTTTGCTCACAGCTCAGGTATTCATGGATCTCTGGAAGTTCATTTTTATAATCCCAAGGTAATCCAAAGAGCCTGCTAAAAAATTCTGCTGTAAATGCATGGTACATGATCTCATTCCCTGTTTTACAACGAAGTATTGAATGGCTTAAACTCCTACTTTTTTTTTTTTTTTTTTTTTTGAGATGGAGTCTCCCTCTGTTACCCAGGCTGGAGTGCAGTGGCTCGATCTCTGCTCACTGCAACCTCTGCCTCCTGGGTTCAAGCGATTCTCCTGCCTCAGCCTTCTGAGTAACTGGGATTACAAGCACATGCCATCAGGCCTGGCTAATTTTTATTTTTTTTTTGTATTTTTAGTACAATCAGGGTTTCAGCATGTTGGTCAGGCTGGTCTCGAACTCCTGACCTCATGATCCGCCTGCCTTGGCTTCCCAAAATGCTGGGATTACAGGCGTGAGCCAACGCGCCTGGCCAACTCCTACATATTTTAAAGCCACCCCATTAGTTTTCTATTTTTTTCCCCTTGGAGATCTTCCTTTAGGTCATTTTTACCATCTGATATCTCAAAACTAAGCCAAGGCTGAATGTGCTGAAATAGGATTAGAGAGTACAGTAATAGGATAATTAGATTTGATTAGAAAATGACTGTGTGGGATTTTGTCAACAGTGAAGAAATGATCTAAGTATGTGGACTCCTAAGTGAATTGAGCATGATGACACTTTAGTGTAGTTAATGATCTAATGCTGGTCTGGTTGATGAGTCCCATTGAAAATGAGATGCTCTGTTTTCTGGTAAACTTTTCTGCAAAGAAAAATGTACTAAATGTTTCAGTTCAGAGTGTTCTATTTAAATGAAATTTCATTTAATTGCTTTTAGTTTTACTGCCCATAAGCCTTCAGTTGTTTCATTTAAAGTGTACTTTAAGCCCTCCACTATATTCACTGTTGAATCTAATGAGTATGAGAGGGTACCTTGGGCACAATCTCCACGAATGTATGAGCCATAACTACAGTATAGTATATAGAGATTAGCTTAAGTTATTTTGCTCTGCTAAAGATAGAGAAACAAGAGCAGTTTTCTAACATAATGTATGCTTCTGTAATAGGACTCAGTTAAAAAATAATTGGCAAATAGGAATGTCAATGAAATGTGGAAATCAATTGTTTTATACATGATTTTCCCCAATACGTTAATGTTTTGACTACCAAGTAAAAGCAGTTGCACTCTAAGTCCACTAACACAGCTGAAGGTAGTAAGCTGTGGAGGAAAGTAGTCCTATATATAACACCCATTCACTCCTCCTTTTTCCTCTTGGCTTAATTTCACCATACGATCTGTCTTGAAAATGCTTATTGCACAATTCTTCCTGATCTTTGTGCATTTGTCCTTGTTTTTGTAACTCAACCTTTGGTTTATTTATTCCATCATTCTTTCCTAACTCAAACAAATTTGTGAAGTTCTAAATGTATTGAAATATATGTCGTAACTTTTATTTTTAATTGTGCTAGCATTTTCTTAGCTTTGTAAATGTTTTTTGCAGTGCTATGGTTGTGATGTTATGTAAGTTTTACACTTTTTTCTCCAACATAATTTTTTCCCGAAATATTGCCAGTTATTTTTGTTATTGAATAGACTTAATTTTCTTAGAGCAGTTTCAGGATTACAGAAAAGTCAGAGAGTACAGAAAGTTCCCATATATCTCCCATCCCTTTTCTCACAGTTTCACTTGTTATTAACATCTTACATTAGTGTGGTACATTTGTTAACAATTGATAAAACAATTTTGTTACATTATTATTAAGTACACAGTTTACACTAGAGTTTATTCTTTTTGTTGGTCAGTTCTATGAGTTTTGAATAGTGTATAATGTCATATATTCACCATTATATTGTCATGCAGAATAGTTTCACATTTCTGAATATCCCCTATTTATCCCTTCCTCTTCCCCTCACAAACCCCTGGAATCCATTGATCTGAAACTGTCTTGCAGTTTTCTCTTTTCCAGAATGTATGTATAGAGTCATACAGACTCTGTTGCCCTTTCAAACTGGCTTCTTTCATTTAACAACACGCATGTAAGCATCCTTCATGACTTTTCATGGCTTGATAGCTCATTTATTTTTTATTGTTCAATAATATTTCATTGTATGGATATGCCACAGTTTATTTATCTATATATCTGTTGAAAGATATCTCGGTTACTTCCAATTTTTGGCAATTATGAATAAAGATACTATAAATATTTGTGTGCAGGCTTTTGTGTGGACATAAGTTTTCAATTTGTTTCAGCAAATAACTAACAGCGTGATTGTTGGATTCTATGGTAAGACTATATTTAGCTGTGTAAGAAATTGCCATACTGTCTTCCAAAGTGGCTGCATCATTTTGTATTTCTACCAGTAATTAATGAGAGTTCCTGTTGCTCCACATCATCTTCAACATTTAGTGTTGTCAGTGTTTTGGATTTTAGCCATTCCAATAATATATAGTGGTTTCTCATTATTGTTCCAATTTTCAACCCCCAGTACATCTGATGTTAATGATAATTTCATTTGCTTATTTTTCATTTGCATATCTTCTTTGTTTTTGGATATAAGTTCTTTATTAGATATGCGTTTTGAAAAGATTTTATTCCAGTCTGTGGCTTATCTTTCCATTTTCTTAAGTTGCCAGTTATTTTTAATGTATGATTTTGTAGAATGTGAGTTCTTTTTCTTTTTCAGGGTTCTGTGCATTGTTAAAGAATGAACAGTTGTATATTTGGTATCAGAGTTCTAAAGCTAGGCTAGCCAAATAAAAGCCACACCTCTCATATATTAAGCAAAGCTAAACTGAATGAACGTTTATCTGGTGAGATGCGAAGACACTTTAGGCAACTATAGGAGATAATCAGAAAGAACTAAGGAGGGGCCTTCTTTTTCTACACTACCTAAAAGTCAGTATAAAATAAATTGAAGTTAGTGACTATGATCTAAAACAGTACTTAAAAATATGAAGATTTTTGAGGAGAAAATGTAAGCCTAATGTTTTGAGGACTGATTAATTGTAATAATTTTTTAGTCTACAGTAGTTCTACAGTAGTTCCTATGTAACTGTCCCGAGGACTTTAGATAGTGCTCAAAGCAAAGGCACTTGGGAAGAATAAGGTTTGATTTTTCAGAAATGTTGTTGATACTAGTTTCCAGAAATATTCAGAGTGCTGATGCAGAAATCTGGTTTGAAGTACATGGACACTTATGCAAGCCTACATTTGCTCTGTAACGTTGGGACTGTCAGAACATCTAGACTGACCGTACTACCATGCAGTCTCTTTAGTAGCCTGAACGATATTGCAAGGAACTCACAATTGAGATTTGTTAATGGAGTCAAGAGAATAAGATAAGTCACAAGTATTTTTACATACTTTATCTTATTTAGAAGTTCAGGCATTTTTAAATCTAACACACACAATGAATGAATGGATTGTTAAAACAAAATAAAATGGAGACCAGGCTTGAGAACCCTCGGAGCAGACAAAACCAGTTAGGCCATGTAAGAGTAACTTAGGTTATTTCTTGTAAATACCTCTGACAATTGTAAGTAAAACTTAAGTTGTCTTCCAAAAATGGTATAAGATGATGAATTTTAAACCAATCTGTTGTCTGAAAACCTCCATGGTAATAACAAATCATCGTAAAAGTTAAAGTTTCATTTTTGCTTTATAAGCCAGCCTATAATGCCATGCCTCTGAGCTTCCACTTAGCATTTTCGGTTTGAGATCTCTCAGTTTGTAAGTTGTTGTTTTCTATCTATAATTTACACATTTTAAAACATTTGGCCTGATTTTATTTTTCAAAGCACGATTGCACACATAGGGTAACTGTCTCCTTCATATGTGGGTACCTCAGAAAGCATGCCAAATGGTTTAGAAACTGTGCAAAATATTACCTATTGACACTTAGCATCGTTTTTGCCCTTCTAAGTTCTGTCTCCTATGAGACATTTATCAAACTCTGTTGCTAATAGTATTTCAATCTAAATTCTACCAAGGAGAGGCACTGTTACAAAATTTGCAAGGAGGAAGGGAAAGAGAAGCCATCAATTTCAGTAGTGGCTGCAGGTAACTTTGTGGGTATCAGCAAACGGCAGATGGAATGTTAAGTCAGCAGATTCTGGGCACAAGGAAGTCTTGAGACTTATCTTGTTGTTACAGGTCAGAGGGATCCTTGGCCATGGTTCCTTGTGACTCCTGCTCTTCCTAATATTTCAAACTCTAGCAATAGCTCCTGGACCTTTGCCCTCTCAGCCTTACTAATTGTTGTATAAGCCTCTAAGACTTTATGCATTAAATCCTTTCCTAGAGGAAACATCTATAGTGTTTGACTGAGTCAAAAGCTTTCTTTTCCTGACTGATAAAAATAGCTAGAAATGAAAATCATGGAAATATATTTTGTTTATATACATACTGCATATTGCATATACACACATATATATATTCTGCATGTTTAAACACTTTGTGAATTGAAACATAGTAACATGAAATCACTTCAATCTACCATTTTGCAATACACCATGAAAAAATATCACATCAGTATACTACTGAAAAATCATAGCTTTCACCAAACTAGGCTCATAAGCAGCCATCAGGAATGGTGTGACCCTTGAGGAAAAGGGCTGTAATACGGTACAATTTTTGGATTCTGTTTAGTTTCATGAAATGGAGGATCACAGACAGAAATCCAATGGCAATGCCTGAAGGCAATGGAGGTTATTTTCTGAATTATTTGAATAATTGAGGTAAAAGTGGAGTTTCTGCCTGGATTATTCAGATAATTGTCTTAATTCTAAACTTCACTTAGCTAGCTGGTAGAGACCTTTGTATAGGATGTATTTTTGGAATGCTAAATGCTAAAAAAAAAGAACTCCTAAAGTAAGCAGAGCTGTGGTGTAATGAGGGTGTATTGGGGGTGATACAGAGATACGGAGGGAGAGAGAGAGAGAAAGGAGGAAAAGAGAAGAAGAGAGAGAATGGTAAATAGCTAATCGTCAGAATAAGATTAAACTTTACTTTCTACTTGATAGTAACCAATGTCCACATTTTCATCACAGAATGAACTTTCTATAAAAAGGGAAATACATATGTAGATTTCAAATATAAACCATAGTATTTTAAAAAGTTACGAATTCCTTTTTAAGCTTTAAAGAGGTAAATTTTTACTTTGTAAGGTTTAGAAACTTCATGCCTTCAAATCCAGCAATTTATATAGTGAAGCAAATTGACTTAAAAATTATACCATACTTTTTGTTTTACTTCATATTGTTGGTCTTTGCCGTTTAATTCTTTTTTCTTTTTTGAGTTTCTGAATACCCCAGAGAAGGTAATCTATTTATTATGAATTCTAGGGCTAGAATATCAGCACAAATATGGAAGTATTTTTAGAAGCTATTGTCACCATAGAAATGTTAGCCACCATTTTTGTCTAGTTTCTTTTTCTTTTAAATTTTATTATTATCCCTAAAACTTAATTCTTAAAGACAAAATAAATTAAAAAAAAGAAGAATGATGACATCCATTCTCTTCTTCATTGGTAACAGAACCCTGGGCAGTAAGCCCAGCCCCCAAATTATTTGCCAACCTCCCCCACAGATGAGTGTGTCATGTGACTAAGTTCTTGCCCATAAGCGGAAGTGTTGTGTGAGACTTCTGGATAGGTCCCTTTTTTTCTGGACTCCTTCTGACCTACAATGCCGACAAGGTGCCTCGATCTCCAGCAGCCATCTTGGGTCATAGGGCAACCTTAAGAATGGAAGCCTCACACTAGGATGGCGAAAGATTAAGGTAGCAGGAACCTGACTTCACGATGACTGTGAAGCTACTATATATCCTCTGGGATGCTCCTTCTGCATTTATTTTACTTAAGAGAGTAAAAATGTATATCTTGCTTAAGACACTATTATTTCTAGTTATTGTTATTAGCAGATGAACACAATTCCTAAGTGATACATATATTAAGGTATTAATTGAAAATATTTTGTGATTTCTAGGATTAGATTTCTAGATACGTGTAATAGCTTTTCCCCTATCCCGCCAGGTACACACACATAAACATGCATTCTAATTTGTAAGAAAGAAAACTAAGTGATTATGTGAAGTTGTACCAGTAATATATTTTGTGCAATTGCAAAGGATAATGCTTTTGCAATGTGAATCATGGGAAAATAAGAATTTGAGCATCACTTAAGAATTTTTCAATGTACCTACATGCACTAAAAAACAAACAAACAAAAAACAAAAAACCAAGGCCGGGCGCTCTGGCTCACGCCTGTAATCCCAGCAATTTGGGAGGCCAAGGCAGGCAGATCACAGGGTCAGGAGATGGAGACCATCCTGGCTAACACGGTGAAACCTGTTTCTACTAAAAATACAAAAAATTAGCCGGGCCTGCTGGCGGGCGCCTGTAGTCCCAGCTACTCAGGAGGCTGAGGCAGGAGAACGGTATGAACGCGGGAGGTGGAGCTTGCAGTGAGCAGAGATGGCGCCACTGCACTCCAGCCTGGGTGACAGAGCGAGACTCCATCTCAAAAAAGACAAAACAAAACAAAACAAACCAAAACAGTAGAGAGGAAGACAAGCAAATACAGAAATGGAATTCAGCAACAGAATATTAATAGTTTTTTCTTTATCTTTTGCAATTAATAGCAAGAAAGGAAGGAAAGATCAATCTATTGAGCAGTCAGATGGAATGGTAAAGATTAATCATTCTCTTCCCTTCAGAAGTTGCCTTAATTCTTTGTCTTTTAAGATCCAGCTCTTTTATAAGGCCCTCACCAATCTCTCAGTAGGAATTAACCTCTGCTCTTTATCAGGACTAGAACCAAGCTACAGCGGGTGAGGCATTTGTCTTGGGTACAAAAGTTAAAACTCAGTAATCAAGATAAATATTTTAATGGAATATTTTAATTGGCAAACTAAGGCATGTGGGCCAGTCTCCTGTTTTTGTAAATAATTTTTTAATTATACTTTGCTTTTATTTGTATTATAGCACTTAAATAGTACTTTTTACATTAGCCCTCTCCCAACAGGGCTGTACTCATTTTTGTATTCCTCATGTACCTACTACTCTGTTTGAAGCATAAAGGCCTCTTAAAAAAATCTTGCATTGAGTTGATTAAAGGATTTTTGCAAGAATATATTGTACTGGTGATGGTGGGGTTCAATTTTCATACTGAATTCAACAATAGCAAAAGAATAACAGAATGATGACTATTTTGAAAGTACTTATAATTTAGTGCTGTGGGAAAAATCACTTGGCTTGTCTTTGACTAAAACCCTGCTGAGCTTAGGGAGATAGAGAATTGTAATATTACATTATGTTCATATAGCACTTTTTCCTACATAAAGTGCTTTCTTTTAATCCTCACCTCAATCCTGTAAGGTCGGTATTGCTATCCCTATTTATTGTAGAGAGATTGAGAAATGAGGTGACTTGCCCAGGGAGTTATGGGCAAAAAGAGGCAGAGCTGGGGTTCTAACCCAGATTTTGTCTGTCACAATTGAATGCCCTTTCTGCGATTATAAATCTTATGTCTCAGAGTTGAATGAGAAACAATTTATACAGCAACTACAATAGCATTCTTATCATTAAAATGTTCTGATTATGTGTGTGTGTGTTTGTGTATGTGTGTGTGTGTATGTGTGTGTGTGATGAAGTAGCTGAACTTGGTATTTTTCGGTAGAGGGTAGGAAACTACACATTGAAAAGCCGAAGATGAAATTATGTTATTTGAGTATTACTTTCTAACTATAACTTTACCACTGATGTGTGTATGATATTCTGCAAAGTGACTAAACTGTACGTGTTTGCTTCTTCATGGAAAAAAAATTTGGGAAGGCATTTAAACTTTTCAGCTGAAAAAGGTTATGTCAATGTGAAAGATTATAGTACTCGAGAATTAGGAGTTGATTAAATTTAACGGTTTCCTTTTCATACTTAGGGGGAAAAATCTACGACTGTATTTTAAAACTCCATATGGCAATTAAATTTGAGAGCGTATAACTAACTACTTCACTAGAATTTCCATCAGTATACAATAAACACACAGTCAAAACCTCAAATGTCCATTATTAGCCCATCTAGTAGACGATATTTTATAATTATGGATTCCCCATATTGATTGATGTCCAGAGAAAAACTGCAGTCTTCTCTTACTAAGCTGATAGTTGAGTTCCTGGGAAATCCTCACCCCCTAAGAACAAATAATTCTCAAAGAAATTCAAAGTCATTCCTTTTGGTGAATTGCAATCAGTCATCAATAACTATTTATGGAATGTCCGAAGGGTGCCTAGGCATTGAAATGGCAAGAGACTTATATTTGCTTAATTCAAAGGATTTCTAAAGGCAGTCTGAGGACTTGCAAGAAGTCTTTAAAGATGCAAAGTGGTGTGTTCTTTAACTGCCCCTACCTGGAATGAATTGAACAGTCTGGGTGTTAGGGCTTTGATGTCTAATCCCGCTTTGCAAGCGAAGACTCCACTGGTGCCAAGCGACAGGCGGGCTGGTGGGCAGACATGGCACCACCACCGGGGGCTTTCAGGACTGGTCCAGCCCTCCCAGGCAGGTGTAGGGCCGACTGCAGCAACAGCGGCCCTGACCCCAGCTCCCATGGCTCCCCTCCCCCCGCACTCCCACCCCCCGCACCCGGCACACACCATCTCCCAGTCACCCAGTCTCGACCGGTTCTCGCGAGATCCGGGTTACTGAGCGCTCGGGGCCTTTTCAAATCGGGATCCGTTACCGCTTCCCCGGCAGCCGCCATTGTCGCGCTCGGAGCCCCTCAGCTCAGGCGGCCGAGGCGGAGGCAGCGGCGGCGGGATGGCGGACGCCAACAAGGCCGAGGTGCCCGGGGCCACTGGTGGCGACAGCCCGCACCTGCAGCCCGCAGAGCCGCCGGGCGAGCCGCGGCGAGAGCCGCACCCCGCGGAGGCGGAGAAGCAGCAGCCGCAGCACAGCAGCAGCTCCAATGGCGTTAAAATGTATTGTCTTTTCCTCCGGGAACCGGGGCGAGGTGGGGGGCGGGGAGTCTACCGGGCGGCTAGAGGCCGGGCTGTGCCCCGATGGGGGACAACCACCCCCAGACCCCGGCCCGCCCCCGGGCCATCGGCTTCCTGAGGAGCAGGTGCAGCTGGGCCGCTCCCAGGCCCTTCCCCGCCCGCCCCAGGCCTGGCCGCCTGTGGTCTGGGAGCCGGGGCTGGGGGCCCGGGGACCAGCGCTCTTCCCTGATTTCTAGCCCGAGACAGCGAACACCCCTCTTCCCTGACTTTGGTTAAAGAATCTTTGAGCAAAGCTCAGCGACCGCCACGGTTTGCAGGAAAATGGTCCCCCTTTAAGGACCAGTAGTTAGTGTTCATCACTAGGGAGTATCTAGGGATGACATCATCGGACATTTCCTCTTAACCACCGAGAACATATTTAAAAGGAATATTCCTGGCTTCTTTCTGAGCTTCACAAGTTTAGTGTTTTGTTGTTTTCTAAAGTGTATGTTCATTTTTAAACTGATTTATACCGAGAGGAAGTTTAATAATGTGCTGTTAGACTCTATGTTTTGTGTTACTCTTGAATTGGCTAGACGTACTTTAAAAAGGGAAATGTGCGATGTGCGTGGCTTCCCTTCCCACTGGGTAATGTGCGTCAGCTGTGGAGAGTATTTTTTTTTTTAACTCAGTGTATGATTATCTTAAGTTTGGTATAATAGATGGTTAAGATTTTTTTTTTCCCAAATGAAGGAAGACTTTTAAGGTCGCAGCTGTCACCAGTGCCTATAAAGAATTTAGTTGACCCCAATCCATAATAATTTCTGGTTCTAGGGAAATGTTATGCTCTCCTTTGTTCCTGTCCTGTGGGAGGATATGAAGTTAAGCGCTTACTTTCATATGCCTACCTCCTTAAACCTGAAGTTGAAAGTATGTTAATAATTAAGTGAAAACATCCTTTTCCTTCTCTGTTATGCCTCAGAGCAGAAAGCAATAGATATATGCTCACAGTAAAATAGACAAGGGAAAGGTCTTTCTGACCTTTGTATAAGCATGTTTGAAATTGTATGGTAAGAACTGGACCAGTCTGTGTAAAAGTTGGTGGCAAAAAAGATGGGGTAGCTCTCCCCAGCTCTTTGACACTCTTGCTCTCAAATGAGTTTGAACAGGATCGGCAGCATCTTCTAGGAGAATAGAGGTGCAGGTATAAGAGATTGGAACTTAGTGGAGTTTATTCCTGGATGAAGAGTGGTGCACCTCAGTAATTGAGGAACCAGAAAGGGAATGAAGTGCTTTCTACCATGCTTGCCAAAATGTGGGCTTTCTGGAATTTGGCATTAAAAATAGAAATGAAAACCGGTGGAATGATAAACTTAAAAATATGTGCTATTCATATCTAAACACGAGTATACATGCCACCTTTTCTCCTGAACAAAAAGTGCAGCCTTGAATTACAGAGAGAAGCCCTCCTATACTTGGGTATGATTAGTTTTGATATAGGGGAAGTTTGGTATCTAAACCTCCATCAGATTTTCTATTCCCTTCTAAAGTCTCTTCATGATTTAGCAAGACAGGAAAAGAGAAAGGAGAAAGGTGGAGAAAGAATCCTTTTCTAATTTAGGAAGAGAAAAATATAAGGTGAAGAAATGAAGAAATATTACTAGTAAATACAGATTATTTCCATATTGCTTATAATTCGCCTCTCCCTTTCTCTTTTTCCCAGAAGTTGAATCGAGTCCAATTTACTCTCAGGGATTTCTCTTACTGTCTATTCCATAAGAAGATTTGTGATGGTCCAGCATGAGTCATTCAAACTGAATAACTAGCGACCTAGTCCTTTTTTTTTTTTTTTTTTTTTTTACTTCGTGAACTAGTAGGAGTGGATAACAACCCCAATACATAAACCTTGAGTTGATTACCATATACTTTTAATAATAAAAATAATTCATTGTTGATTATAAAAATTACCATAATATTGCCCCAAATTATGTATTGGTTGGAATTGAACAGAGTACTGCTTGTCATCAGGATTGAAATAATATTTGCTGAGGTTAATCCATAGTTATTGAGGGTGGGAGACCACTATGTCTTATTCTTCTTTGTATTCTTAAGGCCTAGTAAATATTTGTGGAAGAAATGCAGAAGTGAACTTTCATGCTTATGAAACTCATATACAGGGAATTTAGTTTGCATATTCACACCTTTAGAAAAGATCCGTTTTCCAACTGTAGTCTTCTTCTTTAACGCCAAATGGTATACTAGCTCTCCTTTTCTTAAAAATGAATAGGAGGGAAAAGAGCAGTATTATTATAACTTTATTATTCATGTGTAATTAAGTATAACTTTGGAGTAGGTAGAGATTGAGAGTTATATTAGGGTACTATAAAATATTAAGCATTGGAGCAAGGTAATGTGTTCTTTAGCTGAGTGATTTTTATTAGGAATAAAGACTAGAACTGTTTCCCCCAGCTTTATTGAGGTAAATTGACAAAAATTGTATATTTTGAAGTGTACAGTGTGATGGTTTGGTATACAAATAAATTGTGAAATGATTACCACAATCACGCTAATTAACGTATCTGTTACCTCGCATAGCTACCATATTTTTTGGTGTTGAAAATACTTAAGATCTATTCTTTAAGCAAATTTCAAGTATACAGTAAATATGTTAAGTATAGTCACTATACTGTACCTTAGATCTACAGAACTTACTCATCTTATAACTGAAAGTTTGTGCCCTTAGAACATTTCCCCATCCCCTGCTGCCCTCCACCTCTGGTAAACACCCTTCTACTCTCTGCTTCTGAGTTTGACTTTTTTAAAAGTCTGTGTGTAAGTGAGATCATGTAGCATTTGTCTTTCTGAGTCTGGCTTTTTTCACATAGCCCAATGTCCTCTAGGTTTATCTCTGTTGTTGCAAATGGCAAGATTTTGTTCTTTTTGTAAGGCTGAATAATAATATTCCAGTGTGGATGTGTTGTGTAAACATAAAATATAATATATATCATGTTTCCTTTAATCATTTATCTGTCAATGGACACTTAAGTCGTTGTTTCCATATCTTGGGTATTGTGGATGATGCAGCGAACATGGGAGTGCAGATATCTCCTTGAGATAGTGATTTCATTTTCATTGGATATATACCCAGAAGTGGCATTGATGAATCATGTGGTAGTTCTGTTTTTAATTTTTTGTGGACCCTTGATGCTGTTTTCCATAATGGCTGTACCAATGTATATTCCCACCAGCAGTATCTAAAGGTTCTTTCTCCACGTCCTCAGCAACAGTTGCTATCTTTTGACTTTTCGATAAGTCATCCTAACAGGTATGAAGTGATATTGCAGTCTGGTTTTGAGTTGTATTTCCCTGATGAACAGTGATATTGAGCACCTTTTCATATACCTTTTGGCCGTTGGTATGTCTTCTTTGGAAAAATTATCTGTTTGGATCCTTTTCTCATTTTTTAAATTGGGTTGCTATTGAGTTGTATGGGTTCCTTATACATTTTTGATATTAATCCCTTATTGGATATATGGTTTGCAAATTTTATCTCTCATTTCTTAGGTTGCCTTTTTATTTTGTTGAGTTTCCTTTGCTGTGCAATAACTTTTTACTTTGATGTAGTCCCAGTTGTTTACTTTTGTTTGTGTTGTCTGTGCTTTTGGTGTCATATCAAAAAAAAAAAAAATCATTGCCAAGGCCAAGGTCATGGAGCTTTTCTCTTGTGTTTTCTTCTAGGAGTTCCATGGTTTTAGGTGTTATAAGTTTTTAATCCATTTTCATTTTGTTTTGTATGTGGATATCTAGTTTTCCCAATACCATTTTTTGAAGAGACTGTCCTTTCACCATTGTATATTTTTGGTGCCTTTGTCAAGGATTAGTTTACCATATATTGGGGATGTGTTTTTGAGTGTTTGTTATGCTCCATTGGTCTGTGTGTCTGTTTTTGTACCAGTACCATATTGTTTTGATTACTATAGATTTGTAATATAACTTGAATCAGGTAGTGTGGTACTTTTAGTTTTTTCTTCTTGTTTAAGCTTGCTTTAGCCATTTGAGATCTTTTATGGTTCATACGGATTTCAGGAATTTTTCCGTTTCTGTGAAAAATGCTGTTAGAATTTTGATAGAGATCACATTGAATTTATAGGTCATTTTGGGTAGGAAGGACATTTTGACAATATTAATTCCTCTCATCTGTGAACATGGAATATCTTTCATTTGTATTATTTTCAATTTCTTTTATCATTGTTTGATCGTTTTTCAGTGTATAGCTCTTTAGCTTTCTTGGTTAAATTTATTTCTAGGTATTTTATTCTTTCTGATGCTATTTTAAATGAGATTATGTTCTTAATTTTTTGGATAGTTCATTATTATTAGTGTGTAGATATGCAGTGGATTTTTGAATGTTGACTTTGTATTCTATAACTTTACTGAATTTGTTCTAATAGTTTTTTTGGTGTTGTCTTTAAAATTTTCTCTGAATAATTTTCTATATAAGATCACATCTTCTGCAAACAGAGTTAATTTTACTTCTTTCTCTCCAATTTGGTTGCCTTTTATGTCTTTTATTTGCCTAATTGCTCTGGCTGTGACCTTCAGTACAATGTTGAATAGAAGTGGTGAGCATGGGCATCTTCTCTTTTTCCTGCTCTTAGAGGTAAAACCTTCAAATTTTCACTGTTGAGTATGACATTAGCTATGGGGTTGTCATATATGACCTTTATTGTGTTGAGGAACATTCCTTCTATACTGAATTTGTTGAGAGTGTTTATCTTGAAAGGATGTTGAGTTTTGTCAAATGCTTTTTCTGGATCTATTGAGATGATCCTTGATTTTTAAAAAATCCTTCATTCTGTTAATGTGGTGTATAACATTTATTGATTTATGTATGTCATCCTTGCGTCCCTGATATAGATACCATTTGATTATGGTGTATGATCCTTTTAATGTGCTGTTGAATTTAGTTTGCTAGTATTTTGTTGAGAATTTTCACATCTGTGATCATCAGGGATATTGCTGTAATTTTCTTTTCTTGTAGGATCCTTGTCTTGCGTTGTTATCAGGGTAATCTTGGCCTTATAAAATGATTTGAAAGACTTTCCTCATGTTCAGTTTTTTGGAACAGTTTGACAAGGATTGGTATTAGTTCTTAAATGTTTGGTAGAATTTACCAGGTCCTGGGCTTCTCTTTCTTGGGAGATTTTTGATTACTGACTCCATCTCCCTTGTTAGTGGACAGTTCAGATTTTCTAATTTTTCATGATTCAGCCTTGGTGAGTTGTATATTTCCAGGAATTTATTAATTTCTTCTAAGTTATCCAATTTGTTGGTATATAATTGTTAATAGTAGTTTCTTATGATTCTCTGTATTTCTGTGGTATCTGTTATAATGTCTCCTCTTTGATTTCTTTATATATTTTTCTATTTTTTCCTCTTTGATTTCTGATTGTTTTTCCCCCTTAATCTAGTTTGATCTTTGTCAGTTTTGCTTATCTTTCAAAAACCAACTTTTAATTTTATTGATCTTTTCTATTGTTTTTCTAGTATATTTCATTTATTTTTGCCCTGATTTTCATTATTTTCTTCTTTCTACTAAGTTTGGACTGAGCTCTTTTTTCTAGTTCCTTGAGGTGTAAAGTTAGGTTGTTGGAGATCTTTATTCTTTTTTTTTTTTTTGATACAGAGTCTTGCTCTGTATCAAAAAAAAAATGTGCAATGGTGTGATCTTGGCTCACTGCAACCTCTGCCTCCTGGGTTCAGGTGAATCTCCTGCCTCAGCCTCCCAAGCAGCTGGGATTACAGGCATGCATCACTACGTCTGGCTAATTTTTGTATTTTTAGTAGAGACGGGGTTTCACCATGTTGGCCAGGTTCATCTCGAACTCCTGACCTCAAGTCACCCACCTGCCTTGGCCTCCCAAAGTGCCGGGATTACAGATGTGAGCCACTGCACCTGGCCTGGAGGTCGTTTTTCTTAATGTAGACATTTACTGCTCTGAACTGCCCTCTGGTAGTTTTCCTCTGGAACTGGGATTAATATTGGATCTCATACTACACCATTATACTTTTAAAATCACACATTAAAACTATGTTTCTTCTTTTGATGTTGGAGCTTGATTTTTTTCAGAAATGTATGTTATAATTTAGATACGCATAGTTCAATTTTAAGAATAGATAACATTTTTATGACTATTTTAGGGTTTTTATTTTAAGTACATTGTGGGAGTGGTTGTCTAAATGAACAGTTTGGGAATTTAGTACTTGGAATTCTGGATGTAGTACCAATATTTTGGAATTATGTAGCATCATTTCCTTAAGAGTTTTCACATATATTTTTACTTTCTCTTCCAAAGTATTTATGACTTGGAAATAGTTCAGAAATTATATAATTATGGCTCAGTTTCTTAATAATTAGATCATCCCTGTAGCCTCTCAACTGTTATGCCTTTTATAGTTTTTTTTCTTTTTTTGTTATACACTGGGAAGAAACTTAAGATAAATTTTAATTCTACATCATAGATGAGCAGTTTAGCAGTATTTTTAAGATGCTTCTTATGGGGGAAAAATGAAGAAATTTACTTTCTCTGATCATCTTTGAGTAAATATTTTAAAGAAAATATTATATATAATGTTACTGTTTTTAATGGAATTTTCAGATTGTTGTAAGCAAATATTTAATCTATGTAACCCCACCTAAGTCAAGAATAGAACATTGTAAGTACTTCAGAACTTTGTGTAATTTTCACAATTGGTTTAATCCAGGAAGAAAATAGGCAGGGGAAGGGGTATTAATCTAGAGACTATATAGATATCTGCTTACTGAATAGAGTCTTAGTTACTTTACAAACATTCACTGAATTCATCTAAGCCTATTATGTAAACAGGCCCTTTGGGAATTGAAAAGAAAGGTTTGTTCTTCTATCTGCGGTACTCAGAAACCAGAGAAAAGGCCTTTGTGCCTTTTGGCTGCTTGCTGCCATTTTCAAAAGTGTCACTCTGTTTAGACAGGTAGGTACTTTCTAGATTTAGACAGTTGAGAAGACTCCCCCCTAGGCCATGCCATTTCTGATGAAGGAATATGTTTGATAGTGAAGATGTCCTTTTTAAGGTCTAAAAAAAATGGCAAAGCAAGTTTGGTCCAAATGTCTCTTTCTTTATTCTAGCAGTTTTTCTGGCAACATCTGTGCTCAGATGAGTATGGATTCTTAATTGACTGTTAATTCATTAAAAAATTATAGCACAATGTTATATGCAGTCACCGTGCGAGGTGCTGCTGATACCAAAGCAGATAGTTTTTGTTCTCATAGAGTTTACATACTATATTTATGGCTGTGTTACCTACAAAGAAGAGTAGTGTTCAAGAAGCTCTGTATATATTATGTAACAAATGACTGCAGTTAGAGGTGTGTGGAGCATTGCAATGTGTGGATCACCAGAATTGCTGGGCTTAGAAGATAATTTAGAGCCTGGCTCATGAAACTTGGTTTGTTGTCAGAATAATCCAGAAAGCTTTAAAAAAAATTTAGATTCCTGGGTGTCATCCACAGTGATATTATTAGTAATGTTTGTGAAAAATTGCTTTAAAATTGAAGTTTTGTTATTAAAATAGTTTTAAATTGACTAGAGCACTTATTTAAATAAGAAATCTATTGGCCGGGCACGGTGGCTCACACCTGTAATCCCAGCACTTTGGGAGGCCGAGGCGGGTGGATCACCAGAGGTCAGGAGTTTGAGACCAGCCTGGCCAACATGGTGAAACCCTGTCTCTACTAAAAATACAAAAATTAGCTGGGTGTAGTGGCAGACACCTGTAATTCCAGCTACTTGGGAGGCTGAGGAAGGAGAATTCCTTGAACCCAGGAGGCGGAGATTGCAGTGAGCCGAGATCTTGCCACTGTACTCCAGCCTGGGTGACAGAATGAGACTGTATCTCAAACAACAACAACAACAACAACAGCAACAAAAACCCCCACAAAAAACCCTATTGTTTGTGCTGTAAAAAAGACTTGTTTTGAAAAGTAAATTGCATTTTAAAATAGAAATCCAAATTTTTATCTGTAGGGTTTAAGTGTATGCCTACATCTTTTGGATGGTTGGCATATGACATCATAGAGTTGCATTGTGATTACGGTATTATAAATTACTTTTTTTTCTAGTTAAGGCCTCATTAAAAATCAGGTTTGGCCAGGCGTGGTGGCTCACGCCTGTAATCCCAGCACTTTGGGAGGCGAGGTGAGTGGATCACGAGGTCAGGAGTTCAAGATCAGCCTGGCCAAGATGATGAAACCCCGTCTCTACTAAAAATACAAAAAATTAGCTGGGCATGGTGGTGGGCACCTGTAATCCCAGCTGCTCAGGAGGCTAAGGCAGAGAATTGCTTGGACCTGGGAGGCGGAGGTTGCAGTGAGTCGAGATTGCACCACTGCACTCCAGCCTGGGTGACAGAGCAAAACTCCGTCTCAAAAAAAAAAAAAAAATCAGGTTTATAAAATTTTGGCTTACGTTGCTTTTATGTACTGCTTCTGTCCTACATTACCCATTGTAGGTAATATTAATGAAACTGCATAATTTGATGAAGTACCCTATTCTAGTTTATAGGTTAAAATGTAACATAAAATATTAGGATACTTTATAAGTTTTCTGTGTTGATCAAAATTGGGAATAGAAGAAAGTTTGAGAGTCTTAATGTGAGTATATTCATATATAGATGTGGATTTATATACATAACTTTGTATTTTAATTATGCTTCTAATTAAGGGAGGAGAAAGTTCTGAGAAGAAACTATTAACCTTTAAGAGATGAACTTTTTCAGAGTATCACTGTGTAAGTTAGTTTTTAAAAAAGTTTTTAATGATGCCCAGAAAGTTAATTCTCCATCAAAGGTGGCAGTTTTAGATACCTTAGAAGTAAAATTATCTGCTCTTCCCTCTGTTCCAGTCTAATAGCATTTATTAATTAAGTAGTGTGATGGGAAAAACTGGGTGATTGTTTGGATGCTTACAACTATTTAATGTGGGAAAAAAATGAGGACTGTTAAATGAGAAACCAAATCCTTGCTTTGAAATAGCATTGGGTAATTTCAAAGCTCTCAGGCTGATTCTCCAGCTACTTTGCTGAGGTCTAGCTTAGTGGAGAGTTTTGTGAGGTGATAAATATGGAATACTTATTTAATATAGACTTCCATTCTTATAAGCACAACTGAGGGTTTTTGTTTGTTTGACTTTTTTTAATTCACAGGGAGAATGATGAATCAGCAAAAGAAGAGAAATCTGACTTAAAGGAAAAATCTACAGGAAGTAAGAAGGCCAATAGATTTCATCCTTATTCAAAAGACAAGAATTCGGGCGCTGGAGAAAAGAAGGGTCCAAATCGTAACAGAGTTTTCATTAGCAACATCCCATATGACATGAAATGGCAAGCTATTAAAGATCTAATGAGAGAGAAAGGTAACTATCTCTGAAATAACCCACTGTTGGATAATCTTCATATAGGCAGGGGAGGGAACTACACAAACATTTTTATTCCTCTGAGCCACACAGACTCAAAAAATTGATTTTTATTTCTTGACATGTGAATTAATCTTTTCCTCTTCTTTCTCTTGACACAATTTCATTACAAGGTAGTATGGATATTTTTCTTTTTGCCATTTTAGTGGGATAGTAGCGAGCCAGCATATGCATGCCACCAAGAATTTTGTTAAAGTGATTGCTTTGTCTAGTTGAAGTTTTTATAGATTTTAAAAGGGCTATTGCATTAGTTAAGCAATACATTTAGCGTGTTAAGAATGAATAATAAGGTCTGATTATTTATTTTTTTTCCAAAAGCTGTTTTGTTACTATCTTGGTGGAGTCTGGAATCTGGCTGTGGAATTTATTTTGTTTGCATTGTCATGACTGCCATGATGCTGTCTTTGCAGTTCTAAATTAAAATTGCATTACTGCTGTTGCAGTTTTGTTTTCAGAATAATCTGAAAACCTTCATCTTATATACATGGTTGGTTTTGGGGAAAAATAATTTTAATACTTGATCTTGTAAAAGTTAGTTTTGTTATCT
Organism: Homo sapiens; assembly: GCF_000001405.40. Taxonomy (NCBI): domain Eukaryota; kingdom Metazoa; phylum Chordata; class Mammalia; order Primates; family Hominidae; genus Homo; species Homo sapiens. The sequence goes on along the minus strand of NC_000015.10, from coordinate 48,168,023 downwards.
CTTGAAAAATTGAGTTTCAACAGTCCTGCAAACTATGTACTTGGCTTTGAGGCTGATCTCTTCTAATAAATTTTTTTTTTTAAATTGCATTGGTGTATCTGTTGTAAGGTGACAACTATTTGATTGGTTTTATTCATTGACTTTATTTAGAAAGTGTGTGGCTTGCTGTGAAGCATGATTTGTAAATTTAGTTTACTGATGGCAAACATGATTGAAGACATTCAGGTAGAAAGTCACCTTAAAACAGCTGTTGTGTGTAGGCTGACCAAAGTTATTTGAAAAGTGCTAATGTTGATGTTTTTTAATATGATAGGTTAAGGGACCATTTGTATGTATATGTGCATTTGTTCACCAACTATATCATGCTGGCCAAAATATGATCTGTAGTATGAATTAGGTTAATATGGTTGTTAGCTTTTTTTTAGAGAATGTGGATGATGTACATTTCTGAAAATTAGTTAAATTTACATAGCCATTGATAGGAGGTATGTTGGTCTGGTTTTGATTGTTGGTGAATAATAGGTGCTTCTCTGTAGAGTTGTGCACAGGTGTGCAGTAAAGCAAGATACTGGTGTTTAAATGTATTGTTTCTTGGTATCTTCCTTTTGTATGTCTTATGTAGTTGGTGAGGTTACATACGTGGAGCTCTTTAAGGATGCGGAAGGAAAATCAAGGGTAAGTGCTGTGGGCAATAATCTGCTTGAGGTTTAAAAGTTCCTCAGCAGTTTACTTTTTGTATAATACTTGTACCAGTTTTTGGAAACTTAAGTTTCATTTTGTTTTACTTTATTATGCAAGATTTGAGGCTCTATACCAGCAAGTCTGACACTTATACAAACCTAGCTGCCTGGAAGGGATGGGTTTTGTAAACACTCCAAAGGGGCATTCACTTTTCCAATGCTCTAAGGTAATACTTCTTCTTAGCCAATAAGATTTTAGCATAGGATTTTTTTTGTTGTATTTTGATGTCTTCAAGGATACTTTAAAAGTCACTGAATTGATAATATTCCTGAGTTTTTTGAGGGCTATAGCTTAAAGGTGTTAGTTCAGAATGTATTTTTGAAATTTTACTGAAAAGTTAAATTTGGTAGCCTGCAGGACTACATGAGAGGCAGTGCTCTGACCAATTGGTATGAATGACATTTACGATTATATTGACGTAGAAGGAATTGGTTGATAGTATATTTTGATTTTTAGCAATAAGAATGCAGTATACTGAAGAATACAATGGAAAACTCTTAGCAATGTTTCATTATGTTAGTAAAACTAGTTGGGTGCATGATGAATAAAAATTTTGTCATTACATTCATATGGGACTTTGAATGGCAATCACAGGGAATTATTTTTTAAATAACTCTCCAAATTAATTTATTATTAGTTTATAGATGATTTTTACATACTTCCAACTGGGTGCTGTTAAATGTGCAGCCAGTTTTAATCTAATAGAGAACTTGTTAAAAATAAAATTAATATTTATTCACTATTTTGATTTTAATAGAGTTGAAAAATATGTCGTAGACAATACATTTTTTGAAAATATTTGTAACTACAGAAGGATAGGTCTATTGGAGCCTTTAGTTATTTCCTTGAATTCCTGTTGATTTAATTTGTGCAGTGACATTAATTTTAACTTAATGAAAAGTCACCTAAAAGTGAAAAATGTGCTCCAAGCTTGTTACATGTTAGAGTCTACTATCTTTAATAGATATATTTAAAAATTTAGAGAAAATTTGTGGTTACTTGCCTGTTATGTTCTGGAGGTATAAAAGATGAAGTGATTCTACCATATTATTAATTGCCTTAATGATTGAAATGTTAGAACTGATTATTAACTTCATGTACTGATCTAAAACTTTTTTTCTTTTGCATATTTTGACAAATCTACCTGGATATAGGGTTGTGGGTAAGAAATTTTTTCTTTAAGTATCTTAAGTCAAATTAAACTTTGGAAAAAAATTAGCACATAAACATTTCCTATAAATTTTTTCCCTATTAAGTGTGGTTGAATTCAAAGATGAAGAATTTGTAAAGAAAGCCCTAGAAACTATGAACAAATATGATCTTAGTGGAAGACCCCTTAATATTAAAGAGGTAAGATTTCTCATATTTAGAATTTAAACATTTGACTATAAAGACATGTTTTCCTTGGATTTTCAATTTGGTAATATATTTGCCTGACTACAACTTTTTTTTAAAACATAGGTGTTCATTAAAGCATTATATATTGACGAAAGTTTTACTTGTACATGATTTTATATTTGCTGTTAAGCAGTTATCCTATATACTTGATTGGTTCCAAGTTGTTAAAAATAAAAGCACATAATTTAAAAAAATTTGAGGACCTAGAAATTCAAAGGGGATAAACTTTAGGTGCTAAGTTTATTTGGTACAGACATTTTCAATATTTAGATTTTGTTATTTGAGAAATATAATATCCTTGTAATTGATAATTAAAGGTCACTTAATGCAAATATGTTATGGATTTGAATAAAATTGATATTCACTTTTTATCAGAGTTACTTGGAAACTGTACTAGATTAAAATTTAAGAAAAATTATAACTTTGTTAGTGAAATTTATAACTAGAAGTTGGAATCCCCTAAAATGGAAATGTCTTCTTTGTACAAAATTGTAGCAGTGTAAACAGGTTGACAAAAAATGACTAGAAGATACAAACAAAAAATTTACAGTTTAACCTTGAGAATGATTGGCTTGAATAGCACTCATCTTCATAGGTTCCTTTATTTTGTATTGTTAATCTTAATAGTTTGATTACAGACCTGTTATGTACATATACTTGCTAAAGTCTGTGTTAAAAGAGATAAATAGTGTAACTTTGGGACCCTGAAGATTTTGTACTAATACTGATGCTAATCATTGGTTGTAGAGCAGTACTGTCACCCATGGCATTTAATAGTATACTAATGATTTGATTCCTGGCTTTATCACTTTCTAGTGGGTGTCTAGACATGCTACTTAATTTCTCTAAACTGAAGTAATGGTAGTAGTACTACTGATAATAGAGGCATACCTTGGAGCTATTGTAGGTTTGGTTCCAGACTACTGCAATAAAGCAAATATAACAATAAACTGTGTCATATGTATGTTTTGGTTTTGCAGTACACATAAAAGTTACGTTTATACTATATTCTGTTTAAAGTGTGCAATAGCATTATGTCTAAAAGCACAATATACATGCCTTAATTTAAAAATACTTTATTGCTGAAAATGCTAGTGATCATTTGAACTTTCACTGTAACCTTTTTGCTGGTGGAGAGTCTTGCCTCAGTGCTGATGGCTGCTGACTGATCAGGGTGATGGTTACTAAAGTTTGGGGTGGCTGTTGCAATTTCTTAAATTAAGAACAATGAAGTTTGCTGTATCAGTTGAGTCTTCCTTTCATAATAGATTTCTCTGAAGCATGTGATGTTGTTTGATAGCATTTTACCTACGGTTGAACTTCCTTCAAAATTGAAGTCAGTCCTCTCAAACCTGCTGCTGCTTTATCAATTAAATTTATATAATATTCTAAATCCTTTGTTGTCATTTCAACAGTGTACATAGCATATTCACCAGGTGTAGATTCCATCTCAAGAAATGACTTTCTTTGCTCATACAAGAAGTAACTCCTAATTTGTTTAGGTTTTATCATGAGTTTACAGCAATTTATTCACATCTTCAGGATCCACTTCTAATTCTAGTTTTCTTGCTCTTTCCATCACATCTTCAGTTACATCCACCATTGAAATCTTGAAGCCCTCAAAGTCATCCATTAGGATTAGAATCCACTTATTCCAAACTCCTGTTAGTATTGATATTTTGACCTTATGAATCACAGATGTTCTTAATGACATCTAGAATGGTACATTCTTTCCAGAAGGTTTTTAATTTACTTTGCCCAGGTCTATCAGAGGAATCACTGTCTATGACAGCAATAGCCTTACAAATTGTATTTCTTAAATAATCAGGCTTGAAAGTTAAAATTATTTCTTGATTGATGGGTTACAGAGTGGATATTGTGTTAATAGACCTGCAAACAACATTAGTCTTCTTGTATATCTTCTTTAGCACTCTTGGGTGACAAGTGCATTGTCAATGAGCAGTAATATTTCAAAAGGATTTTTTTTTTGAGCAAGAGGTCTCAACAGTGGGCTTAAAATATTCAGCAAACTATCCTTAAACAGGTGTGCTGTCATCCAGGCTTTGTTATTTCATTTACAGAGCACAGACAGAGTAGATTTAGCCTAATTATTAAGGGCCCTAGGATTTTCAGAATGGTAAATGAGCATTGGCTTCAAGTCAATTAAGGTTACCAGTTGCATTAGCCCCTAATAAAAGAGTCAATGTGGCCTTTGAAGCTTTGAAGCCAAACACTGACTTCTCCCTTCTAACTCTGAAAGTCCTAGATGGCATCTTCTTTCTATAGAAGACTGTTTCATTACACTGAAAATCTATTGTTTAGTGTAGCCATCTCATCAATGATCTTAGCTAGGTGTTCTGGATAACTTTCTGTAGCTTCTACATCAGCACTTGCTGCTTCACTTGCACTTTTATGTTATAGAGATGGCTTCTTTCTTTAAATCTCATGAACCAGCTTCAAACTTTTCTTCTGCAGCTTTCTCACCTCTCTCAGCCTTCATAGAATTGAAGAGAGTTAAGGCCTTACTCTGGATTAGGCTTTGGCTTAAGGGAATGATGAGGGTGCTTTGATCTTCTGTTCAAACCACTGAAACTTTCAGACCACTGAAATGTTATAAGCACAAACAAGTGAAGTATCTTAATAGTTCAAGAAGCATCTTCTGTGTTGTGTTATCCTTCTTCCCCAAAGGTAACCGGTATCTTAAATTTTGTGTTTTTACCTGTTTTTGAAACAGCATTAAGGCTGTTTCACTTTCTCATCATTCGTGCGTTCACTGGAGTAGCACTTTAAGTTTCCTTCAGGAACTTCGATGCAAGAGGCCCGGCTTTTCACCTGTCTGAACTTTTGACATGCCTTCCTCACTAAGCTTAATCATGTCTAACTTTTGATTTAAAGTGAGAGACTTGCAACTCTTTCTTTTACTTGAACACTTAGAAGCCATTTTAGGGTTATTAACTGACCTAATTTCAATATTATTGTGTCTTGGAATAGGGAGGCCTGAGGCGACGGAGAGAGATGGGGAGCGGCTGGTCGGTGGAGCAGTCAGAACATTTATTGATTAAGTTCGCTGTTTTATTTGGGCACGGTTGATGGTGCCCCAAAACAATTAAAACATCAAAGATCACTGATCACAGATCACCATAACAGATAATAATGAAGAAGGTTGAGATATTGCATGAATTACCAAAATGTGATACGGAGACACAAAGTGAGCACATGTTGGGAAAATGGTGCTAATAGACTTGCCGGACACGGGGTTGTCACAGACCTTCAATTTGCAAAAAGTGCAATATCTGCAAAGCACAGTAAAGTGAAGCACAATAAAATGAAATGTGCTTTTATTTACCTAATAGGATTTTTATGAGGATTAAATGAGATACATGGTAAAGAACTTATGTTCTGGCATCAGAGAACCTCTCTAACTCAGGGCAAATTACTTAAACTTTCTCCTTTGTTTTCATAATTACTAAGATGGGAGTAATGATAGCACCTACCTCATAGTGCTATCAGGACTCGAAGAGTTAATATATGTAAACCATTTAGTGTTGGCTATTTATTATGCTTGTGATATTACCAGTGTACAAAGCACTAAGCACAGTGCTCAAAATATTTTAGCTACATAATAAACGTTAGCTTTAGTAATGATGATTGTTACTCCTGTCCAAGAGTCTTTTGTTCCTGAGTGTGAGATAATAGCTTGAAATCAAAGGCCATGCTACCAACATATAACATGTATCCCAGATACCTTTATTTGAGCTTGCTTCCAAATTATTCTAGTCCTGTTTGAGTCTGGGGTTTATTATTAAAAAAGTTATTAACAGGAATGTATAGAATTAGCAGAGAAAATTTTGACTGTTGTGGTTTGTGTCAGCCAATTATTGGTGGTTTTTATGCATAAGCCAGGGCCAGTGCTTCAGAAATATATTGGTATCTTAATTTTCTTTAAATTATAATAATCAGAATGATTATTTTGAGGATTAAATTAGGTTGGTGCAAAAGTAAATGCAGTTTTTGCCATTAAAAAAAGCTTTGAATTAAAATAATGGCAAAAACTGCATTTACTTTTGCACCAACCTGACAATTTTCTGTTTTATGTTTTCTGTTTCTCTTCAAAGGACATGTACTACAGATTCTTAGTGTCTTTTTCTTTTATTGGAAAAAAAAGTTTATTGGATGCTAAATATCATCCAATAAACTTCCATATAATATTGGATGCTAAATATCATGTTATTGTGTTCTTTTAAGTTTCAGCACATTGTAGATCCTCAGTAATATTTCAGAGACCCTGGAGTTATATAATCCAAGTTGAAAGAGGATGCCGCCATTTTTAACTTTTTTAAGAGAAAAAAAAAAGGCTAAATTTGGCCTAGCTAAATGATGAGGGATTTATTCAGTTGACTTTTTTGAATTAATGTCACTTTGGCAGTCCCTTTCCTGGGATATCTAATTTATAGAGGGGTGGATGGAATGAATGCTTAGAACTGCTACTGAGGAAAGTCTAAGGAAGGTGTATTTCCAATGTTCCTTAACAGACTTTAGAGTTACATTTTTTTCATTTAATTAAATGCAGAATAGTAGCAGTTATAAACTGCTATTGTAGGCCCTCCAAAAGCAATAGCAGTCAGTAACCAGCAGGCTGACAGCAAGGGGAAAAGAAGAGTAAAAGTCATGTTATATAGTAGGTGGTTTGTTTTATATAAATTTTATTTTATATATGTTTTATGTATGTATGCATGTATTGTATGTGTATATATTTCTGTCATATATATGTATATAAAAGACAGATCAACACAGCAATACATCTTGTTAATGTTATAAGCACAAACAACCGAAATAGCTTACTATACTAGTTGAAGAAATATCTTCTCTTCTGAGTTATCTTTCTTCCCCATAGGTAGCCACTGTCCTAAATTTCGTATTTTTACCTCTTTTTGAATCCTCAGGCCTAAAGAATTTATTTATTAACTTATATGTTTTGAAGCATTCTTTGATACATTTTTTTTTTCTTTTGTAATCCTTTTTATTCCTTCATAGTGAAGAAATATGTTGCAAGCCAGAATGGTTTTATTATTTTACCTTTTCACCTTTTATTCTCCAGCCATCCTAGAGAATTTATTAAAATCACTTGACTTTCTTTTTATTAGTACTGTATTCCCAGACTGAGGCCAGCAAAGTAGATTTGATGGTTACCTTTACACTTCATCTTAGCCTAAAGATAGAGAAGTGATGATGGGGTGATTACCTTTAACATAATCATTTGGCATTGCAGATGATAGTCTATCCATGTGTTTATGTGGTTTTTGTTTATTTATTTTTGTTTTTTAGTATTCCACCTAGTGGGATGAGTGAGAAGTACATTTATGTTTGTGTGTGTGTGTGTGTGTGTGTGTGTGTGTGTATGTTTGGTTTTGTTTAAAGGTAGGGTGTTTCTCTTAAAAAATTAATGAACCTAACAAAAAAACAATGTTTAATATCATTTCTCACTTGGACATTTAGCCCTCCTTTATCTCTCCTCTCCTCCATCTCAGATTATAATCATTGTTGAAGAAGGTAAGAGTTTAGAAGGTGGGTAACTGTATTTTGTTCAGGAATAAAATTTACAGATTACAGTCGGCCATCCTATCCTCTACCCCAGTATTTGGGTTTTATAACAGTCTGTTCCAGTATTGAAAAGCTTTGAATTAGTCTGAATTTGGCATTCCATTGGGCATCCAATAGTGAGAAATGACCATTCCTACATTTTGGAAAGAAAAGTTGCAGTGAGTACTTCGCTCTTCTTTGAGTTACATGTATGTATGCATGTACCCTAGTGTGAGAGCAAAATTAAACTAATTTCAAGTTCTTAAGTGGCTTTAGTGATTGGAAAAAAAAATTAACTGACATCTCTGGAGGCTGAAATATTTTGTTTATCCACAGGTTTTTATGGGACTCAATTCTCTGGATGAGAAAAAAGCTCACTCTTCAAGAGGGTCAATAATTTGAGCCAGACAGGATAGCTACTGTAGAATTTAAATTGTTATTTTAATTTTGTAGAATTAGTGATGTATTTAGTGGAATTTAACATTCAATGTGTGTTATAGGATCCTGATGGAGAAAATGCTCGTAGGGCATTGCAGCGAACAGGAGGATCATTTCCAGGAGGACACGTCCCTGATATGGGATCAGGGTTGATGAATTTACCACCTTCCATACTCAATAATCCAAACATTCCTCCTGAAGTCATCAGTAATTTGCAGGCCGGTAGACTTGGTTCCACAATTTTTGTTGCCAATGTAAGTTCAAGCTTTAGTCTAAAATTTGTCATTCAGATAGATAGCTAATTTGATTAAATGAATGAGTTATAGGTTTATAGAACATTTTGCTTATTTTTAACTAAAGTAAGTGAAATAGTAATTATTGTAAACTCAAAATCAATTGACGTATATACATATATATACACACACACACACACGCACAAGGTTAGAGTTTAAATACAACTATTTGGATTTTTTAAACATGGAACTGTGCAGTTTATACACATTCAAGCAGTTCTTGAAATTATATGTGTTTTGGTTTATATTGGTAAATGGATTTCTTTTTTTAGTCTTGATATTTGTGAATATGCATGCCATAGTTGGTTTGTTATTTGTTCTAAGCATCTGAAAGTCAGTGAAAACAATACTTTTCAAAATCTGGATTTCTCTTGGTAAAAATAGATATGCAAGTTTCAAATGTACAAAACAGGTTTGAGCAGTTGAGAGATGATTTTGGAAATTAAAAAAAATAAGGATAAGGAACAATGTAGACGTAGCTTAAATGATTTTAAGCAACTGAAGATGTTTTAAAATTTGAACATTATCAATATATTGTTGAACTAGAATTATGGTTCTTTATGGTTTTAAGAGTTTAGAAAAGATTTTTTGTATTTACAGATGGGGAGATGGATTTATTAGGTATGTAACTTTATACAATTTTATATTAAGCTTGACTTCAAAGTTGGTTGGAAGAAGCTAAAGGAAGTGTTCAGCATAGCTGGAACTGTGAAGCGGGCAGATATTAAAGAAGACAAAGATGGCAAGAGCAGAGGAATGGGCACTGTCACTTTTGAGCAAGCAATTGAAGCAGTTCAAGCAATTTGTATCCTGATTTACATTTCAGCATTGTTTATGAGGTTGAAGAAGCATAATACCACCTTTGTTTTGGCGGGGGGTAATTGAATTTAAGGTTGCCTGGCTTAGAGATGTGTGTTAGACTTTAGTCTCCAGCAAATAAAACCCTTAGTAGGTCCAAGTATTAAAGTCACTCTTAAAACTTGAATTGGCCATATTGTACAGGGCTGGTATGAAGTTTTTTCTTTTCTTTCTTCCTACCACAATTAATTGTATACATGGATTTAACAATTGTGTAATCTATTGTATATTAATGCAGTTACTTTAAGCGAAGCCTTACGAGTTTACTTTTTTCAATGGTTGAATTAAAAATACATCTTATTGATGAAATAAAACCGTAAAGCAAAGAATTGAATATTTTTTTGAGTATATGAAAGTGGCTAATATCAATAAGTATTAAAGATGTTAATTAAAATATCAGAGAGTTGGACTCTAAGATTATTAAAAATTAGTTTGTGTTCTGTTATAATTTTATAGTTATCTTAACTGACTTTCCTTGACTGAACCAACAGCTATGTTCAATGGGCAGTTTTTATTTGATAGACCTATGCATGTGAAAATGGTGAGTTCCTGTATATCACTTCAACCTCCAACCTCTTCAGATCTTTTATTGGCTCTCTTCTACATTACAGTTCTTTGTGGTAATATGTTAACCATATTATAAACTTTCTTGCAATTAGGATGACAAGTCTGTTCCTCATGAAGAGTACCGTTCACATGATGGTAAAACACCACAATTACCACGTAAGTAAAAGCTATTATGAGAAACAACATAGGCTTTTTTTGGTTTGTTTTATTATGTGCTAAGCAACACTTTGTTTTTGTGCCTACATCCTAGTTTCTCACAATTTGGGATTAGTTTGGAGTTATGAAGATAGTTTGGCGCTATTGATTAGGAAGACTGAGAAGATAAGTGTTACGTGCCATTTTTTTTTTCTCTTTGGTAACTTTTCCTGACTAATCAGCAATACATTCTAAAATGTTTGGTAAATTTATACACTTGAAGGAAAAAAAGTCCTCTGTAATTTCACCATCTGTGGGTAACCTCATTATAACATTTTTGTGTATTTTCTTCTAGCCTGCTATGTATATTTTTTACATAGTTGGGAACAAAAATAATTTTGAATTATTTTTTGTTTAACATTAGAGTATAAGCATTTTTTCATGTTGAAGATTCTTTTCAAATATTTTTATTGGTAGTATAATAGTCTATCATATAGATGTTCCATAACTATTTCACTGTTCTGTATTTTAGGTGTTTTAACTTTTCTTTTGAGTAACCACAGAGTAACACATGCCTTTTTGTTCACAAATCTTTGTAATGTTTTTGAGTACTTCCTTCAGACAGATATTCTGAAGTAGATTTACAGTTCTCATGGGTTAGTATTATCAAATTGTTTTCCAAAATGACTATAACAGTGTAATATACTTATTGTATTATGTGTCTCAGTGCCTCTGTGTCTCAGTGCCTCCTTTGAAAAGTGGGGAGAATAATATTGTCTACGTCATGGGGTTGACATGAGTATTACATGAATTAATATATGTAAAGCACTTAGAATCATTTTGGCATAATGTAAACACTCAATAAATATTAGCTATTGTTTTTACTATTTCACTGCATCTTCTCTGGTTTTTAAAGTATTCTTATAAGAAATCTTAAATATACAGACAAAAGTAAAATTACTCATATAGTTATCATATGCCATATTTGTTGTAGATTTTTTTCTTTAAAATAAATAAAATTTTATGGTAAAATGGAGCTTCCCCATCTCCCTTGCCCATCTTTCAACTTATGCCTTATCCAGAGGAAACAACTTATGGATAGAGTATTTATCATTTAGGTTTTAATAATTTGACTACACATTTGTACATCCATAAACATAGGGAATTGTTTTGTTGGATTTAAAATTTTGTTTGAGTGATATCATAATGTATTATGTAACTTGCTTTTTTTTTTAAATTGTTTTTGAGATTCATTTATGTTGATAGATGTAGCTCTAGTTTCTTCATTTTAACTGCTGATACCACATTTTATACATTTTTCTGTTTTTTAGGTTATTTTAATTTTTAGTTATTGTGTATTAAGTTGGAAAGTATTTGCTATTTTTTATCAGAATTATATGTTCTCTTTATATTTGCTAGAAATTATGTGTAAAACTGGCCTTCCTCTGTTGTTTCTGGGAAGTTTTTAACTACTGATGGTTTATATTTTCTGTCTTTTTTTTTTGAGTCAATTTTTGTAATTTCTATTTTTCTAAGGATTTTTTCTGTTTTTGTTCATTTTCAAATATTTTGGCTTAAATTATCTCTTAAGTTTTTGCTACATCTATGTTTCTGTTTTAAAAATTCTGAATGCAATTTTTATTTTTTTCTTGGTTAATTTTGTTAGAAATTTGTCGGTTTTAATAGAGTATTCAAATAACTGAATTTGGATGTTTTGTATTTCTAATTTCTGCACTTAGCCTTATTATTTTTTCCTTCTATTTATTGGGGTTTAGTGTGTTTTTGTCCTAACTCCTTAAGTTGAATGCTTACTTCAAATTGGTAGCTTTTCCTTTCTAATATAAGCATTTATGACTATAAAGTTAGTACATGGGTTTTGCTATGGAGCATTTTTATGATGGGTCAGTTTTTAGAGTATTTAAAAATTACCATTATGGGCCGGGCATGGTGGCTAACACCTGTAATCCCAGCACTTTGGGAGGCCCAGGCAGGTGGATCACTTGAGGTCAGGAGTTCGAGATCAGCCTGGTCAACATGGTGAAACCCCGTCTCTACTAAAAATACAAAAAAAAGTAGCCAGGCATGGTGGCGCATGCCTGTAGTCCCAGTTACTCAGGAGACTAGGGCAGGAGAATTGCTTGAACCTGGGAGGCAGAGGTTGCAGTGAGCTGAGATCGTGCCCCTGCACTCCAGCCTGGGTGACAGAGGGAGACTCTGTCTCAAAAAAAAAAAAAAAAAATTACCATTATGATTTCTTATTGAGCCATGTATTATTTGAAAATGGAAGTTTTCAATTTCCAAATGTATGAGTTTTTTTTTTTTTCCTTTGTACTTTTTCATTTTAATGTGGTCAGAGAACATGGTTTATATGTGAGTGTGATTCTTTGGAATTCATTTGGACTTATGGATGGCCTACCATATGGCACATTTTTCTTAAGTATTCTGGGTACAGTTGGTGAGTGCAGTGATCTATATGTGTTCATTAAATCAAGTTTGCTAATCATTTAAATTGTCTTAGATCCAATACTTTTTCTGCTGTAACACTGTTTATCTTATTATCTTATGTGTCTGGTAAAATTGCCCAATAGAATAGTGGATTTGTCTACTTTTTCTTGTTTTTACTTAAATATTTTTAAGCTAGCTTAGTAGGTGCATCTAGATTAGAATTGATATATTTTCCTAGTGAATTAAAAATTTTATTGGGTGATTTTTTTTCTCTAGTAGTTACTTTGAGTCTTTGGTCTCATTTTAATGTAAGTACAGCAGCTTTATTTTGTTTAGTACTTGCCTGGTACATTTTTCCTATTTTTTTACTGTTTCAGGCATGCCCCTTATAAAGGGTGTTATTGCTGGGCTTAGACTTTTTAAAAAAATCACTTTGATAGTTTTTTTCACCATGAAATTGAAGAGTTCAATTTCTTCACATGTATTGGTTCATTTGGATTAATTTCCATTATATTGTGTCTTATTTTTTTGTCTTACAAATACTTATTTTACTCCTATCTTGGATTCTTCTGGATATTTTAATATTTCTGTGAAGCCTGAAGTTAATATAATTATTCTTTTATGTAATAGTAGAGTGACCTTTGGATACAGTCACTTTCCTACTGAATTATACTATCATTGCTCAGCATTTTAGTTCTGTATTATTAGTTCTGTACTATTTTTTTTTCTGTCCTGCAAATTAGACAATGTTATTTACCATTTTCTTGTGTCATCACTCCTCTGCTTTTATAGACTCTGGCACTAATTTTTTTCCCCTGAAGCATATATGTTAGAAGCTCTTTTAAGTGAGGATCTTTTATTAGTAAATTCTCTCAATTTTGGGTTTTAAATGTTTTCAAAGATAGTTTAACTTGTATAAAGATTGATAATTATTTTCTCTAAGCACTTTGAAAGTATTCTACAGTCTTCATGTTTACACTGTTGCTATTAAGTCAGCTATTTGTTGAATCGTCCTTTCTTTATAAGTAATCTGTCCTTCCTGTGCAGTTTGTGCAGTTTGACAGCAAAGACCAAAGTCTTAAAATCAGCTACATGTCATTATGCAAGCAACCTAAGGTCTCAAAAATTTCCTCTTCTATGGACAATAGATGTGGAAACACTTAAGGTGCCATATAAATATAAATAAATATTTATATCAATGAGAAAACTAGGTAATATAATATTTGCCTTATTCAGTGTTATACTTTCATGGTTATTGACTTTTTAGTTTGATTTGAACCATTTAAAAAGTAATTATCAAATTTTAAGTGGGTCTACAAATTTGGGCAAGATACTCATTTTCAGATATGTGTGCCATATATAAGGTGATATGATATTATTCAAAATCCTCTAGGTATTTTATTATTCCTCTCAGTGTACCTTTAAGTGGGGTATAAGGTGTACTTTGTATTATATCATGTTTTATTTCATAAAACACTTCTCATTAATAAATGGTTTTATAGTCGGGCTTCAGTGTGCTACTTTCTAGACAAAAACAAGAACCAGTGCTTTTATATGAAAATTTGCAGAAATTTTACAGATACTACTACAGGTATATAGCTTTTTAAAAAATTTTATTGCCAATTAGTTAATCATATATGGATCTTTGTAATGATTGTTCTCATTTTTGTTTTAGGTGGTCTTGGAGGCATTGGGATGGGACTTGGTCCGGGTGGACAGCCTATTAGTGCCAGCCAGTTGAACATAGGTGGAGTAATGGGAAATTTAGGTCCAGGTGGTGAGTATTCTAACTTCCTCTTTTCTTTTTAAATGATACATATGCTAGCTAATAAAGCCTCCATTGATGTGGTCTGTAATAATGTTTAAAGGACTCTAATTAATAGTTAGATATTTACGGTGTCACTTCATTCTGAAAAAGGAATGAAACCTTGAGCACAGCTAACATGAAAGAGATAGGCAGAAGTCAGGAGGGTTTCTTTGGGGCCAGCTATGTTGTAGCTAGCCTTTTAGCATTTTGGATTTTGAAATGTCTTGAAGGCAGAAGGAGAATATATCATCTATGAACAGTATTTATGGAGTAGCTGAAATGCTACCATATCATAGGCAGCTAAAATCTGTTTATCCATTTGGGAAGGTGGCTTTTCAGGTAGTTATTTGGCTGCTCACCTGGAAGAACTCACAGTTCATTTTTAGAGATTGGTTTTTAAACTTTGGTGTTAGGACCCTTTTATATTTTAAAATTTGTTGAGAACCCGAAAATGCTTTGTTTATGTAGTTATAATTACCAGTATTTACTGTATTATAAATGAAAAATTAGAAATTAAAAAAATTACATATTAAAAAATGATAAACTCATTACATGTTAACATACATAAAAGTTTTAAGAAAATAAACTATTTTTCAATGCAAAAAAGAAATTGGTGAGGAGAGTGGCATTGTTTTACCTTTCCACACATCTTTTTAATGTTTGGCTTAATATTGCTGTTATATCTGTTTCTGCACTTTAGTTTTTTGTGATATTGTACATCATATAGTGTTTGGAAAATTACACCTTAAACTCAAGAGAATGAGGGTAAAACATCAAATAATGTCTTAGTAGTATTTGGTGACTTAAATAGTTTTGACCTATTGAACCCTCAAGAGTCCCTGGACCATACTTTGTGAATTACTGTTTTAATTGATGGACTAATAAATGCTATCAGATTCCTATTTTGTCAAGATGCTGTAGTCACACTTTAAATTATGAGGCTCATTATCATAATCATTCTGATCCAAACAAGTTTTCTCCCTTACCCTTAGACTCTCACACCTACCTACCCTCTCCTAAATACATACTATTTATATTTTGAAAATTTTTACTGCTCTTTTAACTGCGATGTTTAGAGAGTCCTTACATTCTGGCCTGATCTCTAAATCTGCTGTAATGCTATTTCTGTGTCTATGCTGGAAAAAAAAAATCATTGATAGTAGTATTTCTGTGTTTATTGTGGAAAAAAAAGTGAATGATTACCTAGTTCAAGATATTCTCTAACTGAATGTTGTGGGTGTTACTAGTGAATTTTGCTTTCTTGTCTGATAAATGTTCAAAGAAACCCTTTTGAAGATTCATGATTAGACAGCTGCTATGGCATAGCACTTTAAACCATGCCTCCTGTACCCTACCGCTTCTCTAGTGTTTCATTGTGGTTATACCAGTGGTATCTATTTTGCTATAATGCATTATATCATCTTTTAGTCATAAAAATAAAATATACTTAAAGTACATACTGTGTATTTTATTTGAGGTATGGGAATGGATGGTCCAGGTTTTGGAGGAATGAATAGAATTGGAGGAGGTATGTATAAAGATTTGTTTTTTTGTATGTACCCATCACCATTTTTAATAAACTAGAAACTGTGTTGAGAATTCCATGAAAAAAAAGTCATGGTTTATTGTTGGCTCATGTTCTAAAGGCTGCTAGCAGAAATTGAGCCTGGTACATACTTAAAGGAAGGTGATGTGTTAAGAAGTAGCTGCACAAGGTAGGGTGGATGAAGAGCTTACTGGTGAGATTTAACATTTACAAAACGTACCTTTCAGCTACATGACTGACAGTTGGATCTCAAAATTAATCTTTATTCCATAGGAATAGGGTTTGGTGGTCTGGAAGCAATGAATAGCATGGGAGGATTTGGAGGAGTTGGCCGAATGGGAGGTAGGTAAATGTATGCAGTGGGAAGTGTGTGCATATTTAGTTTTCCCTATTATTAATATTTCCCCCCTATAACTTAGGAATGTGTGCTAAAAATGTCTTCAGAAGGCATATAGGCACTAGGGGATAAGGACAGGCCTGGGGAATGGGGATGATATGTGTGGCATGTGAGGTAAATTGGGTAAATGACAGACTATTTTATATTTGTGACTTACGCGTCTTTTCATAATTTAGATACATTCCTGAATGTTTTCAACATGTATTGATATATTTGAAAAGGTTAATTTGTTGCACAATTTTTTCAGAGCTGTACCGTGGTGCGATGACTAGTAGCATGGAGCGAGATTTTGGACGTGGTGATATTGGAATAAATCGAGGCTTTGGAGATTCCTTTGGTAGACTTGGTAGGGCTGGCTGCATACTTCTCCTTTTCTTTTTGTAGGCTATAATTTTTGAAATTTGGTTTCTCTTTTTTTGTGAAAAATCAGAAAATCATAATGTTTTATACAACTTATTACCTGAAGAAAACACTTTAAGGATTTTAATATGCTAGCTCTCTTTTTCAACATCTTACATATTTGAACTCTATTTTCAGAAGACTTTATGCTTTTCATTTATTGTAAATCAGAGCACATAGTACCTTGGGAATTTTAAAGTATGATTATTTAAAATTAATTAGTATATTATCTTTCCATCCTTGTTTAGGCAGTGCAATGATTGGAGGGTTTGCAGGAAGAATAGGATCTTCTAACATGGGTCCAGTAGGATCTGGAATAAGTAGGTTTAAATTTTACTAGAATTTATTCAGTAATATTTGAGTGCTTGCAAAGACTTTGCAAGAGTAGTTATCGTAGTATAGTAATACTTTGTTCTTATACGTTAATGTGTCTTGCTATAATTTGAGAAACCTTGATAATTGAGCAAAGCCTTTCTGTTTGATTATTGTTTGAAATTTCTAAATTAACTGTTTGAATTTTACTTTTTTGATATTTCTAAACTATGTGTTAACAGCCAATCCAGGAACCTTCTTTCCAACTAAGGAATCTGGGGATTTCTCTGATCATGTTTCAGGAGCAACTTTTGCTTTAGCACCAACTTTGTTTCCTTGCTTATTTTCTATAATAGCTATTAGTGACTAGCTTATTTTATTTGTAAACATCTATGTCTTTTGGTAAATGCAGATATAGCACTCTTAGGCATCTCCTGAGCTTGAGTCAGGCTAAGGTTGAAAGAGGTACTTAATTCTTTTCCTCTTGAACCTTTCCCGTAATAGCATCAAGAGTAGTTGCAACACTGGGGAATGCTGAATCTCCCATCCGTCTATTTCCACTCCTACCTTTTAGGCCTTATATTAAGCCTGAATACATGGATTATTTATTTATTTTTTTAACCTCTTTTGCTTACTGGGACATGTCTCTGAGCTCTCCATACTTTATTGACTTCCTTTAATTGATCAAATTTCACAAATAGAAAATACAACCTATTTAAACTATTCTAAAAGTAAATTCTAAAATCCTGTCAGCTTAAGACGTCTACTTCCATTGTATCTTGCTCCTTTTATTCCTCCTTCCATCATCTTTTAGCCTCAGCCATTTCCTATTAGTCCTAACTTCCTTACCTTCCTCTTTTATCTCAGTGTTTGTACTTCTGTTTCCCTGATTTTATATTGGTTATTCACAAAAAGCCAATTTGAGGGTGATGTTAATTTTTAGAATTTCCATGTTTGGGGATATTACATACAAGACAAAAGGTTTGATAATGAGTAAGATGGGAGCAATTGAAAAGGACAGGAAATCGAGTCAGTGCATAAGAATGAAGTAGGTATGAGTTCGGAGCTAAATTCTTAAGCTCTGGCTAACGGGAAGTGATAGCATTTTTTGTTCCCTTGACAAGTTCCGTGTAATATTGAGATTAAAAGTTATGTTTTGCTATGAGTATTGAATTACCATGAGAATAAAAACTGGGAAACAGAGGTGAAGATGCTGAGGTGAAAGATAAGCTAGGAAAGGAGTATTTACTTGTAGGAGAGTATGATGAGAGCGGCTTGAGTGCTAGAGTTGTAATAATTTGCATTTATCTCTGTGTATCTTTATTTTAGCAATTATTATGCTTGATATTATTGGAAAATAAAAATAAGGATCAGAACAACTGTCCTGTTATTGGAAGCAGTGATTGGTAGAGGATTTATATATTTATATGATATATTTAGTGATCAGAATACAATTTTATACAGTTATATATGCATAATGTATTTATACAGTGGCTAGAATTTCTCAGCTAACTAAATGTATATGTAAGCAAATTCTGTTCTTTGGAAAGTTGTTATCTGTATGAAAATAATTTTATGTTTTTATATTATTTAATTATATAAACAAATTAATTTCCCCCTTCTTTCTCAAAAATGTTTATCTCCTTTTCCTCCTTTCTCCTCTTCTCCTTTTCCTTATGTTTTTGAAACAAAAACACAAAATTCCCAAATCCCCCCGTCCTTTCTTGAAAATCCAGGTGGTGGAATGGGTAGCATGAACAGTGTGACTGGAGGAATGGGGATGGGACTGGACCGGATGAGTTCCAGCTTTGATAGAATGGGACCAGGTATAGGAGCTATACTGGAAAGGAGCATCGATATGGATCGAGGATTTTTATCGGGTCCAATGGGAAGCGGAATGAGAGAGAGAATAGGCTCCAAAGGCAACCAGATATTTGTCAGAAATGTAAGCAAATAAATATTAAGGATAATTCAAATTCTTTTTTTTCTTGTATATATGTTACTAATACCTCTTTTCATTCTAGCTACCTTTTGACTTGACTTGGCAGAAACTAAAAGAGAAATTCAGTCAGTGTGGTAAGTATGCAAATGACTGCAGATATGTTGATATTGATTATGGAGGAAAATTGGTTTTAAACTTTTATACACTGTGTTTAGACCTTTGCCTGTCCGGATGCCTATTCCTGGATAGTCTTGATAGCGTGCCAGGTCTAATTCCACTTCAAATAAATGAATTATTTCACTATCTTTTGACTTAGAGCAGTGCTATTACTACTAGGTAATAACAAGGTTTAGGTAACAAGGTTTAGGATATACCCTATCATTGTTTTCTGTTAATAAAGATAGGGCTTATTTTATTACCTCATTTTAAAAAGATAAATATATTATCATTCTTTGCATTAAACTTTTTTTCTCATGAGAAATATTAATAAATGGTATATTTATTTCCTTGTTTATAGTATAGTGCAGGGGATTATCAGCATAACCAACTGAGATGCTGATGTCCAATTGATAAAGGAGTTAATAGGTGAGACCCATTCTACATACACTGTATTCCTACCCAACACAGGAAACCTAGCTGGTAGCATACAACCCACTGTCAGGAATGCCTTGGACATGGGTACATTTTGGTTGCCCTTCTTATTCTTTTATAAACTGTTCTTAACTATAATGATACTACTTATACAACCTTAATGTGTTCCACAGGTCTGTGGAAGATTAGGTGGTTTATCACTTTTAAAAAAGAGCTTTTTATATACCATACTTAACTTTTGTTACAAATATCTTAATTGACTAAATTCTCACTTTTTCTTTCTTTTGCAATAATGAGAGAATTCATGTGAGTGTTATAAAGTAAAATATTTTTTGCTAGTATTAATATTTTTCTGCTATTGCATGGAATCTCAGCGACTGTAGTCACAATAGGAAATTACATAAGATAGCATATATATAATTTCTGAGGTCATGAAGGAATAGGTTTAGTGTTCTGTCACAAAATAGCCTTTGTGGCCACTACAGAGATAATATTATCTCATATTTCTTTATATCTAACTCTTTTGTAGCTTTTATTATATTAATAGTTATTTGTTCAAGTTTTCTTCCATCCTACGTGGAAGCTCTTGAAGGCAAGAATTGTCTTTTTATCTTAGCTCCTTTTATTGCCTCTGTACATATGGTAAGAGTTTATGAAAAGTTTATAAGTTAAGCATTCTGGGTAGATGTTCATTTATTCAGTAATTTATTCATTAAATCCACAAACATATTTTTGGCAGTCTGTTAGGCCCTAGAATTTTGAAGGTGAACAAAGTGAGATGCTCCTGCCCTCAAAGAACATACAACATGAATTTGTCTAGGATGTTCTGTTGACTCTCTTTCTTGATCATCCTTTTATTTTGAACTAATCAAAAATTCAAGAAAAAGTTGTTGAAAACAAGTTAACTGGTTAATAGTCACCACTAAGAGAAAGCAAAATAGTAAAGTGGCCTTGAGGTATTGGTCTTCTTTGCAGGAGTAAGAAGATCTACCAGAATGAGTAAGCAGTGTCTGGCCATGAATCCTGTAGACTACAGAGGAAAGAATGTATATAGGGTCTTAGTGAAATACATCAAATGAGGAACAGTGGCAGCAAGTATAATCTGTGTTGATTTAGTTTGAGTGAAAAAAAAAATCTCCAAATGAGATATGACATTATGTTAAAAGTAGAAATGAAACTTAGCAAGATAAAGAGCAAAGCAGGACAAAGAAATGACAATGAAAAGGTGACCATTGTTGAGTTGACTGTTCTTTATTCTTTGTAGGCTGCTTTCTGTTTGAGGTTAGATATGAGCAAGGCTTGCAGCAAACTTCAAGTGTTTGGTGGGCTTCTGGTTGGAGTGGCATTGTTTTGACATGAGGACATCAGCAATTGCAAGACATTTTTTGAAAGGAAAAAACATTCAAATCTACATAGAAAATTTTTATAGTATGTTAGCCATATAAAATAATGGTTAAATTATTATTCTTTACTTTGCTATTTTAGCTCTATTCTTATAATCCTTTTTCGATTATAATTATATTTTAAGATTAATGATTTTTGTTTTATCAATTCTTTTGTAAAAGTTTCTGACTCTTAGATTTTATATTAAGATAATACCATATTTACACAATTCCCTATATCTCCCTTATTTTTAACCTTGAACTACATTGATGGAAAAGTTATAATAATATAGAATTAAGTGTCCAGCTATTGACAACTATACAAATTATCTAGCTAGTATGAACTGAACCATCCATTTTTCTGCCATGTCACTTATTTATAAATCTTTTTCTTAGTATGAGACATTTCTTTTTAACATGCTGCAAGCCAGTAATGGCCTCTTGGGCAGTAAAAGGCAGTCTTCTGTTGTTGTTTTTCTTGTAAGCCCAAAGAGAGTAAGTATATTCTCTTGCTTGCTTCTTAGTAAGAATCTAGTAGTACTCCTTGCATCTCCCATAAACAATATCTGTCAGTAAAGGGTGCCACTGGCAACCCCCTCTGCTTATAAATTATCTCTAGTGATTAACTGTTCTTGATGGAGTAATTACAAAGGCTGAGTAAATGTTATATTATGGGTTATATTACCCTCAATAGAACATTTTCTCAGCCTTTGTAATTCAGAAAAGATTGTTTTCAGATCTTTCCAAATATAACAAGATGAGAAATAAGTGAATATAACTGCTATTTTCTGGTTCCATCAAGCCCCTAAAGGTAACATTTTTGACCCCAGGCTGGTAAGATACACATCTTTCCTGTAGCAAAAGAGATCTATCTTTTTATCTTGCCTTGTGTAATTCCTCAGAGAGATGCATTTTCAAAAAGGCTGAGTATAAATAAATTAACCTATTTAGTATTGGACCCCACATCATTTCAGCTTGTGCTAATAGGGTCAAATGGGCATAGTCTTTTAAATGTGCTCCCATGTCATCTGTATACTTTAGCTGCATTCTGGCCTTCTGGCTCAGTATGATGCAAGACTATAACATTTTAGAACTTCAGCACAAGGAAAACCCATTCTCAGTTATTCCTGCTATAAGCCATATAAACAGATATAACTTTGTTCCACAGATTTCCATTATGTAGTATTTCTACATCAGTGTGCTTGTCAACTGCATGGAAAATGGAGGCTTATGGTAGATTTTATTGATTAAAGTACTTGCTGCTTCAAGCATTTTGAGTGGACTTTAGAATAACTTAACAGTAAAATTGCAGTAATAGTACAAATGATATATGATGAGCATTCATTGATAGGCTCTGTCTTTTGTTTGTAAAGAAACAACAGAATACTTTGCTTTTCTATCCCTTATATCCTTATTATGTTTTCTTATCGTAGAATTTCTGATTTTCCTGTTTTCATCCGTGGTTGTGTTAACTTCATGTAGGCAGTAGATTTTATTGAACATCCTTTAATTTGGTCTATTTTTACATGTGTTTTTATACTGGCATATCCCAAAATATACCCCACAAGATGTTTATAGACTGGGTTAAATAAAACAGAAAGGTTTCTTTTACTGTGGGACAAATCCTTTTTATTACTAGTATATGTAACAGCAATATGTTTGATTATTCTGTGATACTGATTTCTCATGGCATACTATTTTGTCCTGTGCTGTTGCCAAAATATCAGTCCTGTTTTTGTTTTCTTGGAATCGTACAAGATTATTAGATATTTAACTTAGTTGAGGAAGTTCTCAGAGCATGTAAAAAGTCAGGCAGGTTTGATTTTAATCAGCTATTTGAAACTAATTTTTTTCTCCTCAATTATTTATCTTTAGAAAAGAAAATATTTCAGTTGGTGTTTTTATAGGATCAGGAAGAAACTTAGAACATCTATAACTCTTTCTGGTTCTGTACTGCTGGGATTCTTTTTAGGGGAGCAGTCTAACCATAAAACAAATATTTATGGGCTACTGTCCATATAGCTTGAACATCAGAACTGTGAGGAAGTTGAAGTATCTTAGCTGAGGGAACTTGTCAACTAGAAAATTTTTGAGGTCATTGTGAGGTCAGGAATTTGGAGGTCTGAGTGCTGATTTCTAAACTGAAAGAGGCAATTTAAGAGAAAAACAAAAAAGAGAAACTGTCCTGAAAGATCGAGAGACAGATTATGCAAGAAATAGTGACATATTTTCTTTTGAGGTTTTGAAGATTTCTTGCTTAGGTGAACTTTACTATTGCTGATAAATCTATGATGGGATACTTAAGAAAAACTCTACGTTTTTAGGTAAAATTAAGATAAGGAAGAACCTTTAACCTTAAAAGCCCTTGAAAATCCTCCACAGTTCTTTTCAAAATAACTGTAAGGTGCTGTCATTTACCAACAGCTTCTTTAATTAAACTTGCTTTTTTTCAGGTACCAGCATTCAAGATATTAAGAGGACTCTGGAAATTGTGCTGCATTTATCTTTAAATTGTTTTAAAATGTGTTTTCCAGTTTCATTTTATGATGTTTATTAGAAAGTGTGATTGCTATGTTTTTGCTTTTTTTCCCCATTTCATTCCAGTTGTGGGCTAAATATTATTTGGATCTACTTTAACCATTATCATGTAATTTCTCTGGAGATTAGCCTATTTTATAACTTTTCAGAACACATTTAAAGACTATCTGGCCTGTGTAACAAGATACTGGTTTTGTCTCAGTATGACATTTATTATCCTAGACCATTTAATTAGTGTTTAGTAGGTGAGCAGTTGACTACCAGTTGGTTTTCAAAAAGAAATGCAGTAATAGGGAGTGGATGAAAAAGTGAAAGTATAAAGTAGTCCATCATGTTATAGGTAAGAGATTATTCAGATCAAGATTTCAACAGAAAAAAATCTTCCTTATGGATTGATATTAAAGTTTGATCTTATCATCTGGAAAGGGCTTATGCAGTTTTTCGACAGGTCCTCTTGCTTTTACCTTTCTCCTTTTTTTTCTCCTCCCTTCCTAGAACTAAATATGTCTGGCTGTCTGATTTGGTTGCCAGACTAAAATTAGCCCATAGTGATCTGGCAACTATAATATTTAAAGTCTTCTAACTTGATTTGTTTTGACATGTACATCTAGTGGGGAGGGAAATATTTTGGTAA
Source organism: Homo sapiens (assembly GCF_000001405.40). Classification (NCBI taxonomy): domain Eukaryota; kingdom Metazoa; phylum Chordata; class Mammalia; order Primates; family Hominidae; genus Homo; species Homo sapiens. Next base: position 48,144,020 of record NC_000015.10, on the reverse strand, counting down.
GTAGTCACACCCTAAATTTATGACCTGTTTGGATTGAGTGACCATGTATTCCAGTTTGCCTGGGGATAGTCTCCCTTTACATCTGTTACTTATGTGTAATTATTGATAACTCCCCCTTTTACTCTCAAAAGTGTTCTATTGTAGTGATGAATTCTTATGGCCACTTTTTATTTTGATAAATGGTATTGATTTACTTCAAATACGAGTCTCTAGAGTTAGCAATGATATTATAACTGCATAAGGACAGGTTTCTGGTTTTCTTCCTCTTTCCTGAAGCTTCTCTGATATTCTCCTTGACATCACTGTTTTTACCTTTATTGATTTAAATCTGTGCTATCTCTTCCCATGACTATTTCCGTAGCATATTTGGTGCCATTCTTAAGACTTTGAGCTCAAACTGTGATATTGAATAAACGGCTTTGGCACTGTGGTTGCAAAGCAGAATTAGTGGGGCCCTTTGTAGCCTGATAGAAATTAGATTTCTGGTCAGTTGCACTTGTTTGCAGGGGATAAAGGAGTGAAATGAGGATAAAAGGGAAGGAAGAGAGATTAGGGAGACTGAGCAGTAAGCAACCGTTTATTCTAAAAATAATTTTGTTTAAATATGTAAGTTTGTTATAGGGCATGGTGAGTTGGCGGCATTTTGTGCTAGCTTGACTTATTGCTTATAAAATTAACCTCAGGAATTAGGGATTTAACATAAATAAAATACATTAAATCCTAAGAAAATCTTTCCTGATTCCAATTTTGTATATTCTAATATGTATATATTTATTACTTTGTATGAATTGTATTTTAGTCCAAATATAATGCTTATATTATTTATTTTAAATAATTAATGTTTTTAATCAAATTAATTATCACAATTGGCTATGAGGAATTTCAAACCTATAAAGTGAAATAGAACTTATTTAAACTGACTAGTAATTCTGTAACTTTTATTTTACAGGTCATGTAATGTTTGCAGAAATAAAAATGGAGAATGGAAAGTCAAAAGGCTGTGGAACAGTCAGATTTGACTCCCCAGAATCAGCTGAAAAAGCCTGCAGAATAATGAATGGCATAAAAATCAGTGGCAGAGAAATTGATGTTCGCTTGGATCGTAATGCATAATTTCAAGCCATGGTTGGAACATTCCTACATCTGTTTTGCTGAATCTCCTAGTAAAAGTCATTTTTTTAAAGTAATATTGTATGCTTACAAAAGCTGTAAAAATGAACTTTTAAAACTCCCACCAGCTTTTAACAGTATAATGTTAAAAATATACTGTAATTTTTGTTAATCTCAAGTTTGGGTTTTTAAAGACAGCAAGTCTGGTCATTCAGTTTAAATGAATGGTTATACTGTTTTTAATGAAATAAGCCATTTTCTTGTTGTTTTCAGTACTACATAGTTGGATTTGTTTGTTCTAGTTTCTCCAGTTTTTGTCAACTTATTGTATGGTAAAACATAGATTTTTTCCCCCCAAACTTCTGTTTTATAATATGTAATTTTTCATGAAAAGAAAGGGCTCAGAAAAATTAGGATGTGATTTTGGTTGGTTTTAAATTACTGTAAGTTTTAGATTCTAAGGTTCAAGATTTTTAAAATTTGATTTAAATGAAGAAATGGATTTTTCTCTCTGCCCCTCCCTGCCATTCATATTTTCTGCATAACACTATTAATAATATCAACCTCCACAGCCCCTTATTTTATTATTTCCAATAATTCCAAGTTCATATAGAACTGATAATGTAGCAAGCCCCAAGTATGATAATAGGCAGACTATTCCCAACTTTCTGTCTAGTTTCCAGCCATTGAAGTGAACTGCTAAAAAAAGAAAAATAATTGAAATGTTGAGAGAGATGGTTATGTAAGTTAGTCCTCTGCTGTTTACTTCTGCAGGAGCTGATCCATTTATAAATGCAGTTTTAATAAACCATGGAATACCAAGGCACAACATATCAAACACATTGGATCCCACGATGTTAGACATAGCCATATCTCCTTTCCCTACAAAAGAAAAGCATACTGTTAAAATGTGCTTACCAATACTGTGTTTTATTAATAATCTTCATAAGAAAAGAAACACTGGATACTTTTTTGTTGTTGATTCGTTTTGAAAAATTGTTGTTAGAGCAAAAGTCTTACTGAATTTGTATTTTTAAATTTTTCTTGGGTTAGTATTTAAAGTCTTAACATTTATTTAATAATTATATTTATTAAACCATTTTTCAATAAGGTATATAGCTTATTTGTTGCTTTTCATTGTAATTTAACATGGTTAATGGTTAATTACTATTTAACACACATTTCAAATGAATATTATTTGGGGGATTAGATTGAGTGAAATTAACCTGCTATTAAATAGTAAACTTTTCCTCTGGAGTCACTTTTTTCCCCCTTCAAAGTATGTTACTGAGGAAGTAAACTTTTTTTTTTTTTTTTGGTTTTTGTTTTTTGAGACACAGTCTCGCTCTGTTGCCCAGGCTGCTGGAGTGCCGTGGCGCAATCTCGGCTCACTGCAACCTCCGCCTCCTGGATTCAAACAATTCTCCTGCCTCAGCCTCCTGAGTAGCTGGGATTACAGGCACATGCCACCACGCCCGGCTAATTTTTGTATTTTTAGTAGAGACTGGGTTTCACCATGTTGGTCAGGCTGGTCTCAAACTCCTGACCTCGTGATCCACCCGCCTCGGCCTCCCAAAATCCTGGGATTACAGGCGCGAGCCACCACACCCGGCTGGAAGTAAACATTTTTAAAGCTACTTTTACTCATTCTAGCCTTGTAGAATGACCATTGCAGCTTGAGGGACCTAGTTCTTACCTTTTCTTGCAACCAACACACTTGCAATTGTGTCTGGTATGCTTGTTCCTGCTGCTAATAAAGTAAGGCCCATTACTGTATCGGGAATTTCTAGTGTTTCCCCTGTAATAAACAGATATTTCAAGTTACAAATCTTAAAGATTCACTAACCATCCTTTGCAGTTATTTTGGATATTTCCTTCGTGAACAAAAATAAAATAGGCACATTTAGAATTCAGAGCCAATATGTGCTTGCTTATTAGTTTTTTAGCTAGCAACATATTTGAATCAGGCTGGTAATTCGGGTAACCCAGGTAGCACAGATTTTTAATGACATATCTAAAGATACGTAACAGCTAAAATTCTGCCAGTGAGAAATTTTCCTGTTTGATATTCTTACAAAAGATGTTTATGTCCACCATTATCTCATCAGGGCTGTGCTGAATATTTGATAATGAGACTGATCATTCCGCTTTTTCTTTCTTAAAAATATTAGTCAGAGTTAAGCAAATTAATTATAGCTATCTTTAAGCTATAAATGTGTTAACATGTATATATACCATTTATTATGTTCTACTTTAGTGATATACCTTAATTTAGTGGGCTTTGGCAGGGCGGGGGAGGGGGAACGTTCATTAATCTCTGAGGAAAACAAAACCTGTTTTCTACTTGAGTCTAACATATGGTCCCAATTTATTAATACTTCTGTTAAATTTGATGTCAGGTCAACATTTTTCAGAAATGTATTTATTCTCAGAAACAGAACCAGAGAGAAGTTAAACAAAAGGTTATGTAACTGTTCCTTTAATGTTGTAATTGAAAACTTGGTTTAGCGTCTTTTTTTTCTTTCTCTTTTTTTTTCTTAAAATGCCAACTAAAATAATTAGAAAGTAGCTTATTTATTGCATGCTTATACATTGATATTGGAATTGGAATTGGTTGTTAATTTCTGTTACTGGCTTTGCTAGAATTCATATGTGCATAAATAACACTAATATTTATCATCTTGGGGGCTGTTCTGTGATCTATTACATGATTTTTGCTCTCTTTTTATTTTTCTAGTATCAAATGTGTTCTGGCTGAGTGAATTTGGATAGATATAATATGCAAGCTAATTGGACTTTTTCATTTTTCTCATTAAAAAAAGGAAGAAGTAGTCCACTTTTTGCTAGCATACTATTCTGAGACTTACATTAATTTGGGAAAAGTCAAGGGTCAACAAATTTTTGTGTCTGTGAGGGGCCAGATAGTAATTATTTAGGCTTTGCAGGCTGTGTGATTTCTGTTGCAGTTATTCAGCTTTGCCAATGTAGTGTGAAAACAATCATAGATAATATGTAAAACCTTACTAATAAAAACAAGCTGGGTTATGTTGGCACACAGGCAGTAGTTTGTTCACCTCTGCTGTAAGTTAATTTGGGTTAACCTTTGTAGGAGAAATTACAGATTATTTTTGTCTTTGTTCATAGTTTTTTTGTTTAGGGACTGTAGTGGATTATGGCCAAGCAGCAGTAGCTAGTTAAGTCTTAATCATGAAGGTAGTAGAAACCTAGAATAAAATTATTATGCCCTTTTCACTCATTTCATAATATGTTTGTATTGCCGTGTTGAAAAGCCAAATAAAATACAATCCAGTTAAGCAGTGAGCACCCATTGTTTTCCCAAAAATAGAGCTCCTTGCTTTGTTTTTGTTTTTTTGTTCTTTTTTTTTTTTATTATGGAATGGAATTCAATATAAAGAGTTTATTGTGGACCCCATGGAATGTGATTAAATTATTAGCATAATAAAAAGACATCCTATGAATTTGATTTCATTTATAAGATCTCTTGAATTGTACCCCAGGCTAAATAACAGTGGAAAATACAGTTTATATATAATATGCAACTCACAAACTCCAGTGATCTTGTTATAGTAATACTTAATCATTTTGTAAATGGTACTAATCTTCAATCTTGCTGAAAAGAAATTTGCTGTGTAGCTAGACTACTTTGAGTGAACATATGCAATTTGTTCTTATATGAATATTTTCAAGTTGTGCTATTGTACTTAAAATACATACCAGTTATTGTGACCATCCAAACCAGGATATATGTAAATGCGGATATCCATATTGCAGACATGAAAAAGGTTATCACAAAGTAGTTTTTCCAAAACTTTTTTCTACAATCTGGTGTGGTTAGAAAAAGTAATGTAATAATAGGAAGGGATAATACCCAAAAAATTCTTTTTAAGTCTGCTTCAGGCATGTTGAAAACACTTGGTGGATCTGTTGTGGAAAAAGTAAACACTTTTGAGTTTTCTCAAATGGCTAATTAAGTTAGAAATGCCTATTTAGAAAGTTATATTGAAATAAATTAGCTGTATCAGTTTTTAAAAGGCTGTTTAAAACATTTGAGTACCTCATTACTGATATTGCTGGTGAAAAGAAACTAATTGAAACTTTAGGGCAGACAATGTAAGATGTGATACTCCGCATTTCTTTATTTGGGGCCTTAAATCTATAAAAATGTCTTGGGCCATTCGTTAAATATATTGTAGATAGTGTTTATGAAGTGTCAATTGGACATCTCCTGTGGATTGTCTTCAGTAACTTTTTGCTTAAGGGATTAACCTGGTTTCTAACCTAGCTACTCCAGTTGTCTCCACTTCATAATATTGATGATGCCTCTGCCTGCCCTATGTACCAGATAATGTATACTTAAAGAATATAAAATAATCATAGCATAATTTTTTTATTAAGTCGCATATCCTAATTCTTAGTGGAAGTGGTTTTTTTGTCCTATTTCATTACTATTTTATTTATTAAATTCAGACTTTACCACAGTTCATAGAAATAACCTTAAAGTAGGAGGTAGTATATCATCTAAAGTACAATTTATGAAAATTGAGTATATTTCTTTATTCAATTTAATTTAGTAGAAGGATAATGATAATATATTGGATAAAAATTCGAATTCAAAAATGTTCAAAATTTGTATGGCATTTACAAAATAATGTAACAATTGGATGAAATCATGTTAAAACTAATGTTAGTACAACAACTCATAAAAAGTTTGCCAAGCTTCAACCAATGTGCCATTAAGTAATATTAGATATAATTTTAACATAATCAAAGAATTTGGATTGGTTCTTTTGCGTTTCTTATTATAAACTTAATTTGGAGAGGCATACCTCTTATACCTGAAAGAGTAGAAGCTAAAATTTTTGTAAAAAGGGGGAAAAGTCATGTTTTAAAATTTTAAGTAGTAGATTAGAATAAAACCCTCCTAAAGGCTTAATTAAATTTAGAATCTGTTTTGGACAACCACTTTATAAAAAGGTAACCCATGAACTTATAATTTTGACCATAGCTGAATTTTCTGACTTCCTACTGAACCTATTTACCTAAAAGTTTTGCTATTGCTTTAAACAATGGTAAACCTCAGCTGTTTTTCTTCTTTCTTCCAAACCAGCCCCTTTTTCTGAGTTCCCAGTTTTAATAAGTGCTGTTCCCATTTTCTCAGTCAAGATTAAAACATAGGAGGTGTCTTTGTTCCTTTTTCTGGCCCCATATAGTCTTGGTGATGCTTCCTTCATATAGTCTCACATCTGTTCTCATTTATTCCCACCACTTTCACTTGGTCTAGGCACCTAGTAAACACATCAGCTGTTGTAATAGCCTCTCTTACAGACCTCTTTGTCTCTTCATATTTTAGTTCGGTGAACATCATTTTGGGTAACATTACTAAGATAACAGTTCTAATAATTTCTCTCCTCAGAAACCTTCCAAGATTCTTAAAATAGCATTTAAGATTCTTCTTATCCTATTCCTTTCTACCTTTCCTCTCCTTCCTTCCTATGCACATACTGTGCTCTATGTGTTTTATCTCTGCATCATTTATGGAATGAAGACCTCAGTAGCTGCTACTTATTGGTCATAACATATGTCATTAGTTAAAGTCTTTCCTGTCCAGCAAGGCCCAATTTAAATGCTCCCTTCTCTGTGAAAATCTCCTATCTGTCCTCACCACATTTTGGCAATCTGTCCCATTTGTGAACCACAGTCACACTTTATTTTTCTCTTTTTATGGTACTTAACGTTCATACTTTAGCTATTTTGTATTTCCTGTGATATTGGAAGTTCCTTAAAGGTAGGGACTTGGTCTTTATCATTTCTGAGTCTTCACAGTCTTTTTTACATAAAAAGCACACAATACTTGCTGAATTGAAATGAAATTTTAAAGTTTTTCCTTTGCGAATAGACTTAATAATGGGCAAGATTTAGTGATTACCTTCAGAAACCTGACTAAGGCCATGTAAACTTATAGAGAGCTGAGAGTAGCCAGAATCTTCATAAAATATTCCACTATCAGTTCTTGATTGCCGACGAATGAATGGTTGACCTTCATCTTCCCAGCCCATCAGTGGCTGTTGTTCACTTCTCTCCATAGCTTTGGCAAGACAGGCGCAGCAAGGACTGCATTTCTTTATAATATATTGGTTAATTTTAATGTCAAAACACAGCACCAAAACATACAATCCATATATCAAAAGCAGTAAAGCCCCTTCATACCTACAAAAGAGAAATTTGTGTTTTTAAATTAAAAGTGAAAGTCATTTTAGAGTTGATAGCTTTTGGGCAGTATCTATTGAATGATTTTCTAACAAAAGTAGCCATAGAACAATCAAACATTTCTAGATATTTTTTGTTTTGTAGATTTGTCCAGACTTGATTACAGCATTATTATGTTTATTGATAAAAGCTGGACACTTCTGTGTTGTTTTTTTTTTTTTAAAAACAAGATCAACAAACTCGTTTTTACTTGTAGATTCCTTCCAAATGATAGGTATAAAAATGCAAGGAAAATGATAATTGGAGATTTTCAAAATAAATGTAAAATTAATAAATAGTGGTGAACATTTTCTGCCTCAGCTCATTGGCATAATACATTCCCCAACATACATAATAATTATAAAATAATATAGTAACTGTTAAGTTATTTCAACTGTCCAAGTTTTCTGGTATAGGAACTTTGTGTAAAATATTACTCAGATATGGGAGGCTTAGGCTGGGATTTTTCAGTTTGTCATACAGAGCATTTTTAATGATTTGAATGTAGCTGAATTTGGCTTACAGTCACAAGAAAACAAGATGTTCTAAAATATAAAATTATACCCTTGGAACCAAGAACTGTTTCCCTGTACTCTGGCAGTTAGCTAATGCCATCACATTTGAACCTTGCATTTACCTTTTATAGCCAGTGAATCTCTGTCTGCTGTATCTTAAAGAACAGTTCTGATTTCCCTAATGGAGGAAGAATTAGCTTGGATACTCTCACAGTCACTATCCCTTACAGACAACTGCTGAGTTCTAGAAGGATTTCTATTCTACCAACACAGTGTCTTAGGGAGACGGACTAGAGGACAGGATGATTAGTTTAGAAATTATGCTTCTGGCTAGGTTTTAAGTTTCTTGATAGCAGGTATTACGCCGTGCTGCAAGGTTATGGTTCTCCAGATGGACACCATTACATTTTTTTTTTTTCATATTTTTCTGGTGTCCTCTGGAGTTATGCAATGTATATAACCTGTGTAGCTGTGTTTTACATTTCATTATCCCTTATGATATCTAGCATAGTGAGAAGGACCTAGTAGGTGCCTGCTGCTTACTAGTTGAAAAAGTTAGTATCTGTCCACTCAGTCACCACCTTTTTCATTTTCTTGGACCAGCTAGGCACAGAGAGATTGTAAGGAAAGCAAACAATTTTTAATATGAAAAGCTAAGCATTGTTATTTCTTAGAGGAAGGCTATAGTTTCTCCTGAATGAGCATCAGAAGTTTGGAGGAATTTAAAAAGACTTCTTTTACTTCCTCTACCATCCTTCTCCAGTCTTTTGTGGCCATGAACACTTCTAACCAAGGCAAGGTGAGCAGTAACCCAGCAGAAGAAAAAGTCAACTGTTGTGGCTTTAATGGACAACAGGAGTTGGGAAACTTTCTGAATAGGCAGCCAGTGGGGAGAAGGAAAAGTGGTGGTCTCCAGTGACTAGTGAGAGAAAAAAGGAGACTGTGAAGTGATTAAGAAGAAATTGCAAACTAGTGAGAAGAACTCAATCAGCAATTGTGATGAGGTTAACTCACAGACCTGTTGGAATATGGTATAGAAGTGGCAGATTAAGTGACTGAAATAACATTTCTGAAAAAAAATTACTGAACCATCAGAAATTCATAAAATCTCTAATTTTTACATAAGAATTATTTTCAAGCTTACCAGTAAACTTGGTTGTCATATATTATACCAAGAACTGCTGCTGCACTAATTGTGTACGCTGCACAGTCTCTGAATAGGGGCCAACATGATAGTGTTGAGACCTGTAATATGGTAAGTTATTATTTCCATTACATTGTAACTTCTTCAAGTACAATCCTTAGTATAATACTAAAATTGTTTATATATTTGTAGTTAAATATTGTTATCTTTTGCATATTGCTTAGAGAAAAAAATGTAAAATTGTGTTCTAACTTACACAGACTTTCATAAATCTGACCAAGAGCTATTTGTGGATTAACATTAAATTGAATACATGTTGTTTTTCTACTGATTAATAAATTTGATTGCACATATTATTAGTGCCCTGTTGTCCATCCCAGACGACGAACAGTTATCTTTAGAATTTTTTAAGACAATACATTTTGTTGAATGGTTTTGTTACATACCGTATTAGATAGCAAACCACAGGCAGCACAGATGCCAAGGAGATTATAAATTGCAGATCCAAGGATGGTGCTAATGCCAATATCTCCCTTTGTGATAAATACACCTATGTGCAAGATAGTACCAGCTAAGTTAGTGTTAACTTGAAGAAAATAAAAATCACACTGAGTAAGCAAGAAGTATAAGGAGCAATATTTACCTAGGAAAGCAGTAACTAATTCAGGAGCTGAACTGCCCGCTGCCATGAAAGTTGTGCCTGCAACATCCTGAGACAATCCAAGGGCTGAACATAAATGAAATGATTGTTATGCCTAATAAAGTGAAAGAGTATGTCTTTACAACTAAACACAATAGATACTCAAAGCTACAGCTTCACATAAAACCACTATTAAACTAGAAAAATAAAATACACAGATTAAAAGAGTCCAATGTTTTGCTTCTTTATGACTTCATTACTTAATGCTTCTATAGAAAGGGTGAGGGAAGGCCAGGAGACTAAAGGGAATATCCTGAGTGCCAAACATAGGGTTATTTGGAACCCAGAAAAGCGTTCAGAGGCAGAGGGCTTGTAGGTGAGTAGCAACAGCATGGCTTTGAAAATTAAGATAATTTGGAAATCCTAACCCAACTTCAAAGAAGAAAAAAAAGATGTTAGTTTTTTAGATGTATAATGCAGCTGAACAGAGCTTGTTCACAAATTTGCACACATCTGTTAAGTCATCTCAACTGTCCGTTCAAATTTTCTGGTATAGGACCTTTGTGTAAAATATTATTCGGAATATGGGAGGCTTTGGCTGGGGTTTTTCAGTTTGCCATGCAGAGAATTTTTGATGATTTGAATGTAGCTGAATTTGGCTGATAGTCACAAGAAAACTGGATATTCTAAAAAAATTTGCAGTTTCAACGTTGTCTAATTACAAATGAGAGAAAATAACTAGATTTAATATTGTGTAGTCTATTGATTTAAAACATGGATCTATTAAAATTTTGCTCTAGAATAGGAATATAAGAAAATACGTAATACTACAGTTTGTTTCTATCCACCAGGCTTACAAGCATGCAAGTTCATAAACTTTAGGGACTGACAAGATGAGAGTCACTAAATTAAGAAGTTTTTTGTCCTTTCAATTTTAGGGCCAAGGGACCTACCATGGGAAGGAACAGAGAAAGCCGTAGGCCGAGATAGGTTTGCATAAGAAATCCCCAACCAGGCTTTACTGATAAACTAAAAACTAGCTAATAGAGGTAGCATGCCATACATTAAATTATCTACCCTAGGTCACAAAGTTAGTATCGAAGTCAGAACTAGAATTTGGGTTTTCAAGACTTGATGGCAACTCTTTGTTGATGTTTATTGTCGTTTACTATACCTATTGGTTTTTGACGCTTCAGTCTTCCCAGACCCTCAAACTCTGGTGTGCTTGGTTGACTCCCTGTCACAGGTGGTTGGTATTTCCTTATTCTTGTCTCTGGGACCACCTGTTGCCTGCACTCAGGTGAACCTTGTTCTGTAGTCTGCTGGGACGGCATTTGAGCTTACTGATTCCTTTTGTGTTTCTTGGTGTGGCAGATTGTATATTACAATAATAGTTATGGTATTTTTCTGCTCCACGTAGTTTTCCAGAACCCTTTAATCCCCTACATAAAAGGTGATACGACTTCCTTACTATCATCACAGGACATTTCCCTTAAGCTACGACATGGTAAGTCCTGCTACTTTGTTGAAACCCCCATACTGGAGAAACCTCATGAAAAGCCCATATAGAAATAGAGATGTCTAAGGAATTGCTGCTGTTTCAGTCCCCAGATTTTGAAAATTCCCAGCCTAGGCACCAGACATATGAGAGAGTGAGCTCTCAGGTGATTCTAGCTCCATCCTCTGACCATAGCTGCACAAGAGACCCTGAGTGAGAACTACCTAGCTTAGCTCAGTAAACACCCAAAACCGTGAAAGTAATTGTTGTTTTTAGCCACTAGTTTTGGGGTGATAGTTAAGTCATCTGGTGGTTCATTTATTTGTTGTATTTATTGAGTACTTACTATATGCCAGATGCTTTTTTAATGTGCTAGTAATAAGGCAGTGAACAAAATAGACAAATATTCCTGCTCTCACAGAGCTTTACTTTTAGTAAGGGGAAGCAGATAAGATAAGCAAAATAGGTATGATGTTAGAGATAAGTTGCAAGGAGTAAAGGCAGGGAGGGGAGAGAGAGAAAAATGTCAGAGAGGAAGGATTGAAATTTTAGATTGGATAACCAGAAAGGACTTAATTGAGAAGGTAACTAAAGACCTTGAAATGAGTCATTTGTATGCCTGGGCTAAAAGTATTCTATGCAGAATAAATGACTGCAAAGGTATTGAGGTAGAGGCTAGTCTGTGTGGTGAAGAAACAGAAGACCTGCATGTCTAGAATGAAGAGTGTCAAGGGAAAGCAGTAGGTGATGAGATTAAAGGTAATAGGCAGATCATGTAAGGTCTTGTGGATCCTAATAAGGACTTTGGCTTTCATTTTGAAAGATGTGGGAAGTACTTAGAAATCTGTCACCTACATACTGTCTGCTGATGATACCAGCTCCAGTCATTAATTTTATCCCTTGGGGTAATTTGGTCTGAGAGATCCAACCAGCCCTAATCCAAGCTATTTTGACACCTGAAAAACCATTGTGAAAAGTTCTCTTGGGGTGGTTAGAATTATTTAGGCCAGGCCCTCTATTCTGTTTGCCTTTGGTCATGTTGCTTGTTGAACATCTACCTGCAGTGACTAGTGAAGGGTGAGAAATAAATGATTTTTGTAGTTTACATTGTATCCTAGTGCATTTTGTGTGTATAAAGGAATGCCTGAGACTGGGTAGTTTATAAAGAAAAAAAGGTTTATTTGGCTCATGATTCCTCTGTCTGGAAAAGTTCAAGATTGGGCATCTGGTGAGAGCCTCAGGCTGCTTCCACTCATGGTGGAAGATAGAGGGGGAACTGGTGTGTGCAGAGATCACATGGTGAGAGAGGAAGTAAGAGAGAGAGGTGGGTGGTGCCAGGCTCTTTTAAACAACCAGCTCTGTAAAGGAACTAAAGAGAGAGAACTCACCCCCTAGGAAAGGATTAACCCCCAGGATCTAAACACCTCCCATTACTCCCCACCTCCAACATTTAGGATCAAATTTCAACATGAGATTTGGAGTGGACAAATACCCAAACCATAGCATATTTCCTAGTATTTATTTTCCTGATTAGAGTGATTACATACATATACACATATACATGCATACGTATAATCACTCTAACCAGTGTGTGTATATATGTATAGACACACATATATACTATATTCTTATTACAATTCTGATGTGTACAACTGACCATAATATTTAAAACATAGAACAAAAAGATAAAGGAGATGGCTCTGTAATTAACTGTTTTTCATTTTAGAAATGAAGTAAATAATATATTCATGGTGTACAATGCACTCCCATATACATAATTTAATATCAACTATCATGAAATATGAGTGGTGGTATTCCATTTTACAGATAAACAGGCCCAGGAGGTAAAATAATGTCACATGGATTGCAAGGATCTGAAATGTTGAGAGTTAGGGCATAAACCCTGAGCCTGTTGATTCTAAGCCCAATGCTGTTTTTATTTTACCACAGAAACCCAATATAAGAATGGCACTTAGGCCCATTAGAACATGGTAGGTGACTGAATCTTTTTTGTTTACACTTTGTGGCACTGGCACCATAATCACCCTCATTCTATTCTTTCCTGGTGGAAAAAATAGTTACCGAGAGCCAAGAATACTTTGGAAGTTTTCCGGCACATTCTAGAGAATTTATAGATTTAGTGCTGCTGGATATTACCATGAATTGTCTTCCCAAATCAAAACAGGGCTAGATAATAAATAGGTGGAAGAAATTGAAAAAGAACAGAATGCCTTATCTTAAAATAACTGCCCAAACAGTGCAGCTGAATACTGAACAATCTTCATTTAGCACTAGCTGAAGAATGCTTCATTAGAAAACTCAGTCTCAAGGAAGGACAACAGGTGGTCCTTTAGAAAAGTTTCAGTCCCAAAAGGCAGTAAGAATAAAGCTTGTTCCTATTCACTGCACTCAAATTATGAAAGGAAAGATTTTGTATAGATGGATGGATAAAACTTAAAGATATTTTAACAAATTATATCTTAATGTTCTAAGAATATTTTATAAAATGTTTTATACCTCTGAACTTTAGAATAGATTGGCTTTGTCTTCTTCGACCTTTTGGGTGAAATTTCTTTCTGCTATAGTTTATTATTAAGGATAAATTTTTCTAGTTTTTTCCTCCCATAGCTATTATTCTTTTTTTCCTCTATTACTCTAAAGGAATAATCACATATCCTGGAAGATATAGTAGAAATGTTCAACTTGAGTTTTCTTTATAGGTTTAGATATCAACACATTGTTTATATAAAGTACAACTTCGTGGTAATGAGCTGATTATGAAAATTCATCAGACTTTTTCTTAAATGTGTTTTTTTCTGTGATGTCATGTTAGAAAGTTTATAATGGTTTTTGAAAATCTCCTTCTGGAAATATGATATAGTCGGAAGAATATTAAACTAAAACTGAGACCTGGATTCAGCCCTGCCAGTAACTTGATAGGAGACTTAAGTTATTTAGACAAGCCTCATTTTGCCATCTGTGAAATGGAGGATCAGACCACACAATCTTTAAGGTATTATCTTTTTTTTTCAATCTTTACTCAAAGTTATAGAATGTGAATTCTATGCTTTAAGACTCTACACCACTTTTTATTTTTAATTAAATTTCTTTTATAATACCTACCCCCCACCCCCAAGTCTACATTACCAAAATTTAGACGATGAAGGGGAAAAATAGAGGAATACTTTTATCATAGTATTTTAACCACTCCTGTCATTTCAATGTGTCTAGTCCTTTTCACAATGCACATTTTAATATAGTTACAGCCATAGGCTATATGCAATTTGGCGTCCTGTGGCATCATTTTTAAAAGTCTGCAAACTTTTGTGCTTTGTGAATGGATTAGAGTTTTAGAAACAATCAAAAGTCTATCAGACCCAACTCTAGTGACCATGGTGAGTAGTCATGCTGAGTCATACAATTTAGGGTCCAAAATGAAGTGCAACAGCAAACTGATGTCTTTTTTGTGATTTGCAAAACTGGTTCTGAAATTAATTTCAAATGTATTCCTAGAAATATTTTGAGGGAATAAATGCCTAGAGGGGAAAAATAGTTACTGAGAGTCAGGAATACATGACTGCATGTATATGCTCTGGGATGTTTTTAACAATAAGTAAGATAACTTGATTACCTTACATTTACCAACTCATATTTTGTCTGAGCAATGAAAGAATGAATTCTGAAACCTGTAATGCTTTTAAAGGCTGATTCCACCGAAAAAGACTCTCCCTATCCCCAATCTAACAGCTGTAATATTACAGTGGATTTCTACCTGCTCTTAGCCTATCTTATGAAGTGTACCTCTTTTATACAAGACACTTTACCTCCAAACCTAACAATTACTTCATTTTTTGTTCCATAACTTTCCCAAGGTCACATAGGTAATAAATGCAGAGGTAGGAAGGGAACCTAGATCTTTTTGACACCAAGAAGCTGCCCTTTCAGCTATCCATGTGGGCAAAGTAAAGAGATAATACATAACTTTATTATTATTTCTTGTTCCTGCAATAGCATCGTGGTAAAATACTGAGTACTTAGCACTTATTTAGATCTGTATGCCTGGTGTAGATTTAGATGCAATCCAAAGGGACCACAATTTAGATCAGAGAAAAAAGAACAACAAAGAGGATGAAATACTCTTAGGAGAATGAGTGTGTAGCAGGGAGGAAGCACTATTCTTAGATTCTTTGTTCTTTAGTAAAGCTTTTGCTTCTGTAAATTTCATGAGGATTAAAAATCAAACAATCCCCTGAAACTGTAGGCTATCCAAATGCCATACTCACAGAATTATTTGAATCCTAATTTTTTCAATTTAGAAACAATTCTGCCTGGAATTAAAACTTGCATTTCTTTCTTATTGCCTATGTCTGAAATGTAAAGTAGAACATAAGCAAATATTAGTCCAAAGCAGAGTAAGTGAAAATTTTTTAAAATAAAAAGTAAATATTTAAGTATATTTCCCCCAAACCTTATTAAGATCATTTTCATATAAGACGTGTTATAATTCGAAGGTATCAGTGTGGTAGAGAGGTTATATCTAATTGAATGGTATATTAGTGTAAATTTTTTTTTAAAGTTTCATAGCTGGCTCACTGTGGAATTTGGACTCTATCCAGTGACCAATCTTAAGGGGTTCTCAGAGTTTTCTATGTATATAGTTTGGAAAAATATAAAGAAACCTGCCCAGAACAGTGGTTCAATACCTCTGAGATCCCCATTACATATCAAAAGGATATTTTGTTTTCATTTTATATCATCTTTTGTGTTTCTAAAATTAAACTGCTTAGAGAGATTAGACATACTGGTCCTATTTGGTCTTTAAATGAATATAGTTTATATTATATTTTTAATTTGTATTATATATTGGCTTATATTTAAATTATTTAAATTTAAATTATATTTAAAAGTGACTTTTTAAACAATAAAAGATGAAGTAAAATGGTATAGATGCTAATGTAAATGAAATAAAAGGAACTTTAAACAGAATATTTTTTAATTTTAATTTTTATTTATTTATTTATTTTGAGATGGAGTCTTGCTCTGTTGCCCAGGCTGGAGGGCAGTGGCATGATCTCAGCTGACTGCAAACTCTGCCTCCCGGGTTTAAGCAATTCTCCTGCCTCAGCCTCCCGAGGAGCTGGGATTACAGGCCAGGTGCCTGCCACCACGACTGGCTAATATTTGTATTTTTGTAGAAATGGGGTTTTACCATGTTGGCCAGGCTGGTCTCGAACTCCTGGGCTCAGGTAATCCACCCACCTTGGACTCCCAAAGCACTGGGATTACAGGTGTAAGCCACTGCTCCTGGCCTAAACAGAATATTCCAGAGATATTTAAGGTATACTTTAAAGTTGTCACATGGCTTATTAGATAAAATAACTAGTTTAATAAGCTTACTTCCTACCTTGTCAAATAGACCTTACTTTTATTTACCTTAAATTTGGTGTTCAAGTTCTAGCAGATGCACCGTAGATTTGGTTATTTGCTCCAAAAATACTTAAATAGGCTTTGGTATTCCCCATCTCCACTTTCATCTTTCCTGAGTAAAGGATTCTAACCTCTGTAGTCTGTTCTTATGTAACAATGAACATTCAGTGAATGTTTTCTATGTGCTAGGTACTTGTGTAAGCAGTTCACTTGTGTTTCTTCGTGCACTTGTCACACAGCACTATGAACTGAAAGTTGTAATCACCCTGTTTCACAGCTGAGATAACAGAGGCAGAGGGAAGTTAGGAACTTTGCCCAAGGTCACAGTGCTAGCAAATGGCAGAGCCGGGATTTGAACCTGGGCTATCTGGCTCCAGGGTGGGCACTTTCAATTGTCTCTCTATAAGAGTGTGGCACTAGAGCATATGACGGCTGTGTCCTTCCCCTCCAGCTGTCCGGGGATTCTCAGCATTTGTCATAGACCATTCAGCAACTATATCAATATATAGAGAGAAAAAAATTGGAAAAAGCCCCAAGCAAACAATACCAGATAGGACTACAAAGTGATGTAACTAAATTCACAAACTAAGCAAGGGAATCTTAGACACAGGTTTCTAAGTCAGGCTTACATGAATGATCAGAGACGACAAAGGCTCCCTCCTTTTCCTTAGTCATTTGGATTCCTCTCTCACTGTGTCTCTGTCTCTCTTCCTGTCTCTCATACACACCCCTCAGGGTATCCATCCGGGTAACATTCTAGAGTAGCACAACTGGTTAGGATGAGGAAGCTCTCCTTAGTTTATTCCTCACCCCATTACCTCTAGCTCCTTTAGCTCTAACTTGGGCTTGGATAATGCTCCTCTTCTGATCACATCTTTAACTCTTTTCCCAGAATCTCCATTCTGTTTCCCAGCCCAGAAGCCAAGGCTTTCCTCCAAACGTGAAATGCCCTGGACAACTAGAGGGTGATATATTTGTGTCCCCTCTACAACACCAATTAATTTCATTTCAGCCCTCTGTGTTCAGAGAATTATTAGCTTCTTTTCCTGTAGAACCAAATGGACAGAAAAAGAAGATAGGATTACAGGAAGGGGGCATAGCAACAGCATTTTCTTTTATTGGCTCCATACAGTTAAGATGGTGGTAAAGTGTCTGAGGTTGCCTCGTAGAGATAGGTGCTTTTCCAGCTTTTCCAGTGTTCGAGGGTAGAGGAGAGGGTGTGTGACTTTTATGATCATGAGCAGAGCAAGGAGAAGGAAAAAAAATCCTTGCTGGAAGCCTCTGGTGGAGGCAGCTCTAGGAGACCAAGACCAACATACATAGGTCCAAAAGAGAAAGAGCACTGGTTTGACCGAGCGGGGGCCCTGCCAGAGCACCAGCAAGAGGCTCTGCCCTCTTCCACTTCCAGCTCATCGCTGCACGGAGATGACAATCCTGAGCCTCTTCTAGTCTTCACCTGGCTAAAGATCCTGCTGTTGGCCAAATGAGCCACTGTGGTGATTTGAGGAGTGAGTGGGGCTGGGGTGGGACAGGGGCCTGCCAATCCTTCCATTGTATTCTAGGTTGGAACTCAGTATACATACCCCACAAGACATTATAGCCTCATCTATGATGATGAAGTTCCACTGTACTACATTATGATCTCATGATCTTGGACAAAATGTTTAGGCCTGGGAGCTTATGGATAAGTGTCTATAGCATTGATTTACAATCACCTATAGGTTGCCAAAGGTCCAAAATGATTTTTGTAAATAATTCAATGTATTCTCTTTATTTTGTAATATACTTCCTCCATAGTAACTGTGGGTATTTGATATTTTTTTGTCAAAATTTTCAGTGCTCTCGAGAGGAAAATTTCTTGTAAGATGGTTCAAATAGAACAGTTCTGAAACAACTATATTCTAGCAACGAATCTCAAACAAGGATGTGTAAAGTTTTATCATGTAGCAGTTGAGATCATGCTTGAGTTTTGGCATTAGAGAGATCAGGACTTTCTCTGTGTGGCTATGTGGTCATGAGAAATTACCTACCCTCCCAGCCTTGGCTTCCTCATCAGTAAAACCAAAACATTAGTCCCTATTTTGTAAGGTTTTTGGGAAGACTAAGTGAAACCATATATATATATATAAAATCATATATATTATATAAACCATATATTATTATAAGATATATATCTTTCATCTATAATTTTATCATAAGTAACTGATAAAAAATAACACTGTAGTACATTGTGGAATACTTTAGTAAACTGTTTTGAGGGTTATGTTGATAACTATTAGTTGACAAAATGGGTGGAACTATTATGACTCAATGCTCATCAAGAAACTGGGGAAAGGCAAAGCACTTGCAGACTTTTGAAGCCCGTTTCTGCAGATGTGAAGAAATTTCAGGAAAATTGTTTTTTATTGCTGATGTCATAATTTGGATAAGACCATGCTAGAACTTGAAAAGAGAAGTGACAGAATTAATTTATAAGCATTTAAAAATGAATTGAGCTAGCACTATTTCTATCTCATTTTGTTGCCAGTATTTTCAATACTCAAGATGAGGGTCAATTTTTAACAGCTGAAGATTTGGCAGTGGCATGGATATTCATCAATCACACATCTGTAAGAACTACTGTATTTCAGGGCAGAGAGACTCACTTGAGAAATGCATGTTTGCTGATGATCTTTCAAAGTAATTTCACAAGGTGCACGTTGGAAGTCACTTAGACATATTAAGTCACTTAATGAACAATATTTTGAAGTCATAATCTAAATTTTAATGCAGTAGTGTCTTCTACAGGGCTAGAAAGGTTTTTTATTTATTTTTCACTTCTCCTAAGATAATTTTTATAATAAAATTCTTGATAGATTTATTTTTTCAGTCATGTCATTGTTCAGTTAAGTCATTAGAAATGGAAATTATTCCTTACAATTTAAATTTCTGTGTTTTATATGATTAACATTTTTAATTTTTCAATTTTTAGTTTTTTACATTTTTCTAATTAAAAGTGCAGTATTGGCATAAGAATGTACAAAAAGGTTATTAGAACAGAGTTGGGAGCATAGAGACAGATCTACATCTATATAAGAACTTAGTATATGAAAATTGATCAACTGTTGGAAAAAAGAACATTACATCCTATAGCAAGACAGATTCTTAGTGGAAAAAATAAATAAATTTTAAAAAATCCTGCATGTAGAATAAAATATGATGATTGTTGTGACCTATGGATAAAAATGCCTTTCTAGTTATAAAACCAAAAGGAGAACCATAAAGAAAAAGATTTACAAATTTACTTAAAATATTTAAACTTCAAACTTCAATGTGATAAACACAAAATGCAAAATCAAACAAACCATGAAAAAGCATATGATATGAAGTAATACTAGAAAAAGGGTTAATATCCTTATATATTTTTAAAGTCTTGAAAATCAATAAGAAAGAGACAGAATACCCCTGATATAATATGGGCAAAAAAACACAAAAGGAAAACCATAAAATAA
Organism: Homo sapiens; assembly: GCF_000001405.40. Taxonomy (NCBI): domain Eukaryota; kingdom Metazoa; phylum Chordata; class Mammalia; order Primates; family Hominidae; genus Homo; species Homo sapiens. The sequence goes on along the minus strand of NC_000015.10, from coordinate 48,123,928 downwards.
AATAAACATATAAAATATTCACCCTCATGGATAATAAGATAAACACAAATTTTATAAAATAATGGGAGGTTAAAGCAACCAAGGATATTTCACATATTTTTCATGGTTTTCTGGAATGGATGCTTAAGGAGGTATAAGTAGGCACACCTTTTGTGGGATGCCTTTTGCAAATATATATCATAAGACTTAAAATATCCACATCTCTGCCTCTTAATCAGGAAATGATCAGAGAGGTGTGCAAAGATTTTATACAATTATGGGCATGACATTAACACAAAAAACTTAAAACAGGCCAAATGTCCAATGAGAGTAATAGTTTTAAATTTTATGATAAATTTCTACTGGGTGCCTACTATGTGTAAAAACCAGTGTCAGACGCTCAAATCATTTATAGAATCATGGACTATCATGATATCATTAAAAATAATGTTTTTGAAGAATGTTTAATAATATTGGAAAATGTGCACTATAAAATATTGTGTGAAAAAAAGGAAAGATCCCAAACTGTATATAAAGCAAGATTCAAAAGATTTAAAGGAAATATACCAAATGGTAACTGTGTAGATGGAAATACAGGTGATTTTATCTTTCTCTTCTATTTTTCTTGTATTTCATTAATCTAAGTAAAACTGTTAAATAATTTAATCTTTATTAAAGAAAATATCAATTATATATAAGATGTAACGTCAAGATAAAAGCATATGTTTGTATCTACTTAAGAAAAATTGTAATAAATTAGGCTAATCTATCATATATATATATATTATATATTTTCATTAAACAGATAGGTGTTGAGTGCCTCTGCTATCACCAGTTACTGTTTTAGAGCCTACAGATTCTGGTATACTGCAGTGAACAAGGGAGGAAATAATTCGCTTTGCATTTCAGCAGGGGTTGGGGGTGGGGTGATGGGAAAAGGGAGAGTTTACATTCATGCTCTTTCCCTTTATAAAGAAATGGCAGCAATGTGTGTGTGTCGGGGGCGGTGGGTGGAGGTTGAGGACGCTGCTGTTACTGTGCAGTCTTGTGAATATGCAATAGGAAACCCAATCCTTAATTTTGACATTGCTTTTTGCTGTAATGTGGGCATGCTCAGCCAAATAAATAACCAAACATGAGACCAAGTCTAGAAACACACTTTTGCTCATATGGCACAGAACATAACTGCTATCCTGGTGTTTAGGGACCAGTGCACCAGTGAAGGTCTATGCTCAGAATTCTGGGCAACATATACTGCTGAAGGAACAGAGCTCAGAGGCTTGGACCGGCTGATCTTATTTTCAGAAACCAATAAATGGAGCTCTTAATTTTTAATAACTGATTTTACAGTCATCTGATGTCTAAGGTCACTTAGGATACAGGACTTATTCATCTATCTGTTTATTGGTTCTTAAATATCAATTAATTTCCTTAATGGTAGGATGCTGGGAAAGGAAGATGGGGAGGGTGGTCCTTAATTGCATTTGTTTATCACTTTTTATAATCAAAGTTATAGCGAGCTTAGAGTAAAAATAAAAAAAAGTTTTTTGAAGCATAAAATGGCAAATATTAGGAGTTTCATTGTATTAGGAGCGCACACAAAGTACATACAAGTGAAATCTTGGAACAGTTCTTATAACAAACATCCAGGCAGTAGACAAACTAGAGATTTCTGGAAATAGGCAGAAAAATAATAACTGCCGGGTTCTAACTTGAAGAAACTCTGATTCACATTAACTACCAAGAGAAACCACACTCGACCAGTTCCTTAAGACACGGGACCCCACAACAAGAAGCTGGTGCTCTGCAACCAGTTGAGAAGTACAGGACAGCTGCTGAGCTATTTCAAAGACAGTCATATCTGTGTGGCACACTCTCCCAGAAGGTTACAGGGCAACTTTCCAGCCACTTACATTCACTGATGATTTCCAGGGAGGGTAGGAAGTATTCATCACAGACAATAGATATGGCCATGAACATGTAAACGATAATTAGGAAATAGATTATGATGCCTCCATCTCTGCGCTCCTGTCTCGTGAAAAACCCTTCGGGAAACTCCGATGATGGAGAAATAACACATTGGGTGCTATTTCCTGTTAAGGAAAAGGAGGTGAAAGTTTGAAGAGTTTGGAGTCACACATTCCAAGCCCACAGAGAGCTTCCTTAAGAAATCTGTAAGTGTGGGGTAACCGGGTGGAATTTTAAGGACCCACTGAAAATGTATAAAGCGCTTCTGAATATAACACAGTTGTAGAGTTTTCAAAAAATTTTTTTGGGGGACTGAAAAGAGATATCTTAATGAAATATGTTGATGATGGTGAAGAATTAAAAAGAGGAAATCATGAAATCACTCCTCCTTGTTTTTATTTCTGAATCTCTCTTCCCCAAGTAGAAACTGTATCTCTGATACATGAAGATTTCTATTGTTTATACAATTTCGTTTTCTCATTGCAGAGCCTAAATTGTTCACAGGCCTGCAAAGAATCCATCCACTGTTGCAGAGAGAATTTCTAAGATGAAAGATTTTTTGTTTTCACCAAAAAGTCTCCAAGAACAAAAACTGGAGACTTGGCCTACTATGATCTCTGTGAATTACTTTGGAGTATATTTAAGAACTTATTTGAAGGATCAAAAGTGTTTGATATCTTTTTAAATGCTAAAATTCAGAAGCGTAAGTAAAAGTGAGCCCATTGAGAATTTTCCTCTTTTTGTCCCTTCATCTGTATGTGGTAGCAGCAGCAGCAGCTGCTGCTGCAGAGCTAACTGACCCCAATGTCCACCTACCTGTGGCCCTTGGGAGACGTTGGGGCAGGGAGGTCCCTGAGAGAGGCAGATGTGCAGTGGCCCACAGGATGCCGAGCAACAGAGCCCTTCTCGCCCATGTTTGGCCCCCTTTTGTCTGCATTTCTGCTGTGCTCTTACTGCAGCGTGCAGCTTCAGGAAGGGAGAAGAGGAGGATTAAACTGGATCATGTGAGGAGTCTCCTTCCTGCCCAATACCCTGCCCAGGGCACATCTCAGCAAGGCCAGCACAGGAGAAAGGGCGAGTGTAGCCAGTCAAGCTTCTCTGATCAGGAGACCCAATCTCCAGGGAGGCCGGAGGAGACGGAGGAGAGCTGACAACCATTGTCTATAGCTATTTCCATGGCCTACAGTCTCTAAGGGCAGATTAAGGCAGCTTGTACTTTATGAAAATGTGTGGTTTTATTTAATGTCTTCATACTGGCTCTGCTTTTGACTTTCTCTAGATTTGTAAAAAGTTGGGTTTGCAACTGCTTCCCATCTCTCTCCAGCCCTTTCCCCTAGAAGTTGTTTGGGTTGATATTAATATATGTACATGCTTTGGCTAGCTCGGCATCCTTTCATATTTCTGTTTTAGCCTCTCATCTTCATCTTCAGTTAGGGCCAAAGGGAGAAAGGCCAGTTAGGGCATCATTGCAATCGTCTAGCTGAGAAATGATAGTGGCTTGAACCAAGGCTGTGGCAACGGGGATGGAGAGTAGCTGACAGTTTCAAGAATTATTGAGATGGAGTGGATGCTATTTGATCATTGATAGGCTGTGCTTTCTGCCAGAGGGAGCTATCTAAAATGCAAATTTGACGTACAAGGTAGTGTTTAAATATAGACTACTATCTTCCCTATGCTAACATTTATGAGGCTTGCCAAGATATTTAGAACTTTTGGCAGTGTAGTAACCTATAGCTAATAGCACAGGCTATGGAACCAGACCACATGATTTGAGCCCTAGCACTGCTACTTACTAGTTATGTGACTTTTGGCATGTTATTTAACCTTTCTGCTACACAGTTCTGCTATCTGTAAAACAGGGATCACCTGTATTTGGGTTGTGGTAAGAATTACAAAAATGAACGCAAATAATTTGCTCAGAACGACCTCTGGCTGACGTCTTCATTCCTTCCTTTCTTTTTCTTTGTTTTGTTTGTTTTCCTTCCTTCCTCCCTTCCTTCCTTCCTTCCTTCCTTCCTTTCTTCTCCTCCTCCTCTTTCTCTCCTTCCTTCCTTCCCTCCTTCCTTCCTTTCCTTCGTTCCTTCTTTCTTTCTTCCTTTCTTTTCTTTTCTTTTTCTTTCTTTCTTTCTTTCTTTCTTTCTTTCTTTCTTTCTTTTTCTTTCTCTTTCTTTCTTTCAATTGAAATAGAAGCGTTTTTGTTCATAAAAATTTTTGTAGTTTTGCAACTTTCATGGTTCCTTTGCTTTGCAGAAAAAACACAAAAATTGATATGCCTAGTAAGTTTTCTATTTAGAAACTAGCTTTATCTGATGGAACGGAGTAAGTTGCTTCCTGATGTTTGTGATCTTGGGTCGGAAGAAAGTCTCAAAAACTACTTTTTTTTGTGGGAATTGGTATCCATTATAAACCTCTCCAAAACTGTCATTTCTAGGAACTAGATATTCAGATGTATGGTGTGATTGTGAGGCTGTGATGATGAGTCACCAAAGCATAGCCCAGTATAGAGCAGATTCTCAACAAGCAGAGTTCCAGCTGTCTACACTCGCAGGAAGCAGCACCCTGATCACTGGGGAGTGGCCTACATGCCAGCTAGCTAAGACTAAGGGAAGAGGTCGTTTAGTTTTATGCTGAGTGGAAGTGTCTTGCGAGCCTCTCCTCTTCAACACACAGTACTTCAATCAATTCATAAAACATCATAAACAAATAAAATACCAATAATATAAAAAGCTCAAACCCAAAGTGAAAGCTTCCAATGCACATTGTCAGCTAATTCAAGAGAGAGAGCAAGTGTCTGAAGGTACGAGCCAATTGCTATGGAACAGCAGAAGTGCCTTGCACATAGTTAGTACTCCATCAACATTTGCAGATCGATTACTTTGCAATGAATGGTCTTGAAAACACATTGCCAGAACATGCATATGCTTGGTCTAAACAAATTACCATCTAAATATGGATTTACCACGAAAAGAGATTTTAGGAGATGAATTAGATTTGCTTCACACACATTCTTCATTTTGCAAAAGCATCTTAAAGATCTTTTTCTTGTAAAATAACACCCAGATAAAACTACATACATGAATAGTTTACTATATTATTATTATTTTCATAAGATGAACACCCTTGTAAACATCCAAGGTCAAGAAATAGAAATTTGCCAGCCACCCACATATACACCATGGAATACTATGCAGCCATAAAAAAGGATGAGTTCATGTCCTTTGTAGAGACATGGATGAAGCTGGAAACCATCATTCTCAGCAAACTATCGCAAGGACAAAAAACCAAACACCGCATGTTCTCCCTCATAGGTGGGAACTGAACAATGAGAACACATGGACACAGGAAGGGGAACATCACACACTGGGGACTGTTGTGGGGTGGGGGGAGGGGGGAGGGATAGCATTAGGAGATATACCTAATGTAAATGACGAGTTAATGGGTGCAGCACACCAACATGGCACATGTATACATATGTAACAAACCTGCGTGTTGTGCACATGTACCCTAGAACTTAAAGTATAATAAAAATAAGTAAATAAATAAGTTTGCCAGCCCCCCTAGAAGCCCCTTTGTGAGCCTCAGTCTCCTCTCCTCCCTTTCTCTGAAAGTAACCACTCTCCTGACTTGTAATCATTTCCTCATGTGTGTAGTTTTAATAGTCCGTGATGTAATCCAGTGCATCTTTATGATGCTATAACTTAATTTTGCCTTAAAAAGGTATCTTTTAACTTTCTTTTAGTCTATAGTCCTACCTTTTTTTTCTCTTCTGTTTCTTATAACTTGTCTCTGGGAAAAGCCCAGGGCATTTGATCTGTAGAGTTTCCTACAGTTTTGATTTTGATGACGTGTCCTTGTGATATAGTTCAATATGTTCCTGTTTTCTGCATTTTTGTAAAGTGGCAGCTGGATGCAGAGGCTTGATCAGACTCAGTCCTATCCCTCTGGCAAGGCTATAGGTGGTGGCGTGTTTGTTTACAGGAAGCACACTGTGTCTGCTCATCTCTCTTTTGTAATGTGAGCAGCAGCCACTCATGCTCATCACTCCCATTAATTAACTCCCATTAATTCTTTGGGAGTTGGGAAAGGGTGGTGTATTACTCAGGGTTCTCTAGAGGGACAGAACTAGTAGGATATATATCTATATATCTATATCTATAACATATATATATATATATATATATATGTATGTAGTTTATTAAGTAGTATTAACTCACATGATCGCAAGGTCCCACAACAGGCCATCTGCAAGCTGAGGAGCAAGGAAGCCAGTCCAAGTCCCAAAGCTGAAGAACTTGGAGTCCAATGTTTGAGGGCAGAAAGCAGCGAGCACCTGAGAAAGATGTAGTCTGGGAGGCTAAGCCAGTCTAGCCTTTTCATGCTTTTCTGCCTGCTTTATATTCACTGGCAGCTGATTAGATGGTGCCCACCCAGATTAAGGGTAGGTCTTCCTTTCCCAGCCCACTGACTCAAATAAATATTATTCTCCTTTGGCAACACCCTCACAGACACGCCCAGGATCAATACTTTGTATCCTTCAATTCAATCAAATTGACACTCAGTATTAACCATCACAGATGGCATTCTAATTCTAATTTATTCTTCATTCATCAGTCGGAATATCTTACAAAGAGATGATTTTGATCATCTACTCTTTGAATACCCAGGGGTACCCAGTTTCTGATTCTTTCTCTTTATTTATAGGTTTTCAAAACAATAAATTGGTTCCCTATTTTCCTCCATAAATAACCAATTAGATTAAGTTATTATGAATTAATCTATTTAAATATATTTGATGAGTTCCAATCAATTGCAATTATTACCCATGTTGAAGCTCAAATTGTCTCATCGTTAACCAGTGGGAGCCCCTTCAGCACGATTTCTGAGCATCTTTGACATGATCTTAATCATCTTTGATAGCTTCCTCACTACCTAGTATAAAAAGATGTACCAGGCTCATCTTATATATGAAATCACCCATTTCTCCAAAATCCTTATTTTTTTAAAGTGGATTCTATTTCAAGACTGTGATCTAAGAATCTGGGTTGTTAGAGGGGCTCACTGCAACTGGGTTGGTCATCGTTTCTAAATCTCAGTCTCTCTCTCTCTGACACACACACGGACACACAGACACACACACACACAGGCACACACACACACACACATTCCTACCTCAAAATACATCATGAGTTAATACTGATACTTAGCATTCAAATTCATGATGACAACTTTTTATTTTAATCTGAACTTTTTCTATACTAACTCTGTGTCCCCTTTCTTTCATACCACAGGTTATGGTTCCCAAGAACACAGGAGATGACAAAATAGGAATACCCAAAATTTTATAATTTATGATTTTATAATTATAAAATCATTTACCTATAATTATAGGTAATGGTACCACTTTACCTGTATACCAGTGCAAAATAACAATATTGTTACTACTACCCCCAATATAAATACTGAGAAGAGTTAAACATTTGTGCATATGCTCTTCCATTCTCCCTCTATTCTTTTAAGAACTATAGTCTGTCTACATTGCCACAGCTTACAGTCATTAAATCTACTGTTTCTCCCTTTTAACCCACATTTTGCCTGGTTCTACAAGTAACTATGTGTTTAATGCTTGCCATCAGTCCTTAGGCTGTTGTTTCTCTAGATATTTTGATACCTGCAACTTATTTTCAGTAGATTGCTGGGAAGGACCTTTGGGAACAATATTGCTTGAATTCTATCATGTTGGTAACAATTTGTCAATGATCTCTATACTTGAAAGTCAGCTCTGCTGGATGTAAAATCATTGGCTTGCATTTTTTCCTTTGGATATCTTAAATATGTTACTCTGTTTTCTTCTACCATAAAACATTGTTATTGACAAGTCAATAATTATCTAATTTGTATTCTTTTACAAGCCACTTGCTCTTTTTTTTCTAGATACCCAAAGGACCTTTTTTTCTCTTAAACTTCAATAATTTTACTAGAATATATCATAGTGTGGGTCATTGTAGGTCAACATTCTTAGGTCTGTAGTGTGCTTTTTCACAATGTAATTTCAAATCCTTTTATTTCAGGAGTGTTTTCTTGAATTATATTTCTTAGTGTTTGTTCTGCCCTCTTTCTCTGGATTTCTTGTTCCAGAGACTTCCACTATTTCTATGTTGGACGTTCTTTGAGTATCTTCGATATTTTAACTTGGTTACAAATCCTCTTTATCTCTCTTTTCAATTTCTTTTTTGACTTAAAATTTTTTCAGCTTTTTCCTTTCTATCTCTGAAGACATTATCTGTCGTGTTTATTGCTCTTGCGTTCCTTCTAGCTTGATATTAATTTTTGGGATGGCTTTTATCCTTTATATCTAATTCTTTCCAGAGTCCTACCACCTAATTTCTGAGTTTTTTTTTCTACTTCTGATTTAGGTTGTTCTTTATGTTCTGTATGATTTCCTTCACTTTTTTTTTTTTATTTTTTAGATTTTAGAAGGTTGCAATTTTGATCTGTTCTGTGGACATGTCTTCCTGGCACACTTCTATTATCCGAAGGGATGTAATTCTACTTCTTATTATCTTTTATTCTTTTATTTATTTATTTATTTATTTTTATTGAGACAGAGTCTCACTCTGTCACCCAGGCTGGAGTGCAGTGGCACCATCTTGGCTCACTGTAACCTCCATCTTCCAGGTTCAAGTGATTCTCATGCCTCAGCCTCTCGAGTGGCTGGGACTACAGGTGTGTGTGCCACCATGCCTGGCTAATTCTTGTATTTTTAGTAGAGACAGGGTTTCACCATGTTGGCCAGGCTGATCTCAAACTCTTGACCTCAGGTGATCTGCTGCCTCAGCCTCCCAAAGTGCTGGGATTACAGGTGTGAGCCACCATGCCTGGCTCTTTTATTCTTACAATAACTTTGTGTGGGCTTTAACCTCTATGCCTTTCTTTCCTCATTTTTATAGAAAATTATTTTTTCTTGAACTTTTAGAAGAAAGCGTTATTCACTGTGGCTTTTCTCAATTCGCAGAGCTCCCTCTTTCATTGTTTCTTACAGTGTTCCAAAATAACATGACTTTGTTATTTTGTTCCAAAATAGCATGAGATTTTCTGTCAACAGTCCTCCACGCCTGTGTTTATCTGGATCTTCTCTTTCCCTTTATTCTCAAATGTCTCTATCCTGTTAGCTTTTCCGCCATGGGTAGCAGTTTCAATGTGTAGTTTAAGACCTCCATGCATTGGGCCCTGTGCTGAAAGGAGCTCTGGCTGATCAGTTTTGAGGGTTCATATGGGTCAGACCTTACTATGACCTCTATATTCACCCGCTATTGGAATGAGCCAAACCTTTTATAGTTGTAGCTATTGTTCTCGAATTGTCTTATGGTACTTTTACAAATACCTGTTGTGTATTTTGGGGTCTCCATTTCTCAGGTCAGTCGGATTCCCTGTGCCCATCCTGTACTTCTCTCTCATAGAAGCCGATACCATGCATATTTGGTGTCATAACGATAGTTTGTCCCCACTCATTTGTATTTGAGTTTCATAGGGGTAGCTTGACATAATTATCACTCTTGTCCATGAGTCTTTGGATTTGCTACCTAGTTGCTTTGTCTATTTCTATGTAGGAATTTGGAGAGATTGGAAAACCATATAACCACTGTCTCCATCTTCAAAAAGCTTTTTGTTTTTAACCAAAAGCATTCATAGATGTATTCTTTAATCAGAAAATTATTTTAGTACACTGCACATGTGATTTGCTTTACGAAGATTCTATTTAATACAACCATTAGGGAACCCTTCTGCATTTTGACTTATATTTTCTTTTTTATAATTACGACTTTTCGTTTACTTAAAAATTTTGATAAATGTATGTGTTTCTTTAAAATAACTATACAAAAAGGATAGTTTTTTTTTGTTTTGTTTTTTAAGATGGATATATCGGAACATAACCCCACCATAAATTAAAGAACATCTGTATTATGTAAAGTTGCATACAGCTAAATTGTTATACAAGTTTGTGCTGAGAACAAATGAAACAAAACTTTGCACCTGCTGGATGTTTGACCTTGGGAAAATCACTTCACTTCTTAGGGCTTCCTTGTTCTCATTTGTGAAATGAAAGGTCTGGGTCAGATATGATTCTAAGATATGTTCTTAATTCTACTCCTAATTAGCATTTGCTAGTATGAAACAATATTAAGCACTGAATGGCTTGTAGTAAAAATGGAAATTTAAATAAATCAATAAATAAGCCATCTCTTGAAATAGCCAAGTTAGCTTACCCATTAAAATCAACACAGCGGTGGTTATTTAGCTGTGATCAAGTTATAGACTGGCAGTCATTTTTTCCCCTTAGGGAAAAACCATTAGAATGATCTTCAGCTCTTACTTGCTCATGGCCCAGCTTCAGGTTAACAGTCTTCTCCCATATACCTGGGCCTCTGATTCCTCTGATTAGTGAGACAGCAGCTGTGATGTTTGGGAATCAAAGCTAACATGTTTACTAAGCACAAGGTATTCACGTACACTATTCAGTACAGTTCCCCCACAGACCCTAATGAATAGAGGAGTAGTTCTCACTGGCTGCTCAATAGATGTGTCTGGTGGGTTTTAAAATTACTGATGATTTGGTACTTACCCAGACCAATTGAATCACAATCTATAAGGATGGCTTAGGGATAGGTATTAAAAAAAATTCCTATGTGATTTTAGGAGGGTGGGGAACTACTGGGGTGAATATTGCTAAGCCCTGCTTTATAGATGATTGATTGAGTCAGTTACCCAAGATCTGAGGATCCATAGCTCATAAGTGAAAAAGCCAGGATGTAGACAAAGGTATGTCTAATGCCAAAGTGCATGAATATCCTTAACTATTAAGCTGAGCCACCTCCTCAGAATCTGTTTCATGAGGGCATGAAACCATGTCTACCTCATTTCCTACAGCACTTCCAGTGTACAACACAGTGCCAGGCACATGCTGGGTATCTAATAAACATTATTGAATGAATGTATAAAGTAGATAAGCTAGTCCACCTTGAATTTTATTTGATAACATCCACAGGACCCTGTAATAACACACTGAGTTTGTTGAGGGTGTGACTGGCTGGGGCCGGTGTTATGGGTGGTAAAAGAATTTACCAGGACAGTTATAGGTAAAAAAAGGCAGATTTGATAAAGTTCGAAGATACATTGCAAGGGTGCAACAGGCAGCACAGCAGAGAAGGGGCTGTCTGCAAAGAGGCAGGGGCTGGAGGGAAGTTTTATGGGGTCATATTGGAGGGGGTACATGCAGATAAGGTATGCAGATCAGGTCCTGCTGCTGGGGTCTACATGTGAATGAGGTATTTGGAAACAGCATGTCTGCAGGTTGTCTGTGATTAGCAGTTTCTCAGAACAATTATTCTCTCCGACCTGGGGCCCCTTCCTTATTGTTGCTCGCTTATCTTATTAGGACTCCGCAGGGTTTTTTGTACATTTGCCTTTCTATCTCATCCAAAATGCCATCTGCCCAGTTCTGGAAGCACTTGTCTGAGATGTCCCCTTACTCAGCGGCTCCATTAGCTCTTCAGCTCCACCTGCTGATGCTTCCACACAGGTTGGGCTTTCCCAGCTTCCCTTGAAGGGAACACAGGCCAATGTAGTGTTAGGAGGCCTGTGAAATCTGTCGTTTGAAAAGGCATTCTGACTCTGCCACTGAATGAAGAATTCGCAATGTTGATCACCCTTGCACTTTATTATCTGCATCCCTATCCCTCAATATGAAGGCTTCCATAGGCGTCCCTGATCACTATGAAGACTAAGGCAGGGAAAGGAAGCAGATGGCTTGGGCTATCCCATACTCTGACTCCAGCTTGTCAATATTACTTGTTTATTTTTAATTTTTTACTGGAATATATAATATACACGCAGAAAACAATGTACATATTTCACAGTTACCTTTTGCAATGTAAACATGCAGAGTCAGATCGCGTGGGTAACATTTAGCAAGATGAGTGAGTGATTGCTAAGAACAATGTGGAGCAGAGTGGATTTTGAATGTAAATGCATTGTTATGTGGAGCCTTCATTACCTCAGTTGCTGCTGTTGCATGGGCAGCTTTCCCTCAGGATCCTGGAACAGGAGGTCAGTATGGGCATCAGCTCGACTAGGAGCTTTCATCTTATCTACTGAGTGTCATTTTTTTTTTTTTTTGTCTCTAACCATCACATGAGTTTCTAACTGGAGCCACAGCCATGACTGAGTGTTGAATGGCATTTCACTCAATGGTTCACATATTCACAAGGCACCTGCCAACTTCCCCAGACCCTTGTCCTTTCCCAGACTCAAGTTAGGCACTAAAACCAGGGTTCAGCACTGGTTTAGAGCATGAGTGAACATTCCTAATTTTCGACCCAATTCAGATTGGTCTAATTTTACTGCTGTATGGCTCCAATGCTGTGAAAATTGTCTAAAACATTTTCAATTCCTAGGAGGTCTTCACTGTCTTCTCAAAGTTATACTTTTTATTTCCTTCACTGGAAGGCATCTTCTAGTCCTCTAAATACTAAGGGGGAGTTTAAATTATTTTGGCAGTAGTCAAGTTTTGCAGATCAAATATTATTTAAAATAAACAATATTTTAGAGTGGAAATAATTTTAGAGCTTGCCAAATCTGGGTTAAAATCTTCCTCCCCATTCTTTCTGAAACAGTCATTGTGGATAATACCATATGCTTTTTAGGCTGTGTGATAAAAAAACAAAAATATCAACCCCTTTTCCCTCTGTACTACTGTATGAGAGCACATTTTATGTTAGTAGAACTTGGCAGAGTCCTTAACTCTCAATGAAACTGAATGCATTGGGCAGGCCATCAGCTGGGGAAAAAATTAACAGATAAGACATTTTCATTAGCTGTATTTACACAGAATGGAATTGGATATTTAGCCTCTGCTCTTTGATACTTGTTGCTCTTACTTCATTTGTGCTAGCCTTACTCTGCCTTTGTTCTCAGAGTTTGAATAAAAGCCTTTCCTGAGTGTTTCAGTATGTGGTGGTTTAAGGAGTGATCTGGAAAAAGGCCTCTTGCTTGGCTTTGCCATTTTCTCCTCTAGCTCTGTTTCATTAGGGGGTTCTGAGGGGGTGGCCAGTGAGAACAAGAAGTGGAGGGGCCCTGACTCAAACACAATAGAGTGTGGAGATTTATTTCCTTCACTTTAATATAATAAACCCCTCAGGGTCTGAGTTAGCACCATCATTTTTCCTTAGTCTTCTATGTGAAGGCTGCCATCCCTGTGTGGGGAGATTAATGCCTCCTTTATTATAAATAATCGGGATGAAGGAATTCATCAGGGATGCTTCAAAATTTGCTGGGCTTAGAAGTTCTCCTACAGGTTTGGAACTCAAAAGCCAAAGAACTGAACATACAAGACTCTGGTCCTGAAGAGAAAAAGCCAACGAATGCTTTATTATAATTCTCTCTGTCCTGGGATAAGAAATGCAAATTACTCAGTGTGCTTTGAAGTCCTTCCTTAGCAATGAGAGAGGGAGGCTGTCATATCTCTGTTGTTGTTGCAGTTGTTGTTGCAGAGGAGGCTGGTGTGGGGCTAGAGAACAAGGAGCAGAATTGACCATAAAGACTGACCATTGTAATCTGAGTAGCTTAGTACATCATGCCCATGCAGTCCAAGACTGTTCCTGGGACTGGAACTATGGCCATTCCTAGTAAGTCTGTCTGCTGAGTGCATGACCTGCAGAAGTCTTTGTGAAAAGGGTCCTTGCGTTTTGGCCTGCTGGGCTGCTGTTTTAGATATGTCCAAGGAATTAGAACTATATTACTTTTTTTCTAGAACATGAGGACACACAAATCTCACCTTTTGCCTTTCTCTCTCTCGTTTTCCAGTTCTTTCTGAAACTATTAGATCACTGTGGTCTACATGGACGTGGGCCTCCCAGATCCCCCTTGAGGAAGGAATGTCACCCCAGCTGCTATGAGTGCCAGCTCACAGCCCCTTCATGCACTCCTCAGCAGCAGGGAGCCACCTCACCTGAGGGCAAGAGGTTCACAGGGCAGCCCATGTCCAGGTAAGGCAGGGACATAAAAGCCCAGCCATTTCAGCCCGACACACAGCTCTAGTGGCTAATATTCATTTCGGAGCTGCCCTCTGGTTTAGCTGAGGCTTTGTTGGACTTAACTTTGAAGTTTGACTTCTCCCACTTCCCGATCCTGCTCCCTCTCACAGTTCCTGAGCCCAATAAATATCTTGTACTCCCAACTTCATCTCAGTGACAGCCTCTGAAGAACTCTACCTTCAGTGACTTCATCTCCCTGATAGACTCAGCCTGCTCGGTAGCCTGGTAGAGTTCTATGCTCAGACTTCCAAACTTTACTCTTGATATGTAAACAGTGAGTTTTAGATTTTAGAAAATGCTTTCTTTTTTCCTTCAACAAATCTTGGCTTTTAAAACTGTTGCCCTCTGTGGATAGAAGGAAAAAAATTGCATTTGACACTTGAAGTTGGGGAATGACTCCTTTGTTCTAGGCTGTGTTTGGCCTTTACTTGAAGCAATGAATGCCATTGATTCAATGCGTGGGTAGCCATAAGGCAAAAGGAAATGAAAAAAAAAAAAGTTGGAAGGCATTTTGAAAACATTATCTCCTTTATATCTATATGAAAGAGTTTTGTAAACCCCAGAGCACCAGGCAAATGCTGGTTGCTACTGATGGCAGAGCACTGCGGCAGTGCACTGAGCCCTGGGCTGGCCGCCTCTTAGTCTCCCACAGCAGACCCTGTTATTCCGCCAAGTTTGGGGGTCTGGAAAGTGTGGAAGGGATGAGGCAGCAGCTATGATGGTGGGATTGGCTGTTTTCTAGCTATAATCTTTTTATCTCAGCGCCCCCCCGCCTCGTGTCCTGGGCTTTCTGCCCTCCTTTTGACGCATGTGCTTATTTTTGTGGCTCTGGAGGATCTTTCTAATGAGATTTTCCTCCTGGATACAAAGGGAACAAGAGGTTTCATTTCAAGGGCAGGCTGTCCTTCTCCGCCTTCTGTGCTTACCTTTTGAGCATGACTGCACAGCCATTAAATCGTCCTGCATGTGGACTCACACTCATATCATTGGTGTGGCCACTGGAGAACCTCAAATGAGCAGCCACCTTAGGTTTCCTTCTTAAGGGATGTGGTTTAACTGCAACATTGAGTGTCCGCACGGCACCACCCCGTTAGCAGACTTGGCTTCCCCTGCAGAGGATAGGTCAGCAAGAGAAACATGAACGGGGGCTGCCATGATGGTAGCGTCTCACAGACACTGAGCTTCATAGAGACCAGGTCTTTGCGCCTAGGAGACTGAAGCAGAGCTCAGAAGTTTCAGCAAAGTCCAGGTCTTACTCTCCTGAAGATCCACAGTTTTCTGTTAAAAAAAAAAAATCATGAAAGTCATTTGGCCCTTCTACATGGCAGAGTAGAAGTTTCCTAAAATATATTATTATTAATTATGTATATTATTAATCAAAATAGCTCTTTTGAGCATGCACTGCTCTAAGCATTTACATTTATTATGATATTTAATTCCCACAATAACTTTAGGAGAAATTTGTCACTAATATTCTCATCTTATATATGAGGAAGGAGAGGCACAGAGAAGTTAAGAAGCACCCATTCTTCTGTAGTCCCTAACTGTTCATAAGGGTTTGCTAACTAGGTTTTCAGTTACTGAGTAACTATTCATAGAGCACCTGCTGTATACCAGATGCAGTGCTAGCACTGGAGACAGAGTGCTGAGCAAATAAACATGGTCCATGTAACGTTGGAAGACAAGGATGGTCAGAGTGTGTGGATCTTGATGGACAGTATCTACATATCAGTTTTTTTGTTTTGTTTTGTTTGCAG
This sequence comes from Homo sapiens, assembly GCF_000001405.40. Taxonomy (NCBI): domain Eukaryota; kingdom Metazoa; phylum Chordata; class Mammalia; order Primates; family Hominidae; genus Homo; species Homo sapiens. The sequence continues at coordinate 48,108,135 of NC_000015.10, read as the reverse complement.
GGGAATAAAACCTCTTAAAAGCTCAGCTGGGAGAAACCAGGTTTCTGGAACATTTCTAAAGGATGTATTATATGTGGCCCATCTTTCTTCCCCATTTCCAATCTCAGTGAATGATGCCGCCCAGGTTGTCATCTGTGACTCCTACTTCTCCCTTCCCTCACAGCATCCATCAATCACTGAGTTCTGATAACTCTGCTTCCTAAACTTCTCTTGAGTTAACTCACTCCTCTCCATATCCATCACCACCATCATCTGTTGCCCAGAGTTCTGCAATAGCCTCCTGACTTGTCCCTTGTCATCTCTCTTGCCACCCTACAGCCCGCTGTCCTTCCAACACCTGTGTGTCAAGTGGGCAGTTGAATATAGGGGTCTAGAGATCAGAGGTGCAGCCAGGCAGGCAAGGAGAAGCTGGCAAATGAATTTCAGAAACAGGGTCACTGAGGTAGTAGGAAAACCAGAGGAATGTGGTATTTCCAGAGTAGAAGGTGGGCGGCTTTAAAGGAGGGAGCAGTTAGGGGTTAAGATGAAATATGAAACATCCCCTAACATTTGCCAGCACGGAGAACATGGGTGTCTTTCAGAGACGTTTCAATGGAGTCCTTTGTGTAGATGTAAAATTGGAGTAAACTCTTAGAAGTGGAAATTAATTTTTTTTTAACTATATGTGAAAGAAAAAATTGAATAGCAGCTGGAGGGGGGATATTGAGTGAGGGAGTTGGTTTTTTGTTTGTTTGTGTTTGTTTTTACCATGCTAAACCTTACAGCATGTTTATGCATTGATGTGAATGACCCATAACTAGAAAGAGATTGGAAATGCAGCAAAGAGAGAGGAAATCTTTGAGGTGCTGGGGCTCAGGGTTCCAGAGCCTCAAGGGGAAATGGCATTTGTTGGATGAACTCTGCTTTTCCCACTGAAACGGGGAGGAAGAGAGATATAGATAAAGGAGACTTAAGGATTTGGTGGGGAGGAAGATGCATACATTCTTATCTGATGGTTTCTATTTTTCTAATCATAAAATCATTTAAAAATGTTTAATTTACATTTGAAGGAGGTTTGAGGAGAGAGACTACAGAAGATATAAGGGAATCATTTTGAAGCTGGAGAGGCTAATTAACTAGGGAAACGTAAAGGGGGTGTGAGTGTTTTGTTCAGGTTTTCACTGTGGGTTTAAAGTGCATCTGGTCAGCAGGATTATGTTTGTGTTTTCCCCCAGTAATATTCAGTTTTTCAAATGCAGGTTTGGATAAACTGGACTCAGCCAGGCTTGGTTTTATTCCAGGAAAGTGTGACAGAAGAGAGAGGAGTCAAGGAGGAGAGGACATTTTCAAGGAGGTGATTGGGATGATAAGCCCTGTGATCTAAATGAGTAAGAAGGAAAATAAAAACAGGAGGTGTCGGCTAGATAATGAGCAAGTGGTTGATGGTTTGGGGATACTGATGAGGCTGACGACTATGTCAGGGAGCTGGAGCTAGGAGAGGAGGTATGGGTCAGAGATGGGGTTTTCTGAAACGGATTCCAGAGGTGGTGCTGATTGCAGTAGCAACAAGGTAGTTTGTGATAACAAGAACAGATTGGCTACAATGAAGTGAAGGGAAAAGCAACTGGGCATGAGACTTTCAAGGAGCTGCAAGCCTGGGGTTTAGAGGTCCTCTCATTGTGCACACATCTCAATATTTTGTGGTTGTTGGCTCATCTTTCCAACAAGTCTGTAATTCTCTGCAGGAAGAAACTACATTTATCTTGTCACCGCTCCCTCCCTAATGCCCAGCACAGTACCTGACCCACACAAATACTCAATAAATATTTACTGAATGAACAAGGAACTCCATTCTTTTTAAAATTTTACAAGTTACTCCTGAATTGAGAGCTGCACTCTGGGACTCCATTGTCTTGACTCCGTATGGACCACTTTTTGTGAGCTGCCTTGTGGGTAATGACATTTACTGCTGCTGTGGATGCTGTAAGAAGCATCCTGTTTAAGTCTCCTTGGTATTTAATATAGGAGGTTGCTGAGGAAGTAGTTCACTCCCTTACACAATATTCCCTTCATTAGGACCCACAAAGGAAATTTTTCTAGGGTTTCATTGCTAGGGAGACCTGTGACTTTCCTGAGTGAACTGATACTTTTTTGTAACTCTCATAAGTAAATATGTTTTCCTCTTTGCTTTGTCCGGAAGAGCCAGATTTATGGCCCCAGCTCAACCTCAGCAAATATGTAGAAAAATAGGATATCTGTTTCTTAGGAATAATTCTACCCTTTGCTTTATCTGATTGTCCTGGCTTCCTCATCTTGGTAATTTCTTCTCATGTTTCCTTTTTCATTCTAGGATCTTTCCCCAGAATTTAATGCTAAAGTATGTTTCTCTGAAGTTCAGCTGGGTGAGATTTTCTCTTGATCACATCAGCTGGTGCAAGCCTCTAGTGCAAGCTTCTGGTGATCATGTGAAATGCAAGCTTATTGTTTTATAAATCATAACAGTAAAATTCAGATTAAGATCATTTATAAGTAATACATGTTTCTGAGGATTTATTAAGCTAATCATTTTCAGCTAAGTTTAGAATTTCTATAACATATAATATTAAACATGTCATATATTTTAGACTAAATATGAGACACAAAATTGCTTACAAGAAGTAAGCTATTTCTGAGCATTTATCAATTAAAGACAACCTATCTGAGCCTTTATTAATTTAATCGAGAGACTTCATGAATTTTTTGAACATGTATTTGCTTAGCCAAATAGTTTAAGAAATGTGAAAATAACTAAATTATGAGTTAAAGACTTAGGAAACTTTCTAAAAATGCAAATCCAGTAACAAAGCAGGGATCAAGATGCAAATATGGACAGAAGCCACTGCAGACAGAGAACAATTAATGGAAATGGGAAGACAAGTGAAATTCCACAGGACTAACCACACAGGAATACTGGACACAAAATCTACATGGTGGAAAGGAAATAAAAGGAAAAAACAGAAGAAACATATTACAGCTGTGAGCTCTACCATACATGATGTTTGAGAGTCATTAAATACATTGAATAAGCCCATTAAATACTGCATGATAGGAACAGTTATTCCAGAACCCTGGTTGAGAGCACCTACTATATTTTACAAGAGTTGTTTTCAGCAAATACAAATGCAAAGCCTGCAAGGACAGAGAAAGATACATGGGTACAGCTCAGCAATGGCCCTCCCACCAGTAGAGTGGAGACCACATAGTTGCTAGTAATTTGGTCAGGGACAACGGCACACTTCTTTCTCCAAGCTTTGATCACTAAACTCATTTAGTATTGTATATGAGGAGAAAAAGATTGTTAATTGTATTTGCCATGAGATGTATAAATAAGTAAACAAAATGCATTAAAATTTTATCAACGATCATGAAAATCTTCTAGAATGGTTTAAGTTATGTTGGTACAGGTCACTTTATGTATTTTCAGAAGCTGCCTCAAATTCCTTCTTGTGAGAAGCCGGGTTATTTATTAAAGACTATACAAAATAAGACCACATCAAGTCATATTTCCACTATTAGAATTTTACAAAATAACTCTGGTAATGGATGAAGTCATATTTTCACAATTAGATTTTTTAAAAATAATTCTGGTAATGGAATATTTATAAGTATTATTAGAACTACTAGCTATCTGATATTGTGGGCTTCTAATATGCTAAGAAAAGTGCTAAACATTTTTCTTGCATTATTTATTCAGTCCTCATAGTAATCAAATAATAGATGCAATAACTATTCCCATTCACTCATTCAAGAAATATTGAATTTCTATTATGTGTTGGCCACTCTTCTAGAATGGGTGAGACAAATTGCTTGCTTTCTTGATGCTTTCCTACCAATGGAGGACAATAAACAAACAAACAATCTTACAGAATATTGGTAGTAATAAATATCCAGAGGAATGTTAAGCAAGACAGGAGATGATGGATAGTGACGGGAAGCACCGTTTTAGACAGGGTGGTCTGGAAGTGCCTCTCTGAGGAGGTGACATTTGAGAAGAGACTTGTACACAGTAAGACAGAGTGAGACATCTTATAAAAGAGGTAACATGGACTCAAAAAAGGCTAAGTAACTTGCCAAGAGTTACACAAACAGAAAATGGTGAAGCTATAATTCAAGCCTACGGATGACAAACTTTAGAACTTTCACTTTCAGCTACTGTACTTCACAGCCTCAGTGTTCTGGGCTAATTCCACCACAAGCCTAGAGGGCAGATCTGAATGCATTACCCCAACTCCTGGAATTTCAACTACCAAGGTCAGGGCTTGCTGCCTACGAATGTTCAGTGGTGTTCTTGCTATGGCCGCTGCAGTGTGGCTGGGTTGCGATTTCACAGCAAATAGATAAACACGTCTTTGCTTAGATCAAATGTGAAAAACAGCTGAGGCTCTGTTTTGCTGGGTAAAAATAGTGGGAGGGGAGTGTCTTTTGGAACTGTGTGGTGCAATGTTAAGAACTTCTAAATACTCACATTGTTTAAGGGTAATTCACATTGTGCCCTCAGCCTGAGTCCTACATGATAAGGTTAACAGAAGTGGAAACACACTTCTCCCTTTAATCTCCTCTCTTTCCGTGTGTAGTTGCTCCTAGAAAGGAGTGCAAAGACTCTGTCTCCTTTACATTTTCCAGCCCACCTTTGTTTGACTAGAATTTCTGTAACCTTCCTCTCTCTTCATGGATATCCAAAATATGGATGGTAGATAGTACCAGGTTCCATGGCACTGTGTGTATGAACTAGGTTTAATCACCTTCTTCCCCAGTCCAGGGATGAGAACTGGTAGTAGGTGTTTGTTCATAAAAAGAAAAGAAGAGCATTCTATTGAGAGGAGCCTGGATCTGGGATAAGACCCAGAAGAAGCCCTGGCCCTTAAATGTACAAAATGACAGTCTTCAAGTTGATGTAGGTTTGAGTAAATCTCTTAACTTTTGGAGACATCACAGATGGAGTCACCTGTTCATTCACTTGCTCATTTGCACATTTATCAAGTACTTATGAAGCATCTTTAATATGCATCACGTAATTCTTAACCCAGGAGATACAGAGAACACATGGTCTCATGGGAGACACGGAAATGAACAAGATGATTGCATTCAGTGTTATAAGCATTTCAAAAGAAACATAAATGGGGTGAGGTGGAAGAAACAGAGTGAATGCTGGGGAATCTACAAAGGTGTCCCAGAGAAGGTGCTATTGGTGTGGACCTTCAAAGATAAGCAGAAGTTGATAGGGGAGGAAGGAAATAAAGTTAATGGTTTAAGATTGTGGGGATAGTGTGTCCAAAGACTCAGAATTCAGGAATGGCCTAACTAATTCAGAAAACAGCACAGCAGCATGAAGATGTCCTAAAGGGAAATGGAGGAGGGATGACTGGAGAGGAGGCTGGCCCAGATGAGGTCTGTGAAATGAAAACATAGATTTTTCTAAAAGAAGGGACCTTAGAGAACAACTAGCCAACAAAAAACCTAAGACTCAGACGCTGACTTGGTTAAACTAGATTTTAAAAAACAATGTGGTTTGGGGGTTGTTGCCAAATGAGAATCTCCTGAGGATTTTTGTTTTGGTTGAACAAGTATATATTGCTTATCAACGTAAACATTTTGTTTCAAAGATGTGCTTGTGTGCAGAATGATAGAAATGCAGGGGCCTCAGATTCTTACAGTCATAAACAGTTCGGTCTGCCAGTGAGAGTTCGTGGCACAGTATAAAGAGGAATGCCATGGACGCTCACACCGCACAGGTGGGAGTCCAAGTTGGAACAGCTCTTCTGAAGGGCGATTTGCAAATTCACATCAAAACAACCTATGAAATCTGAACAGCTTTGACCTCAAATTCCTTTTGAAAGAATGTGTCCTGAGAGAATGGCCAGAAATACTTCTAGAGTATATTCATTCATTGTAGCATTGTTAATAACATAAAAACTAGAGATGGCCTACATTTTCTAATAAAATAATTGTGGTACAGTGGAGTGCTCTGTAGATATAAAAATGATTAAATAGAAGTTTATTTTTTTATATAGAAATATATTTCTAAGTTAAAAAGTAGGCTAGAAAATACTATGTACAATGACCCTGTTCTTATAAAAATTAGGTATATATGTGTTATTTAGGTATCTGCATGAAAAAAGTCTGGACAAATATATACCAAGATATTAATAGTGGTTATTAACAGGTGATAGTGGGCAATTCTTAATTTCTACTATTGGCTTATCTAGATAATTTTTACCGTTTTTTTGGTTTAATAATAAACATGTTTTACTAGATTACTTGTGCAAAATAAAGCTAGGTACCATTTCTCCATGTGTGTACAGACTGGCTGGCTGCCTCTCACCACACCTATTTACAATTCTTCTATTGTTCCATTCAAGGCCAAAAACCAGGGGGGAAGAAGATATAAAGTTTTGGGCCCATATTTTATGGTTGGGAAACTTCTTCCTTGTGTAGGACATTTCTGTGATGGGAAAGATAAGCTCGGCTTATCTCTATTACTTTTTGGAAACCACACATCTTTAGATTAAACATGACTGGCCAAATTCCAGAATTTCCATTTCCTTAGTAACTGAGTGGTATAATAAATTGGATAAAAGCCTCTGCTACTTTTTAAATCATCTATGCTGTGCAAAAGTTTCACCCGGACACCTGGATTCCCTTTCAAAAGCTGTGCGATTTTCACATTCTGCACACACAGATGGAAATAATCTGAGGGTAAGCCAGTCCTCTCCGCAGGAGTTGCTTTTCTGGTCGTGCCTGCTATTTTGACTCTAATGTTCAAGTGGATGTCACCCAAACCTTGTGTCTGTTTCTAACACATTTAGGAAGGGTTCTGTAACTTGGTTTTTTGAAGATGGTAACTGTTTCATGGAGAAGAAATGGAAACTTAATTCACTGTTATGATGTATAAACTTCAAGTTGGAAAGGAAAGATACGTGGCAGATCCAGCCTTTTTCTCTTTTTGCCTCCTCACTAAGAACTTCGAGATCACCTTTTATCGAACCAGCTCTGGTCCATACTGGTTTCTTGACTCCGTGTCTCACATTGCTTTTTATCTGAAGAGGTCTGATCTGCCCTGGGATATCTATATCCTGCTGTATTTTTATTACAGAGTCTTTGTTTATGGAAGAAAAAAGGATTGAGATATTTATTGGTGTATGTATGTCTCTGTTTTCCCTCTTTCTTCCTTGTTGCAGATGGGAAACAAATTTGTTTATATTTCTTTTTTCTGGAAATTTTTGTAGGGCAGAGAGGAGAGGTTGCCTGAGGGCCAAAGTCTGCTGCCTATGGTCATGTGCTTTATAAAGTATTGAGCTAACAGAGAGGTGGTGTTGGGCGGAAAGAGTGGTAAAGGGTACACCCTGGAGAACAGGGGACGCTCAGTAGGGTCTGAAGGCCAGCCCATGCCCTGCTCCCCAGCAGTGCCCTGGGAGGGCACCTCTGGGGGCAAAGACTGATGGGCAACTGGGCAAGTGGGGTTAGGCTTTCTGCTTTGGGGTAGTCTGACTTCAAGGAATCACATTAAACCTTGAGATACTAAGCCTTAAAGACGCCAGAAAAAGCCATTATAGAAATGAGGATCTGTTCCTATTCTCCACGTTCTTTGTAAATCTTCTGGCTATTGGAGGAGAAAGAGGGTGGAATAAAGTCTGAGAGACCATGTGTCCCCAGGCCCCAATAACATGAGAGGTTAGACAGATTTAAGTTGTTAAAAAGAAAACAATGTTTCTGGCTCTGATGTCAGTGGCCCTGGGTCCATCAGTTACATTCTTTAGAAGACCTGGTTTCCCTTCAGTATCCCTCCATCATGCTGCCTATGGTCATGTAGATCGCTGAGTTTTGTGGCTCTAAGAAGAGAGTGATTGGAGAGCTGCCTTTCCTCTGTGAGGATTAGTAATTTGAGGGCCAGAAGCTGATATTTTAAGGGCTCTGATTTTTGATGGAGTTTATTCCCCCTTTATGTGGGAAAAGTCAGATGCAGGTTGAAGCTAAGAATAGATAATCAATTTCTGTAGCATCGTGAGATTTCCTATATCACATTATTAAACATCATCCCTCCCCTCTGCAGCAGCTCCAGCTATAACTGTTTCCCTATACTTAGCAGCAGACAATCCATTTCTAGTTGCACTATTAAAAACTATGGCATTGATTATTCCTTGGTTTATGTTGTGGTTTCTGAGGTTGTGATATAATGTCACTGTGTCTCAGTCACTACAAGTATGGGTCTCTAACGGTTGTTGCTCATGCAGCAAAGGGGGCTATTAATGCAGGCTGGAGCCACAAGGATGACACAACGCGAAAATGAACATGGATTCCAAACTGAGCATGAGAAATAAAGGCAGGAGACCTGACCTCAGGTTTCTGCTGGCCCAGTGCAAAAGTTGCAACATAGTCAACAACAACTATAACATGTGAATAAACTTAAAATAAGGCAGGAATTAACAGGGGCTAGACTCAAGTTACAAGGCATTGTGGGCACTTAAAGAAGGAGGAGTTTATTCCCAGGTAGAATATTTGTAGAATAGTTTTAAATAATGGGTAGGCAGAAGGAGAAGGGGTTATCCAGATGTCTATTTTTGATGAAGTATTGAAATGAAAGCCTCTGAAGTTGATTCTTAAGATATACCACAGGCAACACAATCTGCCATATTTTTCCATCACATCTTAAGCCCGAGTTTGAGGTAGTTCAGAACAAGGTAAAATTGTGTTCCATTTCTTTTTTGGAGAGTTTTAATTTCATTTCCTTTCTCCTTTTCATTCCTTTAAACTGAAGATTTAACTGAGCCAACGGTGTAAGTCTAGGCATTTCCCAGGTATCAGGAATGATTGGGGACAAGGGGAGGTTTGAGACCTCCTTTATCCCTTGAAATCAAACTGCACTGGTCTACACTAGTCTGCCTGTGCTTCAAAGCAGTATCAGTGAGCAGGGCAGAAAAGGGTGTAGAAAAAGAGGTAATGTCTCCAGGCTATTCTGCTACTGCTAGATACCTGCTATGGTTTGAATGTTTGTGTCCCTCTAAAATCCATACGTTGGAACCTAAAACCCAATGTGATAATAAGAGGAGGGGTCTTCAGGAGGGGTTAAGTCTTAAAGGCCCCACAACCTCCATGAGATTAATGCCTTGTAAAAGGGCTTCCGGGAACTAGCTAGGGCCACCTTCGGCCATGTGAGGAAGCGCAAGAAGATACTACCTTGGGAGCAAAGGTTGGTCAAATCTGTTGGTGCCTTGATTTTGGACTTCCCAGCTTCCAGACCATAAGAAATAAATTTCTGTTTTAAAAACTATTCAGTCTCAGGTATTTTGTTTTAGCAGCACAGACCGACAAAGACAACACTAGCATGGGGAAACTACAAGGCAGAATGAGGCAGTGAAATGTGGGGGACATGGTGATCAATAGAAACTTGCCTTCCATGAACTGATCATCCGTGAGGCAATTGTGAAATAGAGAAGGTCCCAGATAGACTAGCAATGAGTCAGGCTACTGTATTACCATCTAAACACAATAGCTGATATTTATTGAGTGCTCATTTGCTGCCAAGATCTTTACAATGCATTATCTTGTTTATTCCACATAACTACCCTATGGGAGAGATACAACCGTTAGCCCTATTTTACAGATGTGGAAACAGGCAGAAAAGTTAAGAAAATTGACCAAGGTTATTATCTAGTAGTTAGTGTAGCATTGAAGTCAGATTCCAGAGCCCCCAAAGCTAAATTCTTATGCCAGACTGACTGATTTCAGGAGAAAAGAACAGAAATAAATGTATAGGGGATTTGTGTATAGGGAATTTCTGTTAGCTTCTTGGTGTTCTGGTGGGTAATGGAGATTTTGCTTAGTTTACTTGCATCAGAAGATACTTTAATAAATCAGATTAAAACGAAAGCAGTGGCTGTGCTTACAGAATTCATGTCTTGCATTTCCCCAAGTATTTTCTCTTTTATTCTCTGCCATCAATAGGGTTTTGGCTAGATAGTGGCATTAAAAAAAATCAATAATAAATTAAAATTGCTTTCTTATGGAAAAACTATTGATAGCCTAAAAAACAGTAATGTTCCTATAACTTGCCTGGAGTTGACTGAAGAGAGTAAATGAAACAAATTTGCAGCATGTTGTATTTTGCTGGTTTATTTTCTGAAAAATAAATAAGCCAAGAAACTCCACTATTACAAGATTGTTGGCTGTGTGTTGAGTTATAGGACTGCAACATTTATTCACCAATCAGAAAACATAAGCTTGCATTCCTAAATATGCCTTTGCTTCTCAGACATGTATTTTGATAACTTCAGGAGTGATATTGAACCTATATCCTGTGTTACGGTTATTTACAAGTTTACAGCCAATTCTAGACTCCACCTCCAGTACTTAGAAGGAGAGAACACTTTTAAGGTAGCCTTCAAATTTAAATCTCTAAAAAACTGTTGTCCAAATACACTGGAATTAATGAGGATTTTAATCTTGCACCCTCTTGGGGTAGGTGTGCACTATTCTCTGGGACCCCAGTCTGCAAAGGGCATACACGACCTTAAAGAAAACTCATTTATGTTTTGGTTAAAAGATAATTATGACACAATACACAATGCAAAAGGTATTAATCAGATATACAAAAACTAATAGTCTCTCTGACCTCTATCCCCTAGCCACAGCAATTACTTTCCTTTTCTTGTGTCACGTGATGTCTTGATTCTAGTGAAACCAAAAAACAAACTGTTAAACTTTCACCTTAAAAAAGTTACCATATAATTCCCATGAACAGTGCAACACTGTACTCCTCCTCCTCCCAAGTACCAGTTCTTTCTTTACCAACACTTTGATCCTTACCCCATTAAGGATAAGATAAAGAGGAAGGTGGGAATAGGGATGCTGAGAGGCTCAGGGAGGGGCAAGGATGTTGGGGAGTTGAAGATGGATGAGGATGAGAGAAGAGATAAGAATCAGGGTTGTGTGTTGTGCTGAGCTGATTAATTTTTAAAATCCAATTTTTAAAACTCAAATTGGTTGCTTCATAAAGTCCTGTTTTATGTTAGCAAAGTTTTGGTGACAGGCCTCAGATGAGCTTGGAATCTGATTGGGACATTTGGTTGCCTATAGTAATATATCAGGAGTTCGTGACTAAGCCCTGATGATGAGTAATCACTGAAGGCATCATGTGTGGTTCAGCCTCCGTCACCAGTGGGATTGAGCTGCAACCTTGCTTTTAGCAGCATGAAGAAGGGGAAGAGAGGAGGCTGTTGTAGGATGAGCTCCCAGACTTCATTGAAGCTTTTCCATGCCCACAGGCTATGAATATTTTTGAAACATTTTTCTCATGGCTTGTTTCTATCTGCCTCCCCCAAAGTCTACAATAGCTTTTAGTTCTGATTCATTGCAATGTGATGTATTCATTGCAATGTGAATATATATATATGTACTCACTACATTTTCCAGTGGAACAAGAGAAGATGGCAGTATAGGAAGAGGAATAGCACGAGTGAAGGACTGGAAGAGGGACAGATCCCTGCGTGTTTGCACAATGGACAGTGTAAGGGTATGGTGAAAGTGCAGGTGAGCAGCATGGAGTGACTCATTTCTCTAGAAGAAACCTGGGCCTTGCATGAAAGGGGCCTTGTATGAAACGTGGCAGGGTTGTGAAGAGGAGAGAAATGTGTGGTATGCAAACCAGGAGGCCAAAGAAGTGCCAAAGAATGGCAAGGAGGGCCATTGGTGTGGACCGCATCTCACATCATTTGAATCAGTAAAGGTATGTGGTCAGAGTTGAGAATGACATCCATGCTTACCATGTGGAGCATGGTTTGAAGACAGAAGTCAGGGATGTCTCTTTCTACTATGCTTACTGGTTAGGAGCCCTAAATATTGCTGCACCAAGAATCCAGGAATATAATTAAGATAAATTCTTTATCATCTGTCATCAAAGACATAAAGAATTTTAATGTCAGTTGTCTTCCTATATGTTGGACTTAAGAAATATATGTAGCCATTCTGCTAATGCTACCTGGGAGCATGACCATCTGTTTGGGGATTGGAATTCAGGCACTTTGGGATTCTCTGCTATGTCTTAGCTGTTTCTGTGTTTTTAGATCCTTGAGTTAAGAATTTAGTTGATCTCTGTGATTAGGCAGGTGAAGATTGTCATTTACAGGTAGATTTTCCTAAGTAGGCTGGAAACGTGTTTGTACAATAATGTAGGCACAAGGGCAATGTCATGGGCCAAGATGAGATGTTCCATGTTGGAGCTCTGCAGGGTAGCTGACTTGCCCCTTCTGACCTGTGCTGGTGTGACTCAGCCCCACCCAGCAGGGCATGTGACGAAGGTGGCAATGGCAAGGTGTTTGGCTCCTTCCTGGTACAGCTGTATGAGAAGAAATGTTCAGAGAAGGTGCTCCAGAAAATTTTAGGAAGTGTATGCAACACAAATTTTAAAAAGATGAGTGAGAAGCTCAGAGCAGACATCAAGCTGGCATGCAGCAACCAGAGCTTGTGTGGCCCTTTCAATTGACCACAAACCTTTACTGATCACCTACTGCATGCCTAGCACACGACAGAGAGGTGGGGGCAGATCAAACATGAGTTCTGCCCTCAAGCAACTTCCTGTCTTAGGGGAAACAGACACAAAACCGAGCAATTGTAAGATGATATAAAATAAAGTAAGTGCTAAATAAGTATTAAAAAAAAGACGTTGACTTGAGGATAAAAAGAAATTAAAATTGTTGGAAGAAATAGGAATACATTAAAACGGTGGTAAAATTGAGCTAAGCATGGAAATGAATAAATGAACAACTGTAGGAGGAAGAAGAAACTTCTACGCAAAGTGAAGAGAATGAACAAAAGCCTAGTGTCCTAACATGCACTCTGTGATTTGGAATGGTGAGTATTGCAGCTTGCAGGGTGTGTAAAGGGCAGATGTGTAAAGGTTCTTCCTATGGCAGAAGAGTTTGGAAAGGTAGTCTGTGGAGACTAGATAGGCCAGAAACTTCATTGCCAAACTGAGCAGGCTAGATCTTATTCTGGAGGCGATGAGTGGCCGTGGCAGGGTTGTGAAAAGGAGAGGAATATGTGGTATGCAAACCAGGAGGCCAAAGAAGTGGGTCAAGGAGGGCCATTGGTGTGGACCACATCTCACCTATTTTCTGGATAATAGCTACCTTTAGCTAGAGTTTATTGCCAGGCGCCATTCTAGGACTTTTTGTTGCTTAATATTTATAACCATCTTTTATGGTAGGGAGAGTTCAAATAACAAGTCCAAGTTCACACAACTAAATAGACTAGAACCAGAACTCACACCTAGACCACCTGGGCCCAGAAACCACACTCATGTCCTCAGGAATTCAGTGCTCAATCCATTAAATGTTTGATGAATTATTAAACGCTTGAATAAATGGAACCATCCTGGGTTTAGGCAGCATAGTCAGGGAGGGTCTAACTCAAAGGTAACAATTATTCCTGAGACTCACATGTTCAACCTGAAATGGTTGAAAAAGGAGGACCAGGCTGGTGCTGGAAGTCTGAGAAGTGAGCAGCCTCTACTGCTTGAGGCCATGACAGCTCCAGGATCAGTAAGAAGAGGGAAATAGGGCTAGGATGCACTAAGATTCTGGGACTGTGTCTACAGTTCAGTAACTCCAAGCAATGTAGATTGTACGGGTTGAATAGAGCCCCATCACCTCATTCATGTCTGTCCAGAAGCTCAGAATGTGACCTTATTCAGAAATGGGTCTTTGCAGATGTAATTAGTTAAGATAAGGTCATACTAGATTGGTATCGACCCCAAATCTGATGACTGGTGTCTTTATAAGAAGAAGTGTGGGTACACAGAGATTATACCAGTCAGGGTTCTCCAGAGAAACAGAGCTAACAGGAAGTATGTATAAATAAAGATATATTTTAAGAAATTGGCTTGTGCAATTATGGAGGCTGGCAAGTCTGCAATATGCAGGATGGGCCAGCCGGCAGGACACCTACAGAAGAGAAGAGCAAATGTTGCCGTTTAAGTGGAAAGACCACTTGCTGGAAGAATTTCTTCTTTGAGGGAGGTCAGTCTTTTGTTCCATTAAGGCCTCCATCTGATGGGATGAGACCCACTCACCCTCATGGAGGGCAATCTGCTTTACTCAAGGTCTTCCACTAAAAATGCTACTCTTATCCGAAAACACCCTCACAGGAACATCCAGATCACGTCTGACCAAATATCTGAGCAACGCGGACTAAACAAGTTGACAAACAAAATTAATCATCACACAGACGAAGGTACGCAGAGATGAAGGTGTTGTGAAGACGTAGGCAGAGATTGGAGAGATGCGTCTATAGCCTAGGAAGGGCAGTAATTGCTGGGAACCACCAGAAGCTAGGAGAGAGGCATGGGACAGTTTCTTTCTTAGAGCCTCCAGAAGAAGGCAACTGGATTGTCTCTCAACGTCTCAGTTTTGAACTTCTGGCCTTCTGAACTTGAATAATTACATTTCTGTTGTTTTAAGCCACGCAGTTTATGGCAATTTGTTAAAGTGGCCCCAGGAAAGACGATAGAGATAAACCCAGCAGTGGCACAGTCACATTTACCAGCAGACATCAGGGTCTGATGCGCTGCTGAGATTTGAGATGTTCATGATGCCAGGTACAAAACAGACCTTTGTATGGGCACTGAGGAAGATGAGGGAAGGGGGAGGAAGGCCTGGATGTAGGGTTTCCTGAAAATAATTACAACATATAGGACAGGAAAAAGAGAAGTTAACTTTCTTATATATGAAAAGCTACAATTTTAAAGTCAATAAGAAAAGGATAAAAAGCCTATTGGAAAAGTGAACAAAGAAACAATCAATATACAAAGGAAGAATGACAAATGGCCACTAAATAGCCACCTTGTTGATCTGGGCTCATTGTGCATGCTGTGTCCATTCCATTTGTACTCGGGGTTTGCTCTTTCAAGTGCATCACGAGGATGCCTGTTTTGGAGAAGAGCTCTGTGGGGCCAGATGCAGTAAAAGTGGGTGCCGGACAGCCTACTCCAGCAGTGGGAGAGATGCTGCTGCCCAGGAACAGGCTCCCCAGACCCAGAACAAAGGCTGATGTGAAATATGAAAGCATGATCAATGCATTCATCAAGAAACAGGTGTTGGTTGAAGACCTCCTTTATTTTCAGCACTGTACCACACACTGGGGAGCACAAGAACCCCAGGAAAGACAAAGGCTGAGGGATATGAAATTACAGGACAGCAATCCAAGGTGGAATGAACTATTTCACCTACATTAATATTAGTGACTTCCAGTTCTGGCTGTACATTAGCATCCCTGGAGAGCTTTTTAAAAATACGGATGCCTACTAGAGTGTTCATACTAGTGGCACTATTTGTAAGAGCCCCAAACTGGAAACTCTCCAAATGTACACCAACAGTAGAAAGGATAAATAATTATGGATTATTCACATAATAGAGTGCCATTCAGCAATGACGATGAAAGATTGACAACTACACACAATAATGTAGATAAATTAGATAAATAAGTGTAGATAAATCTCTCAAGTATAATGTTGAGTGAAAGAAACTACATAGAAACAGGTCAGTCTTTAATGTACCATAGTAACGTAAGATGTTAACAATAGGGGAATGTGGGACAGGGTATGCTGTACTCTCTGTACTGTCTGCACTTCTGTAATTCTAAAACTATTCTAAAATTTTAAAACTTGCTTAAGTATAAAAAAGTCATGCTGTATGATTCCATTCATATCAAATACAAAGACAGAAAAAATTCATGTATGCTATTAGAAGTCAGGATACTTCCCCTGGGAGGAACGTTGCCCGGAAGGGTACATGAGGGAGACTTTGGGGTGGTGGTGGCCTTCTGTGTCTCAATCTATGTGCCAGTTACATGGACATGTATCATTTTGAAAGTGTATTGAACACTTATGTGCCCTTTTTTTGTACATATATTTTATTTCATTAAAAAATTAAAGGCAGCCGGGTGTGGTGGCTCACACCTGTAATCTCAGCACTTTGGGAGGCCGAGGAGGGTGGATTACCTGAGGTCAGGAGTTTGAGAACAGCCTGGCCAACATGATGAAACCCCGTCTCTACTAAGAATACAAAAATTACCAGGTATGGTGGTGTGTGCCTGTAATCCCAGCTACTCGGAAGGCTGAGGCAGGAGAATTACTTGAACCTGGGAAACAGAGGTTGCAGTGAGCTGAGATTGTGCCATTGCACTCCAGCCAGGGCAACAGAATGAGACTCAGTCTCAAAAAAAAAAATATATATATATATTGAAAGCTATTCTGACATCCAGTTCTACCCAGACTAAGCAAGTAAGAATTTTGGGTGGAGTCCCTGGGTTTTTTGTTAAAGCACCCTAGATTATTCCAGTATGCATCAGTGACTGAGAGCCACCGCTATTTGTTCTGCAGGCAATGAGAAGAGCCAGAAATCAGTACAGGCTGGAGCTGTGAGTTCACGCTTCCTTCTTACAGGAGGCAAGGCGTGTACGGATCCTCAAAGGCTGGGAGGGATTAATGAGACCAGCAGGGCTCCACAATAAATGAGCATTTTCAACCCAGGAAGCATTGAATTTCCAATTCTCATTTTTCTGTTTTTCTGGCACTGGCTACATTTTGCCTGGAAACTTGATTCCCCATCTTAAATGCTCTTGTCATATGTTGGCTCCTTAGGGTCAAGAGCTGTGAAGACAGTCTCATCAGGCTTCATGCAAATAGAGAAAATTAAAAAGCAATTAGTCTTATGTACCCTGAGCACTGTATTTATCTAATTTGTACACTTTCTTGTGTTTCTACTCGAGCCTCAATAAGCCTTTACGAAAGCATGGGTGAAATAAATGACTGGAAAAACAAGCTGCAGCGTCCAGATTTTGACCACAGAAGCACCCTCTGTAGCATTAGTGATCAACTCCTAACACACAATACATTTAGGGTGTGAAGCTGGGGACGGGAGACCCTTAGGGGCAAGGATTGGTGGATTCTAGGTGTATAGAGGGGACATATTCTGTGCTGAGTGTGTGTTGCTGTTTACAATTCATTACTAGCCCAGACAGTTTGGTTGACTCACTGGTACATTTCTTATTATAAGGGAGAGGGGACCTATAGACCATGCACTAAGAGCATTTGCAAATTTATAGTTGGCATTTGCATTCTGAGAGCCATTACTTTCGTGGGCTCATTATAGTTTACAATAATACAACAACAACAATAACAACAGCTGACCTTTATGAGTGGTCAGATCATTCCAGGCACTTTGCCAAGCCCTTTCCATGAATTACCTCATTTAATCCTCACTTCAATCTTATGAATCCCCACTTGACAGGTGAGAAGACTGGTGCCCGAGATTAATAAGTTATCTAAGATCTCACCACCTGTTAGAAGCAGAGCTGGTTTTAACAAAGCAGTTGATTCCCCAGACGGGGTTTTTAACTGTGATGTGATACTGGTTAAAGATGGGATGACATGGCCTTGTAACAAATTGTCCTTAAAGTCCTCCCTCCTTCCCATCCTAGATTCATCCACCCTACCCTAAGTCACCCTGCCCCTTCTTCTCTCCCTCTGCCTTTCTTTTCCTATCTTTTGATATTTGTGTTTACTCTGAAGAGCTGTTTCTCCTTCTTTCTCCACTTCTCATCTCTAGAAGAGCAAATGATGAATTAAATCATACTAAGATGTTTGGGATTTGCTGTGTAATTTCTCTCAAGAGTGACTGCACTTGAAGAGAAACTGCACAAGGACAATGCTTACCACCCATGAGTGCTTATGAAGGCAATGTAAGCTAACCCAGGGGTCAGCAGACTATGGCTTGCTGGCCAAATCCTGTTTTGGTAAATAAAGTTTTATGAGGACACAGCCACGCCCACTGGTGTATTTATTATCTAGGGCTGCTTTGGCACTAGCAGGGCAGAGTGGAGCAATTAGGACAGAGTTGCTAGAGACCACAAAGCATAAAACACTTGCTGCCTTGGTCTTGCAGAAAAACTGCTGATTTCTCAGTTAATCCAGAGAGAGCTTCTAGTGCAGAACTTGGTGCATAGGCGCTCAATTCATGCCAATTTCTTTTTCTGCAGGTTTCAGGTGCCTTCCTGTGGGTGGACTCTGGGCAGGAGGCACATTCTGAAATCACATCACATGGGTCATTACTGGCCCTATCCGTTCACAGTGGCCAGCGGGGGTGACAATCCTCACTGAATATTCATTTACACTTTGGCAAGTGAAAGAGTGACAAGTGTCCTCACAGAAACAAAGTGATGTATTATTCATTTTGCAGAGAGTGCTTCCTGATGTGAAAGCAGTGGGGCAGCCCCAGCTGGGGTGGAGGTGTCATTTCTCTGCCGGCAGAAGTGAGCAGTCAGGCAGGGACCATGCCTCCATGCCACAGGCACGGGACACGGTTAATGTTTCTTGAGAATTGTTTCTTTCACCAGATATGGATTTTGCGTCAAAGAAGGCACTTAAGGTCCCCTTCAAAATATGTTCAAAATAATAAAAACTGAAATTAGTCTTGCAAAACTTGAAGTTAACTGCAATATTGGCTTCTTTGTTATATTTTTGCGAAAGACCACTGACCATCATGCAATCTTTGTTCTTCCCTGGTTAGGGCAGGGGTGATGTGGGATTATTATGGACAAGATCAAATGTCTAGGCTGAGAGATGCTGCCTTCAGCACCATTCCAGGAAGCCACTCAATACAAACCCTGGGCTCCTCCTTGAGTTTTACTTTCTCTGATTTGGGGGAAGCAGGGGTCTTGCATTTGTGGACCCTTCTCTCTAGGAGCTGTATTTCCCTTAAGGGTACCCAAGTTCTGGGATCTCTTATTATCTCCTGGATGACTTAGGATATCTTATTATTATTATTATTATTTTTTGAGACGGAGTCTCACTCTGTCGCCCAGGCTGGAGTGCAGTGGTGCGATCTCGGCTTACTGCAAGCTCCACCTTCTGGTTTCATGCCATTCTCCTGCCTCAGCCTCCCGAGTAGCTGGTACTACAGGCATCCGCACTACTCCCGGCTAATTTTTTGTACTTTTAATAGAGACGGGGTTTCACCGTGTTAGCCAGGATGGTCTCAATCTCCTGACCTTGTGATCCACCTGCCTTGGCCTCCCAAAGTGCTGGGATTACAGGTGTGAACCACTGCACCCGGCCGAGATCTTATCTTCTTAAAGGTGCCTATATGACTTGATAGTTCACATTGTGCCTCTCACCACCCTAAGAAGATCCAGTTTCTATGTAGTTGGTGCAGTGATGGAAATTTGGGATTACAGTAGTTCCCCCTTAGCTGCAGGGGATATGTTCCAAGACCCCCAGTGGATGCCTGAAACTGAGGAGAGTACTGAACCATGTATATACAATGTTTTTTCACCTGAAAACTGAGATGGCTACTAAGTGACTAACGGATGGAAGCCTATGCCGCATGGATACCTGGACAAAGGGATGATTCATATTCCAAGTGGGACAGAGCAGGATGGTGGGAGATTTCATCATAATACTAGAATAATGCACAATTCAAAACTTATGAATTATTTAGTTCTGGAAATTTTCATTTAATATTTTTGGTCCACAGTTGCTGGTAGGTAACTGAAACCATGGGAAGTGAAACCATGGGTAAGAGGGGAGTACTGTAATAAGAAATTAACTATAAGAAATTAACTATGTTGTCTTAGCCAGCAAAGCTGGAGGCCATGGCTTATTGGTACAACTAATTCCAGGGAGCAGGCATGAGGACTGAGGGGAATGAGGAATGGAGGAAGAGAGGAGAGATTAAGATGGGTTGGAGAGCTAGCCTTCTCTAAGTAAGATGGATTGTGTCATCTCATGAGATCATTCTCCATGAAGATGTTTAAACTGGGCCCCAGGACAGTCCACCCTAAGGACAGAAAGGGAGAAGAATTTATCCACCAGCTCCTGTTTTTTTCCCACCAGCCTCTGAAAGGTCTGAGCCACAAGTTCTTACTTCCCTTGGGTTTCCTAGCTGCATACACAGACCCTGAGTGGGCTTCCTCAAAGTCCCAGGACTCATTGGCACAGGTGCAGCTACTTTGTGCTCTTTTCCGGTCCTCAGCACTCCCTATTTCCACACATGCCTTGGCTCTCTAGGGCAGCACCTGCAGCTCTCTGCTTGAGGCTTTCTCTGGTTGCAGGTTCATGACAGGCCCATATGCCATGGAGTTAACTGTCCTGGGAGTTGAGAGTGGGTGCGTAAATATGCCAATGCCTTTGTCCCTTGGGTGAGCCAACCTTGAAGCATGTGCTGTGTAGTCTCACAGAGATGTCAAAGGGGATCGAGTCCCAGTTATTCACTGCAACAACTGGCTCATAAACACACCCTTTGTTGTCTTTCTTCTCACCCTTGTCTCCCTTCCCTAGACCCTTATCAATGTTCCTAGGATTACCTCCAAATTCTTATCTTGCCATCTGCTCCTGGGAGAACTCAACCAAAGGCAATAGAGAGGTCTTTGCAGAGGTGAGAGGCACACAGCACAGGCATGCAGTGAGTGCTGCCATATTGCACCTGTGTAAAGCTGCTCAGAGACCATGAAGAGCTGGTCACTGCAGTGACCACTGGGGCAGAAGTCAGGCGAGGCTGAGAGGATCTGAAGTGGCACATACAGGTGTCATATGGGTGTTTGATTCACCTGAGAAAAAACGGTAAAGTTCATAGATTTTGTGGAGGTGGAGGCCCTGAGGAAGTACTCACACCATGCAGTGACTGTGCTCAGTACTACCTGTAAGTCGATGCATCTAAGCCTTGGCATTTGTGAAATGGGTACTGTGATCATTATCCACATTTTACAAATGAGAAAACTGAAGCCCAGATGGATTAAGTAACTGGCCTAAGGTAATACAGTAAGAAAAAGGCAGGGGCAGGACTTGAACCCAAGGCAATTTACTTCCAGAAGCTGCACCTTTAAGTTCATGGTTAAGGATGATGTTCCTTGACCATTACTATGATAATAGCAGGGTTATCATGGCCAACAGAGACTATTAGGCATCCTGTCCCATTGACCTCCGACATGACTCAGTTCCTTAGTTGAGTGGGTGTGTGTGAGTGTGAGTGTGAGTTTGTGTGCTTATGTATTGAGTGATGGGAGCAAGGGGAAAAGGTTAAAATGTAGAGACCACATTCCCTGAAGTGTTATCCAAGGAAATAACCTCCCACTCTTTGCAATCAAAGCAGAAGCTGGGTCTGAGTCTCGGGTCGTGGTTTGGGTCTTTTTCCAGGACCTGAGGCTGTTTCTAAATTAGACTTTAACTTACTGACCATCAAATAAGCACAAAGCAAAACAACTTTTTGATGAGTTAAGTGTAAATGAGTCAGAGGCAGACAGATTAAATTTTCCCTCAAATGCACATGGGTTAAAAAAAATTATAGTCTCCAGAGAGGCTGGCTCCTTGAGGACTGAGTTTTTGCCAAGTCAGCACATCGGAGGAAGAGTCTGTGACTCTCTGCCAAACCCCAAGCACCACTGGCCTCCTCGCCTTGGCTTCTTGCTGAACCCAGGAGGAATCCATTTTCCTAAATCCTTGCTGTCTGTCAGAACTGAGGGCCCATTTCTGCGCAAATGATTCATTGTTATAATTTGTGCCACTCCTCACAGACTTACGGACTTTTTATTTTTTACACCAGCTCCTATGTAGTATTTCAAAAGTCGCCTTTCTGTCCCTGTATCCTTGCTGCCCTTCTGCCATCTCTTTGCCAACAAATTCAAAACAGGAGTCAGCGACAGGCGTTCTTTGAGTCTAGCCCAGAATCTCACTCTGCCTCTGGCAGTATATTTCTGACAGGTGCAGAACAGGCAGGAGAAATGACAGCATCATGCAGAATGCAAGCAAATATGGCACTGTGAATCATCATTTCTCCTGCTCGGATCTGTCTGGGTTATAGTGAAATCATCTTTTGGGACAGTTTTTGTTCTTTTACCCGAACAAAGAAATCACTTGTGGATATTATTCATCCTCCAATTCCTTTTTAAGAACACAACAATTAGAAAAGGATTAGAATAATTTTGAGTAGCTGGATACTTCTCATTCCAAGTTTTTGTGGTAAAAATGTGTTCTCCATTGCAGTGTGGCTATAAAAACAAAACTGCAGCAAGACCATTGATGTGTCTCTGAATATTAGCTGCAGAGGGCAGCGGGATGACATTTACAGGGAGCATACAGGCTGACTGACGGTTGAAAACTGAGTGCAAACTGGACTACCTAGCCTTGATTTGTTAAATTGCAGGCAATTCTAGTTCCAAGGTGGGTGAAATGAACAATCTAGAGCCAGGAAAATAAACCTCTTCCCTTTGCAAAATGGCTACAGTTTCTAAAACGGAGCCTCTTGCACCTGCCAATTCCTTTGCATTTGGCTTGGGTTTTAATGAGTGCCCGGGGTGTAGTTGTCTCTCACAAGCTTTTTGCTGAGCATCCAGCTAATGCGTCAGAACTCCACTTGTAGAACTTCTGGCATCCCCACCTGCAATATTCCAGAGGCCTTGTCCGTTCAGGCACTTTTTGTTCTATGGATCCTGGAAGGCGCTTCCATCTGAGAGTGAAACAGATTTCAGAGAACATGCGCATCAACCCGTCGAACATTCTGCACGGTTGGTGACATACAATGGCTTAGAATAGTGCCCATTTAATGGCTTGCATACAGCTCACGAGAGGATTCTGAAGTGCAGCCTCCTTTGATACTGAGCTGTACGTGTGGAAGCCACAGTGAAGTTGAACAGCAGATGGAAAACTCCACCAAACCTTTTATTGGCCATATGTCACTTTTGAGTGTTGGCCAACAAACTAAATTTGCAGCTAATATATAATGATTTAAACAGCAAAAAAGAGCAGCTGCACTTCGATTTCTGATGTCTTTTCTCCAGGCTCCCCTAGCTTGCTGGAGTTTCTTGAGCTTTTTTACTTTAACCCTGTGCTGTCTCCCTGAATTTTCACCAGGTGGCACCATCTTCAGCACTACAGTGTAAGCTGCCTCCAACTTTGCTGGCTTAGCTCCCTGTTGCTCCTTTCTCATGGGCCAAGACTTCTAACTTTTTGCTATTATTATCATTATTATTCAATTTGATAAGAAATACCACAAAGCACAAGACTCTGGTATTTTTGTACTTTCACCCACTTGGCTATCTTCTTTTTCTCAAATCCTTCATAGGCACAGGGCCCCCTGTAGTCTCTTTTGGGGTGTCTGGACTGGCCTTCTGTTCAGCCTATAGGGTTTGTCCTTGGGGTGGACTGTGGAAGGGGAGCTCATTCTGCTTTATGAGGATATGACCTGGGATGGAGCTCCCCTGGGAAACTCAACTCTCTTACTGTCAGAATCATCTAGAAGGAAATGATTGATGTCAGAAATAAGGAGAACAGGCCACCTCCTGACTCTTAATTTTTTCTATCTCTTCCACACAATGCAATTGAAGTGGCAAGTCTTCACTCCTAGTGGCCATGAACATACTGGCTGGCCTAGTGCTTTCAGTCTCCTGGAAGAAGAGGTTCCTTGTTACAAAGTGAGGGTTATGCAGTTGCTTTTGGGGTCAGAGTGCTGGAAACAGCCAGGAAAGGAGTGGGGAACCATATGAATCTAAGCTTGCATGTCTGCCAACCACTAACTCAATAATTCAATTTCGAAATATATGATTGCTGAGGTCGTGTGATCATAAAATGGCCCTAAAGTTGTCATTGTAACCATCTCCAACTCAGGTTTCTGTGTATTAATTTTCCTGAAAAACTCAGCCACCTCCCTGAGGTTGTTCAAAAGACTTTGAATAGCATTGTGAATAAAAATTGTAACAGAGTACATCAAACTCAATGATTTCTATAACATCTGGAGCAAAGCACATTAAATGAAGAGTAAAATCCATATTCATCATGGGTGTTTGGGTTTGTTTTCTGTTTTTATAAAGAGATGAAGTAAGAAATATCTTTCCTGTAGGGATTTTTAGTTATCTGTTCCTATGCTACACTGGACACCTCACAGAAGAATTATAGCCTTGGTTTTTGTATTTGTAGGAGTTGGTTCTCTTTTTAGGTTGGATAGGTTGGATTAAGATTTTGTCCTGCAGCAACTTCACCTTGGGGAATTTATCCTACAGATAGAACTGCTGCATGAAATAACATGTGTACATAGTTAATCATTTCATCCTTATTTATAAAAGCAGGAGATTGGAAACAACCCAAATGTTTATCAATAGAGGACAAACTTACAATGCAACCATACATTGGAAAGAGCTCCAAGACATTTGCTAGTGCAAGTCAGGTGCAGAACAGATCGGATAGTGTACTATCTTTTAAATCTGTGTAATATTTGTTTGTATACACAAAGAAACTTTGGAAGGATACATACAGAAGTAAGCTGAGGGGACAGCAAGGACAGAGTCTATAGGAAAGAATAAGCCACTTGCTTCTCAGCCTCTCGGAATCTGGCTTTTGTGTCCATTGTTCCAAAGAAAAAATTCCCTACTGGCTCACCTATCATGTCCTAACTGCCAATCGTGAGCTTCCTTGATACTCCTGACCATTGCTGACCACTTGCTCCTTCACAGTGAGGCAACTCCAGTGTAGAATAATCAGAAATGCTGCCATTTGAAATTCTGCAGCTCTGCTGGTGAGCGAGCTGGTATTTCTGAGCATGCGCTGTCTTTGCAGAGGTTATCTCTTTTAATCATTACAACGGCCCTTTGAGAGAGGTACTATGGTTATCTCCATTTTCCAGATGAAGAAACTAAGGCTCAGAGAGCTTAATTAACATGTCCTGAGTTGTATAATGCCTGGATGATGGGGTCAAGATTGAGCCCCAGATGGCTAGTCTCCAATGCAAGTGTCTGAGCATTTTGTGAATGGGCAATGCAGCAACGCTCCATTTACTGCTTCTGTCTTCTCTTCTCACTCTGCTCTGGCCTATTTCTTCTTTTTCTCTTCTCTTCTTCTTTTTTTTTTTTGAGACAGAATTTCACTGTTGTTGCCCAGGCTGGAGTGCAATGGCACAATCTCAGATCGCTGAAACCTCCGCCTCCCAGGTTCAAGCAATTCTCCTGGCTCAGCCTCCCGAGTAGCTGGCACAGGCATGTGCCACGACACCTGGCTAATTTTGTATTTTTAGTAGATATGGGGTTTCTCCATGTTGGTCAGGCTGGTCTCGAACTCCCAACCTCAGGTGATCCACCCGCCTTGGCCTCCCAAAGTGCTGGGATTACAGGCGTGAGCCACCATGCTGGTCCTGCTATGGCCTATTTCTTCCACTACTCTTGTTGTTCATGTACTAACTCCTTTACCAGCTCTTCTTTTTTCTTCTTCTCAAACAAAGGTGTCTCCAAGGTCCGACCTTTGTTCTCCTCTCTGTAGTTACCCTCTCACTACCTTTGAAAATCTTTGACTCTCACCCAATAGGTTTGCCTTCTGAGTCCATGTCTGTATTTTCAGACACTCATTTCCACCTGCTTGATGGACATTGCCACCTGGACCTGCTGTAACTGGAGGGTCAATATTTCCCAAACCCAATACCTCATTTTCCTGCTCACAATTTGGTTCTTCTCCTTGTTTCCCTTTCCTGATAATACTACCCCCGAAACTTCCCATCCCTTAAGCTCAAAACCTTAGAGAAGGTTTTGATTCCTTTTTTCTCCCTTGCTTCCGATTTCCAATAATTGAAATATTATGCTGTTTTGGGTTCTGCTGCCTTCACGTGGCTCTGTTGCTCATGACATCTTGCCTCTCCTAACTAACCATCCCCCCTGTATGGGATGTTCTTCTCCTGTTATCTAACCAATAATCCTGATATAGTATGCCACCCGTGAGATCAACGTGAGGGGAACCTTCAGATGTGGAACACACAAAAAGACTTTCTGAATGGAAAGGCCAGGAGCATGAGTTATTATAAAGCTGCCAATCCTCCTTAAATTATAATTTTAGTGAGTCCCCAATAAAAATAGCAGCAGGTTTTAAAAACTATTTTTCTGTAACCAGACAAGCTGATTTGAGAGTTCTGATGGAAAAATAAGTATACTAGAATATCCAGGAAATTTCTGAAAAAGAGGACTAAAAAGAGAGAACTAGCCCAAATAGATATTAAAATTCTTATGAAATGTTGTCCATTAATATAGCTTAATAGCTGTACATGAATAAACAAGTAGAATAGACATAATAGAATCAAACTGACCCCAATGCTTACAAGAATTTAGTATTTCTTAGATTTTCTGAATCTTTATCAGTGGGGACAATTTTTGCAATTCAATAAATAGTGCTGGGACAATTGCGGAGCCATCTGGAAAACAATAAAGTTGTATCTCTCCTAACCCTCTATACCAAAGTGAGTGCCAGATGGACTATCAACAGGAAAATTAAACTATCAAAGTTCTAGGAAAATAATTGAAAATTTTAAAATGATCATGGCATAGAGAAGGCCTTTCTAAGCATGATTAAAACCAAACATATCTGCATAATAGAAAACACTATAAATAAAGTCAAATTCTGAACAGGGAAAAATATTTGTAACAAACATGTCAGACAGAGGGCTTAATTTGTTAAAATATAAAGAACTTCTACAAATCAATAGAAAAAAGACCAAAACTCTAATAGAAAAATTGGCAAAGTACATGAGCCAATAGCTCACAAAAGGAAATACAAGTGGTATTTAGATATTTGAAAGCATGCCTAGGCTCCACACAATAAGCAATTGTAAATTAAAACTGTATTTTTCACCTTGTAGCCAAAGATGATTAAAATGTATTTTCAGTCACCTATTTTCGACAAGATTATGAGGAAATAGGCATACATACTGTTTTTTTTTTTGAGACAGGATCTCACTCTGTCATGCAGGCTGGAGTGCAGTGGCACGATTTCAGCTCACTTCAACCTCCACCTTCCGGGTTCAAGTGATTCTCCCACCTCAGCTTCCTGAGTAGCTGGGATTATACGCATGCACCACAGTGCCCAGATAATTTTTGTATTTTTTGGTAGAGACTGGGTTTCACCACGTTGGCCAGGCTGGTCTTGAGCTTCTGACCTCAGGTGATCCACCCACCTCGGCCTTCCAAAGTGCTGGGATTACAGGTGTGAGTCACCGCGCCTGGCCCATACTTATATTTTAGTTATGTAAACAGAACAACCTCTAAAGAGGGAAATTTTTGAATATCATCAAAATTTGAAATGTGCATACCCTTTGATGTATCAATTGCATGTTTGAGAATTTCTCCTACATTTTTATTTATACTTATGTCTGAAGAAATCTAAAGATATTTGTTACAGCACTAAGTGTAATAGTATGTTTTATCAACTCAAAAAATAAATGAAAACAATCACAAGCGTGGAGCCTGCCATGCTTACCCTCTGCTTAAAGCCTCCCCGTTGATTTCTGCCAGCGATGAAAGTTTTTGTAATCCAGCCCCAGCCCTCCCTTTTTCTCTCGTGTCTTGCTTCCCTCTGTACTCCCTACACTCAGGCCAAATGACCATGCTGTTTGTCCTGCACCTTCCCACCTCCATATCTCTCTTTGTGCTGATTCTGCTGCCTGGCTGGTCCTCTCTCCAGCCTTTCCCCTCTTATTCATCTGTGTGAATACTAACCTGCCTTACAGGCCACCTCTTTCTGAAGACATCTTTGAACTCCACGCAATTCCCCATCCCGAGCTGGAAATAGCCACCTCCTCTAACTTGACATGATCCTTTTTGCCAAACAATTAACTTATATTTTCTACCAAGAATGAAAATATATTCATGTATTTTCTGATATTAAAGTATGTAATATGCACATACTTAAAAAAGTGGAAAATCTCAGGGCTCATCCCCATACGTGTACATGTGTGTGATGTGCAGGTGTGGGTGCATAGAAGAATAAAGAAAAAATAAATTTCCTGAAATAGATTTCTGGGTCAAAGAATATGCATATTTAAAATGTTGGTATATGTTGCCAAACTGATCTCTGGGAAGATTCAGAATTCACTAAACAATATTTATTGAGAACATAACATGTGCCAGGAACTATATGCTAGATATTTAGGCTGCAATGGAGAACAACACCAGATGTGCTCTCTGCCCCTGTGCCAAATCAAATAAAAGGGATTTGATCTAGTTGTGAATTCAAGGATGACTTCCTGAGGAAGTGACATTTCAGGTAAAGCCCAAAGGTTAAATAGGAGATAACTAGACTAATGGGAGTTAAAAGGTCTTCATTCAATGCCTGTATAAATGTGGCTGGACAGGGAGTTGAAGAAGGTTGGGATGGCTGGAGTAGAAATGAGGCAGAGTGTGGTGCAAGATGAGGCTAGAGACATGTGTAGGGAGCATACCATAGACAGATTTGTAGGTCTTATTAAAGAGGTTACTGTTTTTCTAACAGTAAGGAGAGGTATAAGCAAGGTTGAGGGATCATATTTGTATTTTGAAAGGATAAATTCGGCTGAGTAGAGAGAACTGATGAACAGAGGCAAGAATGAAGACAGGTTGACAAGGTAGGAGGGTATTGCAAAGTCCAAGTGACAGATGATAATAGCTTAAACTAGTCTGAATCGCAGACCGTGATACATAGCTTGGACCAGGATAGTCAAGGCAGACATACAGAAGAGCAGATCATTTTATGATTTTACCAATTTATACCACTATCAGAAATGGATATCATTGGTTAATTTTGCCATTGCCAATCCAAGGTGATTGTGTATGTGTGTGTTTAATATATGTTGTACATAGTATATATAATTTAAAGTATGTATTATATATATAAAATTTTTCCTTTCTTTGATAATTGCTAAGATTGAATATCTTTTCATATTTCATTGACCACTTTCATTTGTATTTATCTCTTCTTTTGAATTATCTCTACATATCCTTTGTCTATTTTCTTATTGGGACTTATGTTCCTTTCCTGTTTGGGATGCAGTCCAGGATCTCACATTGCATTTAATGATCATGTCTTTGCTGTTTCCACTGATTGATGATAGTTTCTCAGGTGTGTATCTTTTTATTAATGATTTGAATAAAGTATGTTATATTGATGCAGGGTAGCGCTTGGTAAAAATCCAAGTATAAAATCAAGGCAATCTTAAAGCAATTTTAAAAAATGATGATCTGTGACATATGTTGCAAATTTTTTTCCAGTTTGTCTTTCTGTTTGTTTGTGTAAGTGGTTTTAAGTGTGGGTTTGTGTGTGTATGTGTGATATCATTGTCAAACGAATTGATCTTTTCCTTTATTATTTCTAGCTTTGGTATAATGCTTAAGATTCCTCCCCATCCCAAGGTTATGGTGAGTTATCCTCTACTGCTTTTACAACCATACGTTTTCCAGGTCATATCCAATACGATGCAAAACAGACATCTTTACCCTATTCCTCTATTCTTCCCCCCTCCCACCCCACGCCTCCAACTTTACCAGATGGGGCAATAAAATGTGGTGCTGAGGTGGCACTTATGGTATAAATTCAGCAATGTCAGATTCTTGCTCTACAGCTCTCCTCTGAACTGCTTTGACTGCAAAAGACCTACCTTGGGTCCTGACAAAGGTCTTTCTTGCACCAGTGCTACTTTTCAATTGCTTAACCAATTCTACCTAATCATAAGTTCCCTGAAGTCAGGAACCAGATCTATTTTATTTTGTGCAATACTCATGTGGCTGGGCCTTAATTTAATTTTAATTTAATTTAATTTAATTTAATTTTGATGGAGTTTTGCTCTTGTTGCGCAGGCTGGAGTGCAGTGGCACAATCTTGGCTCACTGCAACCTCCTCCTCCTGAGTTCAAGTGATTCTCCTGACCCAGCCTCCCGAGTAGCTGGGATTACAGGCGTGCATCACCATGCCTGGCTAATTTTTTATTTCTATTAGAGACAGGGTTTCTCCATGTTGGCCAGGCTTGTCTCGAACTCCCAACCTCAGATGATCTGCTCACCTTAGCCTCCCAAAGTGCTGGGATTACAGGCGTGAGCCACCGTGCCTGGACAGCTGGGCCCTTTTTAACAGCCTCTGCCAACGTAACATTTCAATGCATTATTCCCATGAGAAAAACACAAACTCTTACCACATTGATAAAAACATAGATATTGTCAAAGTTTTGTGAGGTAGTCATTGGAAGTGAAGGTCTATCATAAATTATACAGCAAGACAGTCAAATTTCTACATGGGGAAGTATTTTTGCCCACTTTCTCATCTCCTCTCCTCTCCTCTCCAATCTCTCTCCAGCAAGAGTAAAAAGCCTACTCAGCAAAATTAACACCCCCAGAAAAGCCTAGTAAGGATGAGATATTTTTCTTCAAACTTCCCTTAAGGGTTTCAGTTCATCATGACCGTAATCTCCTGATGTTTTTATTAGAAAACTTTGTGCATGCCAGAGAGTCAATAAGTACTCCTGGGATCAGTGAATTTGTTGGTAATCCTGTCCTGATACTTGACTTATGTAGTGTCTTTGTTGGAATCTAGGAGATAAACAAGAGTATTTCCTTTTCTATCTGCTTCTTGTTTTCCTTTTACAGAAAGAATTAGGGCTCTGTTGAAATCTTACCACCATTTTATGGGCTATCAGGTCAAGTTAATTATAATAAATATCCATCTTAAATTCTCATCAAAGGGCTTCGTTACTGAAGCAGCATTTTCTTAAGTGATCCCTTAGCACAGACCCATTACTCTGGGTGAGCTAAAAATAAGGAGTTCACCTTTCTGTCCTGGGTGGCCAGACAGATCTAAATCTATTTGGAATAAAGCCTCAGGCTAAAAGCTAAAAGCCAACAGTTCCCAAATGAGAAATGATATCTTCCCTGAAGAGTGGGAAGGAGAAACGAGCTGAAATGCTAGTGCAACACTGGACACAGTAGATGTGAACAATTTTGGTTCTAAGGAGCAAGCCTTGTGCACAGCGGCAGCTGTTTCACTTCAATTGACCTGATGCCACACCAGAGTTTGATTTCAAAAAGAGCCACAGGACATTTGAATCTCAACTGGGCACCGGGGAACAAAATGGAAGTCAAGTTCAAGTTATAAAAAGACTGATGTCTCAGCACCTAATTCTAATCTAATGGTGAGTGGGATCATTTTCCCTCTTTTCCTCTTTTCTTTCATTTCCTAATGACCCACCCTGTTTTCTAGGTCCTTTTAAGCCTTAATTCACCTCTAACAAGTTCACCTTAGGTGAAGCTGTCTCTTGTTGGTGATGTGACTGGAGGCAAATCACTTTTTCTCTCTTAGCCTCATCTTAAGACAGTAAGGAAAATAATGAGCAATAATGTGGGTAGAGCAGCCAGCATGGAACTGGGTACCCAGCAGGTACTCCTGTGATTTGTTTTAAGAGAATCCAGTTTTCCAGCTGTCAAGATACCTCAGCCTTCCTCTTTTTCTTGGACCATTGGAAGGGAGATTCCTCAAGCAACACGGACAAGAGGCATACTCCTTTCTGATTCCTGGCCACAGCAAAATTCTCGGCATTTAGATTTCTTGCCCATTCTGAAAGCCTGGATGATGGCTCCCTAGTATCTCTTCAGATGCCACAGCCCATGAGTTATGGCTTCCGCTGACCTCTCTGCAGGGTAGGACGATGAGCTGGCAACAGCTGTGGGAGCTGCAGTAAAGAGCCTGCAGAATCAAAGCTGCAGCTGGGTTAATGACACTGTGGCATTGGGGTAGCTGTCTTGAGGACTATAAAAAAAGAAAGGAAAAAGAAAAACAAGAAAAAAAATCCCAAATCTCAAAACAAAGACAGATGTTTTGACTTAGGAAAAGAACATAAAGAGATATCAGTTTAGATATTTGTTTTCCTAACAGCAAATTGAGACCTAATTGGGTTAAAATAAATGGGAGGTTGTTTTGTATTTATAACAAAATTAACTCAAAAAGGAAATGAAAATTCATTCCTCTCTATTCTTCCATTTCCCCCTTTCTTTCTTCATTTTCCTCTGTCTTCCTCCAATACAAAAACAAAACAAAATGAAAACTCCCCTCCTCAGAATTATTCCATGGGGATTAGGTGGGCTGGCCCAGAGATGTGGTGGGTATAATCTATATATGGGCATCTTGGAAATTCCCCCCCTCAACTTTCTCTGCTAAGTATACTTGAATCTGACAGTGGCAGAGACCTCAGTTAATTAATTTATTTTATTTTTTGAGACAAGGTCTGGCTCTGTTGCCCAGGCTGGAGTGTAATGGCATGATCTCGGCTCACTACAAGCTCCGCCTCCCAGTCTCAAGCAATTCTCATGCCTCAGCTTCCTGAGTAGCTGGGATTACATGCATGCACCACCATGCCCAGCTAATTTTTGTATTTTTAGTAGAGATGGGGTTTCACCGCGTTGCCCAGGCTGATCTTGAACTCCTGAGCTCAAGTGATCCACCCACCTTGGCCTCCCAAAGTGCTAGGATTACAGGTGTGAGCCACCGCACCCAGCCAAACTCAGTTAATTTAAATGCTAGTTTAGCATGCTAAATGATGGCCAGCAATGTAGGGAGAGAAGGATTATCACCTGTGGTTGCGGACACTCAAGCCCTAGAGTGGGATTCATGAGACATAGGTTTTAGTTCTGTGTCGACCCCTTAACTGACATATTACTTTGGGAAAATAACTCAACTTCTTGAGGACTCCACTTTCTACTGTCTCTCCCTCGTCTAAAATTCAAAGTCTATGTCTTAGGCAGGGCTTCTGTGTGTAGTTATGTAGGTTAGATGCCTATACTTGGGGAAGGTATGGCTTGAAATCCAGCCTTTGTTCCTCTTGCCAAGACTCTGCCTTCCCAGAGGGGCCACTTTTTGAAATAGGCTCAAAGTGCCTATGTGCCAGCTCTGACCTCGATTCTGGGCCTGAGAAAAAGTCCTCCCTAAAATGCGGCAGAGATAAAGAATAGGAGAGGCATTTTTGAGAGGCTGGGAGCTGAAAGCCAGTTGATGTAACTATGCCTGCGGGATGATCAAGAGTGATCACAAGACAAGGGATGTCTGCAGGAGACAAGATGAAGTTTGGAGGGTGGAGAGGAGGCTGAACATCTAGAGTCTGGAGAAACCCAGAAAGGAATCTGAAGAGAACAAGGTAAGTATCTCTCCTCCCAATAGCAGGGTGACTTAGAGTGTAGGATAGCCTCAATTCAATAAGACACAGAGAAACCAGACGGGGAGGACTGCACACCCCACTGACATACAGAGTTATGACTGATGCTATGCTGTGGCTGAGGATAGAGAGGTGGTTATAGGGGAATGGAGTGGGGGACGGGCTGGGAGAAGGTGGAAATAAGAGTAGAACATGAAGATGAAACAGACTCAAAGCCCATGCTTTCAGGTAATGAAGAGCTGTGATTTATGTACTGTCACGTACATGGAGTTTGTCCCCTCTAGAATCTGCTCCCTGAAGTAAAGTGGTTTGCATTGTGCTTGACTACATCTGATTGACAGGCCTCCCATTGTGTCTCAAGGCATCCTAAGATGAAAAGATGCTGAAGATAAGTGACGGGGAAGTGAAAGGTCCAAGGTGGTGTTATAAATAAAAAAGGCTTTAAAATCAGGTGTTGAAAATATGAGATTCTACCCGGAATTCCCTTGATCTGGTTTGTTTGAGATGGTGAGATAATTATAATCTGGAAGACAAGAGCAGGAAATGTGAATAAGTTAAAAAAAAAAAAAAAGACTGTAGAGAATGGGGCTGGGAAGAGGTGAGTAAATCCTCGACCTACTCAGATTTCTTCAGGAGGAGAAAAAAAAAAAAAAAGGTTCCTGATGTCCAAAGAGAAGGTTGGGGGCAAAATGAAATAAAAAGAAATAAAATAAAGAAACCTCTTTCCAAAATATATTCAGACTTGTCACAACTGGGAAAAATGGAAGAGATTCTATTTGAAGAATTCCCAGGGGTGAATTGGTGGCTGGGGGTGAAGGCACTGTGGAAAGGGTACTTTGGCTTGGGGCTGGGATGGGGAGGAGCATCCCAGAACCAGCAGCAGGGCCCTGGCATAGTTAGGTGGGGGCTAAGAAGCAGCCAGCAGCAGTAGGTTGAACTCAAACTGACTTTCATGCCAAGCAGGGCCAAGTGCAATGTGAGGGCTGGTGAAAATCCCTGTTACAGCTGTCAGTATAGACCGTGCTCCCTGGATTTTCCCAAAATGTGCTGAGAAGTTTCCGTGGGAGTTGTGTAAGCTGACAGCCCACATGAGGCGCTTAAAACATCAGAGGCAAATGTAGACCTGGGAGGCAGTTCTGCCTTCTCACCTGGTTCGGAGGCTGAGGAAGAGAAGGGAGCAGG
Source organism: Homo sapiens (assembly GCF_000001405.40). Taxonomy (NCBI): domain Eukaryota; kingdom Metazoa; phylum Chordata; class Mammalia; order Primates; family Hominidae; genus Homo; species Homo sapiens. The sequence continues at coordinate 48,073,975 of NC_000015.10, read as the reverse complement.
CACACAGAGTGGAAACAGCTCTGGGTCACATGGGCACAATGTCAGGTTCCAGCCCTTCTGCAGACAGTTGACCTTACTTACCTAGTGGGCTTTGATGTAGTTTGAATGTTTCTTCCCTCCAAATCTCATGTGGAAATATGATCCCCAGTGTTGGAGGTGGGGTGTGGTGGAAGTTGTTTGGGCCATGGGGGCAGATCCCTTGTGAATGGCTTGGTGCTCTCCCTGCAGTAATAAGTTCACATGAGGTCTGATGGTCTCATAAAAAAGACTCTGAGACCTCCTCAACCTTCTTTCTCCCTCTCTTGCCATGTGCTACACCTGCTCCCCCTTCACCTTCTGCTTTGATTGTAAGTTTCCTGAGGCCTCACCAGAAGCTGATCAGATACTGGTGCCATGCTTGTACAGCCTGCAGAACTGTGAGCCAAATAAACCTGTTTTCTTTAGAAATTATCTGGTTTCAGGTATTCCTTTATAGCAACACAAAACAGACTAATAGAAGTCTCTTGGTCTTCAAGATTCTTATGAGTTCTCTGAAACTGAGATAAACCTCATAGTCCTCTACATAACATCCTCGCCTCAGTCTTCATGAAATGCCGGAGGCCTGTTCACATTAGGATGACCACAGCTGGGGGTACCAATAACCCCACGAAGAAAGCCTTTCCATGGACATCAGGGCCTGGTACACCATCCATGCAGCTTGTTCCTACATGCCACACAGTTCCCTGCTGTGAGAGCCACTGCTAGCAAGACATCCAGTGCTTGCATACAATACTGAGAATCCTATCCTGGAACATCCCTGTTAGGCTGTGATATGGATTGGCTATGTCCCCATCCAAACCTCATCTTGAATTTCAGCGTGTTGTGACAGGGACCCAGTGGGAGGTAATTGAATCACGGGGGCAAATCTTTCCCGAGCTGTTCTGATGATAGTGAATTAAGTCTCACGAGATTGATGGTTTTAAAAAGAGGAGTTCCCCTACACAAGCTCTCTCTCTTTGCCTGCTGCCATCCATGTAAGACGTGACTTGCTCTTCCTTGCCTTCTGCCATGATTGTGAGGCTTCCCCAGCCACATGGAACTGTGAGTCAAATTAAACCTCTTTATTTTGTAAATAGCCCAGTCTCAGGTATGTCTTTATTATCAGTGTGAAAATGGACTAATACAGGCTGGCATTATTTTCTTACTAAGCAAATGAGAAATACATTCAGCAGAGGTATATGACCTACCCAAGGTCACAGAGCTGGGAGTCAAACCAAACTGTGTTTTTCCTACTATGCCTTAATCCTCCTCATGTCATCCATGTCCATACTCACTCCTGGAACTGCCCTCATTTTCTCAAACTCCCAACTTATTATTTCAGAACAGAATTCTGTTCTTTGTAGCTATCTCTCATAACTTCAAGGAAATATAAGTTATTGGAACAGATATACTCAAAGAAGCTCACCTTTGGCAAACACTGTCAAGTTAAGATTTGTAAGCCACAAAAGAAAATCAAGTAAAATGATATTATTTTGTTTCTTTAAATCCATAAAACCAAAAATCTCCAGTGAACTAGAAAATCTGTCTACAAAAATCATTAAGTTAAAAATAAACTTTAAAAATTGACTGGCAATCAACATGAAAAATAGAAATTTTAAGACCTTCAGACTAGAGCAGTAATTATATTATTGATCCAAAGGATTAAGGCAAAGAGGAGGAACTTGGGAATAGAGTATGACTAATGATTGCTGCCGTTTCCCTGGGAACTTTGAGGTATGATGGGTGATTAAGTTTTGGAACCCCAGGAGGAAGCCACTCTCTCCCTACCTCCAATCCCATCTTAAAGAACTTTGTTCAACAGACTATATCCCAAAGCAGTTTTGCTAGCAACTTTGAATGTGGCCATATGATAGAATAAAGTACTTTGTAAGCTGTGATGGGCTTTACAAAAACAAGGGCTGTCTTCGTCCTGGAGGCTAGAACTTAGGTTTTTTTCATGTTTGTATCCTTAGAATACTTGGACTCAGTAAGTATTCACTGAATGAATAAATCAAATATCCTACCAACAACCTCCTTCTGATATTACTCCTAAATGAAAGGATTTGGTGGGGCAGGGAGGGAGTAGGGGAGGCAGTCATTTACTATGTATTTGCAGCCTTAACACTGCCTGGAGGACTTTGTTGCATCCTATTCTGCTGTGAGGAATCCTATAGAAACAGAGTCCTGCTATTGAGAGACAGTGTGGAGGAGATGACCTTGACATTCCCTTCTAGATCCTAGATTCTGGGCTTGTGGATGCATAAGGGTTCCCCTGGTGACCCCATATGGTTTTCCCTTTACTTGCTCACTGCCACCTTTGGCTGGTGGCCCAGCTGGGCTGTCTCAGGTTGTTCATTTCAGCTCCTAGAAACTCAGGCCTCACTTGATTTCTATCATCTGGCCCTTGGAATTTCCCTTCCAAAATCATAAATGAATGCACAGAAGGTACACTGGAGTAGTTATTTTTTTAGGTTACTCTTGATAGTAGATTCTAGTCACTCATTTACTCAGCAGATTTAATGCTCACTTATTAGGTGCCAGAAACCCTACTATTATTCAAGGTCTAGTTCTGAACAACACAGACAAGTCCCTCTTGTCATGGAAGCCGTATGCTAGTGGCTGGGAGAAGGACCCCCGGAGAGTGAGCTCCTCTGTGACTGGCCTCCGCCTCCCTACCCCACCACTAGACAGATTTTGCAATAGAAAATAACACAATAGTATGTCTGAAAGGTCCAGGGAGGCAACAGAGGTGGCATCAAGAACCTCACTCTCAACAATTTTAAGTTATTAACTTTGGTTTATATGGTTTTTACATTCTGACTAGCCAGGGGACTGGGCTACTTGTGAAGATGGTCACGCTGAGTAGCAGAAACTGCTCCCAGCCATGTCTGTCTCCCAGCCTATTACTGAATTACCTTTGAACCTTCTCTCTGCTTCTCAGTAGAAAGTGTGCAGCATAAACAAATTGCCTCTGATACTCACTGAAACTATTAGGATTGGAACTTAGGGAAAAAATTTTGCTACTTTGGCTTCAAAGTGTGCCCTGGTGTGAACCTGTCTGCCAGGGCATTTTCTTCTCTCTGTAGAACTGTATAGTATGGCTAGCTAGAAGCATCAGATCTCGGTTGTGTACTTGGGGCTCCTATGGACTCCTTTGAGGGCTGGGGATGGAGCAAGGCTTTTCTCTGCTCCAGGAGCACAGTGAGGATGTTCTGCCTCCTGAAGCAGAGAGCTCTTGCCCCCTCTGCCCTGGCTTTTTGCAAATAGCTTTCAGGGAGGGCACAGCTTCCACTAAAACTCTTGCCTTTGTGGGCTTGCAGGAATGTGCTTAGTGAGAGACTACCCAACCCTCCAAAGAGTTCTGGTGAAAAGAACTGACAAATACATCTGTATTAGTCTGTTCTCATGCTGCTAATAAAGATATACCCGAAACTGGGTAATTTATAAAGGAAAGAGATTCCATTGACTCACTGTTCCACATGGCTGGGGAGGCCTCACAATCATGGTGGAAGGTGAATGAGGAGCAAAGTCACATCTTACATGGTGGCAGGCAAGAGAGCGTGTGCAGGGGAACTGCCCTTTATAAAACCATCAGATCTTGCAAGACTCATTCACTATCACAAGAACGGCACAGGAAGACCTGCCCCCATGATTCAGTTACCTCCCACTGGGTCCCTCCCACGACATGTGGGAATTATGGGAGCTACAGTTCAAGATGAGATTTGGGTGGGGACACAGCCAAACCATATCAACATGATTAGGTTACCCTTAAAGATTCTGGGTGATGGAGTATTGCATCTGAACACTGGGACAACTCCAGCCAAATTGCAAGTTTTGTTTTTAGGAGCTCTTGAACAAGTCTGACCTGGGTTACCAAAACTGGTTTGAGAAGAGACTTCACAGCCTCCCCATCTCCCAAGGAGCTTGAGGCATTTGGCTGAAGATTTGGGAACTTCGAAAGATCGTTTCATCAACTACCAAAATAAACTAATCAAAATAACTCTTTAAAGCTACCTAAAGTTCATTCTGGAACAAGACAAGTTTATAAATACGGAAAATAATTAAGAAAAGGAATTGTTTTTTAGTAGTTGGGGGGCCATGGGGAGAATAAAAATTTTCTACAAGATTCACCTTTGCCATAACAAGAATTTATCTTGTAGGGCTTTGTCCATTTCATTCTGTCCTGTTGGCTGATTATGTGTACATTGTCTTCTCAAAAGGGAGAATTCTGATTGCCTTTTTCCCTTTTCCTTTTCCTCCTTTGAAGCGGGGAGGCAAACAACCAAGACACGAAGGAACAAAGCCAAACACTACAAAACATTAATAGAATATTCACTCCAAATGAGATTTTTAAAGAGGCACTTTAAATGCAGCAAAGACCTAAGCACCAATATCAATGTTCCTGTAAGCAGAAAATAAAATCTACAAATAAAGTTTTAGTGGAAGGTGTATCATTTTATTTCATTAATATTCATATTCTGAACTCATATGTGCAATTGCAGAGAACTTCATGAGACAATTTTGCTCTTAGGAAGCAAAAAACAGCCCTTGACCAGCCTAATAAACATTCAAAAACATCACCCATACTGGGCACAGGTGTTTTCCAATTGCCGCCTGAGCTCATGTTTAGTGGGCTGGAGCTCCAAGCACTGTCATAATTTGTGCTCTGGCTTTGCATCCCACATGCCATAGGAATGAAATGGGACAATTTGTCCTATCTCTGTGTTGGAGGGGATAGGGTTGAGATTCTCCTAGCAATATATGTCTTCTAGTTTATCATATTTGTGGTCAGAATGATACTCCTCCCAGCCTCCCCTAACTATTCAAGGACAGGTTAACTATGAGAAAGGTGCTTGAAAGTCTCCTCCTGGTCTACTCCACTGTTTGAGCTGGTTTCTGACCCTCAGCCTGAGCACCTAGTGAGACCCTTTAACTTAGACTCCAGTGACCTTCTCTTGGCGGGTGGTCAGACTACATATATATCCCACCCAGAAGCAGGAGCGTTTTATTTTTTGATAAACTAGCCTGGCCCTGTAGAGGATCACTGGACTATAGGAAATGATAGCTTGTGTTTGCATGGTGCTTTACTACTTATAGAGAATGTATATAACTTATCGTTTTATTCAACCCTTATGTTGGCATTTCCATTTTGCCTGAGGCATTGAGATAAGACTTTTTCACTTTACAGGCTCCCAACACTGGGCTTTTGGTCCCAAGTCCTGGGTTGCTCCCTTCATTCCACAGCTGCTCTGAAGATAACCTGAGGATCATTTTGAATTTCTGAGGGAATTACCTCCCCGTTTAAAATTCCTTATGGTTATGTGGGGGTAAGGCCAGCAGATGAGAACATCCAGCTTAGAGAGAAGGTGAAAGAACCCAAGGGAAAACCAAGGATTTCAGCAGAACATATTTGAATGGGAAGAAATCCTCAAGAAGCCCTAGAGGGGGAAACCATACAAATGATAGCTGAGAAACTGGAGAAGTGTCTGACCTAGATAAGTAAAGTTTGGTTTAATCTCTTAATTCTGGTTCTTAATTCTGGGACTGTTCGCTGTCAGGCCTGCACAATCAATTGGTCTAAGGAAATAAGGGACCTGTTTAGATTAACATCAGAAAGAAAAAATAGTACATTCTTCGGCAGAAGCGTTAGTTTTCCTCAGCGAATAGACAGGGAAGGTAGAGCAGAGGGGAGGATGCTGTCCGGCTCTGCCACCTCCCACCTATGTGACGGGACCAACCACTGACTTCCCTGAGCCTGGATCTCCTCATCTCCCCTGCCATGCTGCGTGGGAGAGGATGAAGTGAGCTGATGTGGAGAGCACTGCAAGGGGAGGACATAAGCCTGGCTTCATCATGCCAGAGGCCTCCAGCCCCAAGGAGCAGAATAACTCACAGAACAGAAAGGAGTTCAAAGCATGGGCTTTGGTGACAGATTTGCTAGGTCACATCTGATGCTGCTAGTCTTCCTTGGGCAAGGGCCTTACCCGCTCTGTGCCTCCGTTTTCTCCTCTGTAAAATGGGAATGATAGGGCTAATGCATGGATCAAATGCGTAACACTAACCTGTTTACAACAGTGCTTGCCACATAGTCTGCATTCAGTAGACGGTGTTAGTAGTTATTATTGTTAGGAATGCCACTACTAGTGCTGTATTTTCTGTGATGGCTTTCTGACCTGGCCTCATATATCCAGACTCTTTCCTATCAAAACTTCTAGGTGTTTATAGGTCCTAGACCCAACCCCAGATCTATTGAATCAAGATCTCTGTGGTAGGAGCCTGGGAGTCTGTATTTTACTAAATGCCCTGAGCAGGTCTGAAACCTGGTCTATGCAGCAAGTTCCTCAGGCACCCAATTTAGGATGAATCTTCCATCACTTAGGCCCACTGTGCCTCTTCTCAGCTACTCTACCCACTGCCCACGTCTTACTCTGCCACCAGAAAGGCCTCTATTTTCTCAACTTTGTGTGAGGAATTGCTGTTTCCTCCGAGTACACATGGACTTCCCTGTGTCCTGGCTGTGCCCAACTATCCCCGCTGCCCGAAAACTGTCTTCCCCTCCCATGGGTGAGCCCTCCCTAGACTGGCCATATACTAATGTTACACATTTTATCTTCTGCCAAGCCTTCTCCACCTGTGCCCCCTCACCCAGCAGCTTTTCTCATGTGGCAGAGCTAGTGATGGGGACTTCTCCATAGGCCTGTCTCCTAGCCAACCTGAAATCCCTTTTCAGCTGGAAATTGGATTCCAGTTGTGAGAAACTAGGGAGTTTCGATTCATGTGACCGGCTGGTGTTTCCTCATCTAGGGATGACTGGGCTGTGAGTGAGGAGATGATCTTATTCCCTTGGTCGTCAGATACTGTGCTTACCCTCACAACCTCTGATACCTACTGGGCCTGCATCACATGGCAGACCCTCCTCCCCCCACGTCTTGTTCAAGCTCTTTCCCTGTGTTTGGCCCAGCTCCCCCGAATGGCTCTGTTGCCACTTTGCTCTCTCCACCATCACTGCCCACACAGGATGTGGGTCCCCTCCCCACTGCCTTTGTTCAGGGATTGAAACAGTCCCACATAACCACCCTCTTTAGTCTGGCTGTCCCAACCAGGCCTCCTGGGCACAGGCCTCCACTTGAGGCACCGCTGCCCTCACCACTGATAGGAGAGAGTTCTGTGAGTCTGGACTCACAGATGCCCTGTGGTGACACAGAGATCAGAGACAAAGCTTGGGGCCAGAGCCTAGCCCCAAATGGCAGACCTCCCTGGAGACACAGGAACTGGCCAAGTGACAGACATTCCTGGTGTTTCTCATTGCTGTGTTTGCCACCCCCTGGGGATCACCACATGCACTGTTAGCAGATCCTGTCTTCCTCCCTGACGTCCTTACCTTGCTCTGTCCTCTGTTACAACAAAGGGTGAGGGTGAAAGGCTGGCAGTGGTTGCAGGGGAGGATGCATTGTGACTTTTGGAGTGTGATATTCAGCACCCTGTCGTGGTGCAGGGAAGCCCCCAAGGCCTGGAGTCATGACTGGGGAAGGTCCACTGGACTCCTGCATGGTCCTTTCTGCCAGGGCAGAAAGAGGGCAGGGGGAAGGCACAGGTGATGGTGCTATCCTTTAGGACTAGTCATTAACTTTTTGATATAGAGTCTATTCCTTCTCTGATCATCAAAGCTGTTTTGTGCAGGAACAGATGTATGACTTACACTTTAATCTATTCTTTCATTCAGTAAGTATTCACTGAGAACATACCTTGCCTGGGGCCTTAGAGTGGAAGTGTTGGAAACAAGGTCAAGTGAAGTGGAGGAGACAGGCCATGGCTTATGCAGTGCCTGGGCTTGGGCGGGCCTCAGAGAATGGCTCTTAAATAGGATCAGGCAACCCTCATATAAGAAAATTAAAGGCTGTGTAGATGCTATCCATAAAGTATGAAAGGATAAGAAAATCTTCCTTGGCTGAAGCATCTGGGGAGGTCTCAAGGTAGAGACAGTGCTGTGGTTGACCTTGAAGGACACGTGGGCCCTGTGACCAGACAGGGGAGGTAAGGACTGAGCAGTGAGACAGTCAGAGCAGAGGTAGGGAGATGGGAAGCTTCTGGCATGTTCAGGAAGTGAACAATGTTCTGTTTGGCTAAGACCTGGGGTTTCTGAAAGGGAACAGTGAGTAAAAAGTCTGGAAAAATTGGCCAAGGCAAGTCTATGGAAGGCCTTAGCCACCAGGCAAGGGGCTTTGAGTTGACTTGGTCAGGTAGGAACCACTGGAGTCTAGCTTTAGTAGACAGATGAGTAAATGTGACAACAAATTATGCTTTAGGAAGCTGAATCACACCTTCTAGACCAGGAAAACCATCAACATAACAGCTTGGGAGGAAAAGGATGGTGGCAGCGTGAATAGAAATGAAAAGATGAGAGATCAAGCATGTCCTGAGGGAGACCGCAGGATTTGACAACTTGGTGGGGACTTTTTTGGGGGGAGTGGATATCAAAGACAGCTGAGAGGTATCAAAAAGTCATTTTGTGCTTCTATATAGGGATTCCTGTGGCCTGGGAAGGTTAGTTCAGTATTCCCACACGTTTATTAGTGCTTACTGTGTATCTCATGTAAGAATAAGAAATAGAGGAACAAAGGTGAACAAAACACAATGCTTGCTCCAAATGGAAAAGGGCTTTAGAGGAGACCCCAGGCTGGCCCACACTATTCTCTTTGCAAAGAAAATCAGAAATGGTCAAATATTTTATTCAATATCCTCCCCGAAGTGTGGATGAGGGAAAAGGGGTCCAGGTTCACGTGCTCCCTGTGTGGATAGCTTGGTGGCTTTGTTTGTCTTTGATTTACTCCAGAGCTATTTCCCTTGCCCCTAACATGGGGTGTGAGTAAGAGACTGCCCCTGCTCCATTCTCCAGCCTTAAGCCCCTAAGGAATCCCAATGTTTGAGGATGATCAGAGGAGCCAAAAAGAACCACAGGGGCCAAATAAGGAAGGGGACATTAAACAAGAGCTAAGGGATGGAAAGGAGGTCTCAGCGGGGAAAGGAGCTGAGGGGCAGATGTAGGGGAAGTAGAGGGAGCGTTCCTGATGACAGAAACGGGGAGAGTAAAGGTGAGGAGGCCAAGAACATGGGGCATGCTTGGGGAATGTTACATAGTCTTGTCCAAAGAGTGTAGGCTGAGCAGAGCCTTGTTTATAGCTAATATTTTGTTTTGTTTTGTTAATGAAGTCAAGAATAACAGTTGGAAATCTAATTAAGTGGTTTAGAAGTTGTGGTTTAGTTGTTTTCAGTTATACAGTGCTCTGGGTTTCTTTCTGGGCCTAGAAGCCACCCCAGCTTATTAGTCAATTGTCAAGAGGTCATTGATGAGGCAATTTCTCCATTCCAGCCCAGAAACATGACTGCTGGGCTTTGATTTTTGGCAATAACATATCCTTGAGAAGAGGACTTTATTTACTCCGTGTCCAAGAGGTGGAAATCTCACTTCTTTCCTTACGAAGTCTGTATAGAAACAATGAAATGTGTGGGTGACAAGACATATGTGGAAATATACAGAAATCACCAAGTTTCAAAAATGTATTCATGGAAATTCAAATAGTTAAGGCCAGGACCAGGCCAAAGTTAGTCTTTTGTTCTCTTTCATTTCATCATTCTGGATCTTCCTTCTCTTTCAAGGAGCAACTGGAAATATTATGACAACTGGATCTTTTTCATTCTAAATAAGAAGACAAGAAGGACCACCCAAGAGTAACAGGAACAATTAATCAATTTAATTATCAGCAGTAAATTACCAGTAATTCTCTTGGTAACATTATGTGTTAGTATGATTAAAGTAAATATAAGAATAGATTTTTTTTTCCTTTTTGGCAGGGCATGGTAGGGTGATGATGGTTGGAGTCGGAGAGTTGATTTTCAAAACAAAAAAGATTCCAATAAACCCAGGAGAGTCAAATCTCAGACATGTCTCCAAGCATGAGGTGTTGAACTTGGTACCTGATGGCTTTCCTTCCCTAGAGCTGATGTAACAAATCTGTGGCTTAAAAACAACAGAAATTTCTTTTCTCACAGTTTTGGAGACCAAAGTGTGAATTCAAGGTGTTTCTGCACCACATTCTTCTCCCTGAAGTCCTTCAAGGGAGAATCCTTCCTTGTCTCTTTCAGTTCCCAGTAATTCCAGACATTCCTTGGCTGAAGGCTGCATAATCCTAATCTCTGCCTCCATGTCTACATGGCTGTCTGACCTGTGTGTCTCAGTGTCTGAACTCTCCCTCTGCCTTTTTCTTATAAGGACATCTGCCACTGGATTTAGAGCCCACGTTAAGTCCAGGATGATTTCTGAGCTCCTTAGCTTAATTCAATCTCCTTAGCTTAATTCAATTTGGATCTTATTTGTCCAAATAAGGTCACAGTCACAGGTTCAAGGGATTAAGACACAGGAGTATCATTTGAGGGGCCACAATTTCAACCCACAACGCTGAAGATGCATTCTTTGCTGGCATGAGAATGTGCCCCTGGATGTTCAATAATCTTTGTTGATGGACTAGCAGCCTTTTAAACAGTAGAGGAGGGTTTGACCGGATTCAGTGAGAGGAGACTGGAGGGTGTAGCAAGTCTCTGTAAGTAAACTGCACTTGGAACAAAAGAGGTTATGTAATTTACTGGATGGATAGATTAAATTCATTTTACTAAGCACAGTATATTCTGAAACCCTGTCAAAAGCTTTCCTGATAGACTCTGAGGCTGGGAATCCAAGATCCCTGTGAAAGTCATCCATGTGATATTTTGTTGTTCATAACAAGCTTTGTTGTTTCTTCTTGTCGTCGTTGTTGTTTTTTCCTTTAAAAATAGAAAACTTCGAATTGATCCCATTGGACATTTGAGATGCTGAGAGCTCCAAAACACTGAAGTGCTGTGGAATAAAAAAGTACATTTTAAAGCAAGTGTCCCTAAAATAAATGGAAGACAGCCTAGTAAATAATACACATCTAAGAATTTTTAAAGAATACTTAAAGGCACCCACAGGGTCAGAGTTCTTTTTTTTTTTTTTTTTTTTAAAGGGAGATATTAAGACATAGGGTAGCCAGGGCCATAAATGTGAAGTCAGCTCCCTAAACAATAACTGCAGAGAGTCCCTTTTCTCTTTCTGTCACTGAGAAACACAGCCGCCCATGTATTCCTGCCACTATCCCCCCATGCTTGCGACGGTGGTAGGCTGCCTGGAGAGCAGTGACTCACCGGAAATGTTCTCCTTTCTAGAGTAAACAGCTAGAATGAAATCATGTCAGCACCATTTACCGATTTTATTTTTAATTGCCTAATATGCCTTTGATCACTGAAGGGGAAATAAGTGAATGAGGCCCGGCTCAGGCTTAAGGACCTGCATTATTATCTTGTACATTCGTTTAGATCATTTTCCACCATCCACCCAAAATGCAGTTATTTATTAGCATAATACAGTTATGAATCTATCTCCAGGGCTTAAAGATGGAAATTGAAACTCTGCGATGATTTAGCTGAAAGTTACTGGAGCATTCATAGAGCTGTCAGAATTACAAGAGAAAACACATTAAGAAAACGCCAGCACTAGTTGCTATTAAATGGATATTCAAACATCATCAGCACTGTTATCCACAGCAGGCTGGTCTAATTTATAAGCTCCTGTACGAGAGGATAATGGTAGCTGCAGGTTCAAAGGAAAGTGGATCATAGGCATGACATTAGGAAGAGTGATCACATGTTTTCAAACGTAAATCAGGAAATAGGAAAAAAATATTTTCCCCCTGATTTGTTAATTTACTTACATCTTTAAAAAGTATTCTCAATAAATCACATTTATAGAAAACAATAAAATAAACTGGAAAAGCACAAACTTGACTTTAATTCATTCACCAAATGCTTATTGAGTACCATTGTTATGCCAGGCATGGTTTTAGTGGTGGATACAATATAAATTAAACAGACAAAATACCAGCCCATAGATGGAATTCAATGACTCTGCCAACAAATGTTGATGGAGTAGCTACTGTATTACCAGGCGTGTGCTACGGTTGATATTCTGATAGCTCACAATCATATACATCGGTGATCATATATACTTGGGAAACGAAGTGTTACTGAGACTCTGACCCTGAGTATTCCTGGGAATGTTTACGTGTCTCCCATGAGTTTGCTGATGAACTTTGGTCATTGCCTGTTGCTCTGCCCGCCAAGCTAGAGCTCTGTAGACTTGGGCCTCAATGTGGAGAGTAGCTGTTATGAGCTGAAATTTTGCTCCCATTTCCCTGTCTGTCTGCATGTCAAAAGCATCAATGCTGGTGAGGCTGAAAATCTGTCAGGATGTGATCTTGGTGCCCCTGGAATGGTACCATGTTCCCTGGGGCTACTGATCTGTATCATTCCTGTGAATGTGCTCCTTTTCCAGCACAGAGGGTACAGGCTGCTTGAGCACCAAGTATCACAATGTATAGATAGTCAGTTCTTACAATTCTCCTTCTCAAGCTCCATTGCCTCTCCCTGCAATCACGTCTTTACCTGACCTGTCTGTATCTGGTCTTCTCACCCCATATAAGTTTAAGGACATCAGTTCATGTAAGGAGAGTGGCGGCACCTCCCTCCGCTCATGGTGGACCCCTAAGACCTGGAACTCCCAGGCTAAAATATCCAATTACACACACACATGCATCTTTGAAAACAAGATTATCTGAGAACATCTGCACAAGTGGCCTTAAGAATACAACCACTAGGTCAAACCTGAATGACACTAAGTTAAAGTAGAGCAGCAAGTATTCCCTGCAAATAAACAGGAAGACGAACCAGGAGCCAATTACAAACGCAAGAAACAAATGTTGGTATAAGCCGTATACCAAAAATGAGGTGGAAGTTAGGGTGCAATAATTAGAAACATGGGAATTAAAAAAAAAACTAAATTGGCAAAGAACTAAGTGATCTACACCTAGGTCTTCCCAAAGGAGAATTATAACTTACTTTATTCTGCTATTTAAGACATGAATGTTGAGCTCCTACTCTGACACAGACACTACATTTGGCACTGAAGATGCCAGGATGAATAAGACCCTTTTCCAGCCTGTCAACAGCTTAGAGTCTAAGGCAAGGGTCAGCAGGCAGCAGGGTATGGCCCATGGGATGAGTCCCATACCCCTCCTGTTTTTGAACAGCTATGAGTTAAGAAGGGCTTTTACATTTTTAAATGGTTGAGCAAAAACACAAAAGAATAATATTTCCTAACATGTGAAAATTACATGAAATTCAAATTTCAATGTTTATAAATAAAGTATTACAGGAACGCAGTCAAGCTCATTCTTTTATGTATTGTCTGTGGCTGCTTTTGAGTCACAACAGCTGAGTTGAATACTTGGGGCAGAGATGACATGAACCACAAAGCCCAAAATATTTACCCACCCCTGACCTAAGAGGGGGACTGACACAAGAGACAAGCAAGTGACATATGAAATTACAGAGGTAAAAATGCACTCCAGCATATTTTTGGAGCATTGAGGAGAGGATGATAAAAGAAGCACAATTTCCACCTTCCTTAAGGTCATAGAACAAATGTATAACCAACATAAGAGAATTTAAAAACATTTCTTTCTGCCATCACCTAAACAAGAAGCCAAAAGATGATTAAAAAAAATGAAATATGTTATTACATTTCCAGGTTAACTAGTCTGTGTTTTACTTATTTTATTATTAGTAGTAATAATATTTCAGCTTTTCTTAGTATCAGTTTATACATGCAGGTATAAAGTTTGCTTTATGATCAATTCTCTTATATGTATTATTATAGCATTATTTATTCAAGATATCCTGCATGGGATGGAGTTTAAAAAGTAAAGATTCTTTAATTCTTAAGTATTGCAATCTGAAAGCCATTGGTCTGAACAGCTTGGCAAGCCTGGGTCTTTGGACAGAGTTCAAATGGCAGGTCTCCCAGCGAGGCCTGAGAAAAGGGTGCACTCTAAGAGATTTCTTTTCACTGGAGTCTCAGGACGGGGAGGGGCGGACTTTAGATGCCAGTGGGACAGGGGTGTCCTGTGGCAGCCGGCCATGCATGGCTGACCTCAGAGGCATTTTTAAAATGGGACTTCACACGTATCTCACTCAGAATTGCTGAGCAGAAAAAACAGATCCACGGCTTTTGCCTCCCGTTTTACCCTTTCACTTTTGGCTTTCTCTGGTGAAAATATAAGCTCACACTCTGATGGGCAGGAGATCAGGGATGACACAGGCCAGTGGTCCACATTGACGCGCTGAGAGGCAACATAACATCAGTTGTGGGGTTAGAAAGCATGTATTTGAATCCTAGTGCTGCCATTTAGCAGCTCCGTGATTTCGAGAAATTTTCTTAGCCTTTATGCTTCAGTGATTTTTAAATGAGGAAAATAATTGCAGCTATCTCATAGGGTTATTGTGAGGATTAAATAAATTAATTCGTGAAACCCATTTAGAACAATGCCTAGAACATACATGAATATTTAACATTTGCAGTGATGATGATCACGGTGGTGGCGGTGATGATGATGGTGATGATAAAACTATTACTTTTTTCTCAACCCTAAACACTATTTTAAGGATCTTGATGTTTTTCCTTGCACTGCATCTTCATAGGAAAAATCTTTCTGTCTCTACTTTTTTCTGAGGTCTTCTGAATTCTGGCTTCCCCCATTGTCTATCCTCTTTTTGTCCTACTTCTATCTTTTTAATCTTGACTATAATAATCAAGTATATGTGCCCAGGTGATAACTTTTATTATCAATGTGAGGGGCAGTTCAGTGGAGTGATTAAATGCTCTTTAGCAATACCACTCATGATCCAATTTCTGTCTTAGAGCATCAGGCACTTCCTCTGCAGCAGAAACGGTGACCACTAAATATCTGTTGGATTGAATTGAATTCCATTTTCACCCTGACAGTGATGAAGATCCCATTCTCAAAAATTTATTGCTGTTTCCAATTAGCCTAGAGCTTGAGAACTGGAGAGGTATCTGTTTATTTACATTTAACTTACCTGCTACCTTCTACCTGACTCTTTAGCTCTGGAAAACAGTTTGGAATCTCTGGCTCCTAATTTATAACAAGGTTTGTGTTATGATTCTTCAGACAGATTGATCCTTATCCACAATTTCCTGAAAGTCTTGCTTTAAGTGTATCCTTGCTAACCTCCTTACCTGTTCCCAGCTAATTTGTTATTGACTCAGCTTCCTCTGTTTCCTTGCACTTAGTTGCCCTCCTTAGTCTCAGAGTTGCTTGCAAAGGGCTGAATTTAGATTGCAATAGAGAGTGAGTGTTTTAATTATATATTTGTGTAACAAATGACCCCAAATGTAGCAGCCTGAAACAACAAACATTTATTATCTTGCAGTTTCAATGAGCCAGGAAACAGGAAGTGGGTTGTTTGGGTTATCATGACTTAGGAACTCATATTGCTGCAATTAAGATGACATCCAGGGATGCAGTCACCTGAGACTGAATTGGGTTGGAGGGTCTACTTCCAAAATCATGAACATGGCTGTTGGTGGAGGCTTTAGCTCCTTGCCATGCTAGCCTCTCCAGTGGCTGCTCACATGGAACAGCACTGGCTTCCTCCAGAGTGAGCAAAAGAGTGCCCAAGATAGAAGTTATATCTTCTATCTTGGAGGTAGCATACTGTATATATCAACACTGGTACTATATGAAGAGGACTACACAAGAGTATGAATAACAAAATGTGGGTTCCTTGGAGTCATGATGGAGGTGGACTATATAGTCTTGTCTCTGGCCTCTAATGATTCACATCATTCCCACAAGCAAAATACATTCATTCCTGATCACGACTCCTCCGAAGTTTCAGCCCATTAAAGTGTGACCTTAAAATTCAGAACCTTGTTATCTAATCAGATATAGGAGAAAATGAGGCTTCTCAGCTGTCATTCCTTAAATACAGCCCCTCAACGACAGTCTTCTTCACCTATGAAACTACGGAAACAAATTACTGCTTGCTCTCCACACCCAACATACAATGGCAGGACAAACATAGGATAACTGCTATAGTCATTCTTATTCAAAGGGAGGGAAAATGGGAGACATAAGGAAGTTACTGGTATTTCAGAAATAGCAATTCTGAAACCCAGCTGGGCAAATGTCAACTATTCCTTGAGTAAGGATTGAGATCCGGGAATAATTCCATGGCTCTCAGCTGTAGGCTGTTGGTTCGTTTCTCTGACTCACACTTTTATTTTTAAATAAACTTTTTATTTTAGAACAGTTTCAGAAGTACAGAATCTTGAACAAGCTGCTCAGCTTCTCCAAGCCTCAGTTTCCTTATCTTTCATTTTTATTTGGAACACCTTCTAATACGTTTCACTTGCTTGCTTCTACAAACTAGAAAACTACTACTCAATTTTCCTGTCACTTTCTCTAGGGTGCACTCTCTGCCCAAACCATGCTCAAGGTAGAGTTAGGTTCTCCTGCCACGTATTTTTACAGCTTCTTGCCATGCAGACAAACACAGTGTATTGGGATTATTTATTTTCTTGTCTCTTGTCTGTTGTTTTTCAGCACTCCAAGGGCTGGAATCCAAATTAATGTCTCAAAGAGAGAAGGTACTTAAGTATTTCTTGAATAAATTGAATACATTAAAAATTAATTTTATTTTTTTAACTAAACACACAGTAAATATATATATCATGTAATGACCATCACAATCAGGACACAGAGCAGTTTCATCACCCCATAAAGCTTCCACTTTCAATCACTTCCTCCATCTCTAGACATTGGCAACCACCACAGTATTCTCCATCAGTACAGTTTTGCCTTTTCCTGAATGTCACAGAAATGGAACAATAGAGTATATAACCTTTTGAGACTGGTTTCTTTTACTCAGCATACTGCCTTTGAGAGTCATGTAAGTTAGGCATTTCAATAGTTCATGCCTTTTTACTGCTGAGTAGATATACCACAGTTTGTTTATCCATTCACCCATTGAAAGGCAGTTGGGTTGATTCCACAAATGGAGCTGCTATAAACATTCGTGTGAACAGGTTTTTGTGTGAACATAACTTTCCATTTCTCTAGGCTAAATACTTTGGAGCGTTATTTCCAAGTCATGTGAGAAATACGTTCAACTTTGTAAGAAACAGCAAACTGTTTTCCAGAGTAGGTATATCATTTTGCATTTCCACTATTAATGTATCAGAGTTCCATTCCAGTTGCTGTGAATCTTTTCCAGCACTTGGCATTGTTAAGAATTTTGGAATCATTTTAATAGACGTATTATAGTAGTATAATAGTATTTCATATGGTTTAAATATACAATTCCTTAATGATGTTGAACATATTTTCATGTGCTTATTTGTCATCCATGTATTTCTTTTGTTGAAGTGTCTATTTAGTTCTGTTGCCTATATTTAAATTTTGTTGTTTATATTCTTTTTATTTTTGTTGTTGAGACAGGTCTTGCATTATTGCCCAGGCTGGAGTGCAGTGGTGCCATTATGGCTCACTGCAGCCTCAACCTCCCCTTCCTGGGGTCAAGTGATCGTCCCACCTCAGCCTCCCATGTAGGTGGAAGTACAGGTGTGTGTCACCATGCCTGGCTAATTTTATAAATTATACTTTAAGTTCTAGGGTACATGTGCAAAATGTGCAGTTTTCTTACATAGGTATACACGTGCCATGGTGGTTTGCTGCACCCATCAACCTGTCATCTACATTAGGTATTTCTCCTAATGCTATCCCTCCCCTAGCTCCCTACCCCCTGACAGGCTCCAGGGTGTGATGTTCCCCTCCCTGTGTCCATGTGTCCGCATTGTTCACCTCCCACTTATGACTGAGAATGTGTGGTGTTTGGTTTTCTGTTCTTGTGTTAGTTTTCTGAGAATGATGATTTCCAGCTTCATCCATGTCCCTGCAAAGGACATGAACTCATCCTTTTTAATGGCTGCATAGTATTCCATGGTGTATATGTGCCACATTTTCTTTATCCAGTCTATCATTGATGGGCATTTGGGTTGTTTCCAAGTCTTTGCTATTGTGAACAGTGCCATAATAAACATACATGTGCATGTGTCTTTATAGTAGAATGATTTATAATCCTGTAGGTATATACCCAGTAATCAGATTGCTGGGTCAAATGGTATTTCCAGTTCTAGATCCTTGAGAAATCACCACATTGTCTTCGACAATGGTTGAACTAATTTACCCTCCAACCAACCGTGTAAAAGCATTCCTATTTCTCCACATCGTCTCCAGCATCTGTTGTTTCCTGACTTTTTAATGATCATCATTCTAACTGGCATGAGATGGTATCTCTCTGTGGTTTTGATTTGCATTTCTCTAATGACCAGTGATGATGAGTTTTTTTTCATATGTTTGTTGGCTGCATAAATGTCTTCTTTTGAGAAGTGTCTGTTCATATCCTTCTTCCACTTTGTGATGGGGTTGTTTGTTTGTTTCTTGTAAATTTGTTTAAGTTCTTTGTAGATTCTGGGTATTAGCCCTTTGTGAGACGGATAGATTGCAAACATTTTCTCCCATTCTGTAGGTTGCCTGTTCACTCTGATGGTAGTTTCTTTTGCTGTGCAGAAGCTCTTTAGTTTAATTAGATCCCATTGGTCAATTTTGGCTTTTGTTGCCATTGCTTTTGGTGTTTTAGTCATGAAGGCTTTGCCCATGCCTATGTCCTGAATGGTATTGCTTAGGTTTTCTTCTAAGGTTCTTATGATTTTAGGTCTTACGTTTAAGTCTTTAATCCATCTTGAGTTAATTTTTGTATAAGTTATGAGGAAGGGATCCAGTTTCAGCTTTCTGCGTATGGCTAGCCAGTTTTCCCAACACCATTTATTAAATAGGGAATCCTTTCCCCATTGCTTGTTTTTGTCAGGTTTG
Source organism: Homo sapiens (assembly GCF_000001405.40). NCBI lineage: Eukaryota > Metazoa > Chordata > Mammalia > Primates > Hominidae > Homo > Homo sapiens. The sequence goes on along the minus strand of NC_000015.10, from coordinate 48,055,094 downwards.
TCAAAGATCAGATGGTTGTAGATGTGTGGTGTTATTTCTGAGGTCTCTGTTCTCTTCCATTGGTCTATATATCTGTTTTGGTACCAGTATCATGCTGTTTTAGTTACTGTAGCCTTGTAGTATAGTTTGAAGTCAGATAGCATGATGCCTCCAGCTTTGTTCTTTTTGCTTAGGATTGTCTCAGCTATGCGAGCTCTTTTTCGGTTCCATATGAAATTTAAAGTAGTTTTCTCCAATTCTGTGAAGAAAGTCAATGATATCTTGATGGGGATAGCAATGAATCTATAAATTACTTTGGGCAGTATGGCCATTTTCACGATATTGATTCTTCCTAACCATGAGCATGGAATGTTTTTCCATTTGTTTGTGTCCTCTCTTATTTCCTTGAGCAGTGGTTTGTAGTTCTCCTTGAAGACGTCTTTCACATCCCTTGTAAGTTGTATTCCTAGGTATTTTATTCTCTTTGTAGCAATTGTGAATGAGTTCACTCATGATTTGGCTCTCTGTTTGTCTGTTATTGGTGTATAGGAATGCTTGTGATTTTTGCACATTGATTTTGTATCCTGAGACTACAGACAGAGTCTCACTATGTTGCCCAAGCTGGTCTCAAACTCCTAGACTCAAGAGATCCTCCTGCCTTTGCCTCCCAAAGTGCTTGAATTACAGGCGTGAGCTGCTGAGCCCATTCTGTTGTTTGTACTCTTAACTGTTGAGTTTTGAGGGTCCTGTATACATCCTGGATACAAGTCCTTTGTAGCTTATGTATTTAAAAACACTTTCTCCTGTCTGTAGCTTGTCTTCTTCATTATCTTAGTGTCTTTTGCAGAACAAATTTCTAAAAATTTGATGAAGTCTAATTTATCTATTTTTGTAATGAATCATGCCTCATGCCTTTTGGAGTCATTTCCATGAACTTTTTGCCTACAGATTTTCTCCTATGTCTTTTTTTCTATATGCCTCATGGTTTTACATTTATATCTGTATCAATTTTGAGTAATTTTTGTGTATGGTGTGAGGGATAGGTCAAAGGTTTTTTTGCATATGAATGTCCAATTGTTTCAGTACCAATTGTTGGAAAGACCAACCTTTAACCATTCAATTACCTTTGCACCTGTCTCAAAAATCAGTTAGCCACATTTCTGAATTCTCTACCTGTTCAGTTTATTTGTATGTTTATTTCTCCATCATTGCAAATTGTCCTGATGACTGTAGATTTAAGTAAATCTTATAATTGGGTAGGATGATTTATCCAGATCTTCCTTTTTCTTCAAAATTATTTTGAAGAAATAGCTCCTTTGTCTTTCCATATTCCAGTTCCTTTGCCTTTCCATATAAATTTTAGAATCAGTTTGTCTGTAACAAAAATCTTACTGGGATTTTATTGCAATTGCATTAAATCAGTAGGACAACTTGAATCTTCTAATTTATATACATGAAATAGCTCCCCATTCTTTTTAAATTTATTTCATTAGCATTTTATAGATTTTAACTTACATAGCCTGCGTGTTTTATGATATTTATACCTAAGCATTTTGTTTTAAAAGAAATTATTGCAAATGGTATTGTTAAATTTCAGTTTTCAATGATTGTTCATTGCCTATATAGAGAAATAAAACAAATTTTGCATGTGACCTTGTATACTGAGACTTTACTTTATTCATTTATTAGTTACAGGAGGTTTTTGTTTTTAAAAAATCACTACTATGGGACTTTCTGTATAGCAATCATGTTATCTGTGAATAGAAACAGTTTGTTTCTTTTTTTTCCATCTGCATTCCTTTTGTTTTTTTCTTGTCTTATTGTACTGGCTAGAACTTCCAGCACAATGTTGGATGGGGTGGTGAGAATGGCCATCCTTGGCTTGTTCCCAGTCTCCTGGGGTGTGATGATTAATTTTATGTGTCCACTTGATTGAGTCATGGGATGCCCGGAGAGCTGATTAAACATAATTTCTGGGTGTGTCTGTGTGGGTGTTTCTGTAAGAGATTAGCATTTGAATTGGTGGACTGAGTATAACAGGTGGCCTTCCAGAGTATGTGTGGGCTTCATCCGATCTATTGAGGACCTAAAGAACAAAAAAGCAGAGGAAAATTGGATTTTCTCACCCTCTGCCTGACTTAAGCAGCTTGAGCTGGGACATTGATCTTCTGCCCTCTGTGCTCCTGGTTCTCAGGCCTTCATAAGTCTACTGGAATCTGCACAGTTAATCCTTTACCCCTCAGGTTTCTGACTACACCACTGGCTTTCCTGGATCTCCAGCATGGATTTATAAACATTCCATTGTTTTTTTATTTCTCCAGAGAACCCTGACTAACACAGGGAAAAGCATCAAATCTTTCTCAGTTCATTATTTCTCCAAAATTCAATATATGTTGATGATAAAATCTCTCAGCAAACTAGGAATAAAATTGAACTCCCTTAACCTAACATACCTTTCATTAGGTTAAAGAAGTTCAATTTTATTCCTAGTTTGCTGAGAGATTTTATCATCAATGTACACTGAATTTTTTCCAAAGTTTTTCTGCATCAAATTAATGTGATTATGAGGTTTTACTTCTTTGTCTGTTAATATGGTGAATTACATTGACTAACTTTCAAATACTGAACCAGCCTTATATTCCTAGAATAAATTCAATGTGGTCATTATTATTACATCTTCATGTATGGCTGGGTTTATATTTAATTAGTTTTGTTGAGAATTTTTACATCTATATTTTTGAGGGAGATTGGTCTATAATTTTCTTTTACTATCTTCAGTATTTGGTATCTTTGGCTTTGGTTTTGGCTGGAGCCATAAAATGAATTGGAAATAGTTTTCTCCTTTTCAATTAGAGATTGTGAAGAATTTGCATTATTTCTTCTCTAAATGTTTGGTAGAGTTCCTCAATAAAATTATCTGGACCTGGAGATTTCCTTTTCTGAGGATTTTAAACATTAATTTCATTTTAAAAATAGTTATGGAGTGTTTGGGGTTATCTTCATCATATTTGGTACATTTTTGTAGTTGGTGTCTTTTTAGGAATTGGTCCATTTAACGTAAGTTGTCAAATTTGTGTGCTTAGAGTTGTTTGTAGTACTTTCTTATTATTCTTTTGATAGCTTTGTGAATATGATGAATACAATCATTCATTCTTGTATTGGTAATTAGTACCCTCTTGCTTTTTTCTTTGTCTGTCTGGAGATTTATCAGTTTTATTTGTTTAGCTTCATTGATTTTCCTTTCTATTTTCTCTTTTCAATTTTATTTTTTTCTCATATATTTATTATTTTCTTCTTTCTGCCTGCTTTGCATTTATTTTGCTTTTCTATTTTTACTTTTTGAAAGCAGAAGTTTAGATCTTTCATTTGAAATTTTTTTCTTTTCTAACATAAGCATTTAATGCTATGAATGTCTCTCTAAGCACTGCATTAACTATCTCCCACACATTTTTATATGTTGTATTTTAATTTTTGTTCAGTTCAAAATATTATCTAATTTTTCATTAGACTTCTTATTTGACCCATGGATTAATTAGGAGTATGCTTTTTAATATCCAAGTATTTGGAGTTCATGGGTCTGTGGAGACACAGGGTAGCCATATTTGTCAGTGAACTGCACTGACCGCTGTACCTGGGGGTGGCCTTATGTGCCTGCCACTGTGCTTCCCACATTGCCTAGATGCCCACATGACTAGGAAGCACTATGTTCCCAGTTTTTGTGAGTGTGGCGGGCCCCTTGGTAGCTCCACCCCTTAGCTTTGACTATCCCTTGAGTAGGTGTCATTACTGTAGAAATGCACAGGGCACACAGCTTAGGCCCTGAATTACACCCAAGTCACCCTCCTCCTGTTAACCAATTAGGCTGATCAAACTAGAAAGGTGGTGCTGCAAAACCGGATGGACTTAGATATAGTAACGGCTGCCCAAGGTGGCACCTGAGCCCTTATAGGGACACAGTGTTGTACATTTATTCCTGACAATCAACAAAACATAACAGCAGCCTTGCAAGGGATGTCACAGGAGATTAAAGCAGTTGAGAACCTTACTGATGGACCCACTACAGAGATGGTGGGCATCCCTGGGCTGTGGTCTACATTGGGCCCTGATAATCACGGGCAGCATAGCAGGAATATTAGTAGTAGGTTGCTGTTCCCTGTATTGTTGCTGTGGGCACATTTCCCCACTAAGAAGACCCCCTCGGCCTAGCGGGTGGAATGTAAAGAAGATGGCTGCATGGCAGTCAAGAGCAGGCCAAGGTAGACATCCAGTGCAACATGACACAGCAGGATTGGAGTGCAGGTGCACAGTCCTGTGCATTATATAATCAGTTATGTAATCATGTCATGGGTGGGCTCATCACCTGGTTCTGAGCCACTATTGTCTGTGAAGTGCATAAATGTATCACTGACACTGTGAGAGGAGGTGCATAAAAAAGCCATGTCCCACTTGCCTATGGCCTCCCGAGTGTTCTTTCAACTACCCGCCACCAATCCACATTCTCCCCTCAGACCCTAGCTTGGGTTGGAACCTCACACAAACACTGCCATATTTAAGCAGTCAAAAACGCTATGGTTATCACCGGTTCCACCAAGCTAATAGAGGAGATAATTGGGGCTTGAAAATGACATGTTTATTGCTTAAGGTCATACAATGACAAAATAATAGAATCAAAATTCAAAGCTTAGTCTGACTCTAAAGTTCATGTCTTAACCACTGGATTATTTAGGTTACTTTGCTTCCAAGCAATGAGTTGGCAACATTTTGCAGGACATATGGCGTCTCTGACAACTATTCCACTCTACCTGTAACACAAAAGCAGCTGTAGATAACATGTAAATGAATGAGTGTAACTGTGTTCCAATAAAACTTTATTTAAAAAACAGGTGGTGAAATGGATTGGGTCTTTGGGCTGCCATCTGCCAATTCCTGCTTTAAATTATGAGTATATTCTTCAGTTCCTGTTTTCTGTAGACTATATTTCTCTGGTTTTTGTTTTATGAGTTCACTCCAGGTCCTCATAGCTAGTGATGAAGCTTAATTCACATTTCAAGTAGTCACAGATTTCTTGAATCAATCCTACTTCTCTACTTAGATATGTTTCTGTGATAAGATAACTCTTAAACATATTCTTCTTGCTTTAGCAAGACCTCAGATAAAAACATGATTCAGAGCCAGAAGAACAGGAAGGGTGGTTTGTAAGGCTCTGTCCAGTAGAACAGAGAGGGAGAAATGTGGATGATGTAAAGTCAGGCTTCCTCAAGCAGCCTGGTTGCTGAATCTTGGATTCAGATTATCTAGTCCAAGTATACACATGAGTCTAGTCTATCACATCTCTGAAATAATTATTTGATTCCTTCTTATGTGCTTCCATGGTCATGGGACTCTCAATCCCTGAAGGTAGTCTTTTTCATGTCTTCCTCAGAGATGGAGTAAGTGGACCACCCTAGTTCTTGGAAATGTTGTGCATATAGTGAACTAAAAGGTGTCTTTGTGTAATTTGTTTCCATCATCCCACTTCTGGACTTTGAAGCCACACAAAATAATGTAATTTCTTCTACAAGATAGTCTGGGATTGTAAATTTATTTTGCACCATAGGGAGGAAAAAGTACTAGATCTCACTAATAATATCAATGCCAAATGAAAAATACTTGGGAATAGTCTTAAAAAGAAACTCCAGATCCTATGTGAAGAATACTTCAAACTGTTTTTGAGATTATAAGAAAAAATGAAACAGATAGAAAAATATACAGTGGGAAGACAATATATTATAGTAAAAATGTTGATTCCTGCCAAATTAATAATCAGATGTAATGGATCTCATCCAAAACCCAACAATTTTACTTTTTTATAAGTAAATGTTGCAGGTTGGGCTTTCCAGAAAGCTAACTGGACTGAGGTTAGTCGGCAGATCATTTATTTGGGAGAGCTCCTGGACCATGGAGGGGTTGGGGGAGAAGCAGAGCTGGGCAGATGGGGAATGTGATCTGCAAACCAGTCCCAAAGAAGCCTTCCCCTGTCCCCATGGGGAGCACTGCACTAGCTTTAATCTTGAGAGTCATATCAAATAGGGACTGAGAACTGGCCTTTATAGTGTTCCCCTCAGCCCAATCAGTTTGTCATCAAAGGCAGGCTACTTCTGGAAGGAGGCCTGATCAAGGTGAGACAACTGTCTTCAGCTGAGGGCTCACAGCTGAGAGCCATCCTCCAGTAGCACTCTTAGCATCTGGAGGAATAAGTCTTCCTTCCTGAAGGAGGATCTCGGTGGCTCATCACAGCATCTGCCACATGGAAGAAATTGGACAGAATTTCCAACTGTAGAGTTTATCTGAAATAATAAATTGATAGAATGATTATACAATTTTAACCAAGAAGAGTAATATAAGAAGTCTTGCCTCATTAGATATTGTAATATACTGTGAAGCTATCTACAATCATTAAAAGAGTAAAGTATTGGCCTAGGAATAGACAGGTTGATCAATGATCAGAAATGCAAACCCAGAACTGAACCCTTGCATGTGTAAGAGCTTGATTCATAATGCATGTTGTCTCTCGATCTAGTAGGGAATGAATGGTTATTCAGTATATGATATTGTGACAACAATGAAGTTATTATAGGTTCCCTAACTCAAAACTTACACCACAGGTGATTTCAGATGGAGTAAAAATTTAAATGTAAAGAAGAAAATTTAATAATAGAAAAAAGTGTAATAATGGGGGTGGAAAAGGACTTTCTAAGCATGACCTCAAAGGTCAGAATTCATAAAAGAAAAAAAACACTTTAAATGAAGTTAACATGTCAGAGTGGCAACAAACCTACTAAAATTCATAAACCTAGTATTGATTGAAGCTTATTATGTACCAGAGACTGTTATCAGGACATGATATGACTTGATATCTAACCCAATGATCAAGGTACTATTACGATTTCTATTTTATAGATGAGGGAACTGAGGACTAGAAAGATCAAATAATCTACCTAAGGTTACAAAACAAGGACATAGAAAAGATTCAAGTCCATCTGTTCAAAACTGCTATGCTATAAACAAATGTAAAAACAGTGACAACCCAGGAAAAGTACCTGTATTATCAATGGCAAAGGGTTACTAGCCCTAGTCTTAAAAGGTTTGTTACAAATCAATATTGAATATATGAATACCCCAGTAGAAAATTCAGGAACCCAAGGTAAAGAAGAATAATAATGACCAAGAAATACATAAGAAGAGTTTCAACTTTACAATCCTACCGGTGAGGGGAAAAAAAGAAAGAGAATTTGAATAATGAGAAACATTTTTCTTCTGGCCCTTAAGCAGAGTAAGAAAGGATTCTATCCTGGAATGGCAAAAGTGAGGAAATGGCTACTTCCACAAAGCTAGCAAGAGTGCTGAGTAGTACATATTTTCCAAAGAGTTATTTGACAATATTTGTCAAAAGATTGGACCCTGTAATGCTACTGATAGAAATCTATCCTAAGAAAATGTGTGTGTGTGTGTGTGTGGTGTGTGTTTCTTCTGGTATTGTAAAAAACAATTTTTTTTTTAAACTAACCCTTCTCTTATTTTTCTACCATAAACATGCATGACTCATATAATAAAATGCAAATTGTGATACTTGATATCAAAGTTTTGAGTAGATTTTTTAATTCTGAAGGCTTTTTAGAAGCCATTCTGGCCTTGGCATTTTAAATGTCTGTAAAATATGTTTGAGTTTGGTTCATTTTTTGGTTTCAACCTGGTTTATTTTTGTGCATGGCTCCTCTGTGTATGTTTGTTCCCTCTACCTAGAGAGCTTGCTGTGTCATTTAGTAAGTAAAGCAGCCAGAGAACAAAGCCACCAATGTAATTTGAGTAGGTGTGGATCAGAATGAATTAGGCTGCAGGAAATGGTTTGGGACTGTTTTTCAAGATCTTTACTTTTTTTCAGTCTTTTGTATTCAGGAAAGATTGAGAGCCCAAGTGGGAGAGGAAGCCTTTCAGGTTTTTAGGTTTTTAAAATGCAGGTCTCGAAGGCCTTAGACTGAGATTCCTTGGCATGACAGGAACAGAATTTGGTGCAAAAAGGAAGCAAATCGCCTTGGCTGAGATATTATCCCTATGGTCCCTATGGTCCCGTCCATCTCCCCAGGTGTCCGGCTGTCCTTCCTCCTCTGTCAAATATCCCTTGCCTTTTCTCTATTCCTTCCTTCCTCCACGCTCCCTGAGGTGACAGTGTCCTTGAATTTGAATATCTTTCCCCCCAAAGTAGAATCATCTAGGTAAGTAAGGAGAGAAAATGAGAGTTTATTTTCTAGTTTCCAGGGGCTGATTTTAGTGAGGCAAATAGTTCAAAGACTTTGCCAAGTTTTCGTTTGTGTGGTGTTGCTCTCTTTTGTTTATTTTTGCATACCTGCATTGTCCTAATGCTGTATCTCTTTACAGCTCTCACCTATCGCCTTCCTAACACTGTGTCCATATTCTTCTCACCTCCACAGAAATCCTTATTGGGTAGCAACAAGAGGAAGAAAGAATGAGGCACACGTGATAGCGCTGTCATGGACACCATGGGTGCAAAAGTGGGTGAGAGATTATCTGAAACAGAACAGGCTATGGGACAAATATCCCTGTTCTTTCTCAATTTATTCATTTACTTATTTATCCATTCCTTAAGCATGAATTTTGTTCTCGTATATGCCAGACACTGTAACAGGCCAAGAAATAGATGGATAAACCTACTTCTAGCCCTCAAATAATTCATAGTTAAGAGCCCAAATTATCAAATATGCATGCTCGTTGGAATTGCTTGCAGACTTTTGTAAGAATACAGATTTCTGGGCCCCATTTGGGACCTATTGTGTCCAGATTACCAAAGGGAGGGTTCAGAAATCTGTATTTTAGTTAAATTTCTCAGATAATTCTTGGCAGTCAGCATTGGTCGGAGGATCAATGTTAGAAAACTACTGGTAATGGCTTCATGGTGCATTAAAGAAAAAATACAACTAAGAACCCATTTGCAGTGTGGTTCAAAGCCAGCCAGCCTTTTCTCCTTCCTTTCTTCCCCAACATTCCTCCTGTGAGCATTCAAGTCAAGAATGTATTTCAGTTTTCTATTGCTGAGTAGCCAGCTTTCCGAAAACTTTGTGCTTTACAATAGTGATTTGTTATTTTTCATAATTCTGTGGATTGACTAGGATTAGCTGTATGGTTCTTCTGTTCCACATAGTGTAGCTGAGGTCACCCAGGTGCTGCATTCAGCTGGGAGGTCAGCTGAGGCTGGCACATCCAAGATGGTCTCTCATACTCTCTGCATGGTGTCTCATGATTTGGGAATTTAGCCTGAGCCTTTTTTTTTTTCTGAGACAGAGTCTTGCTCTATCACCCAGGCTGGAGTACAGTGGTGTGATCTTGGCTCACTGCAACCTCTGGCTCCTGGGTTCAAGTGATGCTTGTGCTTCAGCCTCCCGAATAGATGGGATTACAGGTGTGCACAATCACACCAGACTAATTTTTATAGTTTTAGCAAAGACAGGGTTTCGCCATGTTGGCCGTGCTGGTCTTGAACTCCTGGCCTCAAATGATCCACTTGCCTTGGTCTCCCAAAGTGCTGGAATTACAGGCATGAGCCACCACGCCCAACATAGCCTGAGCCTCTTTACCACTTGGCAGTTGACTTTCAAGGAAGAAAAAGCTGATGCTAACAGTTCCTTTGAGACCTGAACTCAGAAGTCCCAGATCATCAGTTCTAAGCATTCTATTGGTCAAAGCAAGGCACAGGGACAACCCAGATTCAAGAGAAGGAGAAACAGATCCACCTTGTGTTGAGAGGAGCAGGAAAAAAAATTGTTACTATCTTTTAGTCCACTATAGATTTAAAAAAAAAAAACCCACAGGAACTTTGTGCTGATTTATAAGGTCTCTACACTCATTAACTTCACAGATGACTTCAGGCTAGGGGTCTCAGAGACGGTTCTAGAAGTCGGTCAGTTTAGACCAAGACCTTGGCTGTTTGTATAAGTGTCCATAAATGAACAATAAAATTTAATAGGAACAAGCTGTAAATACAAGATGGGTCACTCTATCAAGACTGCATAAAAAAGGGCTGAAAATAAATAATGGACAAACAGTCATGAGAATGTAATCTAGCCTGTGTGCCAAAGAAGCAAGCATGATATTGGATATATCTAGAAATTCTGTAGCACAGTAAAACCATGACTAGAATATTATATTCAGTTTTGGCCTTTGTAATTTAGAGTCAGGATTGTTCAAGGTAAAAATGGAAATGCAATTGCATTGGATCTTCTTTGCATATATTTGTCTCTCTTCCCCCAGTAGCATCTTAGCTCCATGAGAGTATTAGGTTGGTGTAAAAGTAATTGTGGTTTTTGCCATTGAAAGTAATGGCAAAAATACAATTACTTTTGCACCAACCTGATAGCAGAACTTTTTTGTTTTCTGTTGTATTTTTAATGCCCCTAGCAGTGCCAGGTACCTCGTAGGTACTCAGTAAAAGTTTCTTAAATAAATGCATGAGTCTCCTTATAAGCTTTAGAGAACTGAACACAAGACTTGGATCACAGTAGCCTTTCCACAAGTGCTTACTAAATTGACTTGTTGACCAGTGTGTTGTATAGTACATGGGTGAAGAGACCTGGGTTTAAGATCCTGCTCTGCCTCTAACTTCTTTTATTTATTTATTTATTTATTTATATTTTACTTTAAGTTCTGGGATACATGTGCAGAACATGCAGGTTTGTTACATAGGTATACATATGCTATGGTGGTTTGCTGCACTTATCAACCCATTATCTAGGTTTTAAGCCCTGCATGCATTAGGTATTTGTCCTAATGCTCTCCCTCCTCTTCCCCCTGACCCCTACACAGGCCCGGGTGTGTGTTGTTCCCCTCGCTGTGTCCATGTATTCTCATTGTTCAACTCCCACTTATGAGTGAGAACACGCGGTGTTTGGTTTTCTGTTCCTGTGTTAATTTGCTGAGAATGGTGGCTTCCAGCTGCATCCTTGTCCCTGCAAAGGACATGATCTCATTCTTTTTTATGGCTGCATAGTATTCCATGGTGCATATGTATCACATTTTCTTTATCCAGTCTATCATTGATGGGCATTTGAGTTGGTTCCATGCCTTTGCTATAGTAAATAGTGCTGCAATAAACATACGTGTGCACATGTCTTTATAGGAGAATGATTTATATTCCTTTGGGTATATAGCCAGTAATGGGATGGCTGGGTTAAATGGTATTTCTGGTTCTGGATCCTTGAGGAATTGCCGCACTGTCTTCCACAATGGTTGAACTAATTTACATTCCCACCAACAGTGTAAAAGCATTTGTATTTCTCCACAGCCTCACCAGCATCTATTGTTTCTTGACTTTTTAATAACTGACATTCTGACTGGTGTGGGATGGTATCTCATTTTGGTTTTGATTTGCATTTCTCTAATGATCAGTGATGATGAGCTTTTTTTCATATGTTTGTTTCTGCCTCTAACTTCTTTGTGATGTTAGACAAGTATTTAGTTTTTTCACGTCTCATCAGGCACCTCCTCTATAAAACTCAAAATTTAAAGGAATCATAGATAAGAAAGTGGTTTGGAAAGAAAATTACCAATGGTCTCTGTATTATTCTTTGAGGGTCCTCCCTTCCGCTCAAGGCAAGGGTGTTGTAGACCATACTCCCAGTTCATTTCTTGGTGTCCTGTGGGTGGGGAGGGGCATGGATCAACCCATACCATAATTAATGCATAAGGAAGTAAGGATAACGCTGGAATTCTCAGAGGTGAAGGGGAACAAGGAGGGTAGAGACAGCAATGTCTCCCACATTGGGAGATGTGGGTTTTATTACTGTCCAAGTGGATTAGAATATCAGCTATACTTAATATGGACTTATTAGGGTTTTGAATCCCTCTTTTGGTAGAAATTGTGGTTGTTTTCTAAAATGTTAGTGAATATAGAAGGAGCAGGGGCTTAGGTGTCAAATTACCTAAGTTTGAATTCAGTTTCACCACATTAGCTGGGAGACCACAGGCAAATTACTTAACTTTTCTAAATTCCACTTTCATCTTCTGTAAAATGGGGATTTTTAGAAACTACCTACCTTGCTGAGCTATTATGAAAATTGGATGAAATATTCCATACGAAATGGCTGGAACACATACATGTTTTTTATCATTATCATCATGATTACTATTTTTAGGAGGAGGAGTGGTGGAGTAATAGTGGTCCCAGGCCTACCTGGGTTTAGTAACTTAAATCCTCTGAATCTCATTTTCCATGTGATTAAATGGGACAATGATCTACATTACAAAGCTGTTATCCCAACCTTGCTTTGGAAGCTGCATGTGGTATATGTCAAAAAACTTTGCAAATTAAGAATTATCCAGATGTTCGTTGTTATCAAATGTTAAAATTCAGCTACTGTCGCCTGCTCTAGGGAGCCCGGTCTATCTCACCCCACCAGAATACAATGTCCCCTTAGCCCTGGTTTGGTCCCCACAATCTTCACTCCCTCTGGATGCAGAGTCAGACCATCTTCCAGACCCAAGAGGACCAAAACCTCAGTCCCAGATGCAGGATAAACACAGAGTATGCCCTTGTCAAGCTTCCACAAGAGACCATAAGGGCCATGGCATAGGGACATACTTTAAGAGCTACTGCTGCAGACCCTTCTGAGGGTTGTCAAAACTGTCAACAAAGAAGGTTGTCAAGTTTCTCTCCCCAAGGTCTTTAAAAATGAGAGTCTTGCCTGAAGATGGAGTCTGAATTACATGACATCTCAAGATACATCTCATTAAGATTCCATGTCACTTCCTGAGTTTGTCTAGTCTCTGTCTTGGAAAGTAAGGCCCTTCAGTAATTAAACATCTGAAGGAACTGGGCATTCATTATCCTGAGCATTAATTCTGAAGGCAGATCAGGAGATTCTGCAATTTCAAATCATTTTGGTAAATGGCCATTTGATTATTAGCCAGCTGATGGAATTAGAAAGAGATCTTTGAACTCCATCTTTGTTCACATCCCAGTTCTTAGGGTTTCTAAGCATATAAGTCTTTGATTACCTTGCTGTATGAATGCTCTGCTGAATTTTCTTTGTAGACATATCTGTCCTCTTTGCGATAGGGGCAGTTCCTTGGGGACTGGGCAACTAACTTGTCTTGTGTGCCACTCACTTTCTGTGATTACATGGGGTTTAAAGAGTACACAGTAAGTGCTGTTGGTTTTCTTTAAACAAATGAATAAATTTTCTGAGGAATTAGTCAGTTGATTGTGGCCAAATATGGGATTGCTACTAAAAGATGTCAGCATGCATTTTGGATTTGATTTGTGGTTGTCTGCCATCTGGAAGTAAAATAATTGACAAACATTTTCAAGTAGACTTTTCTGGTAATTTAGGACTAATTTTAATGTAATTAAGAACATTTCTGGAGTTTGCAGAAGTCATTTCATCAAGTGAGGTTTATTCACAGAGGACAGAATAAGATTCTTTTCCAAGACCGGTCAGTAAATGGAACAGTAAAAGACCTCTAATCCCATTAACAATGAAAGCAGGGCCAAAATTTATGTTCCAGTCCTGTGTCCTGTGCTTTGTCATTCAGTGAAGACATAAACATCCAGTAAAAATGGGCTGGATTAATATAGATCCATTTTTCCGGGCCAAGAATTTCTTGAAAGAGGGTGGTAGACTGTAGTCATGCGATTTTTGAATACTGATTCTGACTTTAGTTAGCACTGTGTACCTCAGTTTCATTGTCGATACAATGGGGGTGACACAGAGATGGGGAGCTCTAATATCCTATGATTTAATGCCAGGTGTCTGGCAACCCATCCACCAGAGAGTGGAAGTAGCAAGCAACTTTATGGCTCTCATGAAATTCCTTGGGACCAGAATTTCTCATATCGCTAAATACACCAGATGCCAATGAATTGTTTATTGCCTTATATGGATGTCATGGTGGTTCTGGGCACCAGCTCTGAGGACAGGCTAAGCAGGATCTTTCTTGAAATTTCCATTCAGTTTTACCATTTTATGTAGGTTAGCCTTCCTAAGTCTCATTGTAAAATGATCATATTAACATTTCATTGAAAGTGGAAATGAAAATAGTGCCCACAGCATTTTAGTCCTTGTTGAAAGGACTAAAATGATGAGGGATGTATGATGATGTAAGGAGCACCTGATATAGTAAGAGTTAAAAAAATAATAATTGCTAATGCAGTGGTGAAGGACGGAGATAAGGATAGCCGTGACGAGTCACTGAAAGAGACAAGGTCATCAGTTTTCTTGTCCATCTCTCAGGTTGCCATGAAGATTAAATGATTCCATTTTTGTAGAGTTTAGCAGAGTACCTGGCACATAGTAAGCACTATTAAAAAGTGTTAATTTTCAAACTAATAGTATTTGAATAAGTTTCCCACACTCTGCAATATAGATCAGGCTTCTGTTGCATGAGGGCAACAGAAAAGGAAGGTGTTTGCTCCCACGGACACACTTTCTAGGCAGTCATTTAGTTTTATGATCAAGAAAGAACAATGCATTTCCTCCTGGATATGCTGTTGTCTCTAAAGACAACAGGTGCTCTGCCACAGTGCTGACTACCAAATAATTTGTCCTTTTCACCTTTCCTCATGCTCACGCTTCTTTTGTACTCTTTTCTGTATATGTTCTTTTTTTGGTATTCAAACTACTTTCCCTCTGCTGTGATCTTCCCCTCACATCTGCTCTTATCCCTTGCTTTGCCGCTAAGCCGCATGAGTCATGAGGGCTGTTCTGACAGAGGTGCAACTGTTCTTTGGCAATCAAAGAGCTGCTCATGCCCTGCTCGAAGTCATACGGTAATGCTGCAAATGCCAGCTCAAATGCCAGCAAAAACCAGACCCCCTTTCATCTCTCTCTTTTGAAGAAATTCTTTGTAGAGGGCTCCTTATGAATACTATCTTGAGACAGAGTGCATTTTTATCCATTTGTCTTGCTTTTCTCTCCCATTTTCCACTTACAGAGGGAATAGAAAGTTGGGATTCATGAGAAAACTCAGCAGAGGGAGCCTCCCAAGAATCCCTACCACTGACTTAGGTACAGAAATGCGATTTCCATCACATCTTGATTTTTCAGGAGGCCTTATCTGCTCAGATTTCATTTGTACCTTTCTGTCATGGAGTTACCCCAAAAAATCATGGACTTGTCTTTACAATCTTTTTTTTTTTTTTTTTTTTGAGATTTGTGACTCTAAGTTAGGTTTATCACACCAGATTTTTGTGTTTTAAATGTTTTAATCTGGTATACTGTGAGCCACTGTGCTATCCCAGGCTCAAAACTTACTTGGAGAGCATACTAGCTTTAGGGAATAACCCAACCAGCCTGTTTTGCTGTCAGGGCTTTTTATAAAGCACTTTTCTACACACTTAAGTAAACACCCAAAAATGAGATCAAAATTCCTTCTAAATCCTAGTGTTTCACTCATTATTTTTAGTTACTTATTGTTTACATCCAACCTAAATTGCCTAAAAAATATGCAATAATGTAGGAGAAACTAACTGAACTGATGCCTCCCTAAGACAGGGTCCTGGTGAGAAGTCCCAAAGGGAGTTAGGAAGGGCCTGCAGGATGAGTGCTTTGGCCTTTAACTTTATTCTTGTTCAGACAATTGTGTTTCTTGTCCAGGTACAGGTGTGTCACTGAGAAATTCAGCAACCACTGCAAGAGCAATAGGTGATTTCTGCTTACCCAGGCCTGACCCCCAATCTGGGCTGAGACTTTCTATTGAGCACCTACTCAGTGCAAGCTCATGACATACATTATCTCTAACCTTTGTACAAACGCCATAAAGTTTTATTATCCTAGTTCTTCAGGCAAAGAAACTGAGGCTTAGAAGCCTCAGTAATTTAACCAAGTATGGCAGATGGTAGCTTCAAAATATGACCACAGCAATGTTCCCAGCAGCATAGGCACATCCTGAACTTGGATACTCTCCTGCCCAGAGGTGAAGTACATTTTTTTCTCTCCTTGAAAGTTGGTTGGTCTTTATGATTGTCTCAATAAGTAGAATGTTGTGGAAGTGATGGTGCATGACTTCTCAGGTTATATCAATAAAAGGTCACATTTTGTCTAGCCCTTTCTCTCTCTTTAGGAATATTCACCATTAAGACCCAGCTGCCATGTTGTGAGGAAGCTCATGCCACATGGAGAGGCCACGTGTGGATCTGGGCAACAGCTCTGGCTGAGGTCCCAGCTAACTAACACCCAGTACTGATGGCCAAACCTTCCAAAGATGCCAGCTTCCAATCTCATGCCTAGGGGGGCACAGATAAGTTGACCCTGCCAAGTCTGGCCCCAGTTGCAGAGCCATGAGCAAAATCAATGTTGTTGTACTAAGATACTAAGTTTTAGGGTGGTGTGTTATGTAGCAATATAAGCAAAATACCAAGTTTATACAGTTGGTTAGTAAATGATTCAGGATTTGAACTTAAGATCTGTATAACTGTCCACTTCTCTTGGCTGGTTCCAAGAGAACCTTATTCCAAGAGAATCCTTATTCTCCCAAGCCTTACTCCTTTCCTTCAGCCTGGAATTCAGAGGCATTCTGCCTCTCCTTGCTGTAGGTGTGCTTATTGCTATTCAGCCCCTAATTCACATATGTAGTCATTAATATACAGAAACCTTGACATGAGCATACACACTCCTAATAGAGATCTGCCTTATGCACTTACGGGAAGCTTTCCAGCTTTCCACATTAGGTTTGTAGCTCTTGTCAGTGTTTCCTAAGGGTGTAATAAGTCTCCACAATAGCCAGTATACTGTCATGAGTGTACACGTTCTAAAACCTGCATGTCTAGGTTCCAGTCCCACCTCCTCCACTTACTACCTGTCTACTAGTGTGTTTAACTTCTCTGTGTTCTAATTTTTCCATCTATAAAGTAGAATAGCAACAGTCCCTTCCTCATTCATTATTCCTTGCTATAATGAATTGAGGAAGCAGGTCCTTAGAACAGTGCTTGGCATATTAGCTGTCAGTAAATATGACTTATTTATGGGTCACCTATAAATTAGAACCATATTTCACCACACATCTTTTTCTACTCAGGTCATTGGACAAGAAAAATGTTTACTTATTCTACTGGCTGTTTTTTCTGCAGTTTTGTGTAGCCCACTTATTCTTTATGTGGAAGGTGAGGCAAATTCTGCTGGGCATGCATCTTCCAGTAGGGAGGATGCCCTTCTGGGCTGGCCAGAGACTTTGGCATTTTCACGGTTCGGCTCGACCCTTATCTTAGCCACATCAGCTGTTCTACTAAACAAGAGCTTTTGGTTTCACTGTTAATTGTTTGTAGTGTGTGTAATTAGAAGTATGAACTGAAATGTATTTTGGAAGACACTTGAAAACATTGGGTATCTCACCATAGGGTCTCAGGGGATCCAATGGAGAAGCAGCATAAGAGATCAGAGAGCTCCTTCTGCTTTAATACAGACAATAGAGAAACACAAACAATTGGATGGGACAAGATGCTGGCTCACAGGGTATTAATTAACACACAGGACACAACCACAGAGAATCTTTAGTTCAACCTCCTCATTTACAGGGTGAGAGCCCAGAGGTGAAGCAACTCCCCTGAGATGGTACAACTCGTCTGGACTTTACAAACCTGTGGCTTGATCAGCTTGTCTTCCCGATCACTTAGGTTATTGGACTTTTGGAGGCAGGGGGCAGGGGGAGTCAATTAATTTAGATTGTTCTGATACAATGACTTGGATTTTTCATCTTTGCAATTAACTTTTTGTTCAATTTCTTTTGCTTGATGAAAAACTGATGTAGAGAGGTAGCTGCAACAAAGAGATGTATATTTAGAAGTGCCATTTGCTGAAACTAGTCAAGTGTCAGAAATTATAGGAAACATGTAATTATCCAGTCTATCTCATGGCTGGGGAGTCCTATTGGTGTGATGGCTAAATTAGTTTTATGATATTATTTCTGGCTTCAGTTCAGGTGAATCTAAGATGCCAGGAAGCATAGAAACTCTCTGACATCTCTGTATTTCAGGACCTATCTTTGCTAGGCAGGAAGAAATGTGATATCAACACAAAAAATATAAATTGAAAAGCTTCCTTTGGCCCTTTGTGTACTGCCTGGCTTTTTCATATCAGTTACTTGATTTTTATCCCTTGTCTGCCATGCTCTTGGAGTCTTTGCTGTCTCAGTGTGTGTTTTAGATGCTTAATGCCTCCTCCCTTGAAGCCCATTCCCTCTGAACATATGTTAATAAGGTCCCAAGAAGTGGTGCTACATTTTGCAGCACAATTTCAGTTGCCCAGAGAGATAGATGGCTTGAAACAGGCAAAGGGACCCCCTCAAGTAGGCTTGGAGAACAGGACCACCAGGAGCTCTGAATGGAATTCAATCAGATGGTACTACCGGAAAGGGGGATAGGAAGAGTGATCCCTTTGACAGGAAAACAAATTGAAAGGGAAAGAAAATCGGAAAGCAAATGCCAGTTTTCAAGATGGGGACTGGGAGCAGAGGGGCGCTGCATTTGATCAAATCGAGGCTTCACACTGCAATAGTTTTCTAATATTCTGATATTTCTATCTGACATCAGACAGGGTCTTGATTAAAGTGTCTCCTGAGGAAAGAAACTTTCCTTTGTAGGTTTTGGGTACCAGGATTAATCTCAGCTTAGATGATGGCCCCATTTGGCTGGTAAAAAAAAAAAAAGCATAGATAGCAGGTGATTATGCCTTCTTCCCTCTCCTGTCAGCTTGCATTTAATGGAAGCTCCTTGCAGATAAAAAGTTGGGAGTAGTATTTCACTGTGTATGCATACACATACACACACCCATTGAAATCTGACCACTGAAGGAAGTTATAGATGAAAGTGGCCTTGTTATTTTCTTAAAAGTAAAAATTGCACTGTCTAAAAGTACATAGCACATCTGAGGTCTCTTTGAAACAGTCTCTGCCTCAATGTTCTATGCATTTCTAAGCAGGGAGAGTTTAGGCAACTTCAGGGAAAAGAAAAACCTACCAGATGCTTTTAGGTTTTAACCAGTGAAATGAAGTTCTTCTCATTCATGGACAGTTTTAAAGTGAGTGACTTCCCATTTGATTGACGTATAGCATCGTGACTAGGAGAGTTAGTCAACCTGGGTATAAATCCTGGATGCTCCATTTACTTAGTGTGAGACCTTAGGAATTTTCATTCACATTTTGGAGATGTAGTTTCCTTAACTGTAAAATAGGGATACTTAGCATTGTTGTGATGATGGGATGATGTTGTGAGATAGCACTTAACAACTGTGTAGCATAGTGCATAGTACTTGTCAAGTAACAAATGCTATGTAATTATTTATAGTTTATACAACAACAACAACAACAATAACAGCCTGAGGGATTAGCTATGGTGGCATGTATGAGAAAGACATTTTGGAGATAAAACCTGCAATTATGCACTATTAGCAGGAAGTAAGTTATGAAAGAATGAGTGTCACCAAAGGCAACCTGATTTGAAATGGAGGGCTTCGTTCTTCATCTCCTAGGTGGGTTTACATTAACATGTTTACTTTTGCAATACAAGATATGGTCAGTGTATTAGATAATTTACCTTTTCAAAATGGCTATCAAGGAAGAAGGGCAGCAGGTGGGTGGAGTGATGGGCATTACTATTTCCATATCAGAAATGAGAAAGCGAGAAAGCCGGCACATCCTGCACATCCTCTGACCTGAAGTGGAAGCATGTATGCTGTGGGGCTTATGGCCGCCACCCACAGTAGAAGATGAGGCTGGAGCTTTTGTCAGTAGGGAGCAGGGAGATGTTGAGCTCTAAGATAATGATGTACAGCCCTTGGAGTCTATTGATTCTGCAAATTGCGTTGTTCTTGCTATAAGGACATGACACACTATAGATGAAAAGTGTATTTCACCAAGATATTGCTCTTTGATACTTCATCAATTCATCCATTGAGCAACTACATATGTAAAGAGTGGCATCTTTCATCTTCTTGCAAAGTCCACACCCTTCTGCCCCCATGCTCAATATTTTAGTTAACAATACAGCCATGTGGTTAGCCACCTGAGCCAGACATTTCGGTGCATTCTCGACTCCTTGTTTTCCCTTACTTTCCATTCCCCAAGAAAACATCTTATTGATTCTCACTTTCTCCATATTTCTCAACTCACTCCTCTCCTCTCAACCAGCAGTGCTGCCCCATCCTTGTCTGGCCTTCTGAGATGGTCTCCTTACAGGCCTTCCTCTAGTGGCTTTCCTATTCAGGATTTCTTTCCTCCAACCACCAGCACAACCATCCAGAAAGCACCATTTTCATTTTCTGCTAAAATCCTCCAAAGGCTTCTTGCAGAGTGATGGCCAAATCCCTTAGTGTGGCCTAAAAGATCTTTCCAAATCTAGCCTCTTGCTCCCCAGACTTATCCCTGCCATGCCTCCTTTGCACCTGCCTCAGGAGCACCGCATGTCTTGTCTTGCAACACTGCAGTACCTTCCTGCTTTTGAATCTTTGCTGTCTCCTCAGCTGGATTGTCATTTCTTTCTAGATTTCTCTGAAATGCCCCATCCTCTGGAAAGTCTTTCTTTTCTTTCTCATTGCTTTGCAATTCAGATTATGTTCTTTATAATCATCCTTCTCTGAATAGTCCTCCAATGTTGAACTAAGCACATTGGACTTTAATTATTTGAGGACAAGTTTATCTTCCATGTCAGAAAGACAACTCTCCTGTCCCCAAGGTCAGCAACCATGTCCTCAGTACCTCAATAAGAGTTTATGGAATTAATTGGGGGAAAGATTTGAAGACAAGCACACTGTAGGTATTCTTTTTGAAAATTGCTATTTTTTTTAAGAATACAGTCTGATGATTTGTGAGTATGTAAAAAGTGTTTCTTGGATATAAGTAGTGAGGATGATAGCTTCACTATCATTCCACCCTTTCAGGAGGTGCTTGCTTTAGAGTCAGAAAAAAGATCAAGGCTCTTACTTATAGTGTGGTCAAAAGGTTCAAGAAACCAGGTCCTGAAGGGCAGCCAACTAGAAAGGTTGTGGGGATTTGGAACCCAGATGTGTCCCTGCAGCATGAGACAAGTACAAATAGGAAGATGAAGTAAAGGGAGGACAAGAAAGAACAGAAAGTGAGAGCAAAAGAAAAGGAGAGATGGTGACATGGAAACTAGAGCCAACCAAAGAAGAGACAAGGGGTTAGTGCCATGAGGTCTTCATTGCAGCATCGCGAGAGCAGTAAGTTGAGCTTTTAAATCTGATTGGTACATTTTCTACTTCCTTTCCCATCTTCCTTTCTCCCTCCCATAGGAAAGAACTTCATCATATTGCCACTCTATCTTATCTTTGTTTTTCTTTTATATGCCCTTTATTTTTTAGAGCCATTTTAGGTTCACAGCAAAATTGAGTGAAAGATATAGAGATTGTCCATATACTCCCCACCCCTACACATGCACAGCCTCCCCCATTGTCAACATCTCCCACCAAAGTGGTCCATTTGTTACAACTGATGAACCTACACTGACTCAATATTATCACCCAGAGTCTGTAGTTTCCATTAGGGTTCACTCTTGGTGTTGTACATTCTATGGGTTTGGACAAATGTATAATGACATGTGTCTACCATTATAGTATCATAGAGAGTAGTTTCATTGCCCTACAACTCCTCTGTGCTCTGTCTATTTTTCCTTCCTTACCCCAGCCCCTAGCAACTACTGATCATTTTACTGTCTCCATAGTTTTGCCCTTTCCAGAAGGTCATAAAGTTGGAATCATAGAGTATGTAGCCATTTCAGACTGACTTCTTTCGCTTAGTAATATGCATTTAAGTTTCCTCATAGCTTAATAGCTCATTTCTCTTTTAGAGGTGAACAATATTCCATTGTATGCATGTACCACAGTTTATTTATCCGCTCATCTACTGATGGACATTTTGGTTGCTTCCAAGTTTGGGCAATTGTGAATAAAGCTGCTATATACATCCCTGTGCGGGTTTTGTTTAGACATGTTTCAATTTATTTGGGTAAATGCCAAGGAAGGCCATTGCTAGATCATACAGTAAGGGTAGGTTTAGTTTTGCAAGAAATTGCCAAACTGTCTTCCAAAGTGGCTGTACCATTTTGTAGTCTCATCAGCAATTAATGAGAGTTTTTGTTATTCCACATCCTTGCCAGCATGATGTTGTCAGTGTTCTAGACTTTGGCCATTCTAGTAGTTATGTAGTGGTATCTCGTTTAATCTGCATTTTCCTAATAACATTATGTGGAACATCTTTTCATGTGCTTATTTGCTATCTTATACCTTCGTTGGTGAAATATCTATTTTTAATAGAGTTGTTTGTTTTCTTTTTGTTGAGTTTTAAGAGTTCTTTGTATATTTTGATTGACAATCCTTTATCATACGTGTCTTTTGCAAACATTTTCTCCCAGGTTATGGCTTGTCCTCTCATTCTCTTGACAGTATCTTTTGTAGAGAAGAAGTTTTTAGTTTTAATGAAGTTCAGCCTTTCAGTTATTTCTTCCATGGATTGTGTCTTCGGTGTTGTATCTAAAGAGTTATCACTGAACAGAGGTCATCTATTATATTCTCTCCTACATTATTTTCTAGGAGTTTATCATTTTGTGTTTTACACTTAGGTCTATGGTCCATTCATAGATAATTTTTATGAAAGGTGTAAGGTCTGTTACTAGATCATTTTGGTTTTTGCCTGTGAATCCCCACATCTGTCTTTTGGTATGAATATTTTATCATTGAAAATAATAAATTTAGAGGTCTATAAAGGCTCTTTATTGTTTTATTTTACAATGCGGACCGTTACTGCTTATCAGGTCCCACTGATAACCACAGTACTTTCAAAAAAGGTTGTCTATAAAAATCTGAGTGGGGACAGAGTTTCTCTGCTTTTTCTCCCCACCTACCACTTTTGACATACTAGATTAAATTTCAGCCCCGGGCCAATCTGTCAAAGAAACAGGAAATGTCTCTTGCTATGACATATTTGCCAGCGGCTGAGGTTTGAAACCAGGTGGGTATTAGTTCTTACACAGAAGCAATTTCTCCCGATCAGAGAAGCTGATCAGCTCAGCCAAAACCTTTACTGTATGGATGTGTCTTGATATGAAAAACATATTCTGATAAATGTTTAACAATTTGCACAATTTTCGAGAAACTTAAAGAAATAGGAAAGATGAGAGTTTGGGGAGGGTGAGGACTAGGGAAGAAAAATCAAATCTAAATATAGTTGTGCTTTCATCAATATTCAAACTGTATGTGGATGATTTTAATATGGTTATCAACACACTAAATAGGCTGTATGTGACTGGAGACAGAGTGATAAGGGAGGGGGTTAGTGTATTTCTCACAGTCATAGCACACTGTGCTTCTAACAGCTGTCTGACTACTGGAGAGTCCTGGCTCAATTTCTCATCTCCTGTAAAAGATAAGGAGTTGCTTACAGGTGCTCTGAGACATCACCCTGAGCCAGCGATGGGGGAAGGGAACCCACCTCTCTCTCCCTCCTTCATGCTCTCTTGCCTTTGCTATTCCACTGAAAGAAAAATCAATATCTAACCCAGAGAACAAATCAAACAGCTCCAGATAGGCAGCATTTCCCTGGTGCCCATCTAAAGAAGATATCTTCTGCAGGCCCTGGCAAAGAACTGTAATGACTGCAGCCAGCCTGTGGATTTCTATGCAGAAGGGAATATTTTTGCAATAGAGTCTACACTATGTACCTCCCCCTCCCACTTCCCCTCACTCCTTCTTTCTTGAACCAGAATCCCTTCCCCGTGCATCCCCTTAGAACTCATTGCAAATGAGCCTGGAGATCTGGCCCAGAGCAGAGGAGGTGTCCATGTTTTTAAAGCGAACTTTCCTTCCTTCCTGTTTACCATGTTCCTTCGTGGATGAATGGTGAATCTGGCCACCGGTACCTGGGATGGGCTGCTCAGGTTCATCGGGAGGTGATGTATTTTGCTTTGAGGCTTAAAGCACTCACTTATTTCTAACAGAAGCTAAAAAGCTGTCTGAGCGAGAAAGTAGTGTGGAATTTAGCAGGAACTACCGCTTGCAATACCACCAAGAAGGCTGCCAGCTGCCCAGGACAAGTGTTGTTCTCTTTTCTGCATTAATCAATGATTCCCTTTCTGTTTTCCAAGTATTTGAAGAAATTACTTTGTGTTCTATATATTGATTTATATCTGTTCCCACATGTATACATACAATTCAAACTTAACTGGGAAAAGAAGCTTCATGGCTTTTCCCAGCAGTCAACGAAATGATCACCTTACAAGATTTGGAATGAACGTTTAAGCACTTTTCTCCTTAGGACTAATACTCGTAATCATAATCATAGTAGTTATAGTAATAATCACCACCACTACATGTTAAATGTGTTCTATATCTAGGCACAGTGTACAGTGTTCTATATCCTTTTTCTTCTTTCATTCTTACATAAATTCTTATTAGGAGATCATATTCCTGCTGGTATCAGAAACTACAAACAAAACACAAAGTCTTTAAATTCACTATTTGCCTTTTTTTGAGTTTTGTCTTATTTTTTAGGCTTTTGCTTTTATAGAACATGTTATTTGAGACTTTTGGAACATGATGTAAGGTCTATAATAATGAAATCCAACTGAAGATTAGTTGCCTATTTTAAAAGGGCACATGTAGGTTATATTGTAAAGGTTAATATTAACAAGAAGAAGAAAAAGAAAAGGCACTTAACATTCACATGGCACTGGACACTGTTTCAACCATATGGCATTTGTTACCTCAACTCAACCCTTTTGATGGGTATTACTATGTCCCTTTGTAGATGAGGAAACTGAGGTTCAGAGAGAGTAGATAACTTGCCTAAGACCCTCAGCTGGTAAGTGGTGGAACTGAAGTCAGAACAGACTGGCCTAACCCTAAAGCGTGGAGCAGGTGTAAACCCATTATGGAATAGCTGCGCTCAGGCATAGGGAAGGGCTATTAGAATTAGGGAGGGAGGGAGGGTGAGGATGCATCAGGAGCAACATTGGCTGGACTTTTTGGGGCTGAGGCCTCTTCTGTCCTTAGGTAGTAATTACCTCCATGACATTGCATTTATAATGCAGGGGACGCTCTCTGCTGCAGGCAGGAAGAGTTGAAACACTAAGCCTGGTTGGAGGCCAACATTTGAGGATCTGTTGTACACATTTATAGAGTTGCTTGCTTAGTTTCTGCTTTTTCTGGAAATTGTCTCTCCACTGTGGTGACTCCCATGGCAACTGTATTATATGATGTGGCCTTGATCCACTGACCGCAGCTGATTATTCCAGGGCTAGCCCCCAAGCCAAGCTGGGCCAGTCTGGTTTTCTTTCCAGAAAATTTGGAATTGAAATTCAGCAGGAGCTCTGGGTGGCCTGAGAAGCTGAGAAAGCTGACCTGCAGCAGGAGACAGCAGTGCTGAAAGCATAGAGATGAAAGACTCAGAGGAACAAGTTCTGGTCTATCCCAGAGGCCCCACTGCATCCCTGCCCTGGGGTGCTGTGATACCATATATTAAAAATTACATGTAAGCCAGGCGTGGTGACTCACGCCTGTAATCCCAGCACTTTGGGAGGTCAAGGCGGGTGGATCATCTGAGGTCGGGAGTTCGAGACCAGCCTGACCGATACGGAGAAACCCCTTCTCTACTAAAAATACAAACTTAGCTGGGCGTGGTGGCACATGCCTGTAATCCCAGCTACTAGGGAGACTGAGGCAGGAGAATCGGTTGAACTCGGGAGGTGGAGGTTGTGGTTGGCTGAGATCATGCCATTGCACTCCAGTCTGGGCAACAAAAGCGAAATTCTGTCTCAAAAAAAAAAATTACATGTAATATGGTAAACTTCAATTTTTGTTTAAATCGATTCAGTGGGTTTTTGTTATTGGCAGACAAAGGGGCCCCTAATTCTAGAGTATGTACAGCCCAGTCCTAGGTTAGAGGACAGCCCTGAAGAGGTTGGCGATGAGATCATGGTGTCATATTGATGGCTGTGGTAAAGAGGAGACCAAAGAGAACTGCTGCATTCCCAGAGTCTCCTAAAATCCTGAAAATCTGAGGATGCAGTGCAGAGTTATTTACAGTCTAGTGATGGGATCCCCAGTGGATGAGGGAAGAAAGCTCACCCATTGCTCCTTCCCCAGTGACAGCCAGAGCAGAACGGAAAGGGGTGCCAATGGGCAGGAGGCCAAGAAGAGCAGGGTGGCAGCTGATCCTCCCAGGAGCCCACAGTGGAAGCAGCCAGGGAGATTTTGGGCACCAGGAGCGGGAAAGCATGGCTACTGTGGCCTTGTGCAAATCTATGGGAAACCTGCAGGAGGGCATTTGGTGGGATTTGAGGTTCTGTGATTCATGGGAGAGTATGTGGGGGGTGTACTGTGTTGTCACTATTGTTAGGATGCTACAGACACCCCAGGGCTGATGTGGCATGAAGCAATGCACCTTACACAAGCTGAGAAGAGCAGAAAATGAATCTGGATTCAAATGGAGGATAATTAGCAAAGCCCATTTATCAAACTCAAATTGAAAAAGACTGTGTTTGAATGTAAAACATCTTCTTTCTGCTCGTAGCTTTTCTCTACCTAGGACCGAGACAGGAGACCACAGAAACAGACACATCCCTGTCTTCTCCAAATGTCCCTCCACACTTTTTCCAGGCCTGCTCACCCTAGACAGTCTGTGACTCAGGCCGTGGCTACCTGCTTCCTCATAGGAGCTGACACAAAGCCTGCTGGTTTGCCTTATTGAAAATTCTCTCTGCTCTTTCACTTTTTCTGGCGAATAATAGGAGGTCATCTGGTTCGTGACCATCATCTCTTCCCGGCTTCATGAATGCTTCTTGATACTTTGAAATCAACAAAGATTCAGAGTGACTGTGTCTCTATGGATGATAAGGCACCATAGTTAAAGTATGAATTCTAACTCTATAATGCAAATAAAGGAAAAATCCAGGAACTGAATCAGATGGAACTCTTCTTATCAGATCTCACTGCATTTTACTATGTTAGCTTTTCTTTCCTTTTAAAAAGTATTATCTTTGCAAGAAGTGACTGAGGAATGTTATGCTACACTGAAAGGGAAAAATCTAGTGTCTTAGATATTTTTCTAAATAAATATTTATGTCCCTTCTTATTCTTTTTCCTTGGAAGCTCCTTGGTCTTTCTCATGAAAAGTACCATGATACATGGGCAGAGTATCTTCTACTTCTGTGGTTTGAGTTCATCTTGGTGATGATATGCTTTTGGTTGTGTTCATGAGAAATTTGTTTATAAGTCATTGCACATGTTTTATACCTGAATAAAAAAGAAATATGCATAGATGTCATTGTGCTTGATTGAATCCTTACGCATGACGATCTGAGAGCGCTTATGCAGGGCGTTATGAACAATTAATGATTTACTCATCTCTGAGTTCGAGCAATGTGGCATATATTAGCTGAGGCTGATGAAAGGCATCACATAAGTGCAAAACATTATTAGTTTTTAGGAAGGGATGATAAGATTTGAAGCATAACCCAGCCCTGGTGAAATACTCATTCTCTAGTAAGCTGCTTGCAGTTCGAATTGAGGTAGCAGAGAGGTTTTGGTCTCCACTCACGTTAATCTTTTAAGCAGAAATGAAGCCTAAAAACTCATAGATCTCTGATTGGAGGGGTGCCTGAGACATATACCTTAGACATCGTAAGAATCACATTGGGGACCAAATCTGAGATGTGTCTGCCAGCCTCTCGGGTGACCTTCCACCCAGGGGCTGAGGCAAGGCGGTGGAAGCTGGGCTGTGTTTGGCTCCCGGAAGCACCTCATCAGGAAAAGACGAGACAGGCATCTCTGAATGATGGGCTGTTAGAGGTTTAAAATATTTGCCTTGGGTGACCTTCGGGAAAAACACCATCCTCTCTGGCTTAATGTGAATTAAATTTTTCAATTACTCCAGAGGAAGGCAGGCAGTGGCTCCAAGCATGCTTATTTGTGGAAAGTAAAATGAAATTAAACACTTCAGCAGAAGAAATCTTAGCAGCTCACTGATTCCAGGGCATCGCCCCTTGCTGCTCAACGGCAGTGAAAATTTGATTTGAGGGTAACGGATATTTTAAATGGAGTGTCCTGAATCCATCTAAACATGTTTTTATTCTGAGAGAATAACTATACTAATTTGTATATCCTGTGAAAGAAATGAAGCATTTTAATATTTTCTTCCCCTTAAAGAAGAGTGCTGCAGATCTCTTGAGTAATGGAAGGAGAATTCATTGTAGGAATGTGAGGTGCTCCTGTTGGGTGTCACATACTGGTATGTAGAGGATCCCGTCTGTTCATGGGATGCTCAGATTAAAAATGGGGATCCTGGGAATGGGAGAAACTCTCATTAGTTTCATAACCTGCGTGGTCCTGTTCTTCTTTTTGCAAGAAGACAAGAGAAAAAGTGTGTGTGTATGTTTCATCGGGTTGTAGATATTGATCATGTATCAGAAAGACCATGATACTATGGTGTATTTAAAGTCTGGAACCAAGGGTTGTGGAATGATCATATCATCTTCCTTGGGGATATCTAGGAATATGCCAAATCTCTATGAGCTTGGGGTGGTTTGGACTTCATTGTTCCTGGTTGGAATGGAGGAATGTTCAGTGTGTGTGGAGAAGGCATGGCTTTGGTACTTCCGAGTATTCCTCTTCATAGCCTTTGTTTAGAGGTTTAATGAAGAAGCAAAATAAAAAAGGATGCGAGAAGGCAGGCAAAAAGAAAAGATATTCTATGATACTTTGATTTGTAAAGTGTTCTGTGATTGAGACTATAAACAACAGTTTCCATTTCTGATATATTCAGGTGTGTAAGCTTGATCCGTTACCACATAAGATCGCAAATGGGAACAGTCTCACCGGCTGCTTGAGGACATGCAAGAGTGGAAGTGGGAAGAGAAAGGAAAGTCCTCCATGTCAGGAAGTCTTGGAAACAGTCCTTTATGCCACTTAGGTTGTTAAATAACTTTGTGAAATTCCTTATCTTAAAATGGTTTTTGAACTAGAAATCAGAATGAAGGAAGTTTTCTTTGTATTATAATACTAAATGCATGTTTTAGGCTGGAGCAGTAATGCTAATGAAATTTACCATTTCTTGATTCCCTGCTATGGCCCAGACACTCACCTGAGAACTTTGATTCTCACAATAATCCTCTGAGATAGGTTTCTAAGTATTTCTATCTTACAATTAAAAAATTTAAGCTCAGAGAAGTAAAGTGCTTACTTTTTTAGAGTTATGCACACATCTTGGTCAGCTGTCAGCCTAGCTCTTTATTAGCCCACTAATAAAGGATATAGTTGTTCCAAACTAATAAGACTTAGAATGTAATCATGTTACTTCTGATGTGTTTTAAGATTAGAACTAGGTTACAAGGAAGCAGAAAGGATGAAGGAAAGAAAAGGAGGAGGAGGAGAAGGAAAGGAAGCAGAGAAAAGGACAAAAAATGAGGGGAAGAAGTAAAAATGGCAATAATGTCATATTTGCGGCATACTTAACAAATTGTTTATTGTTCATTTGAAGTTCAAATTTAACTGGGTGTCCTATATTTTATCTGGCAATCCCAAGTATGTTCCAGGCAAAAGGCTAAACATTTTCCATATATAATCTTATGTAAGATTTACAAAATAGCAAGCAGCAACTATTGTCCCCTGTTTTTTAGATGAGGATACTGAGACTCAAAGTGGTGAAGAGACTTATCCAATGTCATAAGCTGGGAGCTAGGGTATGACCCAAGCAGAACCTGTACACTGGAGCCCAGGATTACTGACAAAGGACACACCTTCTCTAGCCCCTCCTGGTGGAGTAAGTTAAAAATCTTGTATATATAAATATTCTGAATATAGAAATGAAACCTTTGTGGTAAATCTCATAAAAATGGGTCCTGAAGATAGAAAATTGCATTCAAACCTCAGTCATCTCCATTAATTACAAGAAAAAGTGTGAAAAGGGAAAAGCATGAATCGAATTGTGACATATTGCTAGGTGTTGCATGTTAAGGGAGACACTAAATAAAACAGAATGTATCTGGAGTTGTCTGATCAGGCTACTGGTAGTGGTGGGAAGAGGGTGAACTGGAAGTGTTTAACTTGGAAATAAACAACTGAGAAGAAGAAACACAATAGCTACCTGAATTATGGGAAGAGCTGTCAGTTCTAATTTCTAGTGGCTAGCCGTCTATTACTCCAAAAAATAAAACTAGACCAAGAAGTGAAAGTTTGGTAGAGGTACATTTCTACTTAACAACACAAAGGACCATTTTCTAGAAACCAAAATCGTCTAATGGTAGAACCCTGGAAATAATTGGACCTTATACTACAGGCCTTCAAGTTGAACCTGGATGACAGACCATCTGAGATGTTGTAGGGAAGATTTCTGAATTGAGTGAACAGCTCAGCCAGACAGCCGTATGGGTGTGCACACACACATACACAACTGTATATATATTTAACCCTTTCCCATTTAGAAGAAAAGAGTGCAGCTTGCTGCCAGTGCTCATGTAATTTTACACAAACTTGCTCTTTGAGGCTGAAGCAAATCTGATTTTCAATGCGAAAATAACATATAAAAACTGTTCTTGGAGTTATTTCTAAACAAAACTAGCACCAGAATTGTCTGAATCATCAGAATCATCTATTTTGGAAAAAATCAGACTCATCAAATGAATCTTTGGCCAATAACTGTTCGAGAACGATATTAACATGCTTAGGAATGGTACGTTTTCTAGGATTTGACATTTTTGGCACTCGAGAATTACTATATTTTGTAAATGGAAGTACCACTACTAAAACCAGAATGCTATAAATGGAATGATGTCATTTGTTTCCAAAGTCAATGAACGATGTGAAAATAACATTAAAAGTGAGATATTTCATGGCAAAATTATCTCAGGGTAAACGCTGCAGCCGCAAGCGCCAGCGAGTATTCTTGGGGCAAACGGGAGAAGGGTTAAGACATTATATTTGACAACAAATGAAACTTGGAAAGCTAAAGTGTCTCTCAACTTTAGTCATTTGGAGTCCATCCTTGGTGCCATTTTATGTCTTGGCATCCTGTCCTCTCTTTCCTAGATTATTATCTAAACCTTCTAATGAATCTTCCTGTTTCCAAACTCCCTTCTCCGTAATCATTTGTTCAGAGAACCTCCACATATTATTTTCTAAATTCAAGCATATTAATTGTATTCTCTTGCTAAAAAGCCCTCAGAGCTTCAATTATCTATGAGAAATGCATTTCAAGTGCCTGAGCATGGCCGACCAGGCCTGCCTCCAGTTGTGGCTCCTGCTATCGCCCTCTCGACTCCCCGTGTGTCTGCGGCTTCAGCTCCCCGAGGAGTCTTGCTGCTCTCTCTCTCTTCCCTCACCCACATTGTCTCTCCTTGTGAACTCCTCTCTATCCCTCAAAACCTAGTTCACATTTCGTCTTCTTTGAAACACCTTTTCTGATGTTCCTGGATAGAATTCACCACTCCTTTTTGTAGGTGTCTACCTTGCATACACTCTTCTTGCTGTATAGTTACTTCTGTTAACTTTGCTGTGTAGTTACTTCTATGTCACCTGACAGGCTCTAGGCCTCAAAAAGGCAGGAACTGGGTTTTAGGCATCCGTTCATCCACATCAAGAGCACAGTGCCTTACGCAAAGGAGGCACTCATAAATACAGAAGCTATTACCAAAGAGAAACCTCTGGGGGACTACAAAAATCCATGTCCATCCTAACATTTATGAGGCCTGGGACTAGAGTACAAATGGAGGCTCATATAACATATGCCTGCATATTTAAAAATTATAAATCAAGCTAACAAATTACTTTATAAAATAGGTTCTATCTTCCTACCAGGCCAAACATATCCTCACTGTGGCAATACCAAATATATGTAAAGCTTTGTGGGTTTTAAAACTTCTTTTTAAGGTCTGAAAGTCTGCGAAATACCAAAGATGACTGAATTTAATTATTAATGTCCATGTCTGAGGATTATTTTGGTGAATTGGTGACATTTGCATGAGAATAAAATGAAGACATACATAATACATAAATTACCATATATTTATTCCATAAAATTTATTCTCTTAACTTTAGCAAAAATCATCAATTATGTGATTTTCACATAATTTGGGTCCTATTTATAGTGATCATCTAAAGGATTAATAATCTAATTGCATTCCAAATAGACAAAATCTGAATGTATTTTCATATAAAGGATAAATAAACATCAAGGTGAAAATTGTAAATGAGAATTCTTTTCATGTAAGTGTTATTGTAAGAGTCAAAAAGTTGTAAAAAAATTAAAAGTTGACAAATTCATAATAGCAAAGACTTGGAACCAACCCAGATGCCCATCAGTGTTAGACTGGATAAAGAAAATGTGGCACATATGCACCATGGAATACTATGCAGCCATAAAAAAGAATGAGTTCATGTCTTTTGCAGAGACATGGGTGAAGCTGGAAACCACCATTCTCAGCAAACTAGCACAGGAACAGAAAACCAAACACTGCACTTTCTCACTCCTAAATGGGAGTTGAACAATGAGAACATATGGGCACAGGGAGGGGAACATCACACACCAGGGCCTGTCAGGGGGTGGGAGGCTAGGGGAAGGATAGCATTAGGAGAAATACCTAATGTAGATGATGGATTGATGGGTGCAGCAAACCACCATGGCACATGTATACCTATGTAACAAACCTGCACGTTCTGCACATGTATCAGAGAACTTAAGGTATAATAATTAAAAAAAGAATAGATGAAGAATAAGGAGATAGTAACTCATTTGCAGGAAAAAAAAGTTACAGTAAATTAAGGTTAACTTATTATTGAAGAAAGAAAAGGTTTTTAAAAAACAATTTTAGTGTAGCCTATGTGTACAGTATTTGTAGAGTCTACAGTGGTGCACGGTAATGTCCTAGGCCTTCACATTCACTCACCCCTAGAGCAACTGCTAGTTCTGCAAACTGTGTTCATCATAAGTGCCTATTCAGGCATACCACTTTTATATTTTATACCATATTGTTACTGTACCATTTCCATGTTTAGCTATGTTTAGATACACAAATACCATTGTGTTAAAATTGCCTACAGTATTCAATACAGTAACATGCAGTTCAGGTTTGTAGCCTAGGAGCAATAGACTTTACCATATATCCTAGGTGTATAGTAGGCTATACCATCTAGGTTTGTGTAAGTACACTCTACGATGTTTGTACAATGACCGAATTGCCTAAGGATGCTTTTCTCAGAACATATTCCTGTCATTAAGTGATGCATGACTGCATGTGCTTAGTATTTTCTTTATCGACCTCATTCTTTTGCTTATGAGGATATCATTTGAATCACTATCACGGTTATTTTTAACAGTGACTAAATTTTATTCATGAGTTTGATGAACCAATCAATTTAATAAGACATCTCAAAGTAAAATTTAATAAGAATATGTCTTTTGCCAAAAAATTTTATCACCTACATTTTATGGTTTGCTCCATTAAAGGCTCCTGAAGCGCTGCAGAGATGAGGCCTGGGTTTGCACCTGGCCAGTGTGAATACACAGCATTTACTCTGAGCAGGCACTTTGGTATGCTGGAACAATCACGTGCCTTGTGATGGATGATACATGCTCACTCCACTCTGCTGCCTTGCTGTGAAAGCTCTGTTTCTGCAGCCCTAGGAAATGTCATTATTCCACAGATCCAGGTTCTCAAATTATGGGGCAGTACTTACTTATAGTCATCTGCCAGATATACTGTGGGCTTTAAATTGGGTTTAATATTTGATCAAATGAAGACACCAACTTAAAATAAATTATTATAGAACTCTTGAGTCTTCTGATGATATCATACACAGGTCCCAAACTGAGAATTGAGAGTTCTAGAGGCAGCTTTAAAAGGATTTGTTGTAAAACATTATTTATCCCTAAAACTCAATATATGCCAACAATTTTATTGAGATATAATTTATATACCATACAATTCACCTACTTAAAGTAAAGTATGCAATTCAATGGTGGTTGTTATATTAACAGAATTGTGCAACTATCTCTATAATCTAATTTTGGAACATTTTTATCACCCCAGAAGAAACCCTGTACCCATTAGCTGTCATTCCCTATTTCCCTGCCCCTGCAGCCCTTTTAGTCCAAAAAACTCATCTACTTTCTGTCTTTATAGATTTGCCTATTTTGGATATTTCATATAATAGAATCATATAATATATGAACTTTTGTGTCTGACTTCTTTCACTTACATAATATTTTCAAGATTCATCCACATAGTAGCATGTGTCTACTTCTCTTTATGACTGAATAATATCCAATTGTATGGATATCCCACATTTTATTTATCCATTTACTTGTTGATGAATGTTTAAGTTGTTTCCACTTTGGGCTATTATGAATAATACTGCTATGAACATTCATGTACATTTTTTTTGTAGATGTATGTTTTCATTTCTCCTGGGTACTGTATTAGTCCGTTTTCAAACTGCTATAAAGATACTACCCGAGACTGGGCAATTTATAAACAAAAGAGGTTTAATTGACTCACAGTTCCGCATGGCTGGGGAGGCCTCAGGAAACTTACAATCATGGCAGAAGGCAAAGAGGAAGCAAGCACCTTCTTCACAAGGCAGCGTGAGTGAGAGAAAGAGTGCAGGGGAAATCGCCACTTATCAAACAACCAGATCTCATGAGAACTCCCTCACCATCACGAGAAGAGCATGGGGGAAACGGCCTCCATGATCTAATCACCTCCCACCAGGTCCCTCCCTTGACATATGGGGATTACAATTTGAGACGAGATTAGTGTGGGAACAGAAAGCCAAACCATATCATGTACATACGTTGGTGTGGAACTGCTTGGTCATATGGAAACCTTGTTTAACATTTTGAGGGATTGACAAGCTGTTTTCTACAGCAGCTGCATCATTTTATTTTCCCAGCAGAAATGTATGAGGGTTTCAGTTTTTCCACATCCTAATCAACACTTCTTATGGTGTGCTTTTTTTTTCCCCCTAGAGACAGGGCCTTACTATGTTGCCCAGGCTAGGCTGGAGTGCAGTGGTGCAATTGTAGCTCACTGCAGCCTCAAATTCCTGGGCTCAAGCAATCTTCCTTTCTCAGCCTCCTGAGTAGCTGGAACTACAGGTGCATGCCACAGCACCTGGCTAATTTTTAACTTTTATGTAGACATGAGGTCTCCCTTTGTTGCCCAGGCTTGTCTTGAAACCCTGGCTTCAAGTAATCCTCCTGCCTCAACCTCCCAAAGTGTTGGGATTATAGGCATGAGCTACTACACCCAGCCGGGTATGTTTTTCTTGACTACAGCCATCCTAGTGGGTATAAAGTAATATCTCATTGTGGTTTTGATTTGCATTTCCCTAATGACTAATGATATTAAGCATCTTTTTATCTACTTATTGGCGATTTATATATATTGTCTTTGGAGAAGTGTTTATTCAGATCCTTTGTCCATTTTAAAATTTGGTTATTAATCCTCAATGTATTTTTAAATGGGCGTTCTATGAACATGAGAAAATGAGATAGCAATGTGCTGTGGTTTCTAAGAGCTCATGCTCTGTGATCTACTAGCTATGCGTAGATAACGTATTAACATGTCTGAATTTTAGCTTCCTCAGCTACGAAGTGCTATTATCATCTCCTAGAGCTGTGGTGAGAATTAACTAAAATAACATGGATGAAGCTCTTGCGCGGCACCTGGCACATGGTAAGCACTCCACACACAGTAATTGTCATGACCTCTACAGCTCTTCCTGGCAGTGAATCCCAAATGATTTTGTCCTTTTTATTAGTTTATTGTCTCCACAAATAGACTGTACGTATTCTAAGGGTAGGGATGGTACTCTTATACTCTTCTTAAAATTCCCATATTACTTTTGACAGTCTGAGCAGGTAGTGAATTGGGGAAAGTTTCATGGAGCCAGTTGCAGGAGAACAGGGTTATAAAGATCAGGAAGATGAGAAGACCATTTGGGGTAGAGAGTAAAGACACAGAAATAGAAAGCAGTGAGTTCAACTCCAGAGAAACATGAAAGGAAATGGAGTAGATAAGGCTAGAAAAGGTGGAACTGGGGGTGGTCAGCCTTTGCTAGAATCACATTCCTGCACTGGAGCCATAACCTCAGTCCAGTGCACAAGGTCAAAGATATGGTGGTGCTCTCGACTCAGGTATATGGGCTGGGATGCCAGGCAGTAAGGAAGGAAGGTGGGCATGTTGCAGTCTGTAGCCCTACAGAGCCTATTCTGCTTCTTGATGAGCCTGCTGCCTAATTGAATGCCAGAACCAAGCATTTGCAGGAGATTGGTGAAAGGTCTTCATGGACTGTCCTGTATGAGTTACAAGCAGGAAAAGTACAAGTTGAAAGAAGATGTTTGGGACTGATCTCCCACAGTCCTCAAAGAAGTCTGGGGATGCAGCTTCTTCTTTGTGGTCTCCAGACACAGTCGTCACTCATTCAGGTTTCGTAGACCCATGAAAAAGAACAAAGACAAATTTCCGTTGTTGTTGTCTTTGTTGTTTTAAGTATCAGAATATTGTTGCTTTTCTGCCTGTTTAGTTAGGCCACAGCTTCCATGCCCCATGACTAGGTGAGTTTACTTGCATGGCTTCATTTTCTCTTTGTCAGAGGATGCTGTGACCTTTGTCCTTCCAAGCCAAAATTCGGAGCAGTTGCCTTGCCCATCGAGGTTATTCAGAAAGTCAGCGGGGACACTGGGAACAGATTCATATGTTCTGTAAGCCTGTGCTTTTTTCAAAAGACAAACTGACCTCTCTTATATTATCAAGAATTAGTAGGCACTAATTTATAGTCATTTTACTTCCTATCAAATGACTATTGGAAGTAATAAAAGGCCTGGACTAAGGCCATCCAGAAACTCCTAAATTGGAAATATCTGTGGCCTATTGTCTTCGGACTTTTAAATCCCACTTAGCAGCTGATGACTGCTCCCTTGCCTGGTGTCGGATGCAACCAAATCTTTCTATGCTTCCTGAGCATTGAGGGAAAATGTGGTTTTCTAAAAAGTAACTGAGACTGTTGCTGTGTTCAGTAAGCTGCCAGGGCTTGTATGAACATGCCAGGCCAAGCTGGGAGAGATTTTCTGAGCCTTCCAACCTCTACTCTTTCCCCTTCCCATGGAGGTTCATTTCTCAGGGCACAGCGTGTCCTCTGAAAAGTTTACATAGCTGATGGCAGCAAGCGGTGTTCTCCCAGCAGTGAGGGCTCCTCCCTCACTCCTACAGGCTGGCTCACCTTGCTCAGAGAGTCCTTGGGCCTTGGGGACAAGGGCAAGAAAGCATGTATGAGGAAGAACATGCTGGAGGAAAATTATAATCAGCCTAGAGGCAATTACTTTAGCTGATGCCATCGCTAGCAACACCTTAGGTACAACTCTCAAAACACACAAAGGGCTTGAGAAAGATTGATAACGTTTGCACCTTTTACTCACTATTTCTGTTTTCACATGTTTCCCATGCTTTCAGGTGCTTATGTTCAGGCAAACATCTTGCTTCTTTTGAATCAGAGAGGCCGATCAGGAGAAGGAGTTACGGTTTGGAAAATTTTCTTAAGGAGGTGAGGAAGGATGTATGAAGCGCATACAAGGTGCAAGTAGCTTAGATTGAGGACCAGTGGAATTGAAAGAAAATTAAAGAAAAGCAGTGTGCACAGTGAAAAAAGGAAATGAAAGAGAGTGGTTCAAGAGATGTAAGATCAATCTAATCAGTGACAGCTGGAAAGTGAGGGGTGTTCAACTCATGGACAACTTCAGTGCTTACTTCTCAGGGTCTGATAACTGCTTTGAAAAATTTCCTTGTGTAAACATGGGCATATCACCTAGTGTCCTCAAACCTCAATAACCTCAAGTATACACATTCGCCAACAGTAACATCCCACCATAATATTGTTGCGGGATCAGATGAGATCGTGTATATGAAAGCATTTTGTGAACTGCAAGCATTGTCTAATGTGAGATATTATTGCATGCCAGGAGACTCATTATTTACATTAACCAGGCCAGAAGCCAGTCAGAAGTCACACAGTGTCTCTCAAAGGAGTGCACTTTTATTACTTCCTAGCTCATAATAACTTGGACTGTCAACAAGTTAGTTAGTTTAGGAGAAGACCTTGGAGGCTTCTGTTGTGGTGTGGTACCAAATGAGGAGGGCTTAGTTAAAAAAGTGCAAATCTTCATGCTTTACAATTTCTTATGATGCCTTCTATGCTATCCTGTGGTGTGCACTTGGTAGAGACATGAATATTCCAGCAACAGTTCAGAAAGAAGTTCCATTCTACTTCTCCACCAATTTACTCTATCTGGAAAATAGTTTCACTTGTAGTCATCCTACTTAGAGGTTGGAGTCATCTGGGCGGAAATGCACTTCTGTATTCTGTGTTTTTTGAGAGCATAAATGAGATAGTGCAACACGAAGGGTTTGTGAATTATAATTTGCTAAGGCAAGTGGTACAGGTACTTGCTGTTGTGGGTCACAGAGGCAACTTGTACTGGAAACGTAATCTCAAGTAAGAAGAGTTGAGTTCAAGTCCTGATTCCATCACCTGACCTCAGGTGTGCTAAGCCAGCACTCTTGTTAGAATGTAAAGCATGTGAGACATGTATTTTCTCTTTCTATTATCTATACTCTGTCCCTTGGTGGAAGTATGAATGGTCTTTCTGCACAAGGTCTGCACTTGCATGTGTCTGAACCCCACCCAGTTCTGGTTTGCTGATTCCATAGTCATAACTTTTAAAATTCACAATGGCTGTTTAGACCAAGTGGCTGTGAAGAGACAAAATGTGTAATATCCAGGATGGAGTCCAGGGTCTGTGCTGTACTTCTAATGAAAGTGATCTCTGGTAATCTTTGGTTTTGAATACCTCCATTGTATACTTTCCATCATTTTTATGATAAGAAATATGTCATCTATGTGGCATCTGCAGAGTCCTGGTTGAGAAGTGAGTTGGTTTAAAGCATTTCATTTCAAATTACTCATAAAGATTTCGGTGGCATTGTTCCTTCATTCTACCTGGTAGTCAATTCTCTTTAAGACCACAATTGCATGACTGCCATCTTTTGAACCTAACTACTGCAGTTTAAAAGTCCCTCAAACCCAAACAAAAACATTTATTTTCTTTAATGTGTGAGCTTCTCTATGGCCTGGTCTAAAATTCCTTTTACATCTGTTTTGAAATGGAGTGTATGTGAGCCATAAGCTTCCCTCCCTCTGCTTCTTCCTTAGGACCCTGAAGTGGTCCATCAGTTCAAGTACAGAGGCAGATGCAGGCTTAATTTGACTGACAGCTTGTAGGAACTTCTGGCCCAGCATTTTAAGTGAGATGAAGTTGGCATTTAGTATGATGTCTCACTATCTGGAGAAAATTCATCCTTGTATGGCCAGAATTTTTCACTCACCTGAGGAAAGCTGACAGCTTTCAATACTTATGATGCATTACCGACACGTTTTCTCCTCTTTTTGGCTAGTGCCAACTGGCAAGCATTTTTCAACTGATAGGACATGACTTTTTTTTTTCTTTGCAGGAGAGCGGCTACTACCTTTGAGATACCCGGATATTTCCTTAGTACTAAAATTTTAGGGTGTTTATTTCAAAGCTGTATGTATGAGTACTTAATTTAATAATGTTAATGAGATGAGTATGATTCTCTCCTGCTGGGAAGCAGAGCATCGTGGAAAGAGTCCTAGTTCTGAAATCAGAAGATCTGGGCTTGAATTCTGGCTATTCTACTAATTAGGTAGGCTTAAAGTTCTGGCTTGAATTCTGATCTTGAATTCTGGCTATTCTACTAATCTTGAGCCATACATTTAATCTTTGTAAGTCTTAATTTCTTGCTTTGTGAAGTGAGAGATAATAATGATTCTGCTGGGATTTCAAATGAGCTCATGAATATGATTGTGGAGTGATATGTAAGTGAAAATTGTTATCATGGAATCATTATCCTTATAGCTACTGGAGTTGGAAGGTACATTTTTAATTTCTTTGGTTTGGTCAACAGGTTTCACGATTCTTGCTCTTGTAATTTCAGAGGATAGTGCAAATTCTCAGTGCTTCACACCAACCTCTCTAAGGGTGTCATTGTTGGAGGAGGATGAGAAAGAGGATTCCTTGAGGAAAAAAAAATGTACACTGAGTTGAATGATGCCTTTCTAAAATCCCTCCAATTCCAAAATCCTGTTGTGATTATTGCTATAGTCTTAATGTTTGTGTCCCCTCAAAATTCATATATTGACATTGTAAGCCCTAAGGTGATGATATTAGGAGGTAGGGTTCTTGGAGAGGTGATTAGGTCATGAGGTAGAGGCCCAGGGCCCAAGTGGGATTATTACCCTTGTGCAATAGGCCCAAGAAACTCTTCCTCCATTATACCATGTGAGGACACAGCTAAAAGGCACCATCTATGAACTGGAAAGCGGGCCCTCACCAGATACCAAATCTGCTGGTGACTTAATCTTGGACTTTGCAGCCTCCAGAATGGTCAGTAATAAATTTTTGTCATTTATAAGCCATCCAGTTTATGGTATTTTGTTACAGCAGGATGAACAGACTAAGACAATAATATTCTAGCACTAACAATTGCAATAAAGAACTCATGAAGCTTAGATATTGTCTCATTCATTCACATCAGAGAGAGAGAAAGACTGACAGAGAGAACAGTAGTTAGGGAACAGGTGACACCATGTGCCCAGGGCTTGACAAATAACAGTTATTTGGCTGCTTTGGTTGATGGGATATCATTCTAGCATCTCCATAGGTCTTTTGTGTCAGTTTAGTTTAACCAATACTAAGATAAGTAGGTAGGATCCTAGGTGCCATGCAGTGTATAGAATTCATCCATTTCTGTCCTCAGGAGTTTACAAGCTTGTAAATCCCCTCTTCTTTGGTGCCTCATCTTTGTTATCTATATCCATATCTATATATGCATCTTTATCTCTCTATCTATCTATCTATCTATCATCTATCTATCTATCTATATATCTATCTATATATCTATCTATATATCTATCTATATATATATCTATATCTATCTATCTATCTATCTATCTATCTATCTATCTATCTATCTATATCTTGTTTAAACTTACACTGGAAGGGGATTTTGTTTGTGAGCTCCATAAAGAAAATGTCTCACTGCTTCTAGCATCTGCACTCACCAGGAAGCAGGACTGGCTGCCCAAAGGCTGGACCTGGAGTGGTTCAAGATCTGCAGTTAGTATATCCAGGACAAACAATCAAGTTTGAGAGGTACATTTGGCCAAGGTATGGATTGGTGGAAAGCAGGACAGTGTTTGGGATCAGGAGCCACTCTTGTGTGATTATGTGAGTGCACTGACAAACAAGATGATGCAGTCTGCAGAGTCATCCAGCTCCAGCCTCAGCAGATGCTGACAGGGGCCACCTCTCCTTGTTCATCACGTGGCCCCTGGCACTACCTTATAAGGAGAGGTCAGATTCAGCTCTGGTGAGACTATGGAAACAGCTGCTATTGCCATGGCTCCATGGATGCTTCCAGGTTACTCATTTAATCATCCACGCTTTCATTTGTTCATTCAACAAATGTTTATTGAATGTCTATTGTGGGCCACAGATTGTTCAAAATATTGATGACAAAATGGTGAGCAGGAACACATAATTGTTGCTTTCATGGAGTTTACAATTCACTGTGAAAGAAATACATGAATGGAAATTATCCCAGCAATGGACATATACACCAGCAACGAGCGCTATGAAGGAGAGAACCAGGTCAGGGAAGATCTGAAGCAGGAATGGAGGATATAACATGCAAAAGGGGGCAGGGAGAGCTTTCCAGGCAGAGGAAATACTGCATGCCAAGGCCCCCCTACTCTGGTGATCTGAAAGAAGACAGTATCTAGAGTACCGAGAGTCAGGAGAAACAAGATCAGATGAGATTGGAGACGAAGGCAAGAACCTTTGTAGATTAGAGTAAGGGTTTTAGACTTTATGCCTATTCAAAAATGACAGGATGAAGGGGTTTTAAGCAAAGGCCTGAAGTTTGTCTCTTGAAACTTACTCTGGTTACGGATTGGGGAAGAATCAGAGGGGGAACCTGATCTCTTTCAGGGTCTCCAGAAAGGCTATTGTCTGCAGCTCAGAGAGAGAAGATGGCAGTCTTGGACTAGAATGACAGCCGTGGAGGGAGGGAGGTTGGAGATACCGAGCGACACTGAAGAGGCAAGCCTTGGAGGTTTGCTTATGAGGGTAGAGAGATAGAAGGGAAGTAGTGAGGGACCCTCAGGAGGCCAGGAAGGACAGAAATGAAGGCAGAAGCTGGGATTGGGGGAGGCAGAGTTGGCAGGTAACAGGGAGAGAATGGCAGGAAGGCTGCAGTTCATTTTTTACTCCATCTACCTATGAATACTGTGCTAAGCCTGATTTGGCCAATTTGTTTTCAACTTTTAGCAATTTTGTTTTGGAGGTTAACTGTGTGAAGCATTTTAACTCCTGGGTTCAGTTTTCTGTTTGATTTGGGGGTCTGCATGTATATGAGCATGAGTGAGGGTGGCTGAGGGGGCATGGATATTTGGCCCTTCAGCTCTGGGTTTCCACCCCCTCTTCTGGCATGTAGATTGCTGGCCATAGGCAGCATTTCCCCATCCCCCTTTATCTCTTTCTCCTCACTAACTTTCACCAATGACCGAGCAAGTGTAGTTAGCCCGAGGTTACGTAGAACCTTTCTGTTAGTTGTTTTCCATTCACTGACCATTCTGCCCTCAGGCAGTTGGTTAGGCTTATTCCTGACAGAATAGTCTCACCTGCCCACAGAGGTGCCTTCAGGAATTTTGAGGGTGGGGAGGGTCTGCAGGCAGTTTTCACTTTTTTTTTTTTAAATGACACTAGACAATTAAACTTTTACTGAAGCTTCAACAGAAACACATTTCAAGACCAGTGAGGGGAGATATTATGGCACCAAAACTTCCCCTCCTCTATCATACTAGGATACATTTCAATTACTATTCAACCTACAGTTTTCCTTCTTTTAGATTTTGTTTCACACAAATCTGTGCAGGTTTTCAACTAGGGCTAAACAGTGACTTAGCCCAGCCCAGCCCATTAAAGTTTCAAGATGTTGGTGCCAATTGCCCTGCGATGACAGTACATGTAACTTTCTTTATATTAAATGGAGGTTGGAATTTGAGGGATGAAGAGATCTTGACACTATGGTGAAATTTGACATAAAGGAATGCTTTTTTTCCCCCAAATGAACAGTGATGCTCATAAGTTGTTCATCTATTTGTCTCACCCAATTAATCAATAAGTACAAATTTATTGAGCATTTACAATGTGCCAGGCATAGTGCTGATGATGAGGAATGGGAAACATCAGTGATGAATAAGTCTTGGCTCAGCAATGCTGTTTCCATGTTTCTGTGAAGTGCCCTGCCCATCAAAGAGATTGAAGGAGAATGGGAAACAGAGGTTTTGCTTGGGATGCTGCTGGTGGTGGTGACGGCGCCATATAATTTGAATTGTCTTGCCATAACCTCCCTTGATATTTGTTCAAGGGCTTTTGTTTTAGTTAAAATTTCGTGTGCATTTTGCAGTTGGCTTTATAATATATTCGTGTTTGTTTAAATATTTAAAATATTCACCAATCTTAGGAGAAAACTATTGCTGCAGTTAAATATGTCATGCATATCCTGTGACTTTGTGAGCCCCCGGCCTACATTTGAGAAACCCATGCCACCCACATGCTCCTATGTACATACCATCAGAAAGAGGAGGAAGAGAGTACAAAGTCTGGTGTGAGAGACAGTCATACAAACAAATGACAACAATACAATAGAGAAGAGATTTGGTTTACTTTGAGGCAATCATGGAAGCAGATGTTAAAACCAAGTCTCGAAGGAAAGACTAAGAATTTTGAGGGAATGGGAGGAGCATTCGAGGAAATGCATACATAAATGTATGAAAGTGTGAAATACAGTGACTTGCTTAGGGAATGGTAAGTAATCCCAAGTTACAGAAGCATAGAGTTTGTTGGAAAGAAAGGAGCTAGGAGAGTAGGTTGCAGCCAAATTTGAAGAAGGCGTTGGATGTCATCCTGAGTCTGAACCAAATCCAGAGCCATTGATTCCACAGGCGAGGAGAAATATTTTAAGTTTTTCTTAGTGAAGAACCGTGAGTAGGTGTATGTCCTAGAAATATCACTGGGTAGGACTCAGTCATACATGATTAGTGTGGGGAAGCAGGGCAGAGGATGTGGATTCCAGGATTCCCTTTGCTCTTGGACCATCAGGAACATAGTGGTAAAGGCGGGGAAACCCACCCACTTCTGATTCCCATGAAGTTGGGGAGGGGGCCTGGCAATCTGCATGCTCAAATATTTCATTTAAAATCTGAATGCAATTTGCCAGGTTTGGAATTTGCTGATCTTTGGCAATCCTCTCATAGAGCACATGAGGAAAGGTGAAGCCATTTCCCAATGTCACCAGCTAATTATTGGCAGAAGCAGAACTCACATACAGTTCTTTTGCTTCCAGTCACGAGTTTCCCCCACCAATGTAGGCCAAGAGTGTTAACCCAAGTCAGAATGTCTGGGTTCACATTCTCCATTGCATACTTCTCTATATGCAATGAAGGCGCGTGGGAGGACAGAGTTGTTTTGCAGGGCACTGGAAGTTTTGTGTCCCAGCCAAGGTCAGTTCAGCATTCTTATTAACATACTGTAGATAATGGATGTCTAAAAGTCTGAAGGCATAAATATTTTAATGTAGC
Source organism: Homo sapiens (assembly GCF_000001405.40). Taxonomy (NCBI): domain Eukaryota; kingdom Metazoa; phylum Chordata; class Mammalia; order Primates; family Hominidae; genus Homo; species Homo sapiens. The sequence continues at coordinate 48,010,356 of NC_000015.10, read as the reverse complement.
CATACTGTGTCGCTGTTTCAGACCTGCACTTCAATTTTTATTTACTTTTACATGTTGCTGGCATAGGGCCACAAGGTTTTCCATCAACAGAAATGGCTGCTGATTGAAGCAATTTGCTTTTTGCCTTCCTCTGCCAGCGCTGAAGAGAACCTCACTGTCCAAAACAGGCATTTTTAGATCAAGATGGGCCGTTGGATGACACAGTGGGGAATACACTTAGTAGAGCAATGTCATAAATTGGGCTGGTGTCGGCTTCCTGACTTAATGCTTTTCTCTATTTGGTCATGAATTATATATTCTCTTTCAGATTGATCATTTCTCCCACTGATAAAGCGACAGTGTTCTACCAAGTGGATTTGGCCCCTGACCTAAGAAATACACTGATGCAACAAAATTTCTTGATCTGACAATTTGGATGAACTCTGGAGACTGTAAATCCACAAAGCCAGAGAGGAGACAGGCAGGCCTTGCATGATAGAACTCTCCCCTCACTTAGTATGCATCGGCTACCATGATGGCTGAGCAATTCTTTGGCTGCTTTTTACCCAACGTAATTTGCAAATTGATTGTTCTTCCTTGGAAGTCTTTCTTAATTAAATAGTAACTGCAGTTATTACCCAAGGACAAAGGAGATATTTTAGTGCGCTGGCAGAGGATAGCCTTAGCTCAGTGGATTTTCATTTGCTAGAGTCCCACCACAGACTCTTGTGTGCAGAACTCGATCAGATGTTTCCTTCTAAAGGGATGCACTAGCACTCCTTGCCCATAAGGGGTTAGAATCAGGTGAGTCAATGATAACGTCTTGTAACAAAATATGCATAGAATGCTTCTGCATTTCAGTACACTTATTTCAAATATTATCCCATTCCATTTTCACACTAGGTGTGACAAACAACTGCATCTCTGTCCTTTACCCACTTTACCCGCTAGAAGCCTCATCTATTGGATGAGGAAACTGAGGCACAGAGAGTTTAGATGTTTATTCAAGCTCATACAGAAAAGTGAGGATCAGAACTAGAATACAGGTGACCTGCCTCCTTGTTTGTTCCTCATGTTGAGTTAGGCCCAAAGGTGCTCTTTTGACACCATTTGCTAAATACCAACTATGACTGGGCCCTGAGGGGAGAGACTGAACAGGTGTCTTCTATGGCCTTCCAACCAGGGCAGTTGTTCTGAATCATTGACAGGTATCAGAAACACTTGGAAAGTTCATTCAAAAGTGCAGTTACCCGGGCCACAGCCTGGGGTTTTAGTAAGTCTCAGATGTGCCTCAGCATATCCATTCTTTAAAATTATTTAGGTAAATGGGATGGCCAGTCAAGGTAAAGAGTGCAGAACTAGGCTTTCATCTGACCTGGAATTGCACAAGGAAAGCTGAAGCGGAACCAGGGCACCTGACATGTGAACCCAGTCAGCCTGGATATTTGTGGGGAAATAAATGTCTGTACCAGGAGCACCTCAGAACCCATAGAGAGGTAGAGCACAGTTTCTGCCCCAAGAAGACATGCCAGTGCCTCTGGAGCCATGTGGCTCTTGCCTTGACAAAATTCTCCTGGCTTACGCCCTGTCAACCTAATGGCTGGAACAAGAAAACCTGCCTCCTTCATCCACACTGGATCTTTCTCTTCTACTTTCCTTCCTTTCCTTGCTTCCTCCCTTCCTCATACATGCTTAAAATTCCCTTCCTCCATCAAAATCCGTACTCATCCTCCAAGGCCCAGCTCACACGCTACCTTTTTCATGGCATCTTTCTTGATTTTCTTTCTCAGAATTCCTCTCCTTCCTCTGCGTTCTCAGGCACTTCGTACCTCTATGTATTTTTACTTAACCATCATACATGAGAATAGATGTCAGCTTTTGGGATTAATTTCTTTTTCATCTTTTTGTCCCTCCCAGTAGCTAATACAGAGTCTTATGCAGGGGAAGTGACTGGTACTTGTGGGTTGAGTTAAATTTATATTGACTTACTGAACTATTTCTGAGTGACCTCCTCAAAAGACTCTCTTCTGATTAAAAACAGTAATTATTGAATGTATCAGTTCAAACTACAATACATATCTCCACCAATACATTCTATCCTTTGACACTTAAAAATAAACACATTTAACTCATAATAGAAGAGGGAATAATGGCTTGTCTCGAGGCTAAGTCCACATTGGCCGTTGGTAAATTGGCTGTTTGTAGTAGATCAGAGATGTAATTAAATGTTAGACCTATCTGCATGAACAAAGATTGTCTCACCCAGCCATCCTATGACTGCTAGGTCCTGAGAACCTTTCCCAGCCATCGCTACATATTACTCTCCCTGTACCCTGGGGTTGATGCTGGCCCAGCCTTCCCCACATAAGGAGAAGAAACTCATTCCTGATCCATCTACTCCTCTACTTTGCTCCCTTTCCCTCTCTGCAGCCCAACCTGACTGCTGTGTTCTGCCCTGAGTCTGCAGAGGCTGACCCTGGCCAGGAAAGTGGTTGGAAAAGCATTTTTGCAGAGAGGCAGCCTGAAGGTGGTGGCTCTATGTAAGTGTGCACCCTTGGTTGGAAAGGCTGAAGGTCAGGAATGGTATTAGGAGAAAGTTCCCCCTTTCTCCTTTGTCCCTCCTTCCTGCCCCTGGACACAGGCTTGAGGATCTGCATCTGGCTGGCTCACCCTTCCTGCACAACTTTTCTATTCAAGTTTTTCAGGGCAGGGCTTTAAGAAACACTTCAGGTTAATTATAGCCAGGGGTCATTTTCTATACAAGCGGGACAAACTTGATGTGACTACAGGGCTGTCTCCAGGGCTGATTCATTCGACCTAGAAAACTGCCCCTAGGGAAACAGCCTCAGAATCTTGCCTGCAGCTCTGGAAGTGGTAATGGGCCCACCTGTCTCCCTGCCCATCATCTCACATCTGGGGGAATGTCTTGGCTAGCAGCATGGCCCTGAGTGAGGGGTTTAGGTAAACAAGGTGTGACTGGGATTGGAAGAGTCACAAACCTGTTTGTTAGAGCAATGCTGAAGAGTTTCAGGAAAAGAATTTCATCAAGGCTGGCACATCTGTCCTCAGACACTTGAAGGATTCCCTGGAGGAAGGAGGACTGAACTTGCCCTACAAGATCCTGGTTGGTAGAACTGGGCCAAATCATACATCCAATTCCAAAATTGCCTTTCTTCTTTGGAGGCCTGCTGAATGGCCTCCGGTTCTAGATGCATGTAGTTCCCTTTGCTAAGACTCTTTTTCCTTCCCTTCCTGCTACCTGGATAATCTTGACTCATCCTTTGGGCAACAGTTGAAACTTCAGGCCGTCCTTGAAACTTGTAAACTAGGGTTTTTCTACAGTGGTACTACTGACCTTTGGGGCCAGATAATTCTTTCTGGTAGAGGGGGCTGTCCTGTGTATTGTAGGATGTTTAGCAGCATCTCTGTCCTTTACCCACTAGATGCCACGAGCATCTCTTCAGTTGTGACAATAAAAAATGTCTCCAGATACTGCTAAGTGCCCTTTGGTGGCTAAATTTGTCTCCCTCCTCACCCCCTTTCCCACCAGTTGAGAACCATTACTTTAGACTAATGTTCCCCTAACACTCTGCATTTTCCTTTCTGTAACACTATCATATTCTTCATACTTCTAGACTTCTTAATGTGTTTAATGTCCATTTCCTTCCCTTACTGTCAGGTCCCTGATGGCTGAGATGGATTCTAATATTCTTTGCTGCTCCTAACTTTTCATTTAAAAGTCAGTGAAAGAATGAACTGATTTAAATAAGAACTTTGTGGCTTTTAGAGCTGTCCACAGACAGCATAGACTTTTCCAAAATTTCTTCTCACCGGGGGGCTCAAATAAGGCAAAAAGCTACTTGTTGAGAATGTTGTAGAGGAGAGTTAAGCACTGAATGGGTGATCTTGAATGTTCCTTCCAGTTATGAGATTGTGTGGAATTTGGGCTCTCAGCCAACCACCCCATGGGGAACTAATTAAATCAGAAAGAAGAGGCCAGCCGCTCCCTCTATAGTCAGGTGCTAAGTGTTCCCAAGAAGCGGCTGATGTAACTCAGGGAGTGACCTTTAAGTAGGTCAAGAGTCACATGAATATGGAATGCCTTTCCCTTCCCTTTCTCCCGTCCCAAGAGGTCATTTGACCCATATCCTAAGGGGTAGGATCATGCTTGAAAGCTTAGAAAACATCGTTTCTCAGTTCCCACCCTTCACTCTCGCACAGCCTTCTGTGGGCAATGGGGTTGAACAGGGAGGTCTAGCACACTTTCCCGGGTGGTGCGGGAGTTGCCTGGGGCAGCATTCTTCAGACTCTGAAGGTTACAGCCTATGTGATTTATTGTTTTATTTTTCTTTCTTTCTAACTCCTTTTCCAGCGGGGCAAAGAACTGTAAGCAGAGACAAAATGAAAGCCCTCTAGGCCCACAATTGATTCTAACGGCTGTGAGGGAATGAGCTTCAACTACTGTTGATGGGAGGGACTGTGTGCCAGGCACTGTGCTAGGGACTCTCATGCATGATCTCATTCATCTTCTGCATAACCCAATGAGGTAGGTGCAATTACATCTATTTTCCAAAGACACAACTGGAGAGGCCAGCAACTTGCCCATCATCACACAGCCAGGAAGGAGCCTGGGCCTGGGGAACAATGCATCCATAGCCTCTGTGCCCCTTTCATGCCCTGCCACAAGCAGAATGGGAAATGCTTCCAACCAAACTTCTGTTTCAAAGAGTCCCTGTGAACGGGCATAGTCATGATGAAAACTGCCATTCGCACTCAAATTACTGCTGCTTTTGTGACTGCTTCTTATGACCTTGCCATGACTTGACTTGATTATGCTTTTGCAAATCTCTCTTTACATATCTGCAGCTGAGCCTTCTTAAATCATTATACTTCTGAATTAAGATGGTGAATTGAAGTCCATGTTCTCTAGAAACAAAATAAAGCAGAAGAGTAGAGAATTATAAATCTACAAGGACAAAAAAAAGAGGAGTGAGGATCTCAACTAAAATATGGATGATGGAAACTGGATGGACCATGAGTAAATGAGCAGGCATACCAGAGAAACATGAAGCCCAGTGTCTGGGGGTGGGGAGGTGTGGGTGTAGATGGTGGTGAAGCAATGGCAGTGGGAGGTCAACAAAATACAGGACAGTTTTCATTGCAAAACCTCAGAAAGAAGAATGGCTTCGGCCTTTTCCATTTTCCAGTTCAGCTACAGGACCCCTTTGAGGACCTCAGCAGGCCACCTGAGTTAAGTGTACTGTGCAGAATGTGGACCAGAAAGTTTCTGGATTGAGATATGCTAGATACAGCCAAAGCCTGGGGAGACACAATGATAGAAATAAGGGCTTGAATTAAAGTTTGCACGCTGAACAGTAGGATTCCATCATTTTTTTTTTTCTAATTGGTTCCTAGATTTCTGGAACCCAGGTTTCTACCCAGTACCCCAGGTAGGAGATTGGAAGATTCCTCTCAAGGGAAACTTACCTAAAAGAAAAGACCTAAAGATCTGGACATCTGAGGTATCCTCCAACGGAAGATGAAATCTTCATTATCCTATAGCATCACCCAAGTGTCTTCCAATGAAAGATTAGATCTTCATCATCTTAGGCCCTGCTTATCTTCATAGGCCCTGCTCATGCACACAGGACATTCATTCTGTGGTTAAGTGCTTCACTCTAGAAAGCCTTAAACTATACTACTGCTGAAACTGGATCTTTCTTTGTCACCAAACAAGCAACTTGATTGCTATTGGGACATCTTTGCAAGCTTAACATTTGAATTTGATGACATTCTAATTGCAAAAGCCTTAGTCCTTATTCCTTTAGGCCAAAACTTGGCCTCCTCCCTTATAAAGCTGGCCCTCTTCTGCATTTATTCTCCAGCACATCCAGCACCTAGTCTCCCAACCAGGTTTATGTGTTTCTTTTTATTCTGACATAAATGAAAACTTGGATTCACTTTATTGTGGCTGACAGACCTAATTCTCACTGTATGTTGCTTGATTCTAGCTATTTCAGTAGTATTTTTATTGTGTTGGTGTTTTTTATGTTTGGGTTTTATGCCATTTTCCCCCACCTTACTCTTTGAATGCTCTGAGCATGATCCTGGTTTCCTAGGAATACATAACAAGTGTTTTAAAGCTTTTTGTACTCTCGCCAGATACCATTATCTAGAAATATGTTGGCATTTTATATAAACATATGTTTAGATTTCTATAACTAAATGCATCTTTATGTATGACTTATTATTACAACTGAATACATCTATAAATATATAACTTTATTTACAGGTATGATCTACTATCAAGTGTCTACATTTGTATTGGATTGGTATGTGTGCCCAACAAAGAAAGTGTCATTTTTCCTTGGGAATGAAATCACATCATTTGTGAAGACTTAGTAGAGGCTAAATGAGTACAAGCAGCATTTACCTTATTAAACAGATATTTTCAACATTTAAAACAGTCTGACCATCAATGATGATGTTCAAAAACATCTCAAGATGTTTTAGAGCTAAAGCAAATGAGAAAATATAGTAAAGGGCTGATTCCTGTGGATATTCTGCAAAGGAAAGTAACATGGTGGAGTGGAAGTGGGATAAGGTTTGAAGCCAAAAGACCTGGTGGGCTTAAGGTCTCCATTTATTGGTTGTGTGACCTTGGATAAGCCACTTCACCTCCTGGTGAGACTTGGGCAAAATGGAGATCATATTAATCACCTCACAGTTTGTTACGCATTGAGTAAATGCACATGTAAGCATTATTGACTGTAAATGATTATGCATATTTTAATTATGGTATATCCAAGCCTGATTTTTCATCCAGTGCTTACAGTGCCCTGGGCATAATACTCATTCAATAAACATTTGTTTGATGATAGAGTAATAAATGAATATGTGATGCAGAAGTTTTAAAAATATTTTTGCTGCTGTCTGACTCATTTATAGACATTTATAAAATTGAGGATTTGTAAGTTGTCCCTGGACAATCAGATCTCTTGATTCAAAGGTGAAAGATAATCATTCAGGTTTTCAAGTTTTTCCTGATATGAGACATTAACTGGCAGGGCTGATTATGAGAAATTGTCATTATCCTGCTCAAATATAAGATCATAGATTTGGGAAACCTTAGAAATAATTACCTTCTTTTCAAATATGAGGAAACTGAAGCCCAGAGGCTCTAAGAAATCAGGGACTTTATATAATTTTTTCATTTCTCTAGCTCTAGGGTAATTGTAGATAGATATACAACAAGTATGTTTTTAAAAGTATATTTTTCAAGAATTATGCTAAGCACTGGGGAAATAAACATTAACAAGACAAAACCCTCCCCTTTGAGGAACTGATAATCTAGACAGACATGAAAACCAGGAAGTGTGCTATCAGTTATATTAATGTTGTACAGAGTTCTAGTGGCAAGAGGGAACTGCCAAGGGAAATCTGAGAGGAGGTGTTTACCCTGCGTAAACACCTTGCTGTTTAGCTTGGCATCCCTAGAAGCAGACCCTGAGGACAGTGGGAAAATGGATTATTAAGGAAGTGCTCCTGAGAGAAACCAGAAAGGGGGTGTAGGGAGCAAGGGAGGATAAGGAGAAGACTCCAGTAAGGATGAGATTACTCAAGTCCCATGGAAGACAGGTTAGCCTGATCCTGCAGGGGAGCCCTGGAGGGTAAGTTATACCTCACAGTCTGCCCCTGGCTTCCAAGCAAAGCAACTGGCTTCTTATTGTCTTACACTCATCGGCCTTTGACTGAGGGTCTTAGTGGGCAGGGTTGGGAAGCTATGTTGACCCAGACACTTCTGATCTTTGAAATGATATACAAACTGGTTCCGGTTGCCAGAAGGTGGGCTTCTGAAGAGAGTTGCCATGTGGTCCATTGGAAGCAAAAGCACCCAGAAGCCAGACACCAGGTGTACAGAAATAATTATAGAGCTCTGAGAGAATCTGGAAGAAGCACCAGCAGTGCCCACTCCATCTGCGATCTGTAAGGGGAATTTGAGATGGGTGGGAAGGGAATTGCAGGCATCAGTTATATAATAGCGTGAGAACACATCCTGAAGCATGACTACTGAAGGTATGTTTAGGGATGGGAGACTGGTTGGTGTGGCTACACTGCCTTATGTCTGGTAGGAAGTACAAACCTGAGAGAGGAGCTTGCAAAGGCAGGCTGAAGCATCAGATTGTGTGCTTTTATTTTGTTGTTTGTTTGTTTTGTAATTTGGTTCTTTTGATTGCAAGGAAACGAGATCCACTAGAAGGATCTCAAATAACAGATGGCTTATTTTAAAAATATATGTGCTTGGGAACCTAAGAAAGGCCTGGTCCCAGGAAGAGCAGGAAAAATAAGAAATAACAGATCTTGAGGAACTGAAACTTCAGAACAAGCAGGACTCATAGATCTTCACCCTAGTGAAGCCACTGCTATGGCTTCCTGTGTCTGCTCTAATCTGCTCTAACTCCACCTGGAGGGGTTTACTCTTTCCCCTTCTCCTCTGTGTGCTTTTGTCTATCTTGCTTTCTGCTGACTCATGCTTCTGCCTCCTTGTAACTCTTATTGCTGAAGCCCTCTTGGCCTCTTCTATAACCCAAGCCTTTTACTATCTTTAGTTTCACCTTCAGTTCCCCTTTCTACCCACCTCCTTCTTTCTGCATGTCTGACTTCAGATTTCCAGGATGAGGTGATTGGACCAGAAAGCGTTTTCTGATGGGCCACACACTCTGAGGTATAACTTACCCTCCAGGGTTACCCTGCAGGATGAGGCTAATCTGTACCCCATGGAACTTAAGTAGCGTAAGTTGCTGTCCAATGTATGAATGAAATTGTGTTCAGATACACAATGGTGGCCCAATTGGCTGTGCCTGGCAGAAGAAGCAGAGTCCTATAATATAACAGTCAACAGTCGCTAAGATTTGTTTAGCATTGTTCTAGGCATTTCACATATATTATTTCATTTAATCATCATCTCCATTTAGTCAACATTCATTTCTTCACCTCCATATTTATTTAATCATCCCATAAGTTTGTTCTATGATTACCTTCACTTAACAGATGAGGAAACTAAGTCTTAGCGGTTCACAAAACTAGTATGTGGTGAATTTCCTTCTACCAAGGGGTGTGAGTTGGTCAGCTTGGAAGGAGCTGTGGATGTGGCTGTACCCAGTATTGGCATGTCCAGTCAACAGCCTTGCTTCCACATGAAGAAGTTTGGAATATATCATCATTAAGCCATATGGTGGAATGAAATTTAAGGTTTGATCTGGTATCAGGCTTTGGGTAAAGAGTTGATTAAAAACTGTAGTGCTAAAAAAATACCCAACAATATATTTCTCCCCTTTCCTGCATAGTTTCTTCTACCAGCATCAGTTTTGACGTGTTTTGGGTGAGAATCAAGGGTCTTCAACAGCTGATGAAAAAAATCAGGAAGTCCACAAGCAGTGGCAATGGTCTTCATGAACAAAGGCTCTGTTTTTAGAGAAGTCTCTCTGTGTCTCCAGGCTGATGTGCAGGTCTGCCCTGGCCATGAGGGGCAGGTCAGGCTGGATGGATGAAGCTGAAGGAACTGTCGGCTACTCTTTAGGTGAAACAAAAGGTTTAAGGGACTCTGCAGGAACAGTGAGCCTGATTTATCTTGACAAACTGGAAACAAGGAACTGGATGGTTATATTTATTTAGGCTTTTTTTTTTTGGAATAAGATTCAGTACTATTACTTCTTGCTAAGAGGAAGAACCACAGGGAGAGGAGACTATTTTGGCTTAATCTTCCTCATATACAAAGGCTTAAGTTGGCCAGTGTAGCCTGAAGAAGTGCGCAGGAAGCCTGCTGGGGAGGAGGAGAGAAGGTAAACATGGACCCTACACCTGGCCTCTTATTGTGCTTCCCTGTCAGTGACTCAATGCACCATTTTCTTGCCAGAAACAAAAGAGATTCCGTGAGCACCTAGAGTCTAGGACCTGAGCGTGAGATGTGACAAATGTAGTTACATACCATTAGCCTTATTTATTGCTGCATCACAGAGAAAAGGATAAGATACTCTCACTAAAGCGAAGAAGACTTAGACAAACCCATCCCAAGAATAAGAGGAAGAGATTTCCACAGTTCCACACTGGGCTGCAGTCCTCCTGAGATTGTGTGGCAGTGGGCTGTTAGAAAACTGTCCTGGGCTGAAAGACCCAGTTTCTTTCCATCTAGTCTCAGCCTCTCACCACATCTCTGTGCCTGTTTCCTGTATGTAAAATGAGGCTTCTAGACTCAGTCCCTAAGCTCTCTTTCAGTACTTTGTGGAAATACAGAGAGACTTATCTGAAATGGAGGGTCTGGGTAAGCCAAACCCCCAGAAGAAAAATTAGAGATGTATCAGGGGAGGAGGAGAGCACTGTTAAGTCCTAGCTTCAGTTTTATTTCAATTTAGATTTTGGATGGCTATTGCAGAAAGCTTTTAAAATGTGTGTGTGTGTATGTATGTGTGTGCGATTGTGTGTATGCATATTGTGTGTGTGTGTATATATATATATATATAAAATATTCAGCTTATAATTTCCTACTGGAGCTGCCAATGAGCCTGTCTCAGCGTTACACTGAGGCTCCCTTTATAGACCACACTTGTTCCTGGCATTCTTATAGTGCATTCTAGTACATACATACATAGTACATCTAAGTCTGGCTGAAGCACGTGAGGCCACCTCCAAGCTGAGGAGAATTAAAATGACAAACTTATAGAACTTGCAAAGTTCCTTTCAAGGTTCTCATTGTCCCTGTTCTAGAGTCTCTGGCTTCCTCTGGAGATGTAATTGGAAACACAGTAGGCCTCCGTCTTCTGTTCACTGACCTTCTCCATCCAGCCTCCACTGAACCAATGGGCATGTGGTCCCTTCCTCCAGGAGAGAGAAGACAATTCAGACATAAACATAACTTCTTATGTGACCTCCACTTTACTGGGCCCTTTCCTAAGGAATGAATTTTCTTTCCCTTCCTCTCCTCATTATTATGTTGAGCAGAAACATAGCCAGCAAACAAAAGAGCTTATGTGCTGTCTTCAGGCAGGTGAGAGAAAAGAAACTGCATAGATTTGCCTATTCCATGGTAAAACAAGGAGTAAGAAACTCAGGGGAAATAAGGAGAAAGAGCAAAGGAAATAAATAGGTAGTTGAAAACCTGAGACCTACCGGAGAAACATACTTAAGACCTCTGCAGGGACTGGAAGTGGTTCCAGTTAAGTGTGCAGCATCATGAGGCTTCCTTTGGATTTTCATAGAAATATTAGCATCCTTATTGTCAACATTACATGAAATTTGTACATCTAGTTAGTTTTCTTGGTATAGAAACACAAAGAAAGGAAAATAGTGAGGAATATGACTACTGCCTTTTGCTCTGCTCTCCTCTCTGGAGGTCTGCAGTGCTCTTGGAAGATGCAAATATTGATTTACACACCCTTCTCCTCTGCTGCTGTAAGATTTCACTCAACTAGAGAGCAAACTTAAGGTTTCTTGGAAGGGTGAAGTATGCTCATGGAGACTCAAACGCAGCTTACCTAACATACACTTTACTGGTGATCACTAGTATTTCTCAATTTCTTTTTTCTTAAGACTAGGAACATAGAATATGTTGCACAACACCCTCTGTAGACAAGTACCCTTCTTCTGACACAGTGAACATTCAAGCCTCAGGTTGGAATGAAGGGCACAGGATCAGGACAGCCTGGATCGCTGAGTCACCACATGGAGGACACCTCCCTGGGAGTTACTGATACCCACAGAAGACTTGGTGTGAGTGAGATATGTTACTGCAGCATACCTAGCCCATCCTGACTGATTTGAGGACTCAATCTAAGACAGTTTCTCAAATTTATATGCACATCAAGATCACCTTAGGTGTATTTTAAAACCTCATTTACAAAGCTCCTGGTCAGGTAGATCTGGGGTGAGGCTCGGGAATCTGCATTTTGATTGTACATTAAATGACTCACAGAAACTCTGGTCTACCATATCTGTGAATCTACTATTTTCTGAGGACCGCACATGGGGGAAACACTCTTCAAGTGTTGAAAGTTGAAGAGGTTAACCTAGACGGCTTGCTGTTGAAGTTAAGTTGCATTCTTCCTTCACTTGAAAGGCCTCAGTTACTTTGTTAATCACCTGAAGTGTAACAATATAGGACATGGGTTTACCAATGAAAGAATGCTCATGTTAACCAAGATCACAAGGACAATGAGTGAGACCTACCTCATAAGTCTGTTCTGAGGATTCAGGGAAACAATTCCACAGAATATATACATCATTTATCCCACTGTCTGGAACAAGAAAGGTAGTTTCTTTAAAAAGAAAAAAGAAAAGCTAAGTTTCATGTTTCATTTTAGTAAAAACAAACAGTTATGGATTACCTTCTCAGCGCCAGGCACAGTTAGAGACAGGAGAGCCTATACCTGTCTCAGCTGTCACAGAGTAGAGTCCAGCAGGGAGCTGAGCTGTGCATGTGCAGAAATAACCACAGTACAAAGCTCTGCATGATAAGGACTGTGAGAATTGTAAACCCAAAGTACTATGGGAGTTCAGAGAAGGGAGAGATTTCAATTTTCTTTGAATATTGACTTGCTACTGCATAGTAACTGTAATATCTTCTAAGAATGACAGTCAGGCGTTTCTCACAGGGCTAATGAATCACTCCACTTAGCTGTGACAACAGCAAGGCAAAGAAATATCTTCAAGGGCCCAGACGTTATTTTTCCAGCCTTGTCCTGGGGATATAATGCGCTTAGAAGTTATGACAAATTAGCTGTTTGTGGCAAATCTACATAAGCCCTTTTATAAAAATGGAAGTTTGGGCCTGAGTTAATGGGTTTTTATTGACAAGGGAAATAAAGCTGGATAGGGAGGGTAGAGCCTGGCTAGGAGGACTTTGAAAACCAGCAGAAGAGTTTAGATTTGACTACGGAAGCCCAGGGATCAGCAACTGTTCAAAAGGCATGGGCCAAACCTTGTTTAGTCACACGCCATTGCTAAACTTCTGTGTCTAACCATGATTTTATGTACAAAGGCAGAGGGCAAAGTCACTAAAGTATTGCACAGAACAAAGAGAAGGAAGTAAAACTGAAATAATTTTAAAACACAGTGAAACAATAGATGTGAGACGCAATGCTATGCTATTTTTTAACAGTGCTAATTGTTATCTCCCCAATATTGTTTTCTTAGAAGGGAGCATCCCTTAATCTGCCATGTTTATGCTTCTCCATATGCGAGTCACATTTGGAATGGCTGGCCTATGGGTTCTTTCTGTGCCTTTGGGAGGAAGAAGCCATCCCTAAATTCTGGGTGCTTGGGAAGCAGAGCCCTATATTGGCAGATGCATGTGTCCATATGTCCAGATATTCTCTTCTGGTCAAAAAAACATAGCTGCCCTCAAATGACCTCAAATCCTGGGCGTTCTGTGGTCAGGATGCCTGTGCTCAGAGATCTAAGGAAACCAAGTGACCTGGAAGACAAGTGGCAGGACTTTGGGTCTTCCAGGCCCAGAGTGACTATTGTCCTTGTTGCAGTTCCTGGGTCTTTACGCTTATCTCCCCCATTAATGAGACTCAGCCGCCTTCCCAGCACCGGCTTTCTTCTCGCTCTACAAGGAGTCTCCCTCACATTTCATCTGCCTTTCCTCTACTCATTCAGGTTTACTGCCTCTTCATAACTTGGCTTTTCATGGTCCACAATGGCCCCTCACGTCTTGTCTTTTTTTTTTTTTTTTTTTTTTTTTGAGATGGAGTCTCACTGTGTTGCCCAGGCTGGAGTGCAGTGGTGCGATCTTGGCTCACTGCAACATCCACCTCTCAGGTTCAAGCGATTCTCCTGCCTCAGCCTCCTGAGTAGCTGGGACAACAGGCACATGCCACCACACTCGGCTAATTTTTTATATTTTTTAGTAGAGACAGGGTTTCACCATATTGGCCAGGCTGGTCTTGAACTCCTGATCTCATGATCTGCCCACCTCGGCCTCCCAAAGTGCTGGGATTACAAGGGTGAGCCGCTGCGCCCAGCCACATCTTGACTTATAGCATGGCTTTTCCTGCCAGCTTATATCTGTTTTATTTATTTGTATTTATTTTCAATTTCAGTGCCCCAAAGAGAAAATCTGATTGAACCAGGCTGTTGCATTTTGTACCAAGTCATTTTTTCTCGGTAGCTGTGGATCACTGGGGAGTTCATGGATTGACTCCCATGGGTCATGTGCCACAGATGCCAGCTGTGGGCCCTGTGAGAGGGGAGACGAGGCTCAGTCCCATGTGGTTACCACAAGGTGTGCTCCAGCAGGGCTGTGGGCAGGGCAGACACCTGCCCCCAAAATGTGAGTGCACTGAAGATGAGAGGCACATTTTGAGGGGTTCTCTCACTAATACGTTGCCCCAGCCTCTCTTCCAGGCAGTAGGGTTGGGGATCAAGGCTCCAAGTCCTAGGGGTGGTGGCTCCAGGAGGCTCTGGCCTATTTTCTGCCCATCCTGCAGGTCAGTAGTCATAGCAGATGCTTGTGCCAGATTTGCAACGACCCCTCCTTACTGGAGCAGGGCACGGCGGGTAAATTTAAATAAATTTGTCATGAAAATGACATAACGAAAGAGAAGAGAGGTCAAGGGTTTTCTCTCACAGGGCTCCCTCTGTTGCTCCACCTCTAAGGTGCGAGTGCTGTAGGTGACGGTTGGGCCAAAGTGGCTGCTCCTCATGCTTGACGAAGCAAGGACTTTGTAGCAGGCAGCGTACTTGGCAGCAAGGCCCTAACCCCAATTCTGAGTGACTTAATTCTGGCTGTTTGAAAAGATATGATCAAACACTAGCAGGAAGCACTGAGACTTTCTGGGAAGCTTCAGAAGCTGTGTCTCCAGTTGTAATCGAATTGGTCAGAGAAGACTCTTCTCTCACTGCAAGCGGGCATCAGGGCATGGCTTGCTCCAGGGCACCACAGTCCTCAACTCTGATGCTAAAACTGCAGCATAGAAATAGCTGTTGCCACCCTTCGTTAAAACTGCCTTGCCAAGGCCCAGGCTTTTTCCAATTTAAAATTTAGGGTGGTATTGTCAGATGGTGGGTCCTAGATTACATGCCCAGGCTGTAGTTGCAAGCAAGACTAGCAATTCAACCCTCTGGCACTTTCAGCAATGGACTCTGCTTCTTAAGATGGAGGATTCCTCAACTTTGGAAATGGGGTTCAGATACTGGACAGTAAAGTATATGAGAAGGGTTATCTCCTGAAACCTGTTTGTTATTGAAGCTGGGGAGCAATGTGAGGAAAGCAATGTTTCAGGGAAGGTGATTTGACCAGAGTTTGCAGGATAAATTTTTTAAGAGAGACTCAAATGAGAGGGGCTGCCTAAGGATGGTAGGAATGTTTTTCTGAGCTTACCAACTTACAGTAGGAGATCTGATTACCTTATCGTTATGTCTCACTAAAAGAAGAAAACTGTAGGTCTGACACAGATAAAATTTCTAAGTAGTTTCCTTTTTTTTTCTTTTTTGGAGTAAGCAGAGATAGACCAATAAGCACATGGACAGATTCACACCCAGACAGATGCATCTAAAGTGCAGGAGGTGGTTTTGTTCAGTAGTGAAAGAGAACTTTGGCTCTGGAGCTTGAGTTTGAAACCCATTGTACTATATTACATGCTAATTACGAAAACTTAGGCAGGTGAATTAACCTCTAAGCCTCAAATTTGTTACCTATAAAATGGGAGTCATAACACCTATTGCATAGCATTACAGTGGGCATTAAATGCATAAAAAACTCTTAGTAGAGTGGCTGGTCCAAAGCAGATTGCCAGTATATGCCAGGTATTAATAGCAATGTTCTATATGAGATCGTAAGGCTGGACTATTTGGTGGCCAACGAAGTGAGGGAGGGAGAGTGAATGTGAGAGCAGTGGGAAAGACAGAACAGCAAGGCCTCTGTGACAGATGGGGCAAAGGAGACAGGGGAGAATGAAGGGTCAAAGAAAGTTCCATGATTTATTGATAAACCACCTTTTTCATTTGGTTCTTGGCATTAGGTTACTTTTATTTGAGCTGGGCATTTTTTAGATAAAAGGAAGAGAATAACTGAGATTTTTGATCTGATGCAATGAAATTTCTGAGAAGTAAAAGAATGACTGGGTGTATCCACATAGGGAAGCTGGAGAAAAGAGCAGCTCGTCCTCCTCCTCCTCCTCCTCTTCCCCGTCTTCCTCCTTCTCCTTCTTTTTCTCCCTGCCATCTTCCTCCCTGTTCTCTTCTTTATAAAAAGACATAGTTGCAAACATAAAGGAAAATTTTACACTGGACTTTACTAGTTAGATAGCCTGATCCTAAGTCAGATCTCACTGCTTTAAACCCATTTTAGAAGGAGATAGGATATAAATTGCCAATAAATAAATAATTGAGTCAATTCATCCTGCCTTAGGGATTGCTTCCTTCACCAGCAAAAGGAGATCAATAAGAACTGGCCCTAACTCTAAAATTTTACCTGAGTGGCCAGTCCCTGGATTGAAAGTCTCTACTGTGTCATTCTCAAGGAGCTTCAGAATCCTACACATTTTAGCATACTATTGCCAGGAGAGGCAATGGTTGCTAAACTCACATACTAACAGCAGTAGATATGATTTGCCATTAGCATTTGGTCACACCTAGCAGAAGGGTAGCCAGAGAATAAAAGATAGAATTTATAGATAATCTTAAGAAGTCTCAAATTATTTAATGCCTTGCTACTCACAGTGTAGTACAGGAACCAGAAGTATCGGCAAGCCCTGGGAACTTGATAGAAATGCAGAGGCTCAGGCCCCACTACATCAGACCTATTAAATCAGAATCTGCATTTCAGCAAGATCCCCCAGCAATTTGGGTATCATTATATTTGAGAAGCATTGGCTAAAGGCAGGCGACGAAGAGCGAGATGAGTTTTATGGAAGCAGGGAGATAAGATCCTGAGAAGGTAGAATAATAACAAATAATAATTTTCCTTAGAGCTGGTTTGGGAATGGTGTTTAGAATACTCATGACAAACTCCCTTGCAGAGTAAAGGCAGTGATAATCTTCACAAAGTTCTCTGAAGCCCGTAAGCATCATGCCAGCTCAGTTCCAGGTGCAGAGCCGCCTGTGGATGACAGGCTTACTGAGCTGAGCGTTGCGGAGCACTCGCCCTCTTCTTTAAATTGGAAACAGATTGCACTGCTGTAGGCACTGTCATTCAGAAGGTGGTAACTGCCTGTTTCATCCCCAAAGTCATCCAGGGTCAAACTGGACTCTAACAACCTCAGTCACTCTGGCTGGGATTTCAGGTCCTGATGTGGAGTAACCTTCTAACCAAGACCCTTTCTCCATTAAAAAAAAAAAAAAAAAAAAAAATCTCCATGTCAGTGATTCTCAAAGCATGATCCCCAGACCAGTGGCCTAGAGATCACCTGGGAACTTGTCAGAACTATAAAAATCTCAGGTCCTACCCCAGACCTATTGAATCAGAAATTCTGAGGCCAAGCCCAGCAATCTGTATTTAAGCAAGCCTTCCAGGAGGTTCTGATACCAGCTAAAATTTCAGAATCAGCATGTCTTATATTCATTTAAAAAAATGTAAATGGAAATGAAACAAATAGTTTTTGGCTTACCTTTCTAGGTGACAGTAATGTAGAGTTTTCTTCTTTGACAGCCATTGTATTTCTGTCCTATCACTAATAAGGAAAAAACAGTCAATTCTCTATATTTTACATTTATTTATTTATTTATTTATTTATTTATTTACCAGAGATGGGGTCATCCAGGCTGGGGTGCAGTGGCACCTCAGCTCACTGCAACCTCTGCCTCCTGGGCTTAAGCGATTCTCTCACCTCAACCTTCCAAGTAGCTGGGACTACAGGTGCACACCACCATGCCCGTCTGATTTTTGTATTTATTTGTAAAGATGGGGTTTCGCCATGTTGCCCAGGCTGGTCTTGAACTCCTGGACTCAAATCATCCACCCGCCTTGACCTCTCAAAGTGCTGGGATTACAGGCATGAGCCACTGCACCTGGCCATTTCTCTATTTTAGAGCAATTTTGCAAGTAGCGTTCTCTTTTCCTATGGCACATACAACTGCCTTTGTGAAGAACACAGAGCAGGTGCTCAATCCCTAGTCTCCATCATGGCGGTCAAGGAAACTGTCCCCATACACTCAGCTGTTGGATCCAAAAGAGTCAGGGCGATGGGGGTTTTGCATTTTTCAGGTTATATCCAATGCAGAAATTCTGTAAGATCACACCAAAAAGGCCCATTTCCCCATCAAGGGAACTATTTTCTGTCATGCCCTCTAAAGTACTGGAGTACTATTGGAGGCCTGTTGGAGTGACTGGAGATGTGGAAGATCTTGGCCTACTTTGTGCTTATTTGTAAAGTTCCTTTTTATTATGGCTCAGTGGAGCTAGAGTGTCTCCAGCCCCTTCCAAAGAAGAGACTGAGTACCTGAGCCTGCCTTCTGGTTTGCCTTTGCTTCACATTTGAGGGGCTCCACAAGGCCCTTGGGGTTGGGGTTGGAGCCTGGGCTCTACTTTAAGAGGCAGTACTGTCGATTCTTTGAAGACATTAGTGTGCCTTTGCTGCTGCCATTATAGTCACCTTAATGTCCTGCCTTATCACCAGTCCCCCCCAAAACTTGCTGTCAATAGTCTACTGTCATAAGTGCATATTTGACCTGGTGTGGAAAGCAGGAAGGAGTCAAGTGGGTAGGAAGCAGGGCAGGTTGGTAAGCAGCCCTCCCCATGCTGTGGGGCCGTGTGGCTTTTCATTCTAGCACATGCCTGAAAGGCAGTCTTGGAGCAGCTGCCTCATGTTGGAGGAAAAACACTGAAGTGGGATGAGAAGATGTGAGTTCCGGTCCCAGATCTGATTTGTTTGGCACATAAGTTTGGGTGAGTCACTGAAGCTCTTGAATCTCATTTTTCTCCTCGACTAAATGGAAATACTAATCCCTGCCCTCCCTGTTTCACAGAGGTGTTGCAGGCCTTCCGTGAGGTCTGCTGCTGAAAGTAACCAGCATCTGGGAAGGGCTGGAAGTGGTGAGGGGCATCATGCTTCCTCCATTTGTGTGGTCCCCACCCTCTACCCCTAGGAGAGAACTCTGCACCCCCTCTTGGGTGGGAACACAGAAAATGTTTCTTGTTTCAGGGGGACCTCACAAGATTCTTGCAACAGGGCAGTGATTCTTTAGCAATGTCTTTGTATGCCTGGACTCAGAGCCACCCAGAGGAGCCACAGGAGGGTCCCTCACCCTCTGCGCCCACGAGACTCTGCTACCAGTGCCCTCTTCCACCCAAAGCACTAAGTCAATGAAGACAGTCTCTGTTCTCAGGCACATATCTGCCCTCCATGAGGCTGAATAGAGCCCATTCTCCCTCTTCCATACCTTTCATCTCAAAGGATTCCTGAGCACACAATCCACTTTATAGCCTGGTCCTCTACCATTAGATAATAAAGGGTCTTTCACTGATCTGTGCTGTTGAAATGCCACCACCTCCACTATGCAGCTGCTCTGGGCTGTACAGAAAGCATCTCTCAATCCTAGGTCATTTAGAATGTCATAGCCTGAGGAGAATTCAGAAGGACATCGAGGTCTACAAGTTATAGAAAAAGTGTGGACTTTTGCAAAATGCACACACAAACCAAAACCAACTTTCCAACCAATCCTCAGAAAACCAGACTGAATCCATTAAAATGATGTTGGTTTGTTTCGCAACGAAGAACCAGCTTTGACCCTGTCCATTTTTTGTCCTACTCAAAGTGGTCTCTTTACCATAAACAAATAGGCCTCTTAAAGTGACAGTTGTATAAATAAAACTTGAGAGTGGTAGGATAAACTTTACGTGGTCCTGTTGCCAAATAACTATGGATATTAGTATGTTTTGCCTAATTCAGATCAATGAAGGCCTCGCTATGTGCGAGCTGGCTAGCAGCTGGGAGGCAAACATGAGTTGTAGTTTCTGACCTCAGTGTCTGGTGGCACTACTGGGTGTGGAGACGCTGTACAAACACATTTGTATGTTCACATTTCCTATGTAAAAGAAAAGGGCTTGGGGTAGTGTCAGACCCCTGACTCTTCTTCTTCATAACAGACAGGGCTCTCTACAGAGCACCCTTCTAGAGCAGCTTTAGCAACCAAGGGACAGACACCTCAGTCTGTTTTAAGTTTTCTCCTTCCTATTGAAAGGAAGTCCAGAACAAATTCAGGGAGGTTTTCAATAATTACTCATCAACAATCTCATAGTCACAATACTAAAAAAGACTGCTGACATTTTGGTTTATTTTCTAGTACTAGCTACATCTGCACATAACTTTTATTAAGTTTTCTTTAAAAGGATGATTCAAATTTTTGGTCGGTGTGGTTTAAATTTTATTTTTTTTAACTGCTCAAATACATGACCCATAACAGAGGAAATTTGAAGAGTGACTGTTCCACTGATCTACCTAGGTGGGTCTAATATAATTCTTAGAATTCCTCACCACTTCACCTTTTTCAAGTTCGCTGTTTTTTTGTGGGTTTTAGCCCTCTTTAAGTCAATATGACTGTTTTACAGAATCCTTTAGGATCATAATGGGGAAAAGAGGAGAAAAATTGTGGTGGCTTAAAATGTATTCACATTTGTAGTTTCAGATAACTATATAAAAGTCAATCATCAATAATTTGTTAAACACCAATTTGTGCCGGAGTCGCTCTGGAAACTTGCCAGAAACATGGGGGTGAGTATATGAGCCACATAAGCAAAAATCCTCAGTGAGCTCTGGTGAGTGAGATGAGATAATCATGGGAACAATTTGAAAATACTCCAATATGATATGTCATTAAGTACTCAATTTTCTGCTATGGACGTTGGGGAGAAGGGGATTCAGATAGAAAGAGAAAAATATGGGCCAGGCATAGTGGCTCATGCCTGTAATCCCAGCACTTTGGGAGGGTGAGGTGGGAGGATTGCTTGAGCTCAGGAGTTTGAGACGAGCCTGGGCAACATGGTGAAACCTCGTATCTGCAAAACAAAACAAAACAAAACAAAACAAAAAAACAATAAATTAGCCAGGCATGGTGGTGTATCCCTGTAGTCCTAACTACTTGGGTGGCTGAGGTGGGAAGATTGCTTGAGCCTGGGAGGTGGTGACTGCAGTGAGCCGAGATTGTGTCACTGCACACCAGCCTGGGCAACAGAGCTAGACCCTGTCTCAGGAAAAAAGAAAAGAAAGAAAGAAAGGAAGGAAGGAAGAAAGAGAGAGAGAAAGAAAAAAAGAAAGAAAGAGAAAGAAAGGAAGGAAGGAAGGAAAAATATGGACTTATTGCCATTCACAAAAGTCTTTGTGGAAGAAGAGGGGAAACCTAAGCCTTGTTATTTGGTAGTTGGGGTGCAGCCAGGGGAAATGCATTCGTTCAGACAGTGGATGGCAAAGCAGAGTGAGAGTCCATTGCTCTTATATGTTGGTGAAATAGGGTGAGAAATCTCTTGGACCAATGGTCTTTAGACATTCAGTTGACCATCAGGACTGTCCATCAGAGGCTGAATTTTCATTCACTAGACAGGTGAACCTCGGCTTCTCAGCTCTAACTTTTCCTCAGTTGCTCTCCCCTGCACCACCACCCCCAGGTCAATCTTCCTGGGCAGACAGCTCCTCCACAGACAGATGGTTAAACTGCAGGTAACACCTGCAGTGGTGTGGAATTGCACATGGGATATTTCTAAATCATCTAACACAGGTATTCTCACACTTTTATGTATAGCACAGTCACCTGGAGAACTTGTGACATCACATTGCTGGGGCCCACCTACAGAGTTTCCAATTCAATAGGTCTGGGGCCCAGGGCAAGGCCAGGTAAATCATCAGCAGGACCAGTCCTGGATGCTGCTGCTGATGTTGGTCTAGGGACCACACTTTGAGAACCACAGATCTAGGCCATTACGTCAGTTTACAAAAGAGTAACTGAGGCCCAGAGAGATCTCAGAGTTTAAAGACTGCATTAGAAGGCAATTGCCAACCACCCCTTCACCGCTTACCTTGTGCAAAGCCTAGCTTAATCCTCAATTCCTGCAGGGCAAGTCTGACTTTGGTTAGATTTTAATTGTCTGAGAGCTGAACTTCTCTCATCTCAACGAAAGTTCTTGCATATTTAGAAACAGGTCTGCCCAAAGGTAGGAGGATAGACCAACTATCTTTGAGGCTTTTAAGGCTATGACAACATTACATTAGTAAAATAATTTCTTTTACAAATTAAATGTGAATGTGTTAGGTCCATAATCTTACAACCTGTAGGTGGCAGTGCCTTCCTTCTCTATACACAGCTATATGCCTGGTTTCATTTCCTGAGTAGCTGAGAAGCCTGCAATGCATACAGTGTTAGATGCTGGGCCATCTACTCCTTGCCCAAGAAAGCCCCTCCAGGGACAGCTGAATCAGATAACTGGAGTTTGCATTCTGAGAACTATTGTTCTGAATTAACATGTGAGGTTTTAAAATTTTTTCTTATTTTCTTGTTTAACTTATTACATTTTTATCCTCTGCATGGGGTTTTAGACTTAACATCTCTGGAAAGCCAGAAATCAGAGATACAGAGAAGTATTGAAATGCTGAAATGCTATGAATTTACTATAAGAGAACATTCTTCACTGAAGAGATCTCTAGCTGCCAAAACACCCTTTCATGCGTGAAATACCGGGGCAAAGAGGAAGGAAAAGAGAAGAGTATGACTCTAGGAACCATGTTGCAGAAATGCCAAAGGGTGGGACAAACAAGTAAGTGATTGTTCATCAGCTACTGTCAATTATTAAACATGAATTCCTCATTTCCATATGACCCACGACTTGCAGACGACCTGCTGGTACATGAGTTCCATTTTGTCAGTAGTAATTGACATAAAGATACAAAATTAACTCCACTTTTAATCCTAAAATGAAATCATATTGTATGAGTATGAGACATGCACTTGCAAACATCCAGCACTGTCTCCCCTATTCCTAAAGACCCCAGGGCCAGTTCCTTTCCCTAACTTCACTTTTCCTTTAATTGCCACCCCCTCTTTTCAGCTGCTGCCTTAGCAGAGAACACTCTGATCTAATGACTTTTGACCTCCTTTCTGTCTCCACAGAGGCAACCATGATTTCCTGATGTTGTATTCTCTCTTTTAAGCCATGCAAAGATCAATTAATTGCATCTCAGTTAATCTTCCTTCATTGTTCTAACATTCAAATTGAATTGGTTGTCTCCGAGTTTCCAATAGAATTGAGTTTAAACTCTCCTTGGGCATTAAAGTCTGCAGGATGCATTTTCCTCTTATTTATTCAGCCTCATCTGCCATGTCTTACCCTCCTTCCCTGCATTTACTCTGAACCTCACATCATTTCCAAAATGATTGTATGCTTATGCCTTTGTACATTTTGTTCCTTCTGAAAAATTTCTATTCATTTTTGAGAATTAAATGTCATTTTAGGGGAGCATTTCCAGATTTCCACAAACAGCACCTTCCTCATCCTTTAAGACAGCTTTCAGCACATTATAGTGTAATTTGCAGGTGTGCTTGTCTGTTCTGACTCCCAGCCCCTGCCTCACTTTGTTTCACCACCTACTGCAATAGGTCGGTGTTATGATGGTAGCAACTGTTCGATTCTTCTTTATATCCGTAAGACCCAGCATAGAACTGGACAGATAGTGCATGCTAAACATGGATTTTAAATCAATTAATGCTATGCAAGGTACTTTCTTTTGCTTACTTAGGAAAGCCCCTCTTTTCTCAATTTCAACCTTCCCCTTCTGTCTATTATTTCATTTTGTGAGCCCAACACATGGCTTGAGTTCTACAAGTGATAGGTTTGTACCAAGGAAAAGAAAGACAGAAATGTTGAAGCAAAACTGTGAATAGTGATGATTCTTCTTCTACTACTGCTTCTAAAATGTCATTCTCATCAGCTTCTAGAAATCCTTGAAAGTTACCTCAACTTCCCTTTAAGGTATTCACAAATTTTCATCTACATTTTTGTCTCTCCTAGATGAATTTACCTTTCCTCAAGCATCAGAATACAAGAAAATTAAAAATAATTTATTTTCTTACTTTTCTTATTTCTTTCTTACTGTTGTGTGTCATATTTTATTACCAGTATTGTAACAAAGCAGAGTAAAAAATGTTGTGTTCCATGTATTTTCACTGCAATCATATGCTATTTCTGATACTTTGTGGGTTAGATGGGGTATTGGGGTCAAGCCTGTGGTCAGCATCAGCATTACAAACACTGTTTTTAGAGAAGAATGAGTTTCAAATATCATCAATTGACCTAAAAATGAACTTTTTGAACATGTCTGATTTTTTAATGTGAGAAATTTGTTTCTGCATATATTTGGTGTCAATTAGTAAGAGTGGTCAACTCTTTCATTATGTCATATGTACAGGGCAGACAATGGGACTGAAGACATGTATATCTTGGAATGTGCTGGAAAATCTCTTATGATCCCCGGGAACATATATCCTTGATAATCCCCAGTAACATGTCTTTGTGTTTCCTGTGATACGAGGGGTGAAGCGAGAGAAAACCGGGGTTGACAGGATGTGGTCTTTTAGAGAAGGGCTGTTCAGCTCCATGCCAAAGGTGTTGGGAAGGTTTCATAATGTGGGTAAGGCTTGATCATCCAACTTAGGGAATTACTAACAATGACTGACAGAGCCTGATAAGCCCTCTCACTGTGGTCAATGCATTTACAGGTGTGAAAAGAATTGATGTAATAGTATTGAAAAAAATCTTTAAAAGAAAAACCCATTGCTGCCTTATTTTGCATGCAAGCAGAGATGTTGATGATATGCCTGATTGCTTGGGAACTAAGGAGATTAATTTTCCCTAAAAATTCCAGGTAGAGACTATAAGGAAGCAGTGAACAGCATGAGGCAGCCCACAGAACTTGGTAGATAGGCATTCAGACTAGACAGAGACGGAGAGCAGATCCCAACAGTAACTCAGGGAGAGACCCAAGACCCGTGGACATGACTCCACCTAGTTAGATCCTAGTTAATTTGAGGTGGGAATTAAATTAAACAGCACAAACCCCTTGAGAATGCAGGTGGACAGGTTTTATCCACAGCTGCTGCAGCCAGGTGCTATGCTTGATAGTATGACCCAAGAAATCAGCATAAAGAACTTCAGAATGTGCAGGAAGAGCTTTCCAGATAGCACTCATATTAGAAATTTTTTTTTATCTAAAAGCTAAGATAATTTATATCAGCTTCCCAACATAGCAATGCAGAAGAGAAGGCATTTTATGGCAATTATTTTACAGAGATATTTTTATGTTGGAATAAAACAAACTTGGAGAATTTCAGCTTTCCATGATTTGTAAAGTAACAAATAGTTACCAAAATACCTAGAGCAAGAGAAACACTTAAAAAAATGGAATTGGCCCAAATGACCATCAATCAATGAGAGGATAAAGAAAATGTAGTATATACATATATGCCATGGAATACTACTCAGCCATAAAAAGGAACAGAATAATGGCATTCACAGCAATCTGGATGGAACTGGAGACTATCATTCTAAGTGAAGTAACTAAGGAATGAAAAATAAAGCATCGTATGTTCTCATTCATATGTGGGAGAACATGTATGAGAACTCATATAAAGACGCAAAGCCATAAGAATGATACATTGGACTTTGGGGACTCAGGGAAAAAGATGGGGGATGGCGAGGGATAAAAGATACACATTGGATACAATGTATACTGCTCGGGTGATGGGTGTACCAAAATCTCAGAAATCACCACTGAAGAACTTTTTCATATAACCAAACACTATCTGTTCCCCAAAAACCTATTGAAATAAAAAAAAAAAAAACAAATAAAACACACACACACACACACACACACACACACACACACAAACCCCACATTCTTTGTAGGCTGACCTCTAAGCATTGGTAACTATATTGGTAACAAATATTTGTGATTTGTATATATAATCAGTACATATATAATTATATGTATGATATATATACACATCATTATATATAAATATGTAATATTAATAAAAGCATATCCATATTTATATATTTTACTATAACGCATATAAAATAGAATATATATATAATTTATATGAACAGTTTAAAGAACAATACTGAAATAAACAGCAGCGTAGTCACCAACAAGCTTAAGAAATACGCCTGATGCCCCTGTGTTCTTGTACTGCTCTAATCTCTCTCCCTGTTCCGTAGAGCTAACCGCTGTCTTGAATTTTGTGTTTATTATTATTCTCTGGCTTTTCTTTACATTTATATCCCAAATAGTTTAGCTTTGTGCTTTTAACAAATGGAATTTATTATGAATTATGTTATGTATATTATGTTATGTATATGTATATGTATATTGTTAAAGCAAACTAAAGGACTCCATACTTCTATATTTGAGTCCTTGTGGATGAACTGTAACCTAGCTTAACAGTCAGGCAAAATTGAAAACCTAATTTAGGACCATTTGCCGGTAACAATAACTGAGTCTTGGCTAATTCCAGAGGCCATACTTCAACCACTCAGACTGCTAACTGTTGGAACTGTGTTCAAAGAAGGCAAACGCCAACCTGTAACCAATCCAGCTGTTTCTGTACCTCGCTGCCAATTTCTGTACATCGTTTTCCTTTCTTTGTATATAACTCTTCCACCACGTGGCTGCGCTGGAGCCTCTGTGAATCTGCTGTGATTCTGGGGGCGGCCCAACTGGCGAATTCTTAATTGCTCAATTAAACTCCTTTAAATATAATTTGGTTGAAGTTTTTCTTTTATCAATATACACATATACCTATAACAATATACATATTCATATATATGTTGTTTATTTGTGTATATATATAATTACATATCATATATATACTATATATTTATGCTATATATATACATATTCATATATATATGTGTGTGTTCCTGGAACTTTCCCTCTTCATCTTTGTGCTTTGAGAACTCTTTTTTACAGCTACATGGTATTTCATTATAAGAATATACCACAATTTATTTATACAGGCTCTTGTCGATGGACATTTAGCCTCTTCCCCCATACAACCATTCCAGAAATGCTGGTATGAACATTCAGGTCCATGTTTCTTGGAGCATACGAGCAAGTGTCTCCCAAGATCAGAATGGTCATGTAGTAGGAAACGGACATCTTCAGTTTGACTAGATAATGACAAAGTGTTTCCCAGAGTGGTTATACCAATTTACACTTCCACCAGAGTGTGTAGGATTTCTGATTGCTTCACACCATCTTCAACACTGGCTGTTGTCAGACTTCTACATTTTTGCCAATTGAGTGGAAGCAAGATAGTTGTGGTTTTAATTTGTACTCTCCCTTTTGATGAGGTTAAACATATTTTCATACATTTCTTGGCCCTAAGTATTTCTTCTTCCGTAAAATGCCTGTTCATATGCCCAAGTTTTATGGGATATCTTATTAATTTTAGAGATTATTTAAATATCTTCTATATTAATGCTTTGTCAATTATAATATGTAGCAAATGTCTTCTGCTAGTTGTGAGTTAAATTTTAATTTTTAATAGAGTTTAAAATCACATGCATATACAGAGATAGCTTTGTCTGCATAGAAAAAGTAAATTCCTATGGCCGCATGACAAAGCTATTTTATGTGCTAGTGTCTGGCTTGTAGTAACAGTGTTTATTTCCGTTGGTCACAACAGAATCTGAACTAAGACTTTTTCCTCATCATGTTCATCCCACGTAAAGGAAATACTTGATTGGTACTGTCTGGTTATTCAGGAAGAGGGGAAAATTGAGGCAAGCCATGACCATTCTTATTTTGCTAAATAGTAGTTACATCTCAACTCTCAAATCGTTTTTGTTTGCTTCCACTTCAAACATCCTTACAACAAACCAACAAACACACAAAGTAAAAGATAAAGACCTAATAGTTACAAGGTTGAAACTAACTAGAATGATTAGTATGTTCATATCTACTCACGCTACACTTGCTTAACAGCTGTGTAACTCTTCCTGGTATCACTTACCACATTAGGTACATCACTTACCATTGCACCAATGTATAAATTGTCTGTTTAATGTCATTTCCCCAATTCCACTCCTGACTATAAATCTCCACAAGAGCAGGGGCTTGCCTTTCGTTTGTCTTAGTGTCGTCAGCATCTAGCACAATACCTGGCACCAGTGGTTCTCAAAAAACACTAGTTGCATAAATGAAATAGCACTTCTGTTTTACTTGTCCTGTTTCTTTCTGTTCTCTGGTTATCTCATTCTGCCATTTGAAAGATATTTCTCTACCATTATTATCTCAGATGGTTGTCTCTACTTTTTCAATTTAAAGAAAGACATATCATCTTTATGGTTGAGATACATTGGTTGAGATACATATGGTTGAGGTACTTTGATTTTTCTGTCCTGTTCAACTTTTTTTTAAATTAATGGTTTGGACAATGACATTGATAATGTCCTATTCCAATACGTGTATGCATGAAGCTGGGAGGTATAAGAATATGATAAGCTGAATCTGTCAATATCAGATCTAATACACACAGATGTAACACTCTTTGGTTGGGTACAATAAAAACCCCACTGTTCAAATTGTAGAGAAAAATTTGTGCTTCGGTGGTAACCTGCATTGTTTAGAGCACCCACTTCTGGATTAACTGATTCTGATTCTATGGGCATTCTGCACCTTTCATCACCTTTGAGCTATTTTTCAATTATGTAAATTATAGATAACCCACAGCAGTCCAAAATAATTCTCATATATAGACTTGCAAATAAATTCTGTCCTGTGTAAGTTCAAGTGACACTGTGGATCAGCCAGTTTTGTATCCATTCGCAATTTTATTTTAACACTCCTTCTAATCTAAAATGTATCTGTTCTTTGGATTCACCTTAGAACAGGTAGAAGCATCTGCTTGGTTCTGTTATAAAATAACGAGTTAAATAAAATCTTTAATGCATGTTCACTTTTTATTTATATGAGAGTCATGATTTTACCTCATTTTGAAAGTTATTCTTTAACAAAATAGAGAATAGGAAAGAATTGGGTAAATAATAATATGAAAATTATTTGAGTTCTCAGTTGACAGTAAATTTAATGTGAGTCACCAGTGTAATGTGACTGTTGCTTTAGTTATTTAGATATTAAGTATTTAATTTAGAAACACTATTTTAAAATACTGGTCAACTTCTCTTATTTTTAATCCAATAACTGATTGTTTTGATAATTGTTGCTATAAATCATGTTTTAAAATCACGTATGCCAAGCCATTATAATTATCTTTTTAAAAGGAATGCTTCAATATTCCTGATAGGTTATTCTCCTAGATGAATTACTCTGTGAGTTTGTCTGAGTCTATAATGTATTCATTTGGGATCTTGGTTTTGCATAAAATCTATAAATATTTGCTTAGGAATTATTGTCATTACTAGGGTATTTGGTCTTTCCAGTACGAAGCAATGTATATCTTTCCAATTATTCCTCTCATCTTTTATTTCCCCATTAGGAGTTTTAAATTTTATTTGAATAATTAAATCATTTATGTTGTGAATTAAATAGATATGCATTTAATGGTTTCGATTGTAATAGAATCTTTTTAATTTTGGCTCTAGCTATTTGTCATGGGTGCAAAAGAAAGAAATTGATCATTATATTTATTTTTTCCTAAAAATTATTATCAACCTTTTGGGAAAACTTATTGTATTTTTCTCAAATAAATACCATCAGTATTTCTATCTAGTGCTATGCTTTTTTTCAAAAGTAGGTAAAAATGTACTAGGCATCCTCGTTTTGAAAATAGTCTCCATTCATCCTGGAGAAAACCAAGATGAGAAAAATTATAGATCCTCCTTTCCTTCCTAAAAGATAGCTTAAGTAAAGGATGTTTTGCTTTTTAGGCAAGGTTGTTTTGGGACAAGGCAGTTAGAAACACAACACAGATGATAAATCTTTCTATTCCATATTTGACCAAAGATAATTTAGGATATTCTGTGGGTTCAATCAGGCTTTGTATATGTGCTCCAGGGCCCAGGAGTATATCTACTCAAACGAAATTCCACACAGTCTCTTCATCATTCTTTTGGGTATGTGCAGCATGCAAAGGAGATCAAAAGTTTGAAATTAAGGCTGGGCGCAGTCGCCCATGCCTGTAATCCCAATAAATTGGAAGGCTGAGGTGGGCGGATCACTTGCGGTCGGGAATTGGAGACCAACCTGGCCAACATGGCAAAGCCCCGTCTCTACAAAAGATACAAAAATTAGCTGGGCATGGTGGCGCATGCCTGTAATCCCAGCTACTTGGGAGGCTGAGGCAGGAGAATCTCTTGAACCTGGGAGATGGAGGTTGCAGTGAGCTGAGATCGTGCCATTGCACTCTAGGCTGGGCGACAGAATGAAACTCTGTCTCAAAAAAAAAAAAAAAGTTTGAAATAAAGATTACAAGATAAACCAGAGTAAATTTTTTCTTAAATGTAAATATGCTTTCTAATCATTTATAGATTTTCCTTTCTTTCCCTTTGGTAGTCATCTGTCTATAATAATCATTTAAAAAATATTTTGATACATAATAGTTGTACATATTTTGGGGGCATGTGTGACATTTTGATACACGCATACAATGTATAATGATCAAATCATGGTAACTATGACATCCATCATCTCAAATATTTATGTTTGTTTTGGGAACATTACAATTCTTCTAGTTATATTGAAATATACAATAAGTTATTGTAAACTATAATTTTCTTACTGTACTATCAAGTACTAGCACTTATTCCTTCTATCTGACTGTATTTTTGTACCCCTAAACCAACTCCTCTTCAACCCCCCTTCCTATTTTTCTTTCCAGACTCTGGTAACCACCATTCTACTCTCCACCTCCATGAGATCCACTTTTCTAGCTCCCACTTACGAATGAGAATGTGTGATATTTGTCTTTCTGTGCCTTGGCTTATTCCATTTAACACAATGACCTCCAGTTCCATCCATGTTGTTGCAAAAAACAAGATTTCATTCTTTTTCACGGATGAATAATATTCCATTGTATTATACACCACATTTTCTATATCCATCAATATCCCTTGATAGACACAGGTTAATTCCACATCTTGGCTATTATGAATAGTGAGCCAATAAACATGGAAGTGTAGATATGTCTTTGATATACTGATTTTCTTCCTTTTGGGTGTATACCAGCAGTGGCATTGCTGGATCATATAGTAGTTCTATTTTCAGTTGGCTGAAGAACCTCCATACTGTTTTCCATAATGGCTGTACTACATTACATTCTGACCAACAGTGTATGAGCATTCCCATTTCTCCTCATCCTTGTTAGTATTGGTTATTTTTTGTGTGTTTTTTGACAATAGCCATTCTAACTGGGGTGATATGATATCTCATTGTGGTTTTGATGTGCATTTCTCTGATGATTAGTGATGTTGAGCATTTTTACATATACCTATTGGCCATTTGTACGTCTTCTTTTGAAAAATGTCTATTTAGGTGTTTTGCTTATTTTAAATTCGATTATTTGTTTTTTCGTTATTGAGTTGTTGGAGTTTCTTATAATTTCTGGCAATTAATCTCTTGTTGGATGGATAGTTTGCAAATACTTTCTCCTATTCTGTAGGTTGTTTCTTCACTTTGTTGATTGTTTCCTTTGCTGTGCAGAAGCTTTTTAGCTTGATGTAATTCCATTTGTCTATTTTTGCTCTTCTTGACTATGCTTTTAATATCTTACCTCCTCAAAATCTGCCCAGACCAATGTCCTGTAGTGATTCCCCAATGTTTTCTTCTAGTAGTTTCATTGTAGCTCTTACATTTAAGTCTTTAGTCCATTTTGAATTAATTTTTGTATGTGGTGAGAGGTGGGGTCTGGTTTCATTCTTCTCTATATGGATATCCAGTTTTCACAGAAGCATTTACTAAAGAGACAGTTCTTTACCCAGTGTATGTTCTTGACAACTTTGCCAAAAAGGGGTTGGCTGTGTTCAATTGGTCTATGTATCTGTTTTATGCCAGTACCATGCTGTTTGGGTTACTATAGCTTAGTAATATCATTTGAAATCAGGTAGTCTGATGCCCTCAGTTTCAGGGTCTTTTGTGCTTCCATATGAATTCTAGGATTTTTTTTTTCTATTTCAGGGAAGAATGTCATTGGTATTTGATGTGGATAAAATTCAACATCCCTTCATAATCAAAAGTCCTCAACACAATAAAGAACATATATGACAAGCCCACAGCTAATATACTGAACAGGGAAAAGTTGAAAGTGTTTGCACTAAGATCTGGAACAAGACAAGGATGCCCACTTTCATGACTTTTATTCATCCTAGTGCTGGAGGTCCTAAGCATAGCAATTAAGCAAGAGGAAGAAATAAAGGGCATCCAAATTGGATAGGAAGAAGTCATATTGTCCTTGTTTGCAGACAGCATGATCTTATATTTAGAAAAACCCGAAGACTGCCAAAAAACTCTTAGAACTGACAAATTTAGTAAAGTTGTTAGATACAAAATCAACATACAAAAATCAGTAGCATTTCTATACACTAGTATGATCAGTCTGCAAGAGAAATCAAGAAAGTAATCCCATTTGTAATAGTTACAAAAATAAAATATCTAGGAATAAATTTAACCAAAAAGTGGAAGATCTCTGCAAGGAAAATTGTAAAACACTGATGACAGAAATTAAAGAGGACAACAACAACAAAAAAAAATGAAAAAGAAAAAAAGAAAAGATATTTCATGCTCATGGGTTGAAAAAATTAATATTGTTAAGTTCCAGTTGTTTGACCTTAGGAAACAATTAAACCCTTCTGAGTTTCCATTTTTTTACTTGTAAAATGGGGATAAAACAGTATGTTTTGCCTGTCTCCCTGGGTGGTTGTTTGAATCAGATAAAATGATGACAACACTATCTCTTTGTTAGAGTGGTTCGCCATTGAGGATTGTTTTAATTGAATTCACTAAGAATGGGTTCGATTTACTTCATGGCTGCCATGGTTCCATGAGATTACAGAGGGATGTGAATATGGGTAAAATGCAAAATACGCTCTCCGTCTCCTAGAGAAATGTCTCTCAAACACTAAATATGCACACAGATCTCTCAGGGTCTTGTTAAATTGCAGATGCTATTCAGTTAGTCTAGGGTAGAGCCTGAAATTCTGCATTTCTAACTTCTCAAGTGATACCCATACTGTGGGTGACAAGATCCCATACTCTTGATAGGGCAACAAGTCATATATATTAAATCAGAAAAACTAAGTACCATTATATATCTAATCTATGGAAAATTGGAAAGATTGGTGTTGGCAGGAGCATGAAAAAGGGTTTCATGACCATGAAAGATGGGACAGAATTTCACTTGAAATACTGGGCTCTCAAGATTCAACTTGAGATTCCCTCCACCGTTGGTAAGGAGACAAAAGCAGGCTTGGGCATACCACAGAATCTTGCTGGAGAAAAAGTGATTTGTCTTTTGTGAGATTCTGGGGTCAAGATGTTGAAATTGCTTCTGAAACAATATATGAGGATATTTAACCAAGAAACAATAATAAGTTGATGTTTGGAGCTCAATATCATGTTTGCACATACATATTGAAGTTCTGATAGCTCCTGCATTCTTGTGAACACATATGTGCACATACCTTTTTACACATGATTTCTCCAAACAGGATACTTTCTACAGTTTTCTGTAGACAAATCACATGCTTTGTATTTATAAAATTATTAAAGGCAGCATTTAGCCTTCATTATGCATGAGTTAGTTTCCCAAGACAGTCAGAAGCAATTCCTTTCTGTATGCTGATGAGCTTGCTCTGGAATGAATGTGTTACTGGCTTCTCATCCCCAGGAATGGTCTACAGCAAAGCTACAAAATTGAGTAAATTTATCTTCATGGCTTACCGATTTCTTTGGTGCTCTCATCCCTTGGGGACCTGGAGCTCCTCCCTGATGGTCTTGATCATCCTCATTCTAAATCCCAGGCTCACACCCCATCCTGCTATCAAATATGCCCAATTTCATGTTCATTCCCACAAATTGGAGCTACTGTAATAAACTCATCTCCCTCATAGGTCCCACCTGAAGCCTCTACTTCAGTCAGAGTGTTTACCCTTTCTTCTTGGGCACACATTCTGCTCTCTGCCCTATGCTTTCACTTCTTCCTGGACTGCCCCTCCTCTTCCAGTCTTCTGAGCCAGGGAGACAGATCCTACCCATCCTGCACCCAGCTCAAATGCTGCCCACTTTGTAAAGCCTTCCAAGACTCCCCAGTACGAATCCTTCAATAAAATATTGTTTATATTATTCATCGACAATTAACCATTTGCTACATTGTTACTATTTTTCTATTGCTATCTTCCATTGTCATTCAGAGCTTATATTCAGCTCTTTAAGACTTTAATACCTTGGTTTCCTTGCTATAAAAGCCTCCTGAAGTACAGTTTGGATCTTATGTATTTTTGTGTGTTATACAGAGAGTGTCACACATGTAAATGCTTGTAAAAAGCTATTTTGATTTGATGAACTAATTCTTAAAGGTTTTCAGGATAATCTTGATGAATATGAAAGGCCATTAGGTAAAATGCTAGCTGGGGCTTCCACTGACTATAACTGGAGAGAAACATAACTTTAGAAATCTGTATAAGATCAGTGCAAGTGTTTCTGATTCACCTCTAAACATATCCCAAAGCTGACCCTTCCCTGGAGCCTACCCTTTCTATGGGGCCAGCCCTGTCACCATGGTTACTGTGCCCTCAGCTGCAGTGCAGCCTTCAAGCTGCCAAATACAAAAGAATGGAGGGGAGATCACTGCTTAGGACTCCTTGCCTGGCCTTGTTCTACTCCTATTATTCTCTCAAGTAGGAGTGGGGTACTTCATAGAGATATCAAGCTCAAGCTGAGAAATAAAGGGCACAGGCACAAGCCCAAACCCTGAGTGGATGCTGGAAAAGGTGCCCCTCCTTTGGGAATTTGATGCCTGATGAATTCACTATGCACACCTGCCCCCATCCACAGAGCCCTTTGGCCTGCTGAGGAACATGGTGTCTGGCCCTGCCTCTCAAACTTCTTTAGGGATCCAGGAGTGCAGGTCTCGAGGGCAACTCTGGGCAGCCCTACCTGGTTTCCTGTTCTGTCTGAAAAAGTAAGTCCCTATCACTCTGTGTGGTTGAAGTAGGGCAGGGCATGCCCCCAGCCAAGGGAAGTAGCCGAGCCTCCACACATCAGAACTCCTTCCTAAGCAGCAATTAAGGTGCTCGCTTCACAGGTCCAGCACTGGCTTCAGACCAGTCCTTTTCCCTTGCATCCACCCCCAAACCCTCCTATCATGCCCCAAACCTAGTTACATCAATAAGAAAAGCAGGACTTTATATAGCTACCTCTGATCATTGATGTCTAGCATACTTCAGCTCTGAGCAATCCTCACTGTCACCCAGGAAAGTGACTGGGGAGAAGCCAGCTCTCTCTGCTTTGCTCTCTGCTGGCAGCCACAGACTAGCAACAGCCATCTTGCCCTGATGAGCTCAGAGCTGGGCTCACGTCCTACAGTCCTACCTGGCTACTTGACCATAGGCTTGGCCATTCTTTCCTCTGCCTGTTCCCTTTTCTGAGCTTCAGAGGCTATTCCTGGAAAGATAAATGCTCACAAATGCACCTCCTTCTTCCAGATGGAGGGAGAGCATGGAGGAGGAGAATTAAGGGAACAAAAAATAAAGCATATGAGGTTGAGACAGGGTGGGTCTGGAGCCAAGGAGCAGTTTTCAGGATTGGTCACCAGTACCCTGAACTCTCAATAAGTCAGGAGGGCAAGTTTGGGGGTTACAGAGGACTATGTAAGAGGAGCTGGAGGGTGGAAATACGAGAGGAGTATCGGTCTTTGGGGAGCTTACTCTCCTGCAGACACAGCCCATCCTATTTTGAGGATGCATGTATGCTTTCCTGAACCAAATGGACATCATGTTAGACTTGAGTCCCTGTTGAGGCTCTACTTTCAGATATTGCAACTCACATGTCTCACTCTCCTTTATATTTGATCTTAAATGCAAGAACAGTGGTGAAGTGAGTGTCAACCCTCAGGAAACTGATGTAAAGCTTGCTTGGGATCATCTGAGAGATGTTGAAAAATCCCTTCCCACCTCCTCCTACACCCTTTCAAAAGATGAAATCTAACTCACCACTAATCACAGAACCTGAAATTGCATGTTAGTTTCTTTTGAGGGGGAGATATCTTGTCTCCTGACGTCTTTAGTTAAGAAGCAGTGCCTTTCATAGACAGGGCAAAAAAAATTATTCAAAATTATGTGAATATTTGGAAAATAATAAAAACACAATCCTCCCTTCGTAGCTTCATAAACCAAAATAACTTCCAGGCTTGTGCAATACTTAAAATGTAAAAAGAAAAATGTTAAACCCTTAACATACAAGAAGACATATAGGTAAATGTTTACTTGATTTCGAGACAGAAAAATCTCTGTAAATCAATAGAAGAAAATATGGAAGAAAAAGGTAGATTTAACCACATATTAGGTTAAGAATTCAGTGTGTCAAGATAGATTATAAACACCGTTAAAAGGTAAATGTCAAACTGGGGGAACTTGCATTAAATATGCCAAGGGACTGATATCATAAAGGAATAAAAAGCTTTTCCAAATCAATATGAAAACTCTAAGACTTTCATTGGAAAATCAGTAAAAAAAATAGGTAGTTCACATATGAATAAATGTTCAATGTCGCAAGCAATCAAAGAAATGCAAAATAAAATGATGTAAGAAATTGGCATTTAAAAACCAGTCAAATGGAACTCAGGTGATCGTAAGATAAAATAGACACTCCCAAACTCTGGATGGGTGTACAACTTGATACTTTTTAGAAACTCATTTTAGAATTGAGAATAAAAAATTAAAAATGTCCCCATGAGCTGTTCTGGTAATTTCACATCTGGAAATCAGTTCTAAGAAAATAAGAAGCATTGTGGACTGAAACAGCACATATGAGGATGCTCATTATAAAAGCAAAAAATTAGAAGCAGCCTAAACAAACAACGATGGGAATGGTGAAATAAATCACAATAAACCTGTGTGATGGACTGCTATAAAGCAATGTAAAAACACAAAACACACGAAATGAGAAAACAGTTCTCATATAATTTGATGTTAAAAATAGCAAGAAAAAAATTTATAAAGTATACTTCAAAACAAATATATTAGTTTTCTGCTGCTGCTGTGACAAATTACCACAAATGTAATGGCTTAAAACAACACAATTTACTATTTTACAGTTCGGACATAGGTCTCACCAGGCTAAAGTCAAAGTATCAGCAGAGCTGTGTTTCATTCTGGAGGCTCTAGGGGTGAATCCATTTCCTTGCTCGTTTAGGTTGTTGGCAGAATTCAGTTCCCTGTGGATGCAGGATTGAGATCCTAGTTTTCTTGCTGTCAACTGACAGCAGTTCCCAGCTCTAGAGGCCACCCACATTCTTTGGTTCATGGCCTCTTCCTACATCTCCAAAGTCAGCAAAGTCTGGTCAAGTTCCTTAAATACCGTGAATTTTTTCTTCTTTTTTATCCTATCTCTCTGACTCAGCAGGGAAATGTACCCCTTTTGTAAGGACACATAGGATTAAATTGGCCCCACCTGGATAATCCAGCATGAAATCTTCCCATATCAATGCCCATAACCTTAGTCATATCTACAAAAGTCCCTTTTGCCATGTAAGGGTAACATTTTCACAAGTGCTGGGGATTGAAATGTGGACATTTTAAGGAAACTATTACTCTGCTTACCATACTATGTAAAAATATGTTGCAAATATGTATGTTGGGATCTAGCAGGAGGACTGAAATAAGTATGTCACCAAAATGTTGCTGTAGTTATTTCAGAATTATAAAAATGAGAGTGATTTTTATTTTTATTTAAACATTTTTCCTCAATATATTTTGCATTTTCCTAAAATGAGGAAAAAGGTTAATCCAGCGACTCAGGTGGGTTAATAGCCTAATATATGGTGAACCATTAACACATTGGTATGAATTAGTCCATGAACTTCCTTTTCAAATGGGACTCCTAATGGAGAAGAAAACCCTGGGAAAATGATAATAATCCCTTGAATATGAATGGGTTTTTGTACTTTTCGATGGATTCTCACATGCATTATTCCTTTATCTTTCTGGTTGCCTTAGATCTTTTCTGGGAGGTACTGGTTCAGGTGTTGTCTGGAGGACACAATAGTCAGTCAACAAATATTTAGTGGGGATTTATTGAGTTTTGGAGATGTGTGATGAGTGAGGTCAGAGGCTAGGGATCTTTGTATGCCCAGACAAGAGACAGAGGAGGAAGAAGGGTAAATTTTGCTGAGGGAAATGCATTAAACAATCTTAGGGAAATTAAGATTCCCTGCTCGACTTTGTGAAATACTGTTTAGTAGCGAACATGTTGTCTATTTTCTGCTCCTTTGTCTCCAGTCCACATCTGTCTCACTGAGTGAGTCACCTTGTTCTTTCCTCCTCTAGTTCACTGTCTGTTAATATAATCTGCCCCAGATCACAAGAGGTGTCTTTTTTTTCCACTTAGATCCCAATGACACCGGTGCCTACTCTGCCTAGCCCCTCCTCCCATCCTTCATGCTAGCCATCATGTTGCTGGCTTGTCTACCAATACTGACTCACTGTTCCCTGCCCTGCCCTACTTCGGTGACCTGGCAAGATCTTGCACTTCATGTCCCCTCTCTCCCAACAGAGCCTTCCTGACTAGGTTTTTCTCTACTGTATCAGGGATGGAACTTGTCCCTCAGCATCAGCAGTTCTTCCATTCCTCTGAATAATGGTCTTGTCTTGCTTTGAGGCTTTGTCTGTGTATCCAGAGTGAGGATGAGAAGGAGAGACA
This sequence comes from Homo sapiens, assembly GCF_000001405.40. Lineage (NCBI taxonomy): Eukaryota > Metazoa > Chordata > Mammalia > Primates > Hominidae > Homo > Homo sapiens. The sequence goes on along the minus strand of NC_000015.10, from coordinate 47,971,525 downwards.
AAGCATGGATGGGAAGGAAGTCTAGAATAATTATACCATCTATCTCCAGAGCCACCCCTTTGCTCAGAAGAATATCTCACACCTATTCCTCGCCAAATAACTTTTTGGTTCTCACTGCCAACTTTAATAGACACTTCCAGTAGAGACTGCCTATACTACAGCATAAAATCCATTAACTTTATCCTTAATAAATGGATAAGAATCACTCCATGGGCCCATAATCAGTCCATTAGTCCACACTTAGCTTCATTTGACTCCTTGCCTGGCTGGAACTTCACATTTGCTATTTAATGTCCTCATCACTACTCTAGAATCCTGTCTTCTAATTTTGCATTCTGTCTACACTGCTTTGTCCCAATCCCCCCAGGAAGAAATTCCTACTTTTTCTGCTCTCTGCCTCTGTTCCCTGCTTGCTGAAGATAAACACAGGATCACACTGGCCATGTCCACTGTATATTCATGTGTTTTCCAGTAATGATTTCCTATTGATTTCCCAGGGCACTTTTCATAATGGCTAGTCCAATCATGTCCTAACATCTGTAAGGCTCCTTTGATAATAACAACAACAATAGCAAATACTACTATAGTACTTAATGTATTCCAGGCTATTCCATGTGTGCTCAACAATTATTAAGTCATTAAATCATCCCAGTGACCCTAAAAGATAAATAGTATTATGATCTTTCCCATTTACAGATGAGGAAACGAAGTCACGAGGTGTTAAAGGAACTTTCCTGGGGCCACCCAGCGGGTCAGTGATGGTGCTGGGATTCGACACTGGGGGGTAGGGTATGTGTTCTTGACCAGTCTACTGGATCACTTCTTTATATTCCCATCCCCACTAGCTCAGAAGACAATTTTGCTTCCTATGTCACTAAGAAGATCAAGTCCATCTAACACATGAGCTTTCTTACCCACCTTCTCCTTCTATGTTATGTATTTTTGGCCTCCAAAGCCATTCTTTCTTCCACACTTTAGTCTGAGAAAGTGGTGCTTTCCTGTCCGACTGGGCAGGCTTCCCACTGTGTCCTCAACCCTGACTGTCTCTGAGGACTCAGGCTGCACTCTCATCCTTTCACGGCTCATCACCAGGATCTTCAGATCCCCCTCCCCAGTGGATCTTTTCTTCCAAAGACTTCAACTATGCATCGGCCTCCCTCATCCTGAAACAGCTCTGGGCCTTCATGTATAATGAGCTTAGAATGCTTTACCTGATTCTTTCTACTAAATTATGTCCTCAATTCTGTCCTTTCTACAGGTGCTCATTTGGACCTCCCCCAGGTGCCTTCTTTGAGCTCCATGGCCTGTCTTGCATTTCATGGCTCTGAACTCTTGTTGACCTTCAGAGCCCATTGTCCCAGTGTGTTTATTACCTTATTCTTGCCTTGTTTCCTAGAGATTATGCCCCCTTAGAAACATAACCCATTCATCTCTCCGTCAATTAATTAGCTAATTAATGGTTATATTGAAGCTGTTTACTGAGTGCCTACTGTGTGTCAAACACTATGCTAAGAATTAAGAATATAAACAAATATGGCAGCACTTCAAATTGAGACTTGCACAAAGAGTGGAAAACCACTAATTACGATGTAATAACCAAAGATTTGGTTGAATGTTCATATGTAATAGACACAGTGCAAAACCTATTCTTACATCACTTAAACTTCACGTGAAGGGGGAATTATTCACAATTTAAAGATGAGGCAGTTAATGTATAGAAAAAGGTTAGGCAACTCACCTGATATTATACAGCCAAGTGTGAGAGCAGGAGCCCAACCTCATTTACTTTTTAAATTCTACTATGCTTTCTACCATAGATATATTTATAACATAAATGAGAACCAAGAAGACAAACAAACCAAATCTCTGGGGAACAGAAGCCACTCTACAAAGTCTTCACAACGGAGCTAATATTTGATTTGCATTTTGGAGGAGAAATAGAAATTTGCTCAATGGACTGAAGTGTGGGCAGGAGAAAAAGGGAATCCTTGGCAGAAACACCGTAACATGGAATGGTGAAAAACAAAACAAAATACAATGAGATTAAGGAACTGCAGAAATACTTCTAAACCTGGAACATAGGGTATAAAAAAGGAAGACTCAAGATATGGTTCCAAGTTCCTTAGACCGTGGCTATATCATGAAGAGCCTTAGATGGCAAAGTAAAAAGTTTGAATTTTGTATTTTATGATCCTTAAAGTGCCTAGGAAAATATTAACACATATGAGCTATCCATATAATCGTTCTTGAACTGAAATTACAAGTATATAGAGTATGTGTCAGGAGGCTCTGAACTGGTGCCTGTAACTTTATGATGAGCTTACTGTTTTAGCTGCTGGAACATTTTAGCACCTTTCTTGACCTATTATTACATAAGTTTTTGTTGCCTTTCAACTTTTCGGAGAACAATTCTGCCATTTCTTTTTGAGTTTGAGCATTTTCCTACCTGCACAAAGGGAAGATGAGGTAATCCACATAACTGTTTTTTCTGTTTGAACATAATGCCAGAGACACCAACATCTGACATAACTCTTTTTCCTGATTTCTTGTGCATCCAAACAGGTATGGGCTGTAATGACTTTGGAAGATCCAAATAGCTATCATCTTGGCTGGAGAGAGGGTGACTTCCAAGCAAGGGCCTGTGCTCTGGCCTCACTCTCTGCGGCTCTGCAACATGAGCCTCAGCATCCCCTGTGCTACTCACTAGAAAGTGGACCTGACAGCTTTGGCAGGTAGAGCCTTGGGCTACAAAACCCTTCAGGCTGAGGTTGAAAATAAGGGCTCCCTGTTCCAGGGGTTATTGCTTGTTGCCCCCTGGGAAGTGGTGACTCACATAATCTGCATCTCTGTTTTCAATACACACCACAGAAAACTTCTTTCCTTTCTTCACCTTGAGTTGGTCATCAGCATGAAAATCAGACAGATCTTTCTAATGTGTGTTCCTTATAACATCAGTTCCAAGGGATGTTAATCCAATCAAGTTCCTGCAGTCAAATAGGGCAGGACCAAGTTTAGACTTCTCAGACTCCTTAACATTATAAGATACTTTCTAAATCTCCAAGAAGAATGGTGTTTTAAAAATTGCTTTGATTACAGAAGACTTTTCTTCCTGAGTCAAAATTGAGAGTACTGAGTGTTCCATGCAACACGTTTGGAACTTGATGCTCAGTGCTCTTATAGGCATAGAGTAACATGCATATTACAGTATATAAATAAGTACTTATTTACTTAGGATGCATGAGAATAAACTATTGCACAGATATGCATTTTCTGGATAACTGAACACAAACTCTGTTGAATACTAGACTGTGCATTAGTGTTACATATGTGGTGGGATAACATTTTGATAACATTTGAAATAACTCCTTTTTTGATTTTTTGTGCATCCATTTTTCCTTTCCCAAAGTTTTTTCTTCCCTGCATTTCTCTTTCTTCCTTTCCCCATTCCAAGCAGGGTCAGCCTTCTTTGGTTCATTGTCTCAGAGTAAGAAGGTGTCAGGGTGGAAGGCCGAAGTAGCCTATACGTCTGTCTGGCTTTTGTATTCCTCAAACCGAGGCCTTTAGAACAACACAGAGAACTCACAGAGTAGGCAAACGAAAGAGGATTTGGGGATACAGAGCCATGAAAAAAGAAGGGTAATCCCCCAGATTACAAATAGTGGCACTGTTGGGCAGAGAGAGGAGATAGGAGGGAGTGAAGAGGAGGTAGGGAGCGAAAGCAGGGGAGCCGAGGACAGAGGTAGAGGACGAGGACAAAAAGACATCATGAGGCTGGAAAGGAAACAGGCATTGAGTGTGCACCCAGCCTGACTGTAAAGAAAGATCTTTACCCTCTAAGACCAGGTCAGAGCAGCAGCGAGCCACAGCTGGTGTTGGGGAGCTGGCCAGCCACAGAGAGCTCACTACTAACCTGGGTGTGCACATGGCCCAGGACCTGGTGACCTGCTCTCCACTTACCCCAATGTTTTGACATTATTGACCCTTTCTTGGAATCTCTGATGGAACCTTAGAATGGGTGGGAGGATACTATAAAAGCTTGAGATTTGAATTCCTAATCAACTCGATGAGATAGGAGCCCCCAATAGAAATGATTGGGAATGAAAGAAAGTTAAATTTCTTGAAAATCTTGCTTTTATAAAGCATCATGCAATCTTTTCCATGGTTGGGGCTGTCTCGCAGCCAGGTGCTGAGGGTCTGTTGAGGAGTGAGCACCTTTGCAGCCGTGCCAATGTTGCAGGCCCCGGTGATTTTGCAGTTTTTATGTCTGCTTTTTATGTAGCTTTCCTGTCGTAAGCCCGAATTTCATTTCTTGATAATTATCATAGGTATACATAGGTCTAATTCTCTCCCTTTCCTCTCCAAATTTGCTCCTTTCATTGTGCTTTGGCCAGGAAACCAGATAACAAAGCTTCTGAGAATGATGTATAAAGGGAGAGGAAATCAGTTCTGAGGGCTGGCTCATTTTTCTCATCTACAAAATGACGGAGCTGTAATAGATCATCACCAAGGTCCAGTCCAGCTTGCACATTTTATGATTCCTCTGAATAAAGTATGTGAGCTTTTATGTGCCATTTTCAGAACATCTATTTGTCCCATTTCCTTATTCCCAGCCATGTTCTCAAGAAATGAGTTTGCTCCATTTGTGACCTCTTAAAAAGTGACATTATTTAACTTGGTATTTGTTAACTCAATTCACAATTCATTCATTCATTCTCAAAAAATTTTGAGCACCTTCTGCATACTGTGTGGTTGAATTACGAAGATTCGTGCATGATCTCTCCGTCAAGGAGTTCACAGACTAGGGCACTGACTTTCAATCTTTCCTGCAGTTGTGAATGAAGCCTGTTGGGACTCTATGACAGCCTGTTATATTAGAGGCCAGTATTTACTAAGCACATACTAGATGCCAGGTTCTGTTCCAAGTGCTTCAAAAGTAGCTTATTTTATCCTCAAATATCTACGAAGTAGTTGTCATTATTATCTGCATATACATGAAGAAAGTGAGACTCAGGCATGGGAACACACGGTTAATAAACATTTGGAACCAGAATTCACTCTTCAAGCAATACAAATCTAGAGCCCACATTCTGCTTCCTGGGGCTATGGTGCTTGTGAAATCAATAGCGACAAGAACAAGCACAGTAACCACACAGTAACAACAGCAGCCGTTTTGGCTATTCTATGCCACTTGCCATGCACTGTGCTAAGCTTTCAGTATTAATTATCTAATTTAAGACTAATAACAACTTCATGAGTGGGCACTTTCATTAGCTACATATTGCAGAGGAGAAACTCTTGACTTAAAAAGGTTAAACAACTTGCTCAGGATACACATCTAATAATGAGGGAAAATGGGGTACAAAGTGCTTTTTTTTTGAGACGCAGTCTCACTCTGTTGCCCAGGCTGGAGTGTACAGTGGCTTGATCTCGGCTCACTGCAACCTCTGCCTCCTTGGTTCAAGTGATTCTCCTGTCTCACCCTCCTGAGTAGCCGGGACTACAGGCGTGCACCACCATGCCTGGCTAATTTTTGCATTTTTAGTAGAGATGGGGTTTCACTATGTTGGCCAGACTGGTCTCAAACTCCTGACTTCAAATGATCCGCCTGCCTCGGCCTCCCAAAGTGCTGGAATTACAGGCCTGAGCAACCACGCCCAGCCCAAAGTGCATTTGTGGGGACAGTTTTTGGTGGCTCATGATCTTCATGTCCTCTAACCAAGTGGGAAGAGACAGATAAGGTATCCACTGATTTGCAGTAAGTATAGCGTGAAGTTCTTTGGGAGCAGAATAAATCAGTCTGCAGGTGGAGGGAAAGCTTCCCAGAAGAAGTCACCCTTGAGCTGAGTTTTGAAGGATAAGGAGGAATATAGGTTGAAAGCAATGAGGAGAAGGGAACCCAGGGTGGAGAGAATAGCACCTGCAAAGGCTGAAACAGGAGACAACAATGTGAGGCTAGGGAGGCAGGCAGGAGTTCCGTTACACGGGGCCCTGAGTGCAGAAGCAAAGGCATCTGCATGGCATCTGCTCTGTGGGGAGCCGCCAGAGGCTTTAAAATGTGAGAGTGGCTTGTCAGGTGTGACTGTAGAAAGTACTTCTGGTGTCTGCTTAGGGCACACTGAGTTTATGGTGACTCACGGAAGTCTATTTGGGATATGAATCTTCAAAGGGATAAAAGCTGGGTGTTGCTGCTGAGGTCCTAGGGTGCAGGGAGACTAGAGATGATGGAAGTGGGGGCGGGGGTGACTAGAAGGAAGGAGAAAAATTAGACTATTGTTCTCATCAAAGTCAGATGTGATGAGAGCCTGAGTTAAGGCACTGGTAGCAGAGACTAATTTGAGGACTATTTAGGAGAGAAAATCAAAGAATGGTAGGAGTGAGTGGGAGAAAGTCTAGGAGACTCCCAGGTGAAGCATGATAAAGTATATTTGCCAATTGTCTGGGAACCAATCTGGAAAGGTCAGTGAAACATCATGGAAAATAAAATGAGATGGTGAGAGTTGTATGAGCAGAGCTTCATTGATGGACATTCTTGACTACAGTCAGAGTTGTTGTGTGATCCACATGTGCTACATGAGCTGGCTGATGCGGGGCTGGGGGTTGGAGATTCCCAAGTAACCAAGACCAAGTGTTATGGGTTAAATTGCCCCCTCCCCCACCCAAATCTATATGTTAAAATATTAACCCCTAATACCTCAGAGTGTACCCTTATTTGGAAATAGTGTGTGATTAGCTGTTAGGATGAAATCATACTGAATTAGGGTAGGCCCCTTACCTGATAGGACTGATGTTCTCATAAAAGGGGAAAGTTTGACACAGACACACACACCAGAGTTTAAGGTAACATGTGGAAGTATATGGGATATGAATCTTCAAAGGGAGAGGAGCTGGGAGATGCTGCTGAGGTTCTAGGAGAAGAGTGCACAGGATATATGGCCCAGAATCACTCCAAGACATGGATGATAAAGAAACTGTGGTGAGAAGGAAAGTCGGGGCAGGGAGTGGAGGAATGTCTGGGCAGGCAGGAGGCAAGCAAGTGGGAGCCTGCCTTATTCAATAAGGTGAAAGTGCTGTGCATACGGAGTGCCTGTGTCTATTCAGACAAACACATGGATGCTATTATGTTGTCCTGCTGTGAATGACAGTCATTCTCACTGTCTCCTTCAGCCCATGAAATAGCTCCCTTGATCATATTAAATTGTACCTGGCTCCCCCTGAGCTTCAGGAAATGGGAGTTGCCATGTGATACTAGCATTAGGTTTGCAGATCCATCCCAATATTTTTCTCTTACCTCAATTTCCTGGCTCAGGAGCGAATCTTGGTTTACTGACTTATAATTCAAGGATGAATGAATGAAAAAGAATCCCTTTTCATGCGGAGTGGGTTTGAGGTGTAGACAAAGGCTGTCTGTCATTTTTTGGTGATCTTGTGTTTGTTCACTTCTGCTAGAAACATACGCCCTAAGTAATAATAACAACAGGATAATACCTTACATTTACAGAGGGCTTTGTACTTTACCAAGTGCTTTCACATGCATTATCTCATATAATCCTTGTATACCATTGATGTGAATTCTGGCGTGAATTTATACAATCCCATCACTACCATTGGTAAGAAGTTAATTATCGACTCATAATAATTGTAGAGTCCTTCCTGTGTGATCTTCACAGACACTCTTCGGAAGCCCAATGGAAGTTGCATTCTTACACAACAGGAAAATAAAACTTTCCGGGAATGGAGACATGTTTCTTTAGCCTATAATTTGAACACAACACTGACTGGGTTGGGCTTTGTGGGAAGATGCAATGAGAGATTAGACAGAGTCTCTGCTCTCAAGGAACTTAAGATTTGGCTAGAGAGACAAAACGTGGAAACAAAAAAGATGACTTGGTTAGAGGAACTTACAGGGCAAATGTTTGTGGGAGGTACAAGTTGGAAGGGAGGTGGATGCGGTGGAGTGTTCGCTGAACACTTCATTAAGAAGGTGGGGCTGAAAGGCCCTCATTTTATGGGAGGGGAAGTGGGAAGCTGCCCGCAGGGGGCACACTGCTCACCTTTCCACAGTGGAATTTGTTAAGCTTTGGTTTGCTTGTTGGAAAAAGTCAATGGCTTGCTGCCAGCAGGCACAGGTGTGCCTGAGCATTCACAAATGGCATTTCTTTGTGGAGCTTTGGAAGATCATCTTTTTGCAGAGCCTAGATATGTCCTAGAGAAGGTGGAATATTAGTTGTAGGCAGTGACTTGTTGCACTGGAAACAGCAACAATTTTCAGACAGATAAGTAGAACTTGCTTAGGGGTCAGCAATATTAAAAAAAGAAATAGGGTACTCCAGCCTAATTAGCAACTTTTGATTTAGAGTGAGTCTCTATTTGTGAATTGGATGTGGCCCAAATTGTGGTCCATGGACTGGCAGCATCAGCATTAGCTGGGAGCTTACAGAATTGAAGAATCTCTGACCTCACTGAATTTAAATCTACATTTTAATGATATCACCAGTAGGCACATTAAAGATAATCAGTTACTGGGAACTCAGAGCATGTCTTTGAGTTCCTACAGGGTCAAAAAATGTTATTTAACCCATGATGGTTCTAGTCATTGCATGGTAAACATAAACATTAATTTATAAAATTATTCCTATGCACAAATATATTCTTAGGTACAACTTACAGCCCTAAGAATAGCCACTCTCCCTCTCACCACCCTCAACATGGCCACAGGGCATGGCAACCCAGTCTTTTGCCCTTTGGGTTAGTTTATGGGGAAGGTCTCATGAATCCTGCTGAGCTGGGAATGAACATCAGGTACGGTGAGGAAAAAGCATGGGCTTTGTAGACAGATGTGGCTCCAGATTGAACTCACTTCTCAGACAATATATCCTTCTTTATAAAACAAAGCTATAAAAATAGAGATGTTACCTACCCTATAGGTTTTTGAAGTTTTAAAAATATATATTATTAATTACATCTAGAAAAGTGACTGACATATTGAGACTATTCTCCAAAAGCAAAAGCAATATTAATTTCTACCCCTATTCCCCACAAGTAGCTTGCTGTCTAGCTTAAGTCAACCATTCACCTCTTTGAGACTCAGCTTTCACTTCTGTCTAATGAGAATCAGGGACTGGATGATCCCTAAGATCCTTCCTGGGGTGTACAAGGAGAGCACACATGGGGATGGCTGCTGCCTCACTCTGCTCATCTTTGTCTCACCCTTGTGCTTCTTGGGCCACCCTTCACAGCCTCTGCCACCTGTCTCTGAAACGGAGGCTGGCAGCCTAGAGGAATTCTAGTATTTTCCTTGAAGGACCTATTTCTGCCAGGCAAGTTGATAGCCTGGGTGAATTGCATAGTGGTTAGAAGTACTAACACAACCAGGATGCCTGATCTGAGAAGATGGCTCCACTGGGCATCCTTGGCTGCCAATGTGGAAACCCAGATGAGCTCCACCCCTCTCCTGAGACATTTGAATCCTACTGAGAGACTCTGTAGGGATCCCAGGGCTTATGCTGCACAAATGGTGCCCAGCAACAAGTTTCTCTTCATACCGCAACTGAAACGAAACCTCTTAGTCATGGGGGCCCAGTTTTACGGAGGAAGTCGTGGTAACTTGCAAATTATCGAATTATGAGGTTTTTGAAAAACTGTTAACCCCAGTTCCCCTTGGCAAAGATGGTTAGGCAATTTTGTTTTTGGCTGGGGCTTCTGTAAACAAGACAGGATGGATGCTCGCTTTGTGGTTGGGAACTGCTAGAGGGCGCACTGCCAAGGTGGTTTCTCTGAGTCTTGTTTTTCCTGCTGACATAAAGGTTTCACCTGAGCCCCTGTATTTTTCTGGTCCTTTCTGAGACACAAAAGTAAAACAAAAACAAAGCCCAAAGAAATCAAAAACCAACTGTTAGTTTCTAGGAGGTTTGGGTTTGGAGGGAAAACAAGACTTGCCCGGTTCTTTGCTTGAACATGTTTGCTTCTCTGAGACTGGTCTCTTTCAGCTCTGCTCTGCTCTGTTGTTGCTCTTTTCTGTCATAGATGCCTTGCCATTTGGCCAGTTCTATCCTTCTACAATTTCTTCTTTTCTTCTCTTGAACCATGTTCTCGTTCTTATCACCATTTCATTGAGGGAGCCATTACTGTCTTCCTACCTACAGTGACAAAGTAGAACACGTCTCTAGTAGGATGGTAGGATGTTTCTCCAGTGCCAGAAAGGCCACTATTGATTGACCTTTCCACCTACACCTAAAAGAAGATTTGATTTCAACTTCCTTTTGCTGCTCTGAATTTTGAAGGAACAATGAATCAATATGTCAATAAATATTTATCAAGCACTTACTCTCCTCTGCCTTACTGTAGGAGTGGAAGAGCAGTGCTTCTTAAGTGTGAACACAGGGTAACTAAGAGCAGGAAAGCCTGGACCTGCGCTCCAGGAAGAGCTTGGCATGGGCTTGGGGAGGAGGGGGTTGTGGAAGGGTGGGGGTTGTTGGTGAAGCCTGAAAGTCCCACTCCAAGATTCAAGAAACTTCAAGAAATTTCATTCAAGTTTTATCTTAGAAAATAACATAAGGCTTCCATTTTGCTCTTGAAAATATGTTTTCATGTGTAAATAATGTGTAGATTATTTACCATGGAATAAAACCAATGCTCCTGGAAGATATTTGCTAGATGCTTCTCATCTTCCCAACAGGCAGTGGAGACTCCAGCAGTGTGCTGGCTCCAGTGTGGGAGTATGACCCCAGGAAACAGAGTGTGGTGATCACGTGGATGTTCAGAGGCAGATCCAATGTAGAATATTCTGCCCCACTATTCTCTCGCATGGACCTGTGCTTGCAGACCCATATGAGCCAAATTTTAATTCAGAAAATAAGATTCTTGTTGGTTTAAAATAATTATATTTGTTCTGCCTTTACAGAGTTACTAATGTGGAGAAAGAAGATTATCATGTGTGGAACGAAGGACAATATGAACATTAAATAATGCCCTGACTCATTCCAAAAAGAATCTGAGATGACCAATAAAGCCATTTTTAATTGTTTATTAGTGAACAATAGATTATGAGTGCTAAAGGGATTCAGGAAGAAGAAAGATCAGTGCAGAGTAGAGAAGTCTGATGGATGCATTGAAGAAGCTATGCTTGAGCTGAAATGACAAGAGAGCTGTTTTTCGCTTTCAGAATTATTATGTGGCAATGGTAATTGACAACAGAGAAGCTGAAGGTATGAGGACAAGGGTGTCTTATCTTTCCCCAGAAGTCTTGCTTGGCCCATGGGAGAATACAGGCCTGCACCTTGGACTTGGAGTCAGTAGATTCCTTCCTGTGATTTTTTACAAGCTCAAACATCCCCTGACTGAGTCATTCACCAGAGAAAGAGGCTTTTCAAATGATTTGTGCATTAGCTATAGTCTGCCTTATTCAACCCCATTTTAGTGTCACAAAAGCTTCTTCTTCCTACATTGTTAGAGCCTTTTTGACTTTTCTGAAACGACATCTGCTCACCTCTTGGGTAACACCCTGCAGGGCTCAGTCGAGCTCAGTCACCCTTCACTTTTTTTTTTTTTTTTTTGAGCCAGTTTTGTAAGGTGCTGAGGGAGGTTTGTATTAGTCCTTGTTGCCCCTAGAAGAAATAACAGCTATAATTTTGGCCCCGAAGAAAAGGAACAGGTATGACTATTCTCTCTCTTTCTCTCAAACCACAATCTACTCTAGGGAGGAAGTCACTTTATGGGAGCAGAGTCACTCTCAAGTAATAGCTGGCCATACAGATTGCTCTGGACCAAGGGTGAATGTGAAGAAGAAAAGACCGGCCAGCAACACAATGGAATATCTAGAGTCATATTGAGGGAAATACTTAGATTGCTGATTTCTTAGTGGATTTCACAAGCAGAGCTGCTTGTGAGCAGAATGGTGAAGTAGGGGCATGTGTTTCTGGGGTCTTATTCCATGGCTTCCTTCCACCTACAAGAGTCATCCTCACGGAGTACTTGCATTTCAGTAGAAGAAAAAAATCTTATAGATGGAAGGGAAGGATGGGGTTCCTGCTTTAGGAAGATTGGCATGGTCATAAGTCTGAGCAAGGAAGGGCCCAGGGCAGCTCAGAGCTCTGAGCAGGAAGCTCTAATTAGTTACTGAATATGGTGCAAGCACAAAGAGAGCGTAGTGTTTTCCCTTTCCATCTGTGGAAGTCTTGGCCATGCTTACTTGGGCGTTCCTTCCAGGAAACATTTATTTTTCCTCTTTAATGCCCTCCTCATATCTATGCTCTCAGTAGAGGATGCCACTGCTTCTGGCACCTGGATAATAGAATGAAGCTGATTGGGATGGAAACAGAAAAGTCATCTCTCAGAACAATGAGCAGAGACTGAAACTCCCTTGTACCCAGTCCCTGTGCACTGCTGTTCATAGCCAAATGGGCAAGGCCTTGCCAAATGTCATGTTGAGGTGAGGCCCTAAGTGATAGAAAAATAAAAAATGACTATGGCCACTTGCATGTTCAGAGAATTCAGTTTAGAAAATGCTATGCTGGGAGGATCTCTCTTAATATCTTGTTTGCATCAGAATGTTCAAGTTGCAATATATGTTTTTGTTTTGTGTATTTATTTATTTTCCTCTACTCTATTCTGTTAAGTCTTTTAGGGCAAAGGTAGGGTAGTCTATACTCCCTGCGTTATCCATAATGCCTAGCACTGTGTCTTGTACATAAAAGGTCATAATAAATACCTGTTGGCTAGATAGATGAATGGATAGAGTGCCTCATTTAGAAGCATTATACTTCTATGGAAAAAAATTTTTAAATGTATTTTTTTCTATGAGATAACACAGTTCCTGAATAGGTCATGGGCAGGTGCTATTCAAGTTTGCGAAGGAAAGGTTTTCCTAGAGTTAGGGTAATTTTTTCCTCAAATAAGAAAAACCTACAGTAAATAATTACTCTCCATATTATCTTTAGGTTTCTTGCCAGTATTAACATCTTTTTTATTGTAAGTGATGATATTGTCTGTGAGAACATTACAGTAGGTTAGTATCCTGGGTTAAGCTAAGTGTTGTTGAAAATAATCCTGGACATCCAAACAGGAAGAGAGGAAGTCAAACTATTCCTGTTTGCAAATAACATGATTCTATATCTAGAAAACCCTGTAATGTCAGCCCCAAGGCTCTGTGAGATCAGAGATAAATAACCTCAGCAAAGTCAACATACAAACATCAGTAGCATTCCTTATACAAACAACATCCAAGCTGATGGCCAAATCAGGATGCAATCCCATTCACAATTGCCCCCCCAAAAATATAAAATACTTAGGAATACAGCTAACCAGGGATGTGAAAGATCTCTATAATAAGAATTACAAAACACTGCTCAAAAAATCATAGATGACACCAAAAATTGGAAAAATAATCCATGCTCATGGATTGGATGAATCAATATCATTAAAATGGCCATACTGCCCAAAGCAATTTACAGATTTCACAGATTCAGTGCTATTCCTATCAAAATATCAATGACATTTTTCGTGGAATTAGAAAAAACTATTTTAAAATTGACATGGAACCCAAAAGGGACCCCGAATAGTCGAGGCAATCCTAAACAAAAAGAACAAAGCTGGAGGTATTATATTACCCAATGTCAACATATACTACAGGGCTATAGTAACCAAAAGAGCATGGTACTGGTACAAAAACAGACACATAGACCAATAGAACGTAATAAAGAGCCCAGAAATAATGTCACACCACTTACAACCATCTGATCTTCAATAAAGCTGACAAAAACAAACAATAGGGAAAAGATTCCTCATTCAATAAATGGTGCTGGGATAACTGGCTAGTCATATGCAGAAGATTGAAACTGGACACCCCACCTTACACTACATACAAAAATCAGTGTAAGATGAATTAAAGGCTTAAATGTAAAACCTAAAACTATAAAAACCCTGAAAGATAACCTAGGAAATACCATTCTGGACATAGAACTTGGCAAAGATTTCATGATGAAGACAACAAAAGCAATTGCAACAAAAACAAAAATTGACAAATGGGATCTAATTAAACTGAAGAGCTTCTGAACAAAAAAAGAAACTATCAACAGAGTAAACAGACAACCTACAGAATGGGAGAAGATATCTGCAAACTATGCATCCAACAAAGGTCTAATATCCAGATGCTGTAAGGAACTTAAATTTATAAGCATAAACAAACAACCCCATTAAAAAGTGGGCAAAGGACATGAAGAGATACTTTTCAAAAGAAGACATATATGTGGCCAACAAGCATATAAAAAATGCTCAACATCACTAATCATTAGAGAAATGCAAATTAAAACCACAGTGAAATACCATCCCACACCAGTCAGAATGGCTATTATTAAAAGTTGAAAAATAATAGGTGCTAGCAATGTTGTGGAGAAAAGGGAACACTTATACACCACTGATGGGAATGTAAATTAGTTCAGCCACTGTAGAAAGCAGTTGGGTGATTCCTCAAAGAACTTAAAAAAACAGAGTTACCATCCAACCTAGCAACCCCATTATTGGGTATAATCCAAAGGAATATAAATTGTTCTATCATAAAGACACATGCACATGTATATTCATTGCAGCACTATTCGCAATAAGAAAGATATGGCATCACCCTAAATGCCCATCAGTGGTAGACTGGATAAAGAAAATGTGGTGCATATACACCATGGAATACTATGCAGCCATAAAAAACAATGAGATCATGTCCTGTGAAGCAACATGGATGGATCTGGAAGCCATTATCCTAAGCAAACTAACACAAGAACAGAAAACCAAATATGGCATGTTCTTACAAGTGGAAGCTAAACAATAGGAACACATGGATATTAGAAGGGTAACAGAAGATATTGGGGCCTACTTGAGGGTGGAAAGTGGGAGGAAGGAGAGGATCGGAAAAATACCTATTGGGTACTATGTTTATTACCTGGATGATAAAATTATCTGTCACCAAACCCCTGTGACATGCAGTTTACCTATATAACAAACCTGCACATGTACCCCTGAGCCTAAAATAAAAGTTTAAAAAAAAAAAAGAAAATACACCTGGACCCTATTTTGAAAGACATACTGTAGACTTGAGGGAGGAAGAGCAGAGGGATGGAAAGGGCCCCGAATTACCCACAAGCCATGTGAATGCTTAAGCAGTCATGGACCACAATTCTCACCACACACACACACACACACACACACACACACACACACACACACACACAGGTCTGAACCCTTACCCCTGTCTACTACTTATTGGAGCTTGGTAGAAAAAAAGTTGTGAGTGACAGAAAAGTGAGAAAAAGAGAAGAAGAAGAAAAATTGGAAAGTGTGGAAGAAAAAGTGGCAAATGCAAGCAGCCCTTAATGGAACTGTGCTGAATTGAGAGACAGCAGAAGGTAACAGCTGGCTGGGACTTGGCCATGAAAGGTGGAATGTGAGGAGACAAATGAAATGGAAATGCAGGAAAGAATGGAGTGGCAAAGGAGGCTGGAGATGGGGCAGAGGATAGCAAGGGGAGAGAAGGAAGCACAGAAAGGGTGTGGGGGACAGGCCAGAGAGTAGAAGGCTAGATGGAACTGACTGATGCCACCAGTCAGAGATGGAGACCATTAACAATGTGTAGGGAAACCCCTGCCTTCCCAATAATGAAAATGCAGGTTTAATCAGTACCAAGGAACACTGTGAAGTAAGGGCATTGACTTGGGAAGTGAAAGCCGAAGATAGAGCAAACCCCATACGGCATATCCTAACTCGCCATTTTAACAGCAGAAAGACTCGAAAATACAAAGCAAAGGATTATCCAAAGGGCTTTTTAAAATAATGCTTAAAATTTTAATCTTGTAAATATATTTCCCTTCCCAGTATGAAAATAATTCCGAGTATAATCTTTATTTACTTTCCCCTTTTTATTTTAGAAGAGTAAACATAGCTTTAAGAATTAAAAAAATCAGTTAATAATCTGACTTTTAAGTCAGCTGTAAAAATGTAAGTTTCTAGCTCTGCCACTTTTTAGTAGTGTGACTTTGGGCAAATTGCTCAAAAACTCCAAATTCTTGTTTCTTTACCTACAAAAAAGGGACAATAATACATACCTCCTATGATAGTAGAAAATTACGTGAAAATATACTCCAAGTATCTCAGAGGGCTTGATTTCCAGAAAGCGCCCAAGCTCAATCAATAGTGACGTTTACTATCCACGCAGCCAGTTCTACTACTGGGAGTTGGTTGGTGCTGATAAAGCTTTTTGTCAGACTTCTCACAATTTCCATTGTGAGAAGATGTAGCTTCCAATTAACTCTGTCACTGATTGTTGGGTAACTTTGGGCCAAATGCTGTTCCTTAATGAATGTGGGTGTGAAACTTATTAAGATTAATGACTGTCACAGCTGTTAGCCAGATGTTTACATAATTCCCTCTGTTTTACAGCAATCATATCAGAGGAAAGGGGTTGAATGATAGAATTAGAAAAATAAGTACAATATTGTGGGAATGAATAAATGTTGTTTTGGAGGGTAGGAGATTAAAATCCTAAATGTATTTTGATTAGGCTAATATTAAAAATTAGCATCTGTAAATCAGTAATCTAATTGAAGGAATTTTTTAACACAAGTGACTGGTGGAGGGGACACAGCATGGGAGGGCATGCTTACAGCAAGAGCTCCATTGATTAAATAGTCCCCTGCAGAACACAGAGAGTTAAATACGTCTTTAATAGCCTCCAGCATGAAAGGGCAAATCATTTGTTTTAATTGAGGAAGGATAAAATATTTTTGCTTTACACATATATGTTCTATTTTAGCATCATAGTTATTTTTATAGCTGTTATAACTTCACAAAACCTAATAGGAAAATAAATCTGAATCCAGAAGAGTTCAATACTTTCCAGAGGAGTCTAGTAAATAAAAACTCTACACTGACTGACTGATCTTATTCATGCACTGCTCCTAAACCCAAACTCTCAAGTGAAGGGAAAAGAGGTTAATTCGTTGGAATAAATTCATGGGATTTTTTTTTAAAGACACATCCTGAATCAAAGTGATTAAAACAACAAATGGATAAAGGGTAGAGCTGTGAGAGGACAAGGTTTGCATTACTGAGCATCTTGATTATGTGGGGAAGATGGGAAACAGATCTTGCCCATTCTGGTCTCAAACTACTAAATCCTGAGAATGCCAAGAGGCGAGTCACTGAAGTCAGAAGTTGGAAACATGGCTAAGCTGTCCAGAGTGTGGAACACATGGTCTCTGAAGGTTTTTATTAGTGTGTGGGTGAGAGTTCAGAAGCTCTACTAATTACTTTTGTTTTCAGAATTTATAAAGTTAAGACAGAAAGCGGAATATTAACACTTCACTTCCTCGTGCAGTCATTAATTTACTCACTTAGCATACATTTATTCATAGAAGCTTATTGGTACCAAGTATACCCTCAATGAGCAACCAACCCAAAATTGCAAAAGGGAGATCAAACAGGGAAGCTGTGGTAGGAAGTATCATGGCCTCTTCAAAGATGTCTATATACTAATCACAGAATTTATGTATATGTGATGCTGTATGTCAAGGGAAGATTAAGGTGTGCAGATGGAATTAAGGTTGCTAATCAGCTGACCTTAAAATAGGAGTACTATCTTGGAATATCTGGGTGGGCTCAATGTAATCACAAATGTTCTTAACAGATAGAAGAAGAAGGCAGAGGAGTCAGTGTTGGAGTGATGCCATGTGAGAAAGACTCAACTGGCCATTGCTGGCTTTGAAAATGGAAGGAGGCATAAGCCAAGGAATGAATGCAGGTGCCTCTAGAACCTGGAAAAAGCAAGGAAACAAATTCTCCTCTAGAACCTCCAGAAGGAATGCATTCCTGCCAACACCTTGATTTTTAGCTCGGTGAGACCCATGCTGGACTTCTGACCTGCAGGATTGCAAGATAAGATATTTGACTTATTTTAAGATGCTAAGTTTGCAGTAATTTGATATGGTAGCCATCGGAAACTAATACCGATGCCAAAGCAGTAAAGCAGGAAAGCACTCCAAAATCACAGGAGTGAGAGGAGCAGAAATGTCCTAGGAGAAGACAATGTTTCCTTTTGAAAAGGAAAGTTTACTGGCAACTTCCATTTGAATTTCTTAATTTCTTTCCTCAGTGGCAGTCACTACTTCCAAGGTGGCAGGTTCCAGAGCTGATTCATTATATAATCTTTTCTCAGGAGTATTCTAGCCACCTTTAAAGAAGCTAGGGCCATTTTCCTGACACTGCATCAAGGGGTAAGGTTAGTGGTAAAGAAACCATGCGGTAGGAAAGGCCAACTTTCTCCCTACATAATCCAATCGCATTATCTCCAGACTTGCTCACCCTCTGCTCTTTGCATACTGCAGCTCCAGAGCTTTCATACCTACAGACTTCCTGGAGTTAAGACTAAAACAAGAGTTGTGCTACAGACTACCGTTCCTATTATCATTTTTTGTGTCCTGCTGAGTCCTCCCCTCTTGGCAACTTCAGGACCACCCACTGGGAAGATAATATACAACCCATCAGGAAACTCCCAGTGCCCATCGTGGAGGCCAAGTGCTGCCAACTCTGATTGCTTCTGGAATGCCATTTCTTCCCTGCCCTTTCAATATTCTTGTTATGCGACTCCTATGATCACTGCCAATCTGTAGAAAATTACAGGATGAATTTTTGTGAAGGACTGAATTTGCATACTGGTCTTTTGTTGTTTATTGTTGGGGGGATTTTGCTTTTTGCACACAATTTCTGCACATTTTATTGGAAGTTATTGGGTTAGATTCATCCCATTCATTCACTAGCCTGGCATTGCTATGCATGTGCTGTAGGGGCTTAGCATTAAACGATTTTCTTTGTTCAGATTTGGATTGCTGTCTCTGCTTGCAAATTATTTTTCACAATGACTCCTTCTTTTCCTTCTCTCTCTCTCTCTTTCTCTCTCTCTCTCTCTCACACACACACACAGACACACACACACACACACACACACACACACACACACACACACAGATGAGGTTAGATATTTTTCCATTGCCAAGTTCAGGACCCATGAATACCTTTTCCAAGTTCAGGACTGTGGTAAGTCTTTACATTGGTTCCTGATTATCACACAGCCATTGTGTTCTGCTAAACAAAATAAATTATTAGGGGAAGACCCAGAACCCATATCTGCGTTTTAATAGAGCATAGTTTCTCAACCTTGGTTCCATTGACATTTTGGGCCAAGTAATTATTTGTTGTAGGAGGCTGTCATGAGCATACTGGGATGTTGAGCAGCATCCCCGGCGTCTACCCTCTGGATGCCATTGTCAATATCTCCCCTAGCTGTGAAAATAAAAACTGTCTTCAGGCATTGCCAAATGTTTTTTGAGGGGCAAAATCACCCCTGGTTGAGAACCACTGGAGTGGAGAGATCATAAACACCCAATTTCAAGCAACTTGTTAAGACAGCCTCAAAAATAGTGAACAGGCTCAGCTGTTTGCTCAGCTTTGTGGACCACCTGTGGCCAATTAGCTTGACAAAGTTATTGAGTTACAAGACTTGGACATATGGCCTCAACTACGGCAACTGTATGCGCTCTGTGGGTCAGCTTCACTGGAAGGATTGGGTTACATACATTCCACTTTTCTCTGCCCTTCAACTCCTTAAAGGCAGCTCAGTTACTCACTAACTGATAGTGATGACAGTTTGAGCCAACAACATGGATCCTTTCAATGTATTAGGTTAGTGTAAAAGTAATTGTGGTTTTTGCCATTGAAAGTAATGGCAAAAACCCCAATTATTTTTGCACCAACCTATAGTTGCATGTGCTAAGTAAAAATAGCCACAGATTATTGCTGAAATTATTATTGCTATTGTTGTTATTATTTAACAAGGAAAAAGTTTCCAAAGTTAAGGAATGACATAATAGTATTTTATTGACTTATCCTTTAACAACTATAGATTATTAGCCTTTTCACTGGCCACTATATGTCCTGATGGCATCTTAAATAGATCCCATT
Source organism: Homo sapiens (assembly GCF_000001405.40). Classification (NCBI taxonomy): domain Eukaryota; kingdom Metazoa; phylum Chordata; class Mammalia; order Primates; family Hominidae; genus Homo; species Homo sapiens. Next base: position 47,951,530 of record NC_000015.10, on the reverse strand, counting down.
GAAGTTCCAACTCTTCATCATTCACCCCCAAAACAGCATTTAAAAAATGTTTCCAATTTCTATTTGTTCTTTCTGTTACCTAGGCTCAAAACAGCACATACAGCAAATGCCTAATTTAGCTACCTTCCTTCAAATGTTCTAACATACAATTACCAGGTTATCTTTCCTAAATCAAAGGTTAGGTTAAAACTTATTTGAAAAATGTTAAATGACTCCCCTGGCTATTTTCTAGCCTAACTTTTAGGACTTTACAGTATCAATCTTCAGGCTGTATTTTTTCGTCTTCTTTCATTCCTTCTCTCCCTCCTTCCTTCCTTCTATTTATTTTCCCAATATTACCTCCTAATCAAGTATTTCTCAAAATGTGTTCTGTGGTTCACCTGAGGAAGAATCAACAAAGCTGATTGTTAAAATGCAGGTTCCTTATCCTACCCCAGAATTTCTGAAGATAAGGCCTGATTATCTCAACAAATGGAAATACATCTATTCTTAAGACTCAGCTTGAACTAACTTCTTTCTTTAAAATGCTTAGTGCTTTTCTTGTGGTACTTCTCATATTCTAACTTGGAGGAGAAGGAGGAAGAGGAAAAGAATGGAGAAGATGGGAAGTGGGGATGGGGCTATAATTTATGTGCCAGGAAGTGTGCTAGGCACTTTACATTGATTGATTTAATTTTTGCAACATCATTATTCACTTCATAGATGTGGAAACTGAGGCTAAGAAAATTTTGTTTACTTGCTCATACTTTATAAAGTACAAGAGCTTCTCACTTCAAAGTCCACAAAGTCAATACTGAGCAATGATCTAGCTCAGTGGAAGGAGCATTGGACAGAGAGTCAAACAATTCTCTGCTTGAATTCTGGCTTTGGCATTTCTTGGTTCCTTCCAGCTGGCCCTAGGGTGTGGCCATCTGCCTGTGGTTCAGAATATGGCCAGGCGATGGAAAGGAGGAGGGATGAGCATGAGAGATGCAAAGGGCAAGGACCTGCAGTGTTTTAAGGACGGTACCTGGAGGGAAAGTAGAGCTTCCAGGGAAGGTGTGTAATATATAATCTGTAATTCTATGTGGCCTTGAGTCCAACTAAAAATCAGAGGAGAATGAATTTAGGGATCTGCTTTCTCTGCTATGTAACCATAATGGACATCTATTGTTTTATCGTGCATTTCCCCTTTTCCAGTTACAGTAATTTGCTTTTCCTCTGGGCACCATCCTTCCCCATCTTGCAATCCATGAGCTTCAGGTGAATCTTATTCCAGACTCCAGGGGAGGACAGATGTTCCAGGTCCAGCCAGTCAGAGAGGGATATATCATTCTAGCCAGGCCAAACGCACCAAAGTGGACCAAGTCCTGAGACTTCACTGGAGAAACTGGCCAAGAGAAGTGCCCTCCCTGACACAGACTGGAAGCTCTGAATAGATAAACAGGTCTGCAGAGACTAAAGCGATCCCAGGCGGAAGCACAGCTGTGAGGCACAGAGGTGGGTCCTGATGACACCACTTGAGGCCCCAGATCAAGCCCTGCTGGAGGCTAGGATCTACCCCCTGCATGTTTTATTTATGAGCTTTAGTAAATTTCTTATTTTGCTTAAGCTACTTTGAATAGGGTTTCCTGTTCCTCATGGGGTGCTAAATAAACAGATTAAAGAAATGATCACTATTAAGATACTCATCTATGAATTTTCCACACCAGCATAACTCTTTGTACGTAATAGATTTTCCAGGATTGATGACTGCGAGAAGGAAAGAAAAAAATGTTTAAGTAACTGAATGAGACTCAGAACAACTCCGTTAAATTAGAAGAATTTCATTAGCCTTTTTTTTGTTCCCGATATTCTCTCGGACCGTGTTTACATTTAGGAGTCACAATTATGAAAAACTAGGCCAGATGGCCTGAGATATTTGTTAGAGCTCATCTCAAGACCTTGAAAAGACACCAGAAAGGGAAGATCTCCCCAGTTCCAGCCAGGCTGTGTCCATATGTGGACATAAAGCCATTCCCAAATAGTTTCCAACTAAACATTTTATTTTCACTCATCATCTATTGCTTGTCTTCCTGGTGATGGCATACAGTGAGGGCAACATTTCAGTGTTGCCAGATGGTGTCCTCATGTAGATAGACAGCTCCGGCTCAGGTCCAGGGGCAAGGGGAAGGAGAAGCACTTCTGCATCAGGCCCTTCAATGGAGGAAAATCAGAAATTCATTCAAGCATTTGTTACTTATCCCCATTTTACTTCCAAAACAGATCTGAGTGGGCTTTCAATAAAAGGCATGTGTACCATAGATTTGTTAAACAAGGATAAGGAAACAAGTGCCATACAAGAAAGGGCAGTTATATCTATCAATTACAAACACTGGAAATGACAGCTACATGTATGGAGGTTTATCATGAGCACAGTTAAGTGCACTGTTCTGAGCACTTAACTTGTACATTCCATTTAATTCTCACAATAACTCTATGATGGCAGTTCCTATCATTATTTGCATTTTATGATAAGGGAACTGAGTACAGAGAGGTTTAGTGATCAGCTCACAGTCATACATCAGTTTTATATATATATATATATATATATATATATAAAACATAGCTGAGCCAGAATTTGAATCCATATAGTCTAATTCAGGACATGGGCTAGGCAGAGATAAGGGTCATCGTTTGAGAGCCCATCAGCGGGGTTTGAATCCCTGCTATTCTGCTTACTAGCCGATGACTCTAGCAAGTCACTTCCCTTCTTTAAGCTTCAGGTTGTACATCTATAAAATGAAGGTAATGATACTTGTCTCCTGGTTTTGCATTGAAGACTAACAGAGATAAACAATGACTGGTACAAAGTAAGTATGAGATACATAGAACTATGTATTGCAACCCTTTGTTATCTTGTTTAAATAATAATCTAATACTATTCCAATAATCTAACCATAAATAATCTAATGTTAAATAAATGCTAGATTATTAGCATTAGCCATAGAACCAGGAATGCCTTTTCTTCTTTCCAATGTCATTTGTAAAGAATATCATTTATCTTTGACCACTTCATTTTGGTGGCATTGCCAATCTTGTACCTCCATGACAAATGACAAAACTTTAAAAAATAAGAGAATATTCCAGGGCTTCAAACTGGACAAAAGAGAAGCAGTGATGGGATGTGAAATAATAACACAGTGCAGAGCACATGTCTGTCAGTTTTCCTTACTGAGTATGCAAATCCCCAATAAAGCTCATCAAATACAAAAGTAGGATTTAGCTGGTATGGCCCAGCTCCCCTTTGCTGTGTGCTTGGGAAATTAGCTTTTCTTTTTGTTCAGCGAATAAATAACAGACTCCCTAACTGAGTGTCCTCAGAACCATAAGAAAGAGTGACATTGTCATTCAGGGCTACTGACACGAGAAAAAGATGGGGCTCTGAAGTCAACTAGCAAGTGATGATGCAGCGGGATGGTCCTGTGATAGAGATCATGAAGGGGATGTCACCAGTGGCCTGAATACACTCTTATGTTAATTGTGTGTGGAAAGACACAATGATGTACAAGCAGCCTGTGCTTAATTACTTGAAAAGCCTTAAGTTCAAGTACTCGTGTGTGTGTGTGTGTGTGTGTGTGTGCGTGTACGCGAGCGCCTGTATGCAGGTATGCATTCCTTTAAGTCAAATAACCAAAAGTCGGTGAGGGGGAATCATATACTTTTGATATTAATTCTGTTTCTGCAAACTTCGGGCGTGAGCAGTCCACTTTGTGTCATTCTGAACATTGCTGACCAGGTCAAAGGGTCAAGCAGGAGCATGTGGGTTCAGGATAGAATGTCCTGCGCCTTGCTTTTTGGGATCTTGATCTTAATCAGGCTAGGACAGTCAGGCCCCTGCTCGAATTACTCATTAATCTAATAGAGCTCCTTCTAGGGGGAAAAAAGCAAAAATAACTTCCATTGAAACCCTTGACTTGAGGCTTCTACTTAAGGGAGGAGGCAGTGTCCCTGGGAGCCTCCTTGAGGCTTGCAGAAACATGCTCAATTCAGGGACTAAGCTGATTTTATTTTTATTTGAGACAGAGTCTGTCGCCCAGGCTGGAGTGCAGTGGCGCGATATCGGCTCACTGTAAGCTCCGCCTCCCGGGTTCACTCCATTCTCCTGCCTCAGCCTCCCGCGTAGCTGGGACTACAGGCGCCCGCCAGCACGCCCGGCTAATTTTTTGTATTTTTAGTAGAGACGGGGTTTCACCATATTAGCCAGGATGGTCTCGATATCCTGACCTCGTGATCCACCCAACTCGGCCTCCCAAAGTGCTGGGATTACAGGCGTGAGCCACCACACCCAGCCTAAGCTGATGTTTTATCTCTGTTCCCTCCTCCCCTACTAGTCTCACATCTATTTTTTCCCCTTTTTCTTACTTTCTTCATTTCATCTTTGTCTTCTATCTCTTTCTTCATTCTCTTGTTCATTTTTCCTTTCTCCTTTTCCTTATTTTTAAAACATTCCCTAATATGTTTGTGCTATACAACCAGCGGAAGCGATAAAGAGGTTGGGGAAGTAACTCATGCCAACTTGAGATCCGGGCCATGCTAACCATTTCTCAGGTTTGCATTAAATCCAGACTCAACTCAAGCTAATTCCATTACTCAGGCGTGTCATGGCACACTCCTAAAGGTTAGCATTCACTGTAGCAAAATAAAACACTATGTGGTATGATTTTATTATATCCGGTGATACACACGAATGATTAAGAGAAAACCCAAAGAGCTCTTCTTTCTTTAAACGCTTTCCAGTTTCTAGAATTAATATAAATGTATTGCAGCTGATGGGCAGGACTCCTGGGTTTTCCAGTTTCTTCAATTCAAGACATCTAAAGTTAAATGTTCTTGTTAACGGAGGTAAACTTAACTCTGAGCCAAAGGCAGACAAATCACCTCAAAAATTGCCTTTTAGTAAAAGGCCTAAATGTAACTTGTTCTATTGCCATGTGGTCTCAATTCACAAGAAAAAAAAATTGTAGAAAGAACACGGTGACTTCACCAGCTGTAATCACTCTGAAAAGACATTCAGTTTCTGGATTTCACCAGACTCTGCTTGGGGAATGACATGGTCCTGTTAGTAACAGGTAGTCCCCAGGGGCTCTGCCTACAGCTGAGTGAGTGATGTGTTTTTACCTCCAGCATGGCAAGCTACTGGAAAGCCCTTCATAGCCTCTGCAAGGGCTTGGAGAGGTGTCTGGGGAGAAAGCAAAGTTTTTAAAGGGTTGGCTGGTCTTCTGGGGTTTCACTGGCTTGCCAGAATGCTATTCCACTTCATCTTAAAAATAATATTTCGATCCCAGACCATACCATGTTTCTGGCTAAATGTTACACTTGACAAGCTTTACGCAAATTACCATACACAGTCACATACCGTTTGCAGCTGATTCCATTTTTAGCAATGTCAAAGGGAAGAAGGAATCTCAGAAGGGTGAGTGCATTTGATACGCCTGATACTGCTCTCTGAAGGTCAACTCCACACATGCCTTCCCCGTAGGCCAGCATTCCCAGCCTCTTCAGACAGCTCCCTCCTGCATGACAAACTTCTGGGCTCTGCAAAGTCTCCCCTCCCAGACCTGATCCATTTCCTTCTCCTTCAGGCCAAGGAGGAAATCTAGATGGTTCATTTCAAGGCTAATCTTTGATACCCATGGTCCTCCACTTCCATTAATGAGAGTGGCCTGCTAAATTGCTAGTCTAATTTGTGTCTCTGGAAAAGAGGAAGGAAAGGTGACAGTTATGAATGCAATCTGTGTGTGTGCTTGCATGCATGGGTGTCTTTGTGGATCTGCATCAACATTCGTGTCCCCAGCCACAGCCTTTTTGGAATTATCTTTGTGTAAAAGCACAAGTTAGGGTGAATTCAGGCTTGGAGAAGAAATCAGCACCACCTCTCATAGCTTACCCTGGAGACCGTTTATATGCTGACTAGAAGCTTACCTCTCTGTTTTTCTTCCTTTGTTTTCAGTTTTACTATGAAATACTACAAACATACAAAAGAAGGAATATAATGTGTATAATATGAATGAACATATACATATTTATATACACATTCTCATTTGTGTGTATATGTATCTGTGTATAATATTTAACATAAAGTGAACACTTCATATGTAGCATACTGCTTCAGACAAAAAGGACCACAATAGGTTACCTACATCTTTGAGGCAACCCCAGTTGAATTCTGTTCCTCTCCTCCTAATGTTTATAATTCCCTCCTGTTTTATTGCATTTTGTTACATGTGTAAGTTTCCCTAAAATAGCTTTGTTACATCTATGTGTTTTTAAAATTACATAAATAGAATACTTTATGTGATTGCTATTTGCTTTTTCCACTCAATATGACTTTGGGATTTATCTGTGGTAATAGTCATGACTGTAGTACTCATTTCTACCACTGTATAGCATTTTATGCTATAGCTGCACCCCAGCTTATTACCCATTCTACTGTGTATGGGCATTGTGCTCCTCCTGGTTTCATACCAATATGACCAGTGCTTCTGTGATCATTCTCCTGTCTGATTCCTTGTGCACATATGCAGAATTTTCTCTAGGGCACAAAATATGTGTGAAAGAGCAGGGCCGTGGGGTAGGTCCACCATCAGTTTTATTGCCTCGTGCCAAATTGTTTTCCAAAGTAGTTGTATAAATGTACATCCCCACTGGCAATATATGAAAGATCAGCCTGTCCTACAGCCTTGCCAACATTTGGGGTTGCCAGACTTTAGAATGCTTGCCAATCTGATGTGTATGAAAGAGTACGTCATTGGGATTTTAATTTGTACTTCTCTGAATACTAACGAGGCTGAGCACCTTTTCATATGTTTATTGGTTGTTTATATTTCCTCTTTTGCATTCATGTCTTTTGGCTATTTTTCCTCGGGGTATTTTTTTTTGTCTTTTATTTGATATACAAGTCTTAAAAAAACTATATTCTGTTTGTTTTTTTTCCATGTGATAAATGTCTTTTTACTTTCTGTATTATGCCCTTTGATAAACAGAAGTTTTAAATTTTTATTTAGTCAAAATATATTTTCTGCCGTGGTTACCTTTTTCATCATGTTTAAGGAATCATACCTGACATCAAGATCATAACAGTATTTTTCTGCTTCATCTACTAAAAGTTTTCAAGTTTTGTTTTCATACTTAAGCATTTAATACATCTGTAATTGGTTTCTATGCGTGGCATGGGAAGAAAAATTTTTTGTTTCAAATGGATGACCACGTATATATAAGTCTGCTTTGGCTGCCATAACAAAATATTACAACGTGGTATTTTGGATGGAGTAATCAACAAAAATTTATTTTCTCACCATTCTGGAGGCTAGAAGTCTAAGAGCAAGGTGCCATCAAGTTGGTTTCTGGTGAGAACTCTCTTCCTGGCTTGTAGACTGTTGCTTTCTCCCTGTGTCTCCACATGGCCTCTTCTCTTTGTGCTCACAGAGAGAGAGAGATCTCTGTTGTCTCTTCTTACAAGGGCACCAGTCTTGTCAGATCAAAGTTCCATCCTTATAACTTCATTTAACTTGTATTACCTTCTTATAGCTCCTATCTCTATTTAAATACAGTCACATGAGGAGTTAGAGCTTCAACATAGTTCTGGAGGGACACAATTCTGTCCATAACAAATGCCTCACCACATTACTATTTACTGCACAGTGTACGTTCCCCCCTCTCCCACCTCTGTCACATATCAGGTTTCCATATATGTGGGGTTCTGTATTATACAGAGTTCCATTCTGAGTTCTACATTATGTTCCATGGATCTATTTGCTACACTTGTGCCAAGATCATGCTCTTAACTATTAAAGCTGTGCAATAAGTTATGATTTTTGTTAGTCTTTTTGTCTTATTATTCTTCCTTAGGATTATAACAACTACTCTAACCTTTTGTTCTTCTACATGAATTTTAGAATCAACTTGTCAACTTCCACTAAGAACCCAATACGAATTTATATTAGAATTTTCTCAAATCTACAAATCAATTTGGAGAGAATGAATGTATTTACAATAGTGATTGTTTGGATCTTTGAACATGCTGCCTGCTTTCTTCTGTCCCTTTCTCTCTCCTTTTTCTCTTCCTCCCTCCCTTGCTTTCTATCTTCCTTTTTTCCTTCCTCCTTTCCTTTTTCCTCTCTTCTTCTTTCCCTCCCTTTCCCCATTCCCCATTCTCTCTTCACAGGCAAATATTCTAATTTGTTTGATGTGAATCTTTTGGTTTGTGTTATTGTAGCATATGTTTCAGCATGTATTTTAATTTTTTAAATGATATTGCATAATATATTTCTCTAATTCTTTTCTTCTCAGCCTTGTTTTTCACATATATTTAGGTGTTTTTATGCATATCTAGGCATTCTAACTGCTGCAAAGAACTCCAAAATGTGAAGCTACTTTATCTTACATATTCGCTCCTCTAGTTATGGTTACCTAATTATGGTTATAGGAATATTCCAACTTTGTTACTTATAAACCTGGAAATTTATAATTTTTTTCTAGAAATGTATTAATATCTATTCTTATAAACTTGGTAACATAATTTTTTACTGCCATTAAGTACTAACTATACTCCCTTATTAAATTTTAATCTATGCTATATCTGCAGTTAGAGCGCTTTTTCATTTCTAGCATTTTCTGTGTGTTCTTCCTTGATTTTTCTCTTGACTGATTTTCCCATAGGTTTGGTTATTTTATTAACCTCTTTCTAAGCTGTCTTTCAAATTTTTGGTTCTTTGTGTGATAACTTTGTTTTCCATTTCATCTACCATCTTCGCTGTTATTAGAGACTTTGTGATAAAGAATCTCTAACATTTATTGAGGGACTGGCATGAGACAGGTATCATTACATTATCTTATTTTGTCCTCATGATAACTTTAAAGGGAAGATGATAATATTGTACCTATTGTACAAATTAGGAAGCTTTGTGAAAGTCATAGGCCCAGCTAATCACAAAGCTGGGATTTGTACCATTCCTCTATTTTGTTTGAACTAGAACTCAAAGAATAAAGACAATGTTTAGTTCCAAGGAATAAATTAAAAATGCTGGGATTTTGGTTATGATATGAAGCCATAGAAAATTTTTGTTGAATTTGGAGTCGAGGCTAGTCAGTTCATAGCTGCTGCCTTCAGCCGTACTTCTGTTCTATGGATGGCAGAATGAGAGACTCTAATTATCATATGAGTCCTATCTAGACATTTTCTTTCCAGATATGTCTAAGCCAAAAATAATTGTTGTATATGTAATGGAGGGCTTCCTCCAAGTTATCAAATTGTCTTGTAATAGATGATAATTTTTTTTTGTATTTGAGTGTTGAGTTAGCTTATTTGCAATCAGTGTTCAAAGCATTTGCAAATGTTGCCTCTAGCTCTCACACTTCTCACAACTTCAGCAGCCTGTGAGATAAACAGGATAGTTATTATTCCCACCCTACAGATGTAAATAAGAGAAGCTGAATATCTTGCTCAAGGTCACATACATAGTGAGAAGCAGAATAATTTGAGAATACAGTCTGACTTCCATCTTGTTCATTGCTTTTAAAATTCATTCATTCCACATATACTTATTAAAGACCCTCTACGTGTAAGGTACAGTGTTGGGCATTGTAGTGTAATAGAAAGTTGTGTAAGTCATAGATATATGATACTCATAAAAATAATTACAATAAAAATGTTATATGAGAGATTTAGGTAAAGGCTTATGGGAAATTCAGAAGAGGGGGAGAATTTACCTTTTAGTGGAATTAAGAGGAAGATTCCAATATTTTTCTACTATGCTCCAAATCAATCATAAGAATTAGTCAAGATCAACAACGTGTTTTGGGAAACCTTGCAACGTAGTATTACATTGTATCCAATAGACTAAACGGACCAGAATGTCAAAGAAAATTCTGGAAAGAGATGAGTAAACTGGGTAGCTCAATGTACTGTAATACTACCCACAGCTGAATTTGAGGAACTTCCCAGATTTCTATAAGACTGTGGTAAGATCACCATTCACTATTAGACGCTGCCCACTTCTCCTCTATTGTAATCAAAAATGGTTGTAAATGAAAGAGATGTCTCTCTTTTCTCTAAGAAATCATCAGGAATAAATGCCATCATGCCTCATATACCTTAGTACCAAAAGTATATCTCTTTCACAAATTTGAGAACCCACATCATCAAAGAACATGCGGAAATATCTCCATATATAAAGATCTATATTCTCTAATCATCTAAATCCTTCCACCTTTTTCTCTCTCTCTCTCTTTCTTTCTCCCTTCCTTCCTTCCTTTCCTTCTTCCATTCTTCCCTTCTTTCCTTTCTTTCCTTCCTTTCCTTCCTTTCCTTTCTCTCTTTCTCTTTCTTTCTTTCTTTTTTGTTTTTGAGATGGAGTTTTGCTCTTGTCACCCAGGCTAGAGTGCAATGGTGCGATCTTGGCTCACTGCAACCTCCGCCTCCCAGGTTCAAGTTATTCTCCTGCCTCAGCCTCCCGAGTAGCTGGGATTACAGGCACCAGCCACCATACCTGGCTAATTTTTGTATTTTTAGTAGAGACAGGGTTTCATCATGTTGGCCAAGCTGGTCTCGAACTCCTGACCTCAGGTGATCCACCCGCCTTGGTCTCCCAAAGTGCTGGTATTACAGGCATGAGCCACCATGCCTAGCCTGTCCTTTCTTTGGAATAATCTCTCGCATCCTCAGTCTCTCCTTTGAACACTCATTCCTTTATTTTATGATTTATCTAAAACCTAATTGTCTCCTAAAAGGAGGACACTACTTTCCTTGAAGCCCTCTTAGGGGTATCTGCTTTTCCCCACACAATGCCCACATCATAAACTAAAGAGATGGTGATTGGAGCCCTTCTTATTCATCATTGTTTTTCTAGGTCTTTTCTTTTCTTTTTTATTTCAAAAATCTTTTGAGGCATATGTCATTAGACTAAACTACCTTCTACTATTCCATCTTGCAATCATTTTCTGGCCTTTCAGTCATACAACTTATTGAAGATTTTAGCACTCAGTTAATGGTATATCTCTGTCAGTATTCCTTAATCTCTCTCTCTCTTTCTTTCCTTTCTTTCCTCTCTTTCCTCTCCTTCCTTTCTTTCTTTCTTTCTTTCTTTCTTTCTTTCTTTCTTTCTTTCTTTCTTTCTTTCTTTCTTTTCTCTTTCTTCTCCTTCCTTCCTTCCTTCTCTCTCTCTCTCTCTTTTCTCTTTCCTTTTCTTTTGACATAGGGTCTCTCTCTGTCATGGTACAATCATAGCTCACTCCAACTTCCAACTTTTGGCCTCAAGCTGTCCTCCCACCTCAGCCTGCAGACTATCCAGTAATCATTCTTGATTACTTCAACAATTATCTAGATCTTCCATTCAACAACTTTCCTCTCAGATCTTTTTACTTTGATGTTTTCAACCAATCGACCTCAGCCATTCACTCCACTCACTCTCATAATTAAACTCTGAACCTCATTATTACCTTTAACTTTTCCAAATATCAATTTCAGGCATTCCAATCTTTGACAATCACTCTTAATTTTCTAACATATTTATTCCAGTACTCAAACCGCAAAAGCCCTTTGACCCACAGAGACCATCAGTTTGTTGCCCATTCATCTCTTTCCTTTACATCAAACCTCTCTTCTCATTTCCATCTTTTCAAACTAGACTAAATTCTATGGTCCATCAGTCCCTCGCATACAACCTAAACAACCTTTCCCCTTTTCTTTCCATAGGATTCATTTTGCAAGAGCACAAACTTGGTTAATTAAAACTCTCCACATCCCCTCTCCTTGCATCTGAGCAGAGCATGGCCAGAAAAAAAAAATCTACTATTATGCTGCATGGACTCACTTGAAATTTTAAACCACAAAACTCAAACAAACCCTCAGCACTGCCCAACCAATTTTCTTTGTCTCTCTAGGCAATTTGCTTTTCCACTCTTTGGGAAGATTATTTCACACCTTCTGTCTCTTCAAACCTGTTCTCCCCTTCTCACTCAGAGCAGATGATCTCACTTCCTATTTCACTGAAGAATAAGAACAATCAGAAGAGAAAATGTATCTTTCAACACAAAATTTGTCAGTCTAAATATATCTGTACCCCTATCTTCTGCCTTCATTCCTGGTAAGTGGGATAATCTTTCCTAGTTCCTATCAAATGCTTGGGTACTGGATCTCATCTCCTGTAAACTACTCAAGGACTCTGGTCTTGAAATTCTCCCCTTCACTCCTGCATCATCAGTTTCTCCCTTTCTATTTGGTCATTTCCATCAATGAGAAGACATGGTAGAATATCCGTTTTTAGGGAAGAATTCCTCATTCATTCTCCCAGGGCAGGAAAAATAAATGTTGTGATTGGTAAATGGAGGAGTTGAGCTCAGATCTTTCTTCCTTTCACTTTCCTCCTTGGGCTCCCCCTGCCTGGAGAAAGCCCACATTCTATTTCTTTCCTTAAAATTATGTTTTAAAAGGGTAGACCCCCATGAGGAAGGCCCACAATTGTTCAGAGCTGCCAGGAACTGGGCAGATAAGTCTGCTTAATTCTCGGTACAATATTATTAATTGTATTTTAGCTAATAGACTTAAATCCACCTACCAACACTTTTGTCAGTAATGAAAGTAATATTTTGATCTTTGACTGCCTGTTTCCTATCTCTCAGTAGATTCAGAATTTGGTCATATATAAAGATAATGTTTTTTACTGGATTCTCTCAAATCCCAGAATCTCCTATCTTAAAAATGTTGCCTAGATCTTGTCTTTCTCCATCTCTCACCCTATTATTAGAAATGCCCTCTTTTAAAGCAAAGCTCCCCAGTAAATTTGGTCTAACTCACTGTCAACTCGTTCTTACCTCCTCTTACCTCTTCAGACTTTCAGTCCCAACACAATGCTAAATTGATTCTGTCAAGACCACTGGCAACTTACATCTTGCTAAATCCAATGGTCAATTTCCAGCACTCGAATTACACAATCTCTCAATCTCGTTTGCCACAGTTGATTACTCTATGTTTCTTAAAGTGTTTTTTCTCCTTCCTGGCTTCCTGAATTCGACTTTTCTTCTTGGATACCACTGAGGTAGGTTTTCATCCTGCTTCACAGATGAGCTCGGTGGCCACTTCCTTTTCATTCTTCATTCCCTTCCCCACCCCACCTAATAACTTTCATATTATCATTCCCTTATTGTCCTTAACCCACCTCCATCCCATTTTCCCCACCATTAGTATACTAGCTAACTTAGGCACTCTGTGACTTTGGCTCTTTTCTTTTCTTTTCTCTTTCTTTCTTCCTTCCTTCCTTTCTTTCTTTCTTTTCCGTCTTACTTTTTTTCTCTTTCTCTCTTTCTTTCTTTCCTTACTTTTCTTTCTTTTCCTTCTTCCTTTGTTTTTTCTCTTTCTCTCTTTCTTTTCCTTTCTTTCTTACTTTTCTTTCTTTGTTTCTTTCCTTCCTCCCTCCCTTCCTCTGTTCCTCCCTTCCTTCTTCCCTCCTTCTTTCCTCCCTTCTTCTTTCCCTCCTTTCTTCCTTCCCTCCCTCCTTCACTTCTTCCCTCTCTCACTTCTTTCCTTCTTTCCTTCCTTCCTTTTTTCTTTTCTTCCTTCCTTCCTCCCTCTTTCCCTCCTTTTTTCCTCCCCTCCCTCCCTCACTTCTTTCCTTCCTCCTTTCTTTCTTCCTTCCTTGCTTCCTTCCTTGCTCCCTCCTTCCCTGCCTCCCTTCCTCCATCTCGTCCTTTCTTCCTTCCTTTCTTCTCTCTCATTCCCAATGTTCTCACAGAAGATTCCTTTCACTTCCAGCCCCAACTGAAACCTGGCTGTCCTCTAATAATGCCACTTTATTTGGCGATATGTATTTAAAAAAAAAATTGACTCCAAAATTCTATTTATAGAAATATGTATTTATAGAAATATATCCTAAGGGAAGAATATGAGAAAAAATATGTAAGCAAATATGTCCATCTCAACAATAGTCATAATGGTGAAAAAACCTCAAAAACAAATATAAATATTTGTTAATTGGAGGGTACAAAAATTAGCAAACAGAACTAGATATGTATCTATTAACATGGGAAAATGTTGTTATTTTAAGAAAGATAAAAGTCCCAGGTTATAAGATAGCAAGAAAATTACGATCCAATGTTTACCTATGAAACAATATATGGTAAATTGCACATACATGTAAGTTAGTTTACATAAAGATAGGGTTTTAAAAAATTGTATCTTTTCTCTTCCTGTTCCTTTGTTGGACCCAGGTTAGTGGAAGGAGAGGATGAAGAGGTGCTGGGTGAGACTTTCTAAGTTTGGAAGTGAGAACACAGATCAGAAAGGAAAAGATTGATAAACTGATTACATAATAACTTGTGTACATTCATATAGACAGATGTTTCACATAAATATATAAGGCTGGAAAACATTATCAGTAAATGTGGCATGATTATGTAAATATATCATTCAAACTGATAAGAAAATCAGTAAGCCTAAAGTAAGAAGCAGATATGAACAGCAAATGTTTCTAGAAGTAGAACTGACAGAAATAATGAAAGAATGCCCAGGCTCACTAGAAATCAAATGTCAGCTGAAGCTGCAATGATGCAATCTCCCCATTAAACTAGTAAGTTAGTAAACTATAGATGTAAATGTGTATGTTTACATATGTATATGTGCCCATATATGAGTATCTCCACATACATATGTGTGTACACACACACACACTCACACACACATACACACACACACACACTTACACACACTCACTCTACCCTACCAGGTTATAAAAGTTCCATGAGGGAGAAACTATTTTGTGTGATTGAATGCTTTATCCTGGGCACCAAGATCAGTGATAGAAACTTAGTAAGTGCTTAATAAATATCTGTTGAATGAATAAATGCCAGTGAAGTTATGGTGAAACTGATACACATTTTTAAATAACTTATTCTATTACTATAGCTTCCCAATTTGCAAAATCATTTCAAAATTATGAGTATTTCATATCTGTTTAACTTTTTCAGTTTCCAAACATAATAAAATATATATATTGACCCAGTCCTTTAAAAAAGTTTAATTATTTGATTCTAGTTTTTTAATGTTTTTCCTGTCCTTTATTTAGCAATGTAATCTACTTATTTATATCGTGTTTTAGTGCAACTTACAAGAAAAATAACGTGTCAGAGAAAATTGCATTGTAAATGTAAAAATGCAAATCAAATAAAAATTCCATTACAAATCACTCGTGAGGCGATCTCTAACATCGATTTCAGGACAAAATATCACTGAAACAGCCACTGCCTTATTATGCAGACTATAAAATACGCTTTAAGAAAATGGCAAAAGGTCAAGGTCTTTCTCTTTCTCTTTTTCCAGTCAGGTCAGGTAAATAATAGGGCATTAGAATGAAAAACTATTATATTTCTTACTCTGGGGCTGAAAACCATGGAATATTTACAACATGCATAACTCTAAAAGTGCTAGCCTTTCATTTTAACTTTGAAGTTTGAGTGATTTTGGTTGGAAATATGCATAGATATATCACAATTCAATTGAGAATTAAAAGACAGGGCAAATCTTTGAGGGAGTGGGCACCTTGGTGTTGTGACCTGAGAAGCCCCACAGTTGTCACGGCCCAGCCGTCGAGATGCAGACCTTTGGGCAAACAAGCATTCATTCATCTTTGAAATCCTACAACAAAGCAAATCTGGAGATTTACTACCAAAATGTTACTTCCTGGGCATTTTTGCCATCATAAACCTTCCACTGACCTTCCTCTTCCCCCTCCACAGTAAGGAAGGAAGACACTTTTTAACTCCCAACAGCAATCAGTAATACTCACCTTTCCACTTATTGTTTGTGAAAGCAGACTAGTGTAAGGGAAACTAGTTAAACCCATTGGATTGGAATTTAAGAAACCAGTTCAATTCTAACTCTGTCATATGTAAATTCAGAGAAGTCATTAAATTAATCTAAGCCTTAGATTGCTTGTCTATGTAATAAAACTAATAATATCAGTTCCACCTGCCTTCCAAGAGTGTTATAAAATTATATGGTGGTAGTGTTCAAGTAGTATGTACATTGTATTATTCTTTTTGCAGCTTTTTCACTCTCATCCTTGAGATTTTGGACCTTACTTCAAAAGCAAATACTCTTCAGGAAACTAATCCTCCAACCTAGCAATCAGTCATTTTTCCTTTAGTTAGCTCCAACATAGCATCTGCTTTCTTCTTAAGAGTGTGGCGGGGCAGGATTGAGTTTTAATTCATAGAAGAGATGGAGAGAAGTAATTTTAAAATATAAGACACTGCCTAACGTAAGGCTGAAAGGCCCTCCTAGCTGATCTTTTCTATTCCCTTCATGTATCTCTCAGCAATGTACTCATAAGTCTCCAACTGGTATGTACACTCTTAGCCCTCTCTTCCAGTTTGAACCCAATTCATCTGCCCATCTCCTAGACACCTGCAATCAACTGATCTCCATTGAACTCATCAGTTCCCGTGTGCATTTTCACCAAACCCGTCTCAGTCCATGGACATGCCACTCTAATCACTGCCCAAGCCAGAAACCTCACAGGTATCTTACATTCCAACTTCTCTCAACACTCATATTTTATGATCAACCAGTCCTGAGAATTCTGTCTGAACTATCTTTCTGAATAGTCCCTCTCTCTTATATCTTTACTGCCACTTTCCTATTTCAAATTCCCATCTATTCTATGTCCAGTCTATAGAATATAACCTTCAAAGACAAACCTCCCAGTTAGACTCCCCTCTTGGTGACTCTCTGCCCCTTGTACCAACCCCATATTCCTCAAGCTTTAGCCTCCCTGGCTGGCCCTGTCTTCCCAGAGTGCCTTGCACACTGTCCTAAGCCTGGTCCCTAGATTCACTCCTTTCTTGACTGAAATGTCTTCTTTTCAAATGACACACTTAGACTCTTCACTCCCCAACTCTAGACTCTAGCTTTCTGACAGGCAGACTCTGTGGTCCCATAACATGTCTATACCATTATTCTAAGACTTATAGCCTAGCACCCTTCAAAATTGTGAGCTTCCAAAGAGCATGGCTTGTTTCACATTCAGTTTCATATCTCTAGTGACTGGCCAAAATGCATGGATTATATTAGGTGCTTGCTATGATCTGAATGTGTCCTCTAAAATTCATATGTTGGAACTTAATCACCAATATAATAGTATCAAGAAGTGGGGTCTTTAGGAGGTGATCAAGTTGTGGGGGCAGAGCCCTCATGAGTAGCACTAATGACCTTATAAAATGGCTGGAGGGAGCTGGCATTGATCCCTTCTGCCCTTCTGCCTCCCGCCATGTGAGGACACAGTGTTAGTCCCCTCCCAAAGATGCACCAAGAAGGCACCATCTTGGAAGCAGAAGACAGGGCCTTCACCAGACACTGAACCTTCCAGCACCTTATCTTAAAATTCCCAACCTCCAGAACTGTGAGGAAATAAGTTTTAGTTCTTTATAAATGACCCAGTCTCAGGTATTTTGTTATATCAGCACAAATTTAGACAGTGCTCAATACACGCTCAAATGAGGGACCAACACATAAGGAGTTTCAGGACAGACAAGCCAGTATGAGAGTCCTGGGTGACGTGGGTGACATGGGATAGAGAGGAAAATGGGAGAAAGAGGAAGATACCTATGGCAATCTTGGTTTGCTTCACCCATCTTTCCTTAACATTTGTGGAAGAAGCCAAGCCTAGATTCGGAGAAATGTCAGCACAACCTTCTTCCTTTCCTGACTTCCCATGAGAAGTTAATCCCAGAGCGTGCCGTCTTTGCAAGACATCCGCTTCCCCTTTGCCTCCTTGATAGATAATGATCCCGGGGAGCCACAGACTGAACTTCTTGGAGAACTTCTAGGCATTTCCCTACTGGATAACAGATAACATGTCCCAAAGCAAACAACCTGACTGCCAGGTAAAAATAGAAGAATCTCAACATCTGTGTTTTCTCACTCTATTCACATGTCTCTCAGGGCCTGTATCTTTTTACCCCCTCCATTTGTCACACCATGGCTATGCATTAGCATATAACTCGATGGGAGTCACACCTTAGCTGCAAAGGCTTGAATGAATCCCTGCCAACATCCTGGCCCTTGGGCAAATGTGCTTAATTCCCCTTTGACTTATGTAGATTGCTGGGATTATTGAGGAACCTGATCAAGGAGATACAGGACCAGCTGTATGTTCTCATCTAAACAGTGCTGACAGCAAACCAGGTTAGAGCTGAAAGCGGGTTTATCTCTGCTCAGGGCTCTAAATCATTTCCTTCCTTCTGGAGTGTAGAACTCTGTGGGAAGAGAGTGAGTAAGGCACTCTCAAACAGGAATTACTCAAGGGCTTAGGTAGTTTTCTTCTTTTCTCATTATGAGCTGGAGAACAAAGTCTTGGCTTCATGTTCCCTTCAGGAATAAATCGTTTCCAGCTTACAGACAAGTCCCCTTGAGTGGCCTGGGAAAGGCAGCCGATTAAACATGATCACAAACTCAGTTTGCTCAAGGCCCCTTCCTGCCTGCTAACATACCACAGGCTGAAAGCGATAATTTATACAAGTTCTGGGCACCTTACTAGGGTGCTGCTTGAGAAAGCGCTTCACTCTCTGTGTGATGTTGGGCTTCAGAGTTCCAGAAAACTTAACAACCACTTCTACTTTTCATTGTGCATCACCTATTATTCAGAGATGCCTCAAACCAAAGGGGGTCAAAGAAATATTGGCCACCAAAGACAAACCACATGGACCCAGACTGCTGGCTGACTGATTTACATTAGAACCATATAATGTAGAGCTGACCACATAAAGAATTCCTCTTTCTCTCTCTCTGTCTCTCCCACCCCCATCCCCCACCCCCATAGGGTTAGACATTAGTACTGTCCTTTATTGGGATTATTTGTTCTTTTCTATGGGGTTCCAAGCCCAACCCTCAGTTCCAGGCCAAATCCTTGCTCTTAGCAGCCACTGGGGCCTTGTTAACCTAATGTCTAGTCCCTTGGATTTCTTCCCAGGATCTTTTGAACACACTTCTCTTCCTAGGCCCCCTCAATCTCTCAAGTCCCTCTTTAGTACTTTGTATCCCCTTCTCTCTTGGCTGTGCTTAAACGCCAGCTGCTGACTTCCCGGCCACCCACTACAGCTCCTTCTCCTGGGCTCGCCTCTTCCTTTGCCCTGATCCTGCCTTTCCAGCATCCTCCTCCCACAGGGACCCACTGCCCAGGTGCAGCTCACAGCCATTTCCTTGCTTATTGTCCTCTTGCCTCCCAGTCCTTGATGACACATTACATCTAGTTTCATGTGTCCAAAGCTTTTAAAGTGAATGGTTTTCATCCACCAAGAGAATCAGTGCCTATTTCCAATGAATATTGAATTGGAAGGAATGGCAATTTTCATTGAGATCTTTTTAAAAAAGGAATTTATTTTACTATTTTATTCTTTTCTGAGGTGCTTAGAAGGGAATGGAGCCAGGAGACTTACTTGGATTAGAAGTCTGGGAATTATACCACTGAAAAGCCTGTTTTGCATTATACACAGAGACAATTTAATTAATGATTAATAATTGTTAAACAGGAACAAACCACACAATTTCTTACAATGTTTATACTCCATAAGAAAATTTAATAAACCTCATAATGGAAATAGGACTTCAATTTTCATTTTACATAGATTATTTTTTCCATAATTATTGTTTTAATACTTTTTTTCCTCAAACTTTGCATTTTCTGGTTGTCTTGACCTCTGCTGTCTCTTTCTTGGCAGATAAGAAGATTGTGAAGCCCTTATCACTGTATTGCATGACTTACATAATAACTCCTATAGTTTTTGTGACAGGACAGGCACTAGGAATGGAGGCATACTTTTTAAATTTCCACAAACTTTCTTTGTATATAAATGTATCATTAAGGAAGAGCAAAAGTAAGACTCACATACAAAAAGAGCTTCGTACCCAGAGTTGCATCACAATATTTCGTTAGAGTGGAATATAGAGTATCACCTGCCTTTCAATTAATTCTTTACAAGAAAGTTTCTTCTTAAAGTAGATGCTAAAAGTGGTATTATGGGACTAAAAAAATAGGAAACCAAGCGAAGTTCAATAACGTGTATACTGGAGACACTCAGAAGGTGAAAGCTTGTGATGATTTAAAGCATGTTTTTGTCATGTATATGTATGTATTTCAATATTTACCAAAAGGTATGCTCTTAAAAAAATCGATACATAATAGTTGTACATATTTTGGGGGGTACATGTGGTGTTTTAATACATGCATGCAATGTGTAATGATCAAATCAGGGCAACTGGGATGTCCATCACTTCAAACATTTATCTTTATGTTGGGAACATTCGGATTCTTCTCTAGCTATTTTGAAATAGACCACAAACTATTGTTAACTATAGTCACTCTACTGAACTATTGAACACTAGATCTTGTTTCTTCTGTATTTTTGAGTTCATTAATCAATCTCTTCATTCCCCTCACCCTCCTACTCTTTCCAGGCTCTGGTAACCACCTATCTACTCTCTAACTCCATGAGATCCATGTTTTTAGCTTCCACATATGAGAACAAAAAATATGTTTTTTAAATTAGAAAACTAATACATACCTATTGTGAAAGTGTTGACACTATAGAAAGGAAAAAAAGAGGGAAGGAAAGAAGGAAGTTATCCAAAATCTGCATTCTCACAAAAGCAGACAGATATAAATACTAGTGTGTTGACTAGTTTTGATGGTTGTGTTCTGTTATATAGAAGAAGGTCCTTGTACAACGGATACAGGAAAGTCTTCAGGAGTGATAGGGCATCATGTTAACAGGTTACTCTTCAATGGTTTACACAAAACATCCTTGCACTGTTCTTGCAATTTTTCTGTGCATTTGAGATGGTTTCATTTGGGATTTCACTAAATTTCCTTCCTATCATTTTATCTAAGGCTAAACTTTTGTGTAGTGGAATTACTGTTTCTAGGCGGTATGTGCAACTTATTAAACTGCTTTGTTTTCTAAAAAAATACTTTATGATATCATTAAACACCCCTCATATCTTTTAACAGCCACACAAAATTCTTTCATCATGTAACTATTCCTTTATCTATTCAATTATTGCACTCTGAGTATTTGCTTACTTCCAATGCTGAATGATAAACACCTTTACGCATAACTCTTTATCCAAAATTCAAATTATTTTCCTTAGGATAGATTCCTGAAAGTGTATGAACTGAGCCAAAGGGCTGGAACACCTGTAAGACTCTTGACATATTTTGACAAATTGCCTTTCCAGAGGGTGGTACCAATTTACACTCCCAACACCAGCAAATGAGTGTATCTCACCTCACCCTTGCCAGGACTGAATGAGATAATTTTCAAAATCTTTGCTAATTGGAAGCAAAAAATAGTATTAAATTTTGGCTTTGTATTATTTTATTTCTAGAGAACGTGAAGATTTTTTTCATTTTATCAGTTAGTTAGAAAACAGATTTTTTAAAGAAAATCATGTGCAAATTTAGAAACTTATTAGACCCTCATATTGTTTTACAAATGTTGACACTCATTTCAATTATGATAAAGGGGTCTTCCAACCAGAAATGATAACTATTAAATAGTTACTATTACAGATAAGCCTGTACTGATAGAAGTAGAAGCATTAACACATGGATTTGTGCTACAAAATGTCCTGTTTTGAAGGGAACTAAGAGAATAGATTCAATCTCTCCACGAGTCTTAGACTGGGTTTCCCAGAACCAGCCCCAGAGGATACATTTGAAAGTGAAAAGTTAGGAGGAGAGTGGAAAAGTGGGAGTGGGAGAGGAAAGAAACGAAGCAAGTGTGTAGTATCAAGTGAAGCAGAATGGATGGGAACCGTGGCTTAGCCTGGCAGGATTGCTCTGGAGACAGGCAGTGTAAGCCACATCTCAGAGTTTAACAGGGGCCTGCGGAGCTGGAGTATTTATACCTCCTCCTTAGTCACTATTTAAGGCCTTGAAGGAGAGAATGTGGACATTCCCAGGCACTGGTGTCTCTCACTCTTGGCTGGCAAAGTGGGTTCCAGCAGCTGGAGGGCAGCTGTCTGACAAAGAGATGCAGGTGCTGCCTACCCGGAATGCAAACACACAGGAAGACAGGTGTGCACACAATGGTCAAAGGATGTGAAGGCATCAGGGTGGAGCACTGAGTGCATCTCCCACCCCAGGCATCCTGTGACTACCAGGCCACCCTGCACAGCTGTGAGTGACAACTCCATCGACAACCGCCTTAGGCAAAGTCAATCCCATGAGTGTTAAATGTAAATGGGGCTATGTTTTCAAGCCAAAAGTGAATCATAAAGGGTAAAACTTCTTGTCCATATCTGTATAGGGGTGGGGATAACTTGAAAATGCAAAAGAAAGCCAAAGGGGAAGAGTCAAAGTGGGTGGAGGGAAAACTGAAACAAAAAGGAAACTGATGGTACAAACATCCATTTTTCCTTCCAGAGGCACTGGTTGGGAGATGCATTAGGAGACTGGGTGGCTAAGAGAATTTCAGGTCTGGGAGCAGAAAAGGGAATCACACAGGCCCACATTAGCTGTGGCCAGGATTTGGAGTTTCTTGTAGGTCTTATTTCTGTTTCACTTTATAAGACAATATAAGCATTGGCTGAAGAAATTAAATAATGTATATGCTTGGAAAATCCATGAAAAGATCTGAATATTTTGTGTATTCGATGCAAATATTTCTTTGAGTGCCCTGTAAAATACAGATTTTCTAACACGGTAAATCACTGGATATCATAATGGTGAGGGATGGCATGAGAGAGAGGAGGTCCTGGGATCAACCCCTTCACCTCCATTTTACTCTTTCTCCTTGAGTAAATTGGGAATCAACAAATAAACAAACTCTAAGGAACAAATCAAACAAATATCTACAAGCACCTCAGAACACCTACCAGCACCCTTTGAAGCTAGAGTCCTGCATGAATTAGTTTCCTCTAATGAGATGCACTTGTGGGTGGGGTTTTTAGAATACGAAAGTGAGAAAAATGGAATCTGTCTGCAGCTTCAGGTTGTTACCACTGGTTGGAAAGGTGGTAGTTTTTTGGCAGCAATTTCCAGAATTGCTTCTTGGATGTCAAGAAACAACGGTGGTAGCAATAGGTCTCTTGCTTTGACTTCCCAATACATGAGTAACATTTTAGGGGCCCTTTTTTTGGTTTTCAGGTGTCCAAAGGCCACTGCGGAAGGGGCAGGGGCTGCTAGGGAGGGGGCTGCTGCTCTGACTCCTGCTGACCAAGCCTCAAGTTGTCCTCCTGCCTCAGCCTCCCAAAGTGCTAGGATCACAGGTGTGAGCCACTGCACCCACCTCATAAGTTGAGAGTTTGATGAGGAATAGAATATCTATCAAGTCTCAAAGTACTTCCCTATAAAATACTTTTAAATGCAAAGGAAAAAAAAAGATTAACTTCACAGTGGAGAAACTGGCAGACTCCGCCTTAATCAACTGATCAAAGTTAACATCACCAGTGATGGAAGAAATTGAAATCATGTGCCACCTTGCAGGATGCAGTGAAAAGAACAGTGTCGCTTCAGTGGCATTTGTGCCAAAGATGCGTAATCGGAATCTAATCACAACCAGTTATCAGACAACCCTAAATTGAGGGACAGTCTACAAAATAACTGATCTGTAATTTTAAAATGTCTAGATTATGAAAGACTGAAAAACTCTTTAAAATGAAAGGACACTAAATATACATAGTAACTACATGCAACTTGTTTTTTCAGACTGGATTATTTTGCCCTAAACAGCATTATTGTGACAATAGGTGAGACTTTAATGGGTCTGAGAATTAGATAGTTGTAGTCTATCAATGTTACTTTCCAAGTTTTGATGGTTGTATTGGCTTATATAGGAGAAGGTCCTTGTAAGAATGATACAGGAGGTCTTCAGGAGTAATAGGGCATCATGTTAAGAAGTTACTCTTCAGTGGTTTACACAAAACATCTTTGTACTGTTCTTGCAATTCTTCCGTGCATTTGAGATTGTTTCTTTCCTCTCTCTCTCACACACACACATACACACACAAACACGGATACACACATACACACACACACACACACCAGTTGTTTAGAGTACTATGCTTGAGGACCATGAAGAAGGAAAGGTGTTGCTGTGGAAGGCTCAGAGGCAGGGAACTTAAGAAGAAAATTTCTTCATCTCTAAGGTTGTGGCAGAGAGAATGGCTGCAAGCCAACATGGAGTCTCCCATTCAGGGCAGCTCCTTTAGGGGGTCTTTGAAAAAAATAAGACAGCACAGAACCAGACAATGGGGGAGCAGTGTTTACAGCTGGTGAGGCCCACTGAGACTGACTTGGGTGGGGCTGCCAGGGTGGGTTTTGATCACACCAATGTCCGATCATCATCACTCATCACGTCTTTATGCACCCGAAAACAGCCTCCCCCATCCTGTCACCTTGGGCTGTTCCAGGAGCAGCGCAGACCCAGGGAGCCTACTTACGGTCTTGACACATGTCAGGCCATGCTGTGTCTAACACTTGATAAGAATGAGCACCTGTTATTCTTACTGTAACCCATTCTTTCTATGCTGGTGACCTACCCTGTGAGTTTTCGACCTTGTTCTAGCTCAGTCTTCCCGTCCCCATGGCTCTCCACCTCTTGCCTCCTTTCCTGTCTATAGCTCTGGTCTCTGCCCTTGGTGTGCTTCTATTCCTCCTTCCTTCAGTGGCAATCCTGGTTATCAGTCAGGTCCTGAGTGAAAAGATTGGCCTTTGGCTGGGAACACCTCTTCCTGCTGAGAGAAGCTGGAGCAAGTGGCCTACTGGAAGGGGTCCATGGGATCACACAGCTTAATTCCATCATTTCACAGTGAGGAGGCTGAGGCCTGGAGAGACTGTGTGACATGCCAGTGTAATATGACAGAGCCAGGAGCAAACCCCAGGTGTTCTGTGTCTTGGCTCCATGTGTCTACTACAGAATATGTTGGAGTCAAAATGGTGGTAGCAAAAAAAAAAAAAAAAAAAAAGAAGAAGTGGAAAAATAGAGAAGAACATCTTACAGAAGCCATAGAATTCAAGTTAAAATATTATCAATTTTATCTGGAAAGGAAGAAGTTATTAAAGCGGGGTGATGTATTTAAGATGGATTATTTGGGTACTAGCTTAAGATGGGATTTCTCAACAGCAGTACTGTTGCTACTTAGGGCCAGATAATTCTTTGTTGCAGGGGCTGCCCTGTGCATTGTTGGATGTTTAACAGCATCCCTGGCCTCTACTCACTAGATGCAGGGGCACCTCCCTAATTGTGACTATCAAAAATGTATTCAACATTGCCAGATGTTCCTTGGGGTCCAAAATTGCTCATGGTTGAGAACCACTGGTTTAATGGTTGGACTGGAACCAAGATGCACTGGGACAAGAGACATGGGTAGGAGTTTATAAGAGTTTACAGTCACCGAGGTAGTGCAGCCCTTGGCTAAGATCTCAGGCTCTGGAGACGATTGCCTGTCTTGAATCATGACCAAACCATTTACCAGCTGGTGGCTTCCTGTGAGTTCTTTAAAATAAGAGTGGTATTAACCTCTATCTTTTAGGATTGTTGTAAAATAATATCTACAAAACACTGCTAGCAGGGCATAGCAAATAGGAAGAGGTTTCATATGTGAAGAGAAATGGAGGGAAAATGCGCAAGCCTTGATGACTGAGAGTGTGGCATATGACGCAAGCTCCAAGTGAAGTCAAGGTGACATGCTTCCCAGGTACATGACACCAGGTGTGGTGGGCAAAACAGCCTACCTAGACCATTCTAGGCAGCCTATTGACTAGTATATTTTGTCAATAACAATTTGATGACTGATGGATAAATTAGATGAGCGGGCACTTAAAGAGTTTTCACTGAAAAACAGACAGGTCAGCTTTTACTAAACATCGTACAGAAGTGTGAATCCAAGAAAAGTAATCAAGTTAGTTGCCTCATCTTTGATTCAAATACAAAGATAGGTATGGATGTGCATATTTATTTAGAGTGAGAAAATAAACCATGACAAATGCCTGAAGCTCAGCACCTTTCCTTTCCTGATGTCTTTAGGCAACTTACCAGAAATGCTTACCCCGAAATGATTCCTGAGTGCAACCTGCCTTCTCCTTGGCACCCAGAACACTCTACAACTGCCAGCAGGCACAGGGGCCCATGCAAGTGCAGGGGCTTGAAGTTTTAGCTTTATTAACTCCATGCTAAAGCCACCACTAACCAAAGTATGCAAATCCCAGGGGACTGTGCAATAGTGTTACTATAGCACTATGTGCATTGTTCATGGACATTCAGGAAATATTTCATGGAAATGAAAAGTTTCCTCACAATAACCCCAGCATATCTGAGCTCCTGTTTTCTGTAACATCCAAATGGTGTGCAGGAAGACACTCCAGCCATGGGTATGTGAATGGGTTCACTTGGCTTCTGTTTGGTTTTTACATTTGTATTGTTTGCTCTGCCAGAGGTACGCATTTATTTTATTTTCCCCGCTGAAAATTTATGATTCTCCCACTATGAGACCTCACTTCCTTTCACAAAATTCTTTTTTTTTTTTTTTTTTTTTTTTGAGATGGAGTCTCGCTCTGTCGCCCAGGCTGGAGTACAGCAGCACGATCTCGACTCACTGAAAGCTCTCCCTCCCGGGTTCACGCCATTCTCCTGCCTCAGCTATTTGTATAACTTTTTATGCTTTTCAATGCAGTTTCATACACATTAACCCACGTGTACTACTATTTTTGCATCAGAAATGGCTGTTGGCCCAAGATAGAATTTCCAATTTTATTCTTAAACTTTTGTGGTCCTTCCATAGTTTGCTTTTTAAAGAATATTATATGTTGTTCAGTCCACAAAGTTCATTCCTAATTAAAGCAAGTTCGGGATATAAACGGAAACGACCAGCAGTGGGGGCAGATTACTAACACTTTATGGCGCATTTATTCTAAACTTAGACAATACCCTCAGAGTCTTCCAAATTGAATCACAACCTCATAATTACTACTTCCTGTCCTTTCCCTCTGTGTGAAATTGTCTGTCCCAGGGGCACTGCACAGTATTGTCAGATATTTGTTCTTTATAGATTGTGTGCCACCATACATGAACTGAGACTAGCAAGATGGCACTTTCCATTTTTCATGAAGAGACAATTAAAAAATAAAATCTAGATAACTGCATACTTTCGGTAAACATATTGATCTCTCCCCTAAAAGTCACTGTTTTTAAAATCTTACTTTTAAAGCTAAAATTTTTGAAGTTTGTGAATCCAATCAAATTCCATAGAAGAATTTGAAGAATTTCATTCTATACACGTGTGTGCTCACATGCTCATATATTGCTGTATTGTGCTGTTTTATAGATGATTAATATATATTAAAATAATACATACTATTAATATATATTTACGTATAATATATAAACTGCATCATGCAGTTTTATAGGTGATTAATATGAGAGGCAATTTTCATTTACTTGGCAGCAATATATATATGCATAAGGAAATAACACTAGTTTAAAATTTATTAACAATTGGAAGCTTTTCCAAATTTTCTCCAACCAGATTTAAAGACAGAGAAGAAAAAAACTCAGTTTCAAAATAATTGAGGTTCAATGTCATGTACCAGGAATTCCATATTCTGTTGGGTGACAAATATCTAATGGATATGGGGGCAGAGTGAGGTGAGGGGAGGTGAAGGAGAGGAGAGGAAAAACACTAACTTGTCTAAAAATAGGAAGTGTTACTTAAGGCTGGTGTACCCTTCCTCATGTGTGATCATAAAAAAGTGCAATTCATAGCTGACTTTACTAGGAGAATTAAGTACTCAGATGCACCCATCCAAAATTGCAAATTGAAGGTAAGTTTGATAATTAGCTTTAATAATAATGTTGCATAATAGTAACCAAGGGAAGAATTTGGATAGCTGTGAATTTTTTCCTGTGAAAACCACATTTCAGATGAATGAACAACAGCTAAAACTGTGATGAATCTAGGGCTCTAGCAGAAGCCAAAAGCTGACTCAATTCATTTGTAGTTAACTGATCTAATTCCTGGTCAATAGCAGGTGACATGAAGCTGTAGTTAAATGAACCACATATCTGCATCTCATACCTGGAGAGGTTTATGGTCACTTGGGATGAGTTAGCCATCTCTTTGCCTGGTATATCTCCAACTATCTATGCATCAAAGACTATGCTTATCTCTCCTGGCATTTGGTTTCAGAGAGTGTGACTATGCCTACAGAATTATGAACATCTCTATCCTTCTCCCTATTAGGTTGGTACATATCACCTGCTGATTAATGGCTTGATTCTTAGGTCTTGACATCCCTGTAGACTGCCAGCATTTATCATCATTGGGAAACTTGTTGGCAATGCAGCCTTGAGTCCAACCCCAGACATCCTGAATCAGAATGGGTATTTTAACAATTCCCAGGTGATTCAAAGTTACCTTAGTATTGGAGAACCACTGCTTTGCACGACATATCACAATTTTTAAAAAAATCAGTATTGTCACAAAAGCCTCCAAACCCATCCTCCAATCACCATTCTCACCCCATTTCATTAACATCTTCATGCAGCCCCCAAGTGCATTTCTAAGGCACAGTTTGGATGGTAAAGGAAGTGCACTTACAGTCTCCCAAAGGCTTCCTGCAGCCTTCAGGATTAAGTTCCAACCTAGCCCTTTCTGATCTCTTCCTGCCTACCATGCCAGATGTACTTCTTAACAGGGGCAGGGATGCCAACTCTAAATTAGATGGTCTGAGAAGTCTTCTGGAGGAGGTGATAGTTGAACAGAGCCCAAGTGACAGGAGCCTGCTATGCCAGGGACATGCCTCCTTGCCTTTACACAATCTGTTTCCTTTACCTGGGGGAATGTGGTCACTTTGCTCTGCTCCCTGCATCAATTTTGTATTCATTTTCCCAGATTCAACTGAAATGTCATCCCCTCTTAAAGAGTCTTTTCATAGCAACCCTGGTTCCGCTCTGAATTAGTTCCCTTGCTCTGGACTCACATGGCCCTATGTGTCAGCTACAAGTGATCCAGATGTGTACGACCTCCAGCCCTGTGTGTCAGGCTAAAATGGCAATGTGTGGGTTTGATTCTCCAGAAGCAGACACAGATATAGAGTTGAGGGTAAAAGATTTTCATTCAGGATCAACAGTTATGGATAGAAGACAGACAAATCAGTACTGGTTGAAGACATTAAGCCATGATACAGATCTGATAAAACCTTGGCCAACCCAGTGGGGAGCTCTAGAGAGAATATTTTCCATTACAGTGTCCAGGATGGGGCCAAAATGGTGGGACTTTGTAACCCCACCTGACTTAAGAGCAGAATGCAGATGGCCCAGGAAGGGTGTCCTCTTCCTGGGCCACCTGCAGGAAGAGGCAATGCAGTCCTCTGCAGCTGAGACAGACCATGAAGGGACTGACAGCTAGAAGCTGTCTGGGGCCCCATTACCTGCCACTGGCCACCAAGTCTTTTCTTGAAGAGAAATCTATGTTGTACATCTCTATGTCTACCTCAGTACTCATAAAAAATGCATATATTATTCACTGGAGATATACATATGGGTAAATATTATAGAGAATCACTGTTACACTTGTAACTTTTAGTTGTTCCATAATCACAGCTAAAGAAAAGTTATGGTTTTGGTATTGATTATCCACAGTGCATACCTGTTTTAAATTTAAATACCATGTGTATAAATATTTAAAGTTTTTAATGTATAAAATGAGTTTGCTTCTTGTTTGTTAACTAATATAGTCTAGGTTGGATGATACTACTACTCACAGGGGATAACATGTATCTAAACTACTTCTGTGTTTTATCTTCATAGCAGTCATAGAGAGACCAATATTATGGAAATAGGCTGATGGAAATGGAAGATGTTTTTAAAGCAATTTACATCAGCCTAGGATATTAACTTTTATCCAAAGTGAAGTGATAATGTATTTTCAAAATTCATCTTCCATACGATTCAGTAGCCACTTCTAAAAATTTAACCTGTAAATTTACAATTAAAATTAAATTTTTTGTGGTGAGTGAAATAAATTCTGAATTTTATCTTTTTAAAGGTCGCAGTGAAAAATTAATCCTAAACTATCACATGTTGTAACATAGCCTTGCTGCACGTGTTGTGCGCCCCGCACAACTCCCCAGCTGAGATTAGCAATGCCCACACTGGTCCTTATCCTGTTCAGCAAGGCAGGTCCACTCATCATGGACTTGGATGGTGGGGCAAGATCAAATTGCTATTTGATTGAACGTTTATTCTCAATTTCTTTACTTTTCTTATCACAGAGTGGCAAAAATTTTTTCACAGACTGGTCTGAGGACACAATTTGAGGAGCCCCGAATTATATAATGAAATAAATATGAAGTGAAAGTGATATAGATTTGGGGCCAAGAAAAATCTTATGCAAACTGAAAGTTTGGGGAAACAGAAGAGTCTCAGTCTGCAAAGAGACGAGTAGAGAAAAAGTCAAAGCCTATGGAGTTCATTCAGATACAGGGAAGCAGCCTCATTTCTTGACCTTTGCCAGTTGGACCCTAGAAGATGTTGCCATCAATGAAATTGTCTTCTTGGCCTGACCTGTTTTGAGTGTAGTTCTGTTTTGTGCAACAAAAGGATCCCTGGCTAGGATGTTATATGTCATTAATACACCACCACCGAAAAAGCGATTTTAGAGTGAATATGTAAGCCTTTTTAATCCAAAGCTGGCTGCCCAGGTTCAGCTACAAGTGATCCAGATGTGTATGACCTCCAGAAAACAAGGTTGAAAACACTATTAGCTTGGATAGGTATTCTGGTCTGTTTCTTTCTTTCTTTTTTTTTTTGAGACAGAGTCTGGCTCTGTCGCCCAGGCTGGAGTGCAGTGGCGCAATCTCGGCTCACTGCAAGCTCCGCCTCCCGGGTTCACGCCATTCTCCTGCCTCAGCCTCCCGAGTAGCTGGGACTACAGGCGCCCGCCACTATGCCCGGCTAAATTTTTGTATTTTTAGTAGAGACGGGGTTTCACCGTGTTAGCCAGGATGGTCTCGATCTCCTGACCTCATGATCCACCCGCGTCTGCCTCCCAAAGTGCTGGGATTACAGGCTTGAGCCACCGCGCCCGGCCTCTGGTCTGTTTCTTTTTGCTAACACTACCAGGGTATTGTGATATTCTAAGCCTTAGTGCATATGGGAACATCTTGATTTATTCTGAAAGTTTTGGAGAAAGGAGCAAGAAGTTGTAAGGTGGACAAGAGAGTGGAAGGTCAATGGCCATCTTCAAATCATGTTCCAAGTTTGTGACTGCTGGCTGTGAATTGTATAGGAAGGGGATTTCCATGCCAGTAGCTCTGGTCAAGGCTGATGTCATTGACTAACAAGCATGACCAATGGCTGCTGCTGCAAAAAAGATGACGAAAATGTGACTACTGCTACTAGCTGGACTTTTCTCAGGGAAAGATGAGATGGATCCACCTGGAATTGCCTGGATCAGGAAATTGGGCTATTATATCTATCTATCTATCTATCTATCTATCTATCTATCTATCTATCTATCTATCATCTATCTATCTATCCTCCTATACATATCCTGCTATATATATATATATCTCCTACAAACAATTTAATAGACTTTTTGTTGTCGTCATTTTGTTCACTGGTATAATTCTACCTTGCCTTCACATATGTGGGTGTTTGTTATTTGCTGATGAGCATTCAAGATGATGTTTATATATTCTGGTTTTGCACAGATGTGCCTAGGGATTCAAAACATTGAGACTTCATTATGCCTCTTTTAATGACTAGATATTTATTGACTAAATTAATTAACACATTTATATATTCTTAGTCACAAATATCTCCATTGTCAATGATTTAGTTTTTCCATGGGAGACATTGGAGTCATTCATTAGGGTATATCATTAGACTCCTGCAAAACAAAAATAATCCTAAACTATTATTATCCCTGGAAAACCACATTAAATGAGAGCACATACATTAAAAGAGTTACTGGGGAATCATGAGCAGCTCATTTCTGTTGTAGCTCCTAAAATCTGAGCAGCATGCATGGAGGATGATGATATTGGCTAACTCAAAGATTTCACCTCTGACAGTAAGGAAACATGCCAATCAATTCATACTTTTAGGAGGTGATAAGAAAACAGAAACCATTAGGACCAAAATTATGGGGATCAGCAAAAGAGAATCATTCTGGACTTAACAGATGCCAACTCATACTCTGGTTTTATTCCCACATGAATTCATTATATATCAAATAGAAACTCTATATCTCTTAAAACTCTCAACTCTTTCACTTGGGGAGTAGGAGCCAGTAACATTTCTGACCTATTGACTGACAAATATCCACCCTAAACTGGCCATAGTTCATTAAAAATAATATGTATGTGTGTGTTTTATGTCATCATTTTATTGAGCCCCAAACGTTCATTGCTCATTCTGAGGCTAGGAGGTTAAATTGATGATATTGCAGTATTTATCTAACTTTTCTGAAAGTTATTCTCCATAACCTCAGGTTTGACTATTTGAGGGAAACTTCAGGCACAGGGATTTTTTAGCACATTCTGCTTTTGAGAAACAGGCTGCTAAAACTGTAGATGCAATAAACATCACACACTCAGTTTGCTTACCACCATCCCGCACCCCTCCACAACTTCGGTTGTTGACAATAGGCAGGTTTTAATATGTCAGTTCACAAAGCTCTCAGGCCAACGTCACGTTTTTGTCACTGTGAAGTCAGTGGATGTGCTCAGCATTGTCTGCCCTTTGTGGTGTGGGGCATGAGCTTTACATAAGCTGGCATGACACATGTGGACAAACTGTCTAAGCAACTTGGGGAATTTAAAATACACGGTTATATGCCTCAGATGTACCTTACCCAAAGGCTTCCATTTCCTAACTTTGTCCTAGATCGAAGCCTTGACTCTTTCTCCCTCTGCCTCTCTCTTTAGGCTTAAGTTGGAGCATGGGGACGATAACACAGCATTCAAGAAAAAGGTGATTTCTGCTCAAAGATGTACTAAGCATTTTTTAAGCCTCATTATGTAAATTATTACCCTAATACACAGATTCTTCTCTTGTTCAACAGAGCCCTTAGACATTAGACAGCCCACTATAAACTCAGAATATTAAAAAGGTTTTTTATCCAGTTACTCATTAACAAGCATTTTGGAGTTCCTACTATGCTCCTGATGTACAAAGGTCTAGCTAAGGCCGTTTCAGAGATTCAGGTCCAAGGCTAATTATATTGTGTTTTCTTCCAATTGTATCCTCCTCTCTCTAATATTTTTATATAGGCAAGAGTAGGCTAAAATTAACTTCTAGCTTGAAATGTAGAAAGAGTAGCATAAAGACAACCTACAGACTGCAGAGCCAATGTGAAGATTGGGGAGGACTGACCTGTATTTCTCAACATGTGGCTTTGGGGTTTGGGGGTAAAAAAGGAAGGGAGGTTCTAGAATAACCCATGAAACTCAAGAGTGTTTAGCATCAGCTCTTGAGTCACCGTCTTTGCCCTCACATGTGTCCTTTCTTAGTCACTGCCAGGTCCTTGTCAGGGCTCTTCCCAAGAAGAAGAGGAGCAAGGCAAGGTCAGCAAAGAATATACCATCTCAGGTTAGTCTTGAAGGTAAGCACAGTACTTCTTAGTGAAGACCACAGGAGTCATTCTTCCAAAAAAGCCCACAACACACTGGTCTCACAAGGCTCACTAGGGTCAGACCGGAGACCAGGGGTCGGGGTGGCATGGGTGACAAGCGCAGCTGGGCTGGTAGTGCTGGCAGTCTTGTTTCCTCTGCCTCTGGCTTCCCATTTTCTCACAGCTGGACCACTGATTCCCCTCCACACGTATTCTCCATCTTGGTCCTGCTCTTTGCCAATCTTGATGCTAACTGAAGAGTACGTCCGTAGTCTTTTCTCCACCAGGATTACACACCCAGATTTACATCACCATTAGGCACCGGGGGTCAAATGGCCCATACACACCTGCAGGGCTCCCAGCATTGCTCTATATTCACTGATCGTACCCAGACCAATGAGTCCCCCTGGAGTGATGCCTAGATTGAGATTTATGCAAGTTACAATTGCCTTCTGCCCAGCTCCTGCTCTTCTAGGACTAGAATTTTTCTATTGCTTGGTCCCTGGACTCAGGGATTTATGATTCTGCCTTAACTTTGATGATATTTCCTCCTCTCTGGGGTGGGAATTTTCATCCTTGACTCCAGCCTAGTTGCTGGGATCCTACTCCCCACAGAGAGAGTTTGCAGGATGATTATCTGTCTTCCAGCACTCTGATCTCTGGATTTGGGTCCATGTCCCTTGCTGGCCCAATTGGAAGCCCCACTTGGAAGCCAAATGTTATTTGAATCATGACTGACACTGGTATTGGCTTAAATACTATTTAAAAGAGTTTGGCACTATTCTTTTCTGTTCTTCTTGGGCCAGGAGTCAGCATCTACATCCCACTTTCCCACCACAAATTCTGCCCCTATATGTGGCTGGAGAACCAACATGCATTGTACTCAAATACAATTTAATCAAATATAAAGACATGCTATGTACATGAGAACCATGGACCAGGCTGATGGACAATCTCAACTGATTACTGTGATGTTAAAATTCTGGTTTTCTATGTAATAACAAAAATAATAATAAACAGAAGCAGCAGCATTAACACTGGTGTAATGCAATACTTTGTATGTGTACTTATTTGGTCCATACAACAAGCCTATGTGAGTGCTGTTGTAACCTCCATTTTACAAAGAGGAAAAATCAGGTCACAGAGAGGGAAACTGACTTGCTCATGGCAACATGGCTGGTGAGCAAGATGGCTGGGATTCAAACCCAGGCATGCTGCCTTCCAAGCCCACATTTTCACCATCATGCTCCACTGCCTCTCTGAAACAGGGGGACACCTTAGGCTCACAGTGTAATTCGTGGTAAACTCGAGAGTACTTTTGGAACTATTTACATAAAATATTTCTGTTTCAGTAGAATAACTACTAACTAAAGCTAATTTTAGGTTTGTACCCTGCCAACAACACTCACACACACACACACACACACACGCACAAACACACAGACTGACAGAGACACATATTTACCTCTCATTGTATACATGATCAATTTGGGTAAGAGTTTTGGAATGAAAATCAAATACCATAAAATATATAAAGGGATTAACACTGTGCCTTGTGTGTCATAAACATTTGATAATATGTTTTTTACTTACGTTTATTATCATCCTTAATACCTGACATGTCAGTATTATGAATTAATATGCAGTCTTCCCATACTACTATCCTAGATACAGTCACTCACTATAAAAATATATGAGAGAAACATAACATGTTGCCTTTTTCACTGTGGTCCTCTGCCTTTGGACATCTCCCTAGAATGCCTTGCATGACTATTTCCCCATATGTAAAATGGATGCTAAAATTTTGTCTTTTGACATCACAATAATGTTGGGAGGTAAAATAAAATAATTTGCAAATTAAAACCCTGTGAAATGGACAGTTTTAATGAAATACTAGGAAAGCTCCTTAAAATTAGAAATATACCATTTTGAAGCAGTTTTTATTAACAAGAAATAGCATGTCCAATAAAGATCATAAAATTCTTTTCAAGTACATAAAATGGGGACTTCTCTCTCTCTCCTCTCTCTCTCTCTCTCTCTCTCCATAAACACACACACACACACACACACACACACACACACACACACCCCTATGTATCTCTCCAGGGCCAGCTTCATGGGTGTGATCTGTGCAGTCCCACAGGGTCTCATGCTTACAGGGTCCCTGTGCTTGCTCTGCTGCACTGCTTTGAATGTTTAAATAATTAATGAACTGGGGCCCCACATTTTCATTTTGTACTGAAACCCACCAAGAATGTAGCTGGTCCTATATCTACCATCTATCCTACCTATCTCAGATCTGTAATGGGACCTATCTTGCATTGTAGAATTGATTCACTTGGAGAGCGTTTTCTCCACAGGGTATGGTAACTCCTAACAAGGGGCTTAAGCCAAATGTGTAACAGAGGAGAATTAACACATTTACAATAATAATTATTCTTTTTACTATGACTAAATTTAGACACTTATGTCCTGGCAAAGTGACTTAATCAAAAACTAAGTAAGGTTCATTTGGGAGGAGAAAAAAAAAGTGTCAGCAATACCTGTGTAAGTCAGGGAGGAAAGTGTTACTTTGAGAATGCTCCCACTTTTGGACCTGGTTGTTAAGCAGCTCCCATGTTCAGCTGTCCATGCTGGGGCCTGGATGATGAAAACAGATGGCCATGAGGGCTGCACTTCTCCTTGTCCCTTGTCCTGGGCAAGGGCTACACACCACCCTCCAGCAGGCTTCAATCTCATACTTAGAGCGGCTCTTGTTTCCTTGCCAGTCATTTTTGAAAACAGTTTCATTGCTATATAATTCACATATCATAAAATCCACCCTTTAAAAGTGTAAAATTCAGTGTGTGTGTGTGTGTGTGTGTGTTTTACCATATTCACAGAGTTGTGCAACTATCACCACAGTCAATTTTAAACATTTTTCAATATCACCCAAAGAAATCTTCTGGTTAGCAGTTTCTTTCCTGTCCTCTTTCTCTGCCCTTCCCTTAGCCCCTGGAAACCAGAAATCTACTTCTGTCTCTATGGATTTGCCTATTGTAGACATTTCATGTAAATTGAATCACACAGTATTTGTCCTACTGTAGGACAAATTATTTTGCTTAGCATAATGTTTTCAAGGTTCATCCTTATTGAAGCATGTATCAGTACTTCATTCCATGATATGGCCAAGTAACATTTCATTATACAGATATACTATGCTATGGTTTGAATGTGTCCCCAGAAAGCATGTGTTGGCAACTTAATCTTGGATGTAACACTATTGGGAACTGGGGCCTACTGAGAGGTGATTAGGCCATGGGGGTTCTGAACTCACAAATGGATTAATGCCATTATGCAGGAGTGGGTTACAGAACAAGCTTGGCCCCCTTTTCTCTGA
Source organism: Homo sapiens (assembly GCF_000001405.40). Taxonomy (NCBI): domain Eukaryota; kingdom Metazoa; phylum Chordata; class Mammalia; order Primates; family Hominidae; genus Homo; species Homo sapiens. The sequence continues at coordinate 47,914,526 of NC_000015.10, read as the reverse complement.
CACATGCACCCTCTACCTTCCACCATGGATGACATAGTAAGAAGGTCCTCACCAGATGCCAGCCCTTGATCTCAGACTTCCCAGCTTTCAGAACCATGAGAAAATACATTTCTGTTCATGATAAATTACCCAGTCTTAGGTATTCTGTCACAGCCCTGCAAAATGGACTAAGACATACCACATTTAATTATTCATTCATCAGTTGGTGGACATTTGGGTTGTTTCCACTTTGGAACTATTATGAATGATGCTGCCAATAATATTCACATACAAGATTTTGTGCAGATATATGCTTTCATTTTTGGGGGTACATACATATGAGTGGAATTACTGAGTCAGGCAGTAAGCCAGTCATTTTTCTACATAGCTATGCAAAGAAGGTTCTTCTATCAGTATCACTAAAACCAAATTAGACATTGAATATGAAAATCCCTAAGGCTCCAAATTAGATAGTAGTGAAATCTTTCATACTTAGATTCAAAACTTGGAGCCAGATTTGCTAGAACAGCCATGGCATAACTGGTTTTATAATTAAGTAAACAAACCCCAGAAAAGGTAATATTTTTGCCCTCTAGCCCAGTTAGAGCAGATAATCCAAGATTTTTTTCTTGACTTCTGCCAAAAATTGCATTTGGCATCTGCTCAGGATCATACTATCTCCTGAGGCACTTTGGGAGGTCTGGCCTGGGAGATATTTGTAGAGAAATATACCAAAAATTAACCAAGTCCCTGTGTGTGTGCCTAGGACACAGGCTCAGGAGGGAGCAGCTTCAGGAAGGGAAATTAATTTGAGGTAAGAGGTTTTCAAAAAATACTGTGGCTATTGCTAAGGCAATGTTTTCAGACTTTAAAGTACACGCAAGTAGCCCAGGCATGTTGGTAAGTGCATAAAGTGATTTAGCAGGTTTGAAGAGGAGGATTAGAGCCTGCATTTCTTTTCTTTTCTTTCTTTCTTTCTTTCTTTCTTTCTTTCTTTCTTTCTTTCTTTCTTTCTTTCTTTCTTTCTCTCTCTCTCTCTCTCTCTCTCTCTCTTTCTTTCTTTCTTTCTTTCTTTTCTTTTCTTTTCTTTTTTTTTTTTTGAGAGAGAGAGAGAGTCTTGCTCCATCACCCAGGCTGGAGTGCAGTGGTGTGATCTCAGCTCACTGCAACCTCCACCTCCCGGTTTCAAGCAATTCTCTTACTTCAGCTTCCTGAGTATCTGGGACTACAGGTGCCTGCCACTATGGCCAGCTAGTTTTTGTATTTTTAGTGAGACGGGGTTTCACCTTGTTGGTCAGGCTGGTCTCGAACTCCTGAACTCAAGTGATCCACCTGCCTCGGCCTCCCAAAGTGCTAGGATTACAAGCGTGAGCCACCGTGCCCGGCCCAGAGCCTGCATTTCTAACAAGTTTCCAGGTAATGTCAATGCTGCTTGTCCCCTCATTCACAGGTTGAGTAGCAAGGCTCAATGGCACCTCATAGTGGCCATAGGTTGGGCTAAGTGGTACATCTTCCTGAGCTCTGAGCAGTTCATAGACCCCAACTTGCTGCCCAGAATTTGACTTCTGTGTGGTCTAGGCCAGGGATGTCCAATCTTTTTGCTTCCCTGGGCCACATTGGAAGAAGAAAAATTGTCTTAGGCCACACATAAAATACACTAACACTAGTGATAGCTGATGAGGTAAAAAAAAATGCAAAAAAACTCATAATGTTTTAAGAAAGTTTATAAACATGTGGTTGGGCTGCATTCAAAACCGTCTTGGGCCACATGCCGTTTGGACAACGTAGGTCTAAGCAAAATAAAGATTGTTAGCACCCAATATTCCACTCCCCACTAGTACACCAGGGGAACAGAGAAGACATGAGCTCCACAAGCCCATGCTTCTTTTGCAGAATCAACGACTCTCATCTGGTCTTTCAATCCAATTAAGCTCAGAAGCTTAATTAGGTGGCGCCTATTTGAAAGTCGGGCGGCATCATGGCACAGTGAAAGGCCAGTGTCAGACCAGAAATCAAGAATAATTGAAAACAAAATTTAAAAGGGTACTGGACTCTCCTAAAAGACATTAAACGGGATCTAATTTAAAAGCCGCAGGAGAACGTTATCACAATGCTACTTTCCCAACCTCCCTCTCAGTCTCCCAACTCAACGCAATGGCCTGCAAGCTCTCCTTTGTTCTTCTGTGTCTCTCAACTCCATCTCTCTGTCTTGCCCATACAGACTGTCTTCTTCCTGTCCCTTTCCTTTCCTCTGGGAGAAGTTTTAATTGTATAGACACTGCTTCTCAGACTTTAAAGTGCACACGAATCACCTGGTATTTTGTTTAATTTTGTTGGAACAAAGATTCGAGCATGGTAGTTCCAGAAGCACCCGAGAATCAGCATTTCCAGCAAGTGTCTAGGTGATGCCATGTGTGCCATACTCTGAGGAGCAATGGAGGAGATGATCTCAGCCTCACTGCTTCTCTTATTTCTCCTCTTCCTCCTTCACATAAGTAATAACTGCAGAGTAAATAGAATAAAGCAGGCTTTCTCATTCTCAGGTTTAGCATCTGTAATAGTGATAACAATGAAGGCTACTTTTCTGAAGTTGGATTGAAATTAAATTTAGTAAGAATATATGGAAGGCCTGGCACAGTAGATGCTAAATAAATATTATCTTATTCCACCTTCCTGAGTTCCTTCTGGAGCTCTAGGCAGGTGTTTTATGAGTGCAATGGGTACACAAGCATTAATAATTGATCTTAGCAGATATCCACAAGCTAGATTTTTCCCTATTAAAAAATCACTACTTATTAACACGGAAGTATGAACTATATAACAAATCACTGAAAAGTGTAATCATACTGACTTAGAAACTGCATGAATTGGGGGTGACTTTCCTTTTGTGCCTAGGTTATCTAAAATGAGGTAGAAATTTCAGAGAAATTAATTAACTAGACTATCAAAGATTAAGTTTAAAATGTCAGATACTACCCACATGGCTTCTAGCCCTCCCTCTGAAGGTGGGCTCTTAAATTATCTGAATGATTCTGAGCCCTGGCTGACTTTGCTGTCTCAGTAGAGGGCAGATGACAAATTGGGTGTCCTGCCCTGTAGCGGGGTGTCTTTAGTACTGAAGAAATTCCTTTCCAAGGGAGGAGATGTTCATTCTGACTTCTGTAATATGCTTCCTCAAGGCAGGAAACTGAGACCTTGAGGACACCCCATCATGATTCTCTAATTTCATCAGGGACATTGAGGGGCAAGATTTTTATATTATCTAATAGAACACAGAAAATCAAGCTAGTGTGACTTCTGAACAAAGAGGGACTTTTAATAGGAAAACCTCAGACATTACACATTCTCATTTCTCGTTGCATTTTGTCGTCCATCTTCTGGGAAAGAGGCAAACAGATCATAGTGTAACTCGTTTAGAACAATAGACAATTGTCACAGTCTATTAATTCCATCTGCTTCTGACGGGAAGGAAAAATGGTTACACAGTGAAGTCAGAGGGTCTTAGGCACAGAAGGGGATTTTCCTGAGGGTCTCCCACAACAAGTACTGATATATAATTAGAAGTATGATGTAAATAAGAGAACCAGTGCCAGTCTTGGTCCTCTGTGTTATCAAGGTTTCAGTTTTCCCCTCACTGTTTCTGTGATCTGAGCCCACTCTTTTAGGTCAAAAAAATTATTTCATTGGAGAGCTGGGCTTGGAGCTGCAGTATGAATGTGGATAATGAGAGAGTAGAGGGGAGGAGGGAGATTTGCTTCAAATCAAAGTGAGATGATATTATTTGCTATACAGTGTAGTTTTCTACCCAATTTCTCCTACCCATTATCAAGCTATTTCTAAACCAGAAGGAAGACAATGCCTAAATATTCTTAGGTTTCTTGGTTTCTTGGATTTCTTGATGATTCCTAAATCACTGGATTTTGTTGTTGTTGTTTTACTATTTTAAAAAAAGTTCATACAAATTGGGGGCATTATTTGGGCAATCTCTTCCTTTATTACATCATCCCAGGAAGGATCCCTGAATTGGGAGCCAGTCTCCTCACTCTTCAACTTAGTACTCATGTGATCTTGGGTAAGTACTTTAAACTCTTTAGGCCTTTTCCATAAGGGGGTAGATCAGTCCCTATTGGTGTTTTCCAATATGCAATGTTTGGAATAAGTGTTAGGCAAAAATAAGATTCACAAATTAAATAAATACAGACAAGGCTGAGTTAGGGTTTTCTTTGCTGCAGGACTTCTCAGAGTCCTTAATGTGCTAATATATATTAGAAATTTCCAAAATGAGGCCAGAGTGTGCTCCTTTCTGAAAAAAAAATTCCAGCTTCACTTGCGTGATCTTGAACACATTTTGGAAAAAGATGATCTAAATAATATTTGAATTTTAACTAACTAGTTTAGTAATAGTTATCTTAAAGGGATATCAGATCCTACTTTTCAAGTTGTTAATCTAGAGAACATTTTCAGAAACTTCTCACGTACATGAGAAAATGTCATTCCTTTCAGCATTTTCATTGACATAACATGAATTTGGTGTCAATTATAAAAGAACAAATGAATTCAATACTTTTATATATTGCAAGTAAAAGTTGTTTGCATCTGAAACTAATTATTCAGGCTCTTGGGACTGCTGCACTAATTAGTTGATCTGGGGAATGTTTATGTGATTCAAACATTAGCTCCAAATATACTTGATCAAATGTTTTAGGCTGTTTTAGAAACCCATCCGATTAATTTTACGACCAAGCTGATGATTTGAAAACTTCTTTTGAAAGTAGTCCAGGAAAAAAGAATAGACTTCATTCTGGTTGATTCAAGGGATATATACAGGGAACGCTAAAGCTCCTTATAAACCATTATCTTGGTGGATTACAGAGGCACAGAAGGGTCCACCAACTGTAATTTCCAGTGAAAGAAATTATGAGTTATTAATTGTCTGTAGAACTTGGGATTCATCCTCAGAGGGGATATCATTGTCTTTGCAGGAAGAAGACCTAGTCACAAACAGGCTATTACAGTAATCCAAGCAGTGATGACTAACCATCTATTCATTTTAATTTCTTGGGTAATTGGTTCCATCTATTAGCAGTCAGCCACATATTTAAAAGACTTTTCTCCATAAAAATCTTTCCTCCTGGGTATGATGGTCAGCTAAGCCAGTAAGCATAGTGGATTTTGCCAGCATCTTATATCAGTGATTTCAGACACTCCAGGGATTGGCCATAAATACTTCCTCAAACAAGATCTACCCAGCCATTCCTATTATTTTCTGACAAAAGTAATCCCAGGATGGTACATATTTTGCAATTAGTTTTCTTTTATTATACAACATAGATTTATATCATTTACTTAGCTGAATTCACAATATCCTCAGATCATTGCAGATACCAGTTTAATATGCCATTTCAGAAGGACTAGAGTAGCTCAATCTATTTTACAGTTGGCAATAAAAGCGGTCCTTCCTGAGATAAGAGCACAATAATGATTTTTATGTGGCTTTCACATTTCAAACTTGGATTTAGTTGAACTACAAAATATTTACGTTTTTCACAACCAACAAGTTGTCGTCTTCACGGATTGAATGTAAAGAGACTCCCAACTCCATTTCAGTTTTCAAAAATGTCTGAAATGCATGTTTTCCTCTTACCACCACCATTGCCATCCAATAACCTACATTTTGGAAAAGCAAACCAATGTGACCCATTTACAAGCTGAAACTAAAATGTGCTACCATGTTATTATGAGGAAGAATTATTTAATTTATATCATTCCTAAAGGGATAAAAATATCTGTTCTAAACAGACAAAAAGCATCATTTTGTGGTTCCCTGCTGCTGGAATTATACTGCTTTCCTTTGAAAGGCGTGTGATTCATGCAAAACTCACTTTGTGAACTCAAACACATATCTCCTGAGATCACCCTCTACAATTGTAAAACATAGCCCAAGAAAGAAAAAGAGGATGGATTTATTGTCTATAAGATCAGAGCAAGGAAATGAAATATTTTATTTCATCCTTGAAGGTTAAAGTTGCATTTTAATTAATTTAAAAGGCTTACAAGAATATTTTGGTTTTAAATTTAAAAAGTTATGAAGAATTTCCAACCCAGAAAATTATACAATAGTATCTATGTATGAATTATTAAGAGTAAACTTATGTTAACATTGTGATATATTTCTTGTAATATGCATTTTAAAAGAAGCACTGTGCCCTCCCATTTATTCCCCAGCTTCCCTCTGCAAAGGCAGCTTCCACCCTGAATCTCATGGGTATCACTGCAATGCATATTTTGAAGTTTTACTATGTGTATGTGTATCCCCAAACAATATCTACTTTTCTTTACTTACTTACCTAAATATTTTACTAGTCTACACCTTTTTTGTAACAACTTTAATGGTATGTAATTCACATAACACACAATTCATCCATTTAAAATACAAAACAATTTTGCTGGGTTTTATTATATTCACAGATAATTGAAATCATCACCACAGTCAATTTTGTAATATTTCAACCACCTTAAAAAGAAACTCGATACCCTTTAGCTATCACTTCTCATTACCTGCCCCTCTGCAATGAAAAGCAACCGCTAATCTACTTTCTGTTTTTATAGATTTGCCTATTCTGGAAATTTTACATAAGTGGAATCTAATAATATGTATTTTTATGTGACTGGCTTCTTTCATTAAGCATATGCTTTTAAGGTCTGTCTATGTTGTAATATTCCATCATATAGATATACCACAATTTGTTTATCCATTGATCAGTTGATGACCATATGGGTTATTTCCATTTTTTGGTTATTAGGAAAAATGCTGCTGTAAACATTTATGTATATGTTATTGTGTGGACAGATGTTTTCGTTTCTTTTTGTTATATACATAGGACATGCATTAGTTTTTGAAGCATTTAGCTCTAACTCACTCTAATTCACTCTAACTGCTATATGCTGCTCCATTGTATGAATAAGCCTACTTTTATTTATCTCTTCTCTTGTACAAGCTGGTGGCTTATTCTTTTAGTCTTTGGTTTGTAGTGCTGTAGTAGTGTCTTTATATGTGCTCCTTGTGCATACACAGGGAGTTTCCAAAGGAAGACTTCTACGGGTGGAGGGTAAGCACATCTTGAACCCTTCTAATAACTGCCAAACTGTTTGCCAACATTGCTGTAAACATATTTCATATCTAGCAGCACAATATACACATTCTCATTTCCTCACGTTTTTCTAAAACTCAGTGTTATCTGACGATTTTGCCAATGTGATGTGTGTGAAGTGGTGTTTCATTTGTCTGTTTAATATGCATTTCTCTGGATATTAGTTTAGTTGAGCACATTCTTATGTGTTTTTTGGTCATTCACATTTCCTCTGCAGCAAATCGCAGAATTTCAAAGTTAACATCTGTTTTCTACTGGGTTAGTTTTTCTCATTAAAAGTAACGGCAAAAATTGCAATTACTTTTGCACCAACCTTTAATAATTTGTAACATCCCTTATAGATATTACTTTCACGTTTATTAAAAATAGATTGCAAATACCTTCTCCTGGACTAAAACATTTTTTCCCAACTTTTAATAAGGCTTTTTAAAAATCATACATTGGTTTTAATTTTTAATGTAAAATTTATCAGTGTTTCTTTTGCAACTTACATATTTTGTATCTTATTTAAAAATTCTTTCTTATGACAGTCTTATACTGTGAGTCTTCTGTATTTTTTTCTCAAATGGTAAGTTTTGCTTTTTTCACATTTGAGTTTTAATTCTTTTAAAATTGTGTATGTTTGTGTTTTTATAGAATTAAATAAAAATCTAATTTCACCTTTTTCTATAAAGTTATCTATTTAGGTACCTAATTGTCCTAGCATCATATATTAAATAGACTATTATTTCGTCATTGTCTTGAAATGCCACTTTGGTCATACACTAATTTGTGTGTGTGTGTGTGTGTGTGTGTGTGTGTGTGTAAGCAAGAAAGTAAGAAGGAAGGAAGGAAGGAAGGAAAAATGAAGGAAGGAAGGAAAAAAGAAAGGAGAGAGAAAGAAAGAAAGAAAGAAAAGGAAAGAAAGAAAGAAAAGAAAGAAGGAAGCAAGAAAGAAAAAGAAGGAGGAGAGATCATTTCTGGGCTCTCTATTCTGCTGTTTGTTGCTTTGCCAATACCACATTATTTACTTGAGCTTTATAGCAAATCTTGTTTCTGAGAGGATAAATCACTTCTCTCCTTTATCTTTCTTCTTCATCTTCAAAAATTTTTAGGCAATTTTTTTTTTTTTTTTTTTTTTTGAGACGGAGTCTCACTGTGACTTCCAGGCTGGAGTGCAGTGGTGCAATCTCGGCTCACTGCTACCTCTGCCTCCCAGGTTCAAGCGATTCTCCTGTCCCAGCTTCCTGAGTAGCTGGGACTACAAGTGCGCACTACCACACCCAACTGAGTTTTGTATTTTTAGTAGAGACGGGGTTTCACCATATTGACCAGGCTGGTCTTAAACTCCTGACCTCAAGTGATCTGCCCACCTTGGCCTCCCAAAGTGCTGGGATTACAGACGTGAGCCAGCATGCCCAGCGTAGACTATTTATTTTTTTTGCTATTCCATATATACAGTATTTTAGAATCACATCACAAGTGTTAAAGTACATTTGTTAAGTTCTGTGAAAAAATCTGCCAGTTTTATGTATTGTATTTAAGGTAATTGTATTACATTTCTAGATTAATTTGGAAAAAAATGATCAATTTTGAACTTTGCTGAGATAAGTAGACATTCTAAAATTCAAAGGGTAACTATTTTAAACAATAGAAATGGAATATATAATTTCAAAATGAGTACTAAGTAAAAAGGAGATAACAAAAATATAGTTTATTAAGTTGGCATCTTTGTAATCATATACTGTCTTTTTTTTTTTTTTTTTTTTTTTTGAGATGGAGTCCACTCTATTGCCCAGGTTGGAGTGCAGTGGCATGATCTTGGCTCACTGCAACCTCCACCTCCCAGATTCAAGAGATTCTTGTGTCTCAGCCTTCCAAGTAGCTGGGATTACAGGAGGGTGCCACCATACCTGGCTAATTTTTGTGTTTTTAGTATAGACGGGGTTTCGCCATGTTGGCCAGGCTGGTCTCGACCTCCTGACCTCAGGTGATCCACTCGCCTCTGCCTCCCAAATTGCTGGGATTACTGGCGTGAGCCACCACACTCAGCCTATAATCATATAATGTCTTTTTATATGTTAATATGTTTACTATTTTACTACCAAATCCATTTTACAAACTTTACAAATAATCATTAGGATGTAGTTAAGGAGAAAAAGAGGCAAAGAAAAGTATATGGTAGATGAGAAGAACAAATATTATAAAAGAAACAGTCAAATATATCAGTAATCATAATTATTGTAAATGAACTAAATTCATCAGTTAAAAGTTAGGGATCCTCAGACTGGAAATTTAAAACTTCAGCTATAAATTTTTTACAAATGATGCCCTCCACAGGTAATAAAAAATTAAAAGTAAAGGAAAATTTTTAAAAATACTAGTCCATTGCCAATTGTGACCATCATGAGTACATGTCTCTTGGATCTTCAAGTGGAGGTAGCGTAGTAAACCAAGGGCCCCAGCTGCTGTGCTCTGAATTCATACTTCCCATAGGCTGCTTTCAACCAATGATTCCACATGGCAGGGCTCCTTCAGCAGGCCAGTTCCTGGGAGACATGAGACTCCTCTGACAGATTCCTCTGGCTCCAGTACTCTCTAATGGCCTGGTCAAGCATCTTTTAGGCTGTACCTCAGTCTAAGATGCTTCTACCCAAACTTCTTCCTCCCTCCCTTCTTCTCTCCTTCCCTCAGGGTCAGATTTGCATAGAGATCTGATGACTCTTCCAGTCTCTCCCAGTTTTCTCAAACTTTTCTCTCAAAAACCACAATTATTTTTGATTTTCAAAGTCATCTTGGAGGGCTAGAGGGCCCAGACTTACACACTGACTGATATGGTTTGGCTGTGTCCCCACCCATATCTTATCTTGAATTGTAGCTCCTGTAATTCCCATGTGTTGTGGGAAGGACCCAGTGAGAGATAATTGAATCATGGAGGTAGTTTCTCCCATACTCTTCTAATGGTAGTGAATAAGTCTCATGAGATCTGATGGTTTTATAAGGGGAAACCCCTTTTGCTTGTTTTTCATTCTCTCTTGCTTGTTACCATGTAAGATGTGCTTTTTGCCTTCTGCCATGATTATGAGGCCTCCCCAGCCACATGGAACTGTGAGTCTGTTAAACCTCTTTTTTTTTTTTTTTTTTTAATAAATTACCCAGTCTCAAGTATGTCTTTATCAGCAGTGTGAGAATGGACTAATACAGTAAATTGGTACTGGGAGTGGGGCACTTCTGTAAAGATACCTGAAAATGTGGAAGTGACTTTGGAACTGGGTAACAGACAGAGGTTGCAACAGTTTGGAGGGCTCAGAAGAAGACAGGAAAATGTGGGGAAAGTTTGGAACTTCCTAGAGAATTGCTGAATGGCTTTGACCACAATGCTGATAATGATATGGACAATGAAATCCAGGCTGAGGTGGTCTCATATGGAGATGAGGAACTTGTTGGGAACTGGAGTAAAGGTGACTCTTGCTATGTTTTAGCAGAGACTGGTGGCATTTTGCCCCTACCCTAGACATTTGTGGAACTTTGAATGTGAGGGAGATGATTTAGGGTGTCTGGTGGAAGAAATTGCTAAGCAGCAAAGCATTCAAAATGTGACTTGGATGCTGTTAAAAACATTCAGTTTTCAAAGGGAAACAGCATAAAAGTTCAGAAAATTTGCAGCCTGACAATGTGATAGAAAAGAAAATCCCATTTTCTAAGGAGAAATTCAAGCTGGCTACAGAAATTTTCATAAATAACAAAGAACCAAATGTTCATCACCAAGACAATGGGGAAAATGTCTCCAGAGCATGTTAGAGACTTTTTTCCTCCTATCACAGGCCTAGAGGCCTAGGAGGAATAAATGGTATATTGGGCCTGGCCCAGGGCCCCCTTGCTGTGTGCAACCTAGGGACTTGCCCTGTGTCCCAACTGCTCTAGTCAAGGCTAAAAGGGGCCAAGGTATAGCTCAAGCCATGACTTCAGAGAGTGCAAGCCCCAAGCCTTGGCAGCTTCCACAGGTGTTGAGTCCATGGGTGCACAGAAGTCAAGAATTAAGGTTTGGGAACCTCCTCCTAGGTTTCAGACGATTATAGAAATGCCTGGATGCCCAGGCAGAAGTTTACTGCAGGAGTGGAGCCCTTATGGAGAACCTCTGCTAGGGCAGTACAGAGGGAAATGTGGGGTTGAAGCCACCACACAGAGTCCCCACTGGGACACTGCCTAGTGGAGCTATGAGAAAATGGTCACCATCCTGCAGACCCCAGAATGGTAGATCCACTGGTAGCTTGCACTGTGAGCCTGGAAAAGCCACACTCAATGCTAGCCTATGAAAGCAGCCAGGAGTGGGGCTTTACCCTGCAAAGCCACAGGGGTGGAGCTGCCCAAGACCGTGGGAGTCCACCTCTTGCATCAGCGTGACCTGGATGTGAGACATGGAGCCAAAGGAGATCATTTTGGAGCTTTAAGATTTGACTGCCCCCCACCCTGGATTTAGGACTTGCATGGGGTCTGTAGCCCCTTTGTTTTGGCCAATTTCTCCCATATGGAATGGCTGTATTTACCCAATGTCTGTATCCCATTATATCTAGGAAGTAACTAACTTGCTTTTGATTTTACAGGCTCATAGGTGGAAGAGACTTGCCTTGTCTCAGATGAGACTTTGGACTGTGGACTTTTGAGTTAATGCTGAAATGAGTTAAGACTCTGGGGGACTGTTGGGAAGTCATGATTCGTTTTGAAATGTGAGGACATGAGATTTGGGAGAGGCAATATGATATGGTTTTGCTGTGTCCCCACCCAAATCTCATCTTAAATTGTAGCTCCTATAATTCCCATGTATTATGACATGGAACTAGTGGGAGATAATTGAATCATTGAGATGGTTTCCCCCATACTTTTCTCATGGTAGTGAATAATTCTCATGAGATCTGATGGTTTTATAAGGGGAAACCCCTTTTGCTTTGTTGTCATTCTCTCTTGCCTGCCACCATGTAAGATGTGCCTTTCACCTTCTGCCATGATTGTGAGGCCTCCCCAGTCATGTGGACCTGCGAGTCCATTAAACCTCTTTTTTAAAAATAAATTACCCAGTCTTGGGTATATCTTTATCAGCAATGTGAGAATGGAAAAATACACTGACCTCCCAAAAGGAAATAAAGCTAACAAAAAGAACTGTTATAGCTATATTAATACTAGCAAAATACTATGAGGCATAATGCATTATTAGTAATAAAGAAGATCATAATTTAATGTTAAAAGGGATTATTACCAGTGATAAATATAACAATTACTAATTTGTAATTTCAACTTAGCATCAAAATACACAAAAAAATTGACAGACTTACAAGGAAAAAATAACAAATATATAACCTTATTGATTTCTTTTCAAACCTGCCTGTGCTTTCATTTTGTGCCTAGTGCTTTTCTCAGCGTGCACACATGCACACACACTTACATCTTTAGTAATTTTTAATATTTTCACTGTATACTCTCTTCTACATTCTTGCCCTGTCATTCCAGGTTGTTGTGATGTGGTGGATTATTGCCTTGTGTACTTATTATTTTCATTCTTGGCTCATCTTTAATAGACACTCTATTCCCATGCTCCACCTCATGCCAGGAATCCCTATGGCTTGGCCTGTGAGACCTGAGAGGATCTGCATTTTCTTCTACCAAATACCACAGAGGTATCACCAGCTTCTTGGTGTGGGGAGTTCCTGGAAATGGTAGTGTGCATTTGGACTCCAGATAATACAAGCAACAGGAAGAGTGACCAACTCTACTGCTTTGCCTAGAACTGAGGGAGTTTCCAGGATCCAAGACTTCCAGACTTAAAACTTGGACAGTCCTGGGCAAACCAAGATGATCGACCACCTTAGCACTATCCTGTTTTTTATTTTTTTTCCCTCTGGAAAAAATTGCATTCCTACCCAAATCTCAGGCAGAGACAGACAAGTTTCTATATCACACCCCTTACCACAGTAGCATCTGCAAGTCTAATGTACATCATAACTTTAGAAATAATTTATAGAAATGGTGACTCACAGTGTCTGTTATTTGGCAAATCCATGTGTTCGTCTCAAGTCATTTAGGACTTCTCAAGTCTTCCTTTCCACTGAGGCTACGACCCTTGGAGACACCCAGCTTTAATCCAGAGGCTTGGTTCCCACTGTCCTTACCCTTGGTTTAAAGACTCTATCTCCTATCCTGGCACATAGTATTAAAATGGTCCCCACCTCACCACACTCTGGCCTTCCTGACCCATTCGCTTATGTGTTTCTGATTCTTGTTTTAGTTCTTCCTTTATTTCAGACAGCTTGGGTGTTCCTCTTCTTGCTTGTGAGTTCATTCTGCATTTAAACATTTCATTTTATTACATTTTGAAGCATTTTCTAAGTCTTTGTAGATAGAGAAGTGTCACATTATCTTCATCTACCATCTTTCCCAAACCTGAACTCCTCCCACAACAAGTTTTGACCAGCCTGCCTGGCCCTGCAGCAACACAGCCTATAAAGTCTGTAAAGTACAGCAAGTTCTGAATGATTTGAGTTGATGGAACACATGGGTTTGCCAAATAACAGACACTGTGATTTACGATTTCTATAAATTATTTCTGTAGTTATCCTTTACATTAGAAAATATAATTATTGTTTAATGAAACAGATACAAGAAATTCTTCCTTATGGCCTCAGTAGTTGAGAAAAATCATTGAATTTGGCATAGGATATATAAGGTATGGGATTTGTTTATTACAAACAGTGATATTGATCAGCCCTCCAGCTCCAGGTTTATTTTTTCTTCTATCTCTATAAGAATGGGCTGTGGCTCATTCTGGCTGGGTCAACACATGTGCCCCATCCAGAAATGTTCTAGGTTCAGGAAAAGGTGATCACCTAGAGAAGAAGGTGAATTCCAGTCTTTGGTCCTTAATACTGAAAAAAAGTCTCTGTGCTGGGCAAGGTCCACATGTGCTGGTTTAGAATAACTTGGAGGCTCCCATCCATACAGGGTAATTGGAGTTATTTAGTGGGGAAAAAAGGAACATATTGCTTTTCTAAGAATTTCGAAGAAAATAATTATTGAAAGAAAGACAATCTCGCCAGAATAATGTCTTTGAAACCCCAAAGATTTCGGAGTGAAAAAATAAACCTAGAGAAATAAATATATATGTATTTTTAGTTCTACTCTTGATTATTCTATGTATTCTTATGTACATCTTTAACTTGTGAGCACTGGAACCAGAAAATATTTATAAGTAAGCATTTCTTATTTTTATTTCTACATTTTGCAGAGAGAATTTAATGAAATACTAAGTAAAAAGTATTCAGGAGCCAATTTGGCTACTGAAGCTGGGACCGGAATGTTGGTTACATGCCCAATAGCCATTCACTCTGATTTAATTCAGGTTTCTACCTTCTCCCAACATAGTCTGGTGAAAATCCTGATTCATCTCAGTCAGTCACTGTTGTTCCATTGCCCTAGCAAGTAACTGGGCTTGGGAGCAGGCATGTGACACAGCCAATAAGAAGTAAGGGGGGATCTGGTGGGAGTTTTTTTTAGCAAATAAATCTTCTTTCTTAAAAAGAGACAAGGCCAGGCTTGGTGACTCACATCTGTAATCCCAGCACTTTGGGAGGCCGAGGCAGGTGGATCATGAGGTCAGGAGATCGAGACCATCCTGGCCAACATGGTGAAACCTCGTCTCTACTAAAAATATAAAAATTAGCTGGGCATGGTGGCTTGTGCTTGTAATCCCAGTCTACTCAGGAGGCTAAGGCAGGAGAACTGCTTGAACCAGGGAATTGGAGACTGCAGTGAGCTGAGATCGTGACACTGCACTCCAGCCTGGAAACAGAGTGAAACTCTGTCTCAAAAAAAAAAAAAAGAGAGAGAGAGAGAGAGACACATGATAATAAACATCCCTTTCATTCGACTGGATGCTGTTCTTGCCAAAGATGCTTCTAGTTGTAGATGTCATCTTGCAAGTTTGAGGAGTTTGTCAAGGACAAGGCCAGTATATTGAGGTTGGTATAGTGGCAAAAAGAATGAATAAAGATCCCGACATCCTTGAGGTGTTTTATTGAGCCATCCTAGTGCCACCTGATGCTAGGAGTCTTGTTATATAAGATCACAAATGCCCTTACTGTTTAAGCCAGGTAAGGTAAGATTTTTTTTTTTGCCCTTTACAGCCCAAGTCATCCTAATTGATACAATAGCAATCATTGAGGGTCTTGGCTTAATCACTGCTCAACTGGACCTTGTAAGATTTGAAGGCCAACGGCAGAAAGGGTTTAAGATATCTTCACTCTTCCCAGACAGGCTAGGTAGGGGAAAAAGTGATAAAGAGGAGATGAGAAGGCTGCTGCTATTTCTAGGATTTTATTTGAGGTGCAAAATTCTATTACCCATTTCAACGGAACCTTCTAACTCTGTTGGAGGTACCAAGTTCCCACTGGTTGGTGATCCCATGCTCAAAAAAAAGAAGCTACTGTGGTTTAATTAGTAATAGGGCTCCTGGCTGCATCAAAAGTACAAAATTTCCTGATTTTTTTTCCTTTTCTCTCCAGGTACAAACACAGTCCAAGACACTTGGTGCTGCAGGGAGGAGGGTGGGATGTGGAAAATGTGTTTATTTGGCACCTTTACCCCATGGCAGTATTGGAGTCTAAGAGGTTGAGCTGTTTGCTTTATAATTTTAAAAGGGAGGGAGATTTTTCTACAACTTTTCCTGAGTGAATACAACAAGTCTAAGCAGCTGATAACTGCCAAATAAGGAACCTGATCTTTCTTTCTGTTGTGTTTGCTTGTTTGTTATTTTCTCTTTAAAGCTGGAAACAGTTGGTGGCCGTAGATCTCAGGCTTCCAACTGCGAAGCTGTCATGGACACACTGAGGCTGGTTTTTGGGGGCTGGTCTGAATTCCAATGAATTCCAATGCATCAGGGGAGATGCCTGTTTGAGATTGAAGGGCTTGCTCCAGAATATCTTTTCTGGGAGTACCTTGCTCTGAAAGTGGTTGCCAACATGGAAAAAATACCCCAAGGTCAATAGATACCTACCCTTCCTTCCTACTACTTTCTCCAAGCAATCCAATAACAGCCAGAGAAGGATGTTTGCTAGTTGGATCCTTTATCTCAAGTTTACTGCATTTAGTTTTACAAAGAGACAAAGACATGTCTTGATATGGGGCATGAGGGATGGAGAAGGAATATTCTAGAGCCTAAAAATGTGTTTCAGACTGTGCCCAGGAATTATTTCCAGCGATTCAGGAAACACAATGCTAACCGCCGCTGTTGTTACCTAACTTCCACTGGTCATATCTACAGCTGGGCTTCTGAGTATGAAAGACTCCCTGGATCCCTGGAAAGAGCAAGGGGGACGGGGGGAAGGCTAGTTTCTCACCGGTTATAATTTTCCTCTATCAATAACTGGATGTACTCTGATGGCAAAGAAAGTATAAAATGGGCTTCAGACTCTCTGTTTTCAGTGTTCTTTTGTGTTGGCATTAATCATCTGCCCTGTGCTCTAGTCACGACTAGATGGAGTCCAAAAAAATACTTGGGATTTAGAAATCAAACAAAGAGATAATCACTCCGAAATCAGATTTAAATCTGCAGTGACTGAAGTTGCTTTGTTAGAGAAATAAAGGTGTTAAGAAGCTTTCTTTTCTTCTAAGGCTACTAAACAGTTGTAGCTGGCACAAACAAGTTTGGGACTGTTTGCATTGAGTCATGTCAAACCCCTTTAGCATGTGGAAACAGGCTATATTTACTATTATTTCAAAGCTCTTGCAATTGCTCAGGAAAGGGGGACAAGTCTTTGCTCCAATTTGGAAGAATCAATGCTTTCCTTTTTAATGTGAAAGCTCAAAATAATACAGACCTGCTTTTGGTTGGATCCCAAATGCCATCCCCACATCAGGAAAATGAGAGACAAATATTAATACAACATGGAAGGCCAGTGCAAGCAAAAATTACAAAGCATGTCACATGGTCATTTTACAAAGTGACTTTTTAAAATAAAAAAAAATAAATAAAACCAGAAAAACCCCACGGAGACGTATTAATGCCTCAACCTGGAACAATAAAGCTCTGTTAAAAACACTTGCCATTAGCCACCATCTGCTCTTAGCAATTGGAGGTAATCTTTACGTCCTCTTGACAGCTTTGCCTCATCCCTTGGCCCCTTAATGAAACAAAGACTCCACCATGGACAAAACATTTGGGGGCAAGGATCCCTCAGGTAGTTTTATATCTTTTCAGAGCTTTGAGTTTGATGACCAACATTCAATACTCTGTTCAGGGTTGTCAAGACTGCATATTGAATCGAAGAAAATTTGCCAACTATATTTCCTTCCTCTCTCATAATGCTCTATCACTGTCAGCATTTTCTGCACAAATCAGAGGTAAGGTGGACTCACCATATACATAACAAAACTACTTTCTTACTCCACTCTTTCTTTCTTGTTGTATATCTCAAGAAAGTCTCTTGATTAGAATTCCAGCAGTGTAACTGCATTTTTCTCCCATTCAAACTCTTACTGTTAGACTATTCAGTTAATATAATTTAGAAAATTATAAATATAATTCTCATTCACACCAAAAGTGAACTTGTTTTCTCTTTGTAGTGCTGTGGGTCAAGAAATCTTAAAACACATAAGCAAGACAAATGGCAAAGGCATGTCATCCCCAATTTGGCAAATAACTCAACAGATAGAGGTGCAGAGCAAAGAAAATATGTTATTAATATTCTGAGTGCATTGAGCCCACTGTTTTCCATCCTTCAGATGTAATCTTACTGCCACTGAGGAATATGACTAGAGAAGGGAAATGCCATGTAGGTAGAATGTCTCAATGACATACATTTTTATTCCCTATGGCCTTTATTCCCTACTGGTATTTTCCCTACCTGGCTGTCTATGATGGCTCAGAACCATAAAACACACTTTGATTTTTCTATGATAGCGTTCTCCAGTTTGGGGGCTACATGGACTTATTTGCGATGAAGTTCCTGCTTCATCTGTTGTGAAGATGCTTGTCACAGCAGATGAAGTGGGCCAAGTCCATAGAGGCATTGTCGTGGGAGCAGGTGTTTGCTTCAATTGTCTCCAATCCCAAGGGTAATGCCCTCTGACCCACTCCAATCACGGTTAGTCATTTCCTGCTACTTCACTTTAGGCTTCTGTCTCCCAGTGGTGCACTGGGAGGAAAATAAAATGGGAGGGATGGGGAGAGGAGGAAATAGAGAAAAGATGAAAATTCAGAGTGGGCCTAGGTTAGCCCAGCAGATGTACTTTTATTCATCCATACTTTTGTATTCCCTGTTCTCCTAACCTGTGGACAATATTTCTTACCTTAATCTCAAAGGATCTTACAGTCCTTTGTAAGGCATACTTTCCACTTAAAACAGTAAAAATAGTTAAGACTTCGCTTTGAATCCATCCAGAGAACTCACTCTTTGCTGGGAAGAATTACTCTAGACATACAAGATACAAAACTTCTTTCTTCCCCCATCCCCAACTTCTTACTTCTTCTTTTTTAAATCTTAGACTGGCCATGGACTTCATATAGGCCAAAAATGCCACACTTGGCTGGTCAGCAGGTAGTCTGGGGGACCCTGAGACCAGTAGACCTCATTTGAAAGGGCAACAACCACTGCCCTAGGGATTTATGTTCTCTTGAAAGATTCCTATAATAAGCACTTTGCATATAGATATGTGAGTTGGTGATCAGAACTGTCCTTCTAGTTGTATTATTTATGCTCTTTCAGGCAGCACAAAGGAGAAAAACCCAGACTGCTTTTGATGATGGGAGTTTATTATTATACCCTGTGGTATATGCACCATGCCTCATGGATAATAGGAATGGTAGCTCACCAGTGTTTGAATTATTGCTCAGACTGAAATAATGAGTCATCTCAGTGCAAATCAATAATCATAATCCCCAAAAGAGATGATATGACCAGGTTAGTTTTCACCTTTCAGTATCAAACACTCCACATCATCAGAGATTTGCCTCATGGACACGTGACCATGCTCATGTCTAGATCAGTCATCATTTTCATCATCATCCTCCTCATCATCATCATCCCCAACACTTATCTAGGCCCTGTTCTAAGAATTTTATATACATATACTCAATTTAATTGTATCAACAACCCCTTGGAGTAGATACTATTATACTTATAGATATTACACATAAGGAAACACTATCAACTGTATGGAGTTATTGATATTTTACAGATAAGGAAACAGAGGCACAGAAAGATTAAGTTACTTGCCCAAGGTTGTCTAGCTAATAATTGGAGGAACAACAATGTTGGTTCCAGGCTATTAATTGATAGCACATCCATATATCCACACTGGCCATGGCTTATTGGAGATCCCTGATTTAATCAGGTAGCCTGATTAAGGCGATAGTGCACCAGCTGTGTACTGGAGGCTCCTTGCTGTGCCAGTTAAATCCCTTTAATTTCTGGATGTGGGGAAGTTCTGGGATCCTCAGGGAAGAGCTGAGGCAGCCACTTTCGGGCTGAGGGGAGAGGCTTTTTTTCAGTGTTAAGAAGGAAGTACAGATGGCCCCTGAGTTACGATGATTGACAGGAATTTTTTTTTCAATTTTTAAAATAAACTTTACTTTGGAACAATTTTAGATTTACAGAAAAATCACAAAGATACCCCAGAAAATTTCTGCATACCCTTTACCCACTTTCCCCAAATGCTATCATCTCATATACCACAGTACATTTGTCAAAACCAAGAAATTAACATCAATACATTTCTATTATCTAAACTACAGATTTTACCACTCTTTCTCTACTAGTATCCTTTATCTGTTCCAAGATCTGATCCAAGACACTTCATTGCATTTAGCATGACCATTTTATTTTTATTATTATACTTTAAGTTCTGGGATACATGTGCAGAACGTGTAGGTTTGTTACATAGGTATACACGTGCCATGGTGGTTTGCCGCACCCATCAACCCATCATCTACATTAGGCATTTCTTCTAATGCTATCCCTCCCTAGCCCCCACTCCCCAACAGGCCCTGGTTTGTGATGTTCCCCTCCCTGTGCCCATGCATTCTCATTGTTCAACTCCCACTTATGAGTGAGAACATGCGGTGTTTGGTTTTCTGTTCCTGTGTTAGTTTTCTGAAAATGATGGTTTCTAGCTTCATCCATGTCCCTGCAAAGGACTCATCCTTTTTTATGGCTGCATAGTATTCAGTGTTGTATATGTGCCACATTTTCTTTATC
This sequence comes from Homo sapiens, assembly GCF_000001405.40. NCBI lineage: Eukaryota > Metazoa > Chordata > Mammalia > Primates > Hominidae > Homo > Homo sapiens. The sequence continues at coordinate 47,894,173 of NC_000015.10, read as the reverse complement.
CAGTCTATCATTTGCTTAGGATTGTCTTGGCTATGCAGACTCTTTTTTGGTTCCATATGAAATTTAAAGTAGTTTTTTTCCAATTCTCTGAAGAAAGTCAATTGTATCTCGATGGGGATAGCATTGAATCTATAAATTACTTTGGGCATTATGGCCATTTTCATGATATTGATTCTTCCTATTCATGAGCATGGAATGTTTTTCCATTTGTTTGGGTCCTCTCTTATTTCGTTGAGCAGTGGTTTGTAGTTCTCCTTGAAGGGGTCCTTCACATCCCTTGTAAGTTGCATTCCTAGGTATTTTATTCTCTTTGTAGCAATTGTGAATGGGAGTTCACTCATCATTTGGCTCTCTGTTTGTCTATTATTGGTGTATCTGAATGTTTGTAATTTTTGCACATTGATTTTGTATCCTGAGACTTTGCTAAAGTTGCTTATCAGTTTAAGGAGATTTTGGGCTGAGATGATGGAGTTTTCTAAATATACAATCATGTCATCTGCAAACAGAGACAATTTGACTTCCTTTCTTCCTATTTGAATACCCTTTATTGCTTTCTCTTGACTGATTGCCCCAGCCAGAATTTCCAATACTGTGTTGAATAGGAGTGATGAGAGAGGGCATCCTTGTCTTGTGCCTGTTTTCAAATGGAATGCTTCCAGCTTTTGCCCATTCAGTATGATATTGGCTGTGGGTTTGTCAAAAATAGCTCTTATTATTTTGAGATACTTTCCATTAATACTTAGTTTATTGAGAGTTTTTAGCATGAAGGGGTGTTGAATTTTATCAAAGGGCTTTTCTGCAGCTATTGAGATAATCATGTGGTTTTTGTCATTGGTTCTGTTTATGTGATGGATTACATTTATTGATTTGCATATGTTGAATCAGCCTTGCATCCCAGGGATGAAGCTGACTTGATCGTGGTGGATAAGCTTTTTTATGTGCTGCTGGATTTGGTTTGCCAGTATTTTGTTGAGGATTTTGCATCAATGTTCATCAGGGATATTGGCCTGAGAGCAAAGACACAATATACCAGAATCTCTGGACACAGCTAAAGCAAAAGCAGTGTTTAGAGGGAAATGTATAGCACTAAATGGAGAAAGCAGGAAAGATCTAAATCTATACCCTAACATCACAATTAAAGGAACTAAAGAAGCAAGAGCAGACAAATTCAAAAGCTAGCAGAAGACAAGAAATAACTGGCCTGGCACAGTGGCTCATGCCTGTAATCCCAACACTTTGGGAGACTGAGGCGGGCGGATCACGAGGTCAGGAGATCAAGACCATCCTGGCTAACATGATGAAACCCCATCTCTACTAAAAATACAAAAAAAATTGGCCAGGCGTGGTGGTGGGTGCCTGTAGTCCCAGCTACTCGGGAGGCTGAGGCAGGAGAATGGCGTGAACCCAGGAGGTAGAGGTTGCAGTGAGCTGAGATCGTGCCACTGTGCTCCAGCCTGGGCAACAGAGCGAGACTCCATCTCAAAAAAAAAAAAAAAAAAAAAAAGAAATAACTAAGATCAGAGCAGAACTGAAGGAGATAGAGACATGAAATACCCTTCAAAAAATCAGTGAATCCAGGAGCTGGTTTTTTGAGAAGATTAATAAAATAGGTAGACCACTAGCCATGCTAATAAAGAAGAAAAGAGAGAAGAATCAAATAGACACAATAAAAAATGATAAAGGGGATATCACCACTGATCCCACCGAAATACAAACTACCATCAGAGAATATTATAAACACCTCTACACAAATAAACTAGAAAATCTAGAAGAAATGGAAAAATTCCTGGACACATACACCCTCCCAAGACTAAACCAGGAAGAAGTCAAATTCCTGAATAGACCAATAACAAGTTCTGAAATTGAGGCAGTAATTAATACCCTACCAACCAAAAAAAGTCCAGAACCAGATGGATTCACAGCCGAATTCTACCGGAGGTACAAAGAGGAGCTGGTACCATTCCTTCTGAAACTATTCCAAACAATAGAAAAAGAGGGACGCCTACCTAACTCATTTTATGAGGCCAGCATCATCCTGATACCAAAACCTGGAGGAGATTGACATGAGGTTTTAACTTTAAGATTGTGTGAAAGGGAAACCCATTCAATAAAAACCATACTTTGAATACCCATACAACCATTCTGTTTTTCACTTTCAGTACAGTGTCCAATAAATTCCATGAGGTATTCAACACTTTGTTATAAAACAGGCTTTGTGTTAGATGATTTTGCCCAACTGTAGGTTTATGTAAGTGCTCTAAGCGTGTTTAAGTTAGGCTAGGCTAAGCTATGCTGTTCCATAGGTTAGATGCATTAAATACATTTTCAGCTTATAATATTTTCAACTTCTGATGGGTTTATTGGGAAGTTACCCTATCATAAGTCAAGGTTCATCTGCATGTCAATATTTTAGTAATAGATAATCCCCAATGGTACTTAGCACTGCCCTTTGAATATTTATGCATACTTACATGACTCAAATTCTATTCAGTTTTCCTTAGTCTTTTTTCCTCTAAACAGGAATAAAGGCATCAGTTATATCATCTCTTCTCCAACACAGACACCATCTACCCTTTTAGTAATGTACCATTTGTACTATCAACAATATGGGATATCTTTGGACCCTGTATCTGAAATTAGTTTGAGTGAGATTAGCTCAGGTAGCAATGTTCAAATGTATAATTCATTTCTGAATGAATTATACATTTATTATAGAACTAGTAAGAGAAGGATATGTTTTGAGGGCCAGACAGCATCTCCTTTTGCATTTACAAGTTCCCAGCTACCCAGGCTGTGGGTAGTTCTCTAAACCTATTCTGCAGTGGAGTTCTCTAAACCTATTTCCGATTGAGCGATGCTCCATTCATGAATTGTTGTTTGCTCAAATAAACCCTGTTAAGTTTATTTTGTCTAAAGTTTTTCTTTTGACAGGAATAATTGACTTAATTCACCTAGGTATAAACCAGTAAAAGTCTTTCTGCCCCTGTCCAAAAAACCCTCTGAATGAGCTGTTGTAACTTGGATAAGGTAAATCATCTTCTCCTATTAAGCTTTGTAAGTTTCATTAGTGGGCCATGCAAGGTTCTAATCTGACAAATTTTTTTTTTAAAGCAACTATAACAACCCAGGGCAGTCCAAGCCATCTATTCAGTTGCTTTCCCTTCAGCTATCAGAAAAGATGCCTTAAGGAGATTCTGTGAGGTCATGTGCCAGAAGAGGATTCTGGGTCGATTCCAATGATTTCACAGGCAATTCTTCTGGAGAGTATTTCTAACTCAGAAAAGACAGCTTTAAGGAAGTCAAGAGACAAATCTCATAGACATGCTATCAAAGAGCTGGTTACCCTCAGCTTTTTTTTTTTTTTTTTTTTTACTGAAATAAACAGCCTAAATGGGATACCTTAAAATGGCCTTCAGAGGGCCGAACTCCAAACAGGGTGATTAAAATAGCCTTTTCCTTTTAAAATGACCTGAAGCTTGAGGCATTTAGTTCAGAAAGACTGTTTTTTGTTTCTTTGCTTGTTTGTTTTTCAGTTCTCCATGAATCTATGACAAACAGCAGCCAATTGTCAACAGTTGCCAGGTAGAAAAGAATTGAACTAATCTGACTTGGCAGCTCTTCTCCCATCCCAAACTTGACATTTTTCATGTTATGCTGGAATTATGTGCCCAGAAGGACTTAAATCCTCTTTTCTGATAACCTTATACCTTAACACCAGCTCTAAGTTGTAGAAGAAATAAGGAAATTTTACAGTGCTGAAAACGGCCCCTTTGTGACATAGTATTGCTCAGTTTGGTATCTACTCTGGTTGAGAACATTCTCTGAACCCCAAACATGCCAGAAATTCATAACCGCTCCTCCTCTGGGGGATGGGAATATGGCTTCTCCTGATACTAGAATCCCAGTTACAAGCTGATGGGGAAGATTCACTATAATTACACAGTTCCTGAGCTTCAGTTAAGATTTACTTCCTTGGCTTTGAATGACAAATGTCACTCTAGTTTGACATATTCCATTCTGGGGGTTATTTTCTTTTCTGTTTATTAGAACTCCATGTTTTAAGTAAGGACAACAAAAAGTAATACCCAAGGATAAAGGTAGAATTGATGTCTGAGAAAAACCTAGTCATAACTTCTGAACTTTCCACTACCATTCCAATGCTATTTGAAATAATTTTTATTCTGGGATAAGTGAGGAAACTCTTTGCCATAACCCAGTAAACCTTTAGGGCCTTTCTGCCCCTCTACCCATACCCCCTATCCCCCTTAAAATCACCCAGTAGAAACCCTTCTGGTGGGATTTTTAAAATTATTTTTATTTTTTATGCGTAAGTAGTAGGTATATATATATATTTATGGGGTATATAAGATCTTTTGATACAGGCATGCAGTGTATAATAATCACATCAGGATAAATGGGGTATTCATCACCTCAAGAATTTATCCTTTGTGTTACAAACAACTCAATTATACTCCTTTAGTTATTTTTAAATATACCATTAAATTATTATTGACTATAATCACCCTGTTGTGCTATTAAGTACTGGACTTTATTCATAATTTCTAATTATTTTTTGTACCCAATAACCATCCCCACATCCCCCCCACCAACCTCCCACTACCCTTCCCAGACTCTGGAAACCATCCTTCTACTCTCTATCTCCACAGGTTCAGTTGTTTTAATTTTTAGCTCTGGGGGGTATTTTTACAATAGTGTATAAAGCTTTGTCAAACCTTTGTCTATTTATTTGTGTTAATCCATGAATCTTTAAGAGATTATTCAGATCAAATGGCTCATTCTACCAATGAAGAAACTGAGGACTCCAAGAGAGGAAATGATTTGCCTAAGATCCCAGTAAGAGAGTGGAAGAGCTGGGATACAACATCAACACTGCCAACATGCGTCTAAGTTCATTACCACCACGTGCTTTGTGATACAACTCACTACTTAATAAAAGTCAAGTTATAGCAGCAACTTACAATCTACGGAGTGGGAAAAAGATCTGGTAGATCAATATGTATGCAAGAGAAAGTAAAAGAATCTAGGGAAAAAGAGGGTTCAATTTAACTTTGTCCCCAAAGCTCACGTACATACTTTAAAAACATAATTTATTTTTTTACACCAGGCAGGATTTTACATTCAACATGAGACAGCAGTAGAATGCATTTCCAGTTTAATGTTAACCCAAAATAGGTCATGGTTAGAATTTGATTGGGGAAGGAATTGAAAACATATGTTTGAAGTTAACCCATAAGACACTCATTGCTTAATTCAGATGCCTCATGTCTCAAGTCTGTTCATAATCCAAGACTCTCTAAACCACGGACAAAGCCATCACACATAAAGAACAATATCTAAAGTCTAATTTATCCTTTTACTGCAGTTCAGCAGATGAGTATCCCAAATTTCAAAAAAAAAAAGTAAAACATGATTTTGTTTATCAGAAATCTGGTGTGATAAGAATATTTAATACTTTGACTTTAAATGAAGGTACATCAAGGAAAGTGCATACAAGTGGTTTGATGAATCATCACAAACTGGATGCATTCATGTAAGCAACCCTACATCAAGAAACCATACATTATTAGCACCTTCTCTGGCCCCTCAGTCACTGGACTATCCTCTCCAATCCCCAGAGTAATAACTATTTCCTGCCTTCCAACCACATACACTAGTATCTCCTCTTGTGTACTTCTTATAAATGGAATGATGTAGTATGCCCTTTTTGGGGTCTGACTTCTTTTGCTCATTCTTGTGCTTGTGAGAATCATCCATATTTCTGCATATATTTATAATTGTTCATTCATTGTGCGATTCTATTACTATTTAGCCATTTTATTGTTGTTGGGTGATATGGTTTGGCTGTGCCCCACTCAGATCTCATCTCAAATTGTAATCCAAATTGTAACCTCCACATGTCAAAGGAGGGACCTGGTGGGAGGTGATTGGATCATGGGGGTAGTTTCCCCTATGCTTTTCTCCTGATAGTGGGGGAGTTCTCATGAGATCTGATTTTTTTATAAGTGTCTGGCACTTCCCCCTTCTCTTTCTCTCTTCTGCTGCTTTGTGGAGAAGGTACTTGCTTCTCCTTTGCCATCTGCCATGATTGTTAAGTTTCCTGAGGCCTCCGCAGCCATGCAGAACTGTGAGTCAATTACATTTCTTTCCTTTATAAATTACCCAGTCTCAGGTAGTATCTTTATAGCAGTGTGAAAATGGACTAATACATTGGGTGTTTGAGTAGTTATTCTAAAGATATTTTATAGTGTCAAATTGTTTGCAGAAAACATTAACTCAAAGGGAATAAACTCATATTTTAGAGATCTGGTATAGTCCACCAAGGGAAAATACTAGCTAACATGATGGAATTATTTTCCAAAATTTCCGATCCTGAGGACAGTATTGTATGTTTTGGTGTGGGGCTGTGTGTGTGTGTGTGTGTGTGTGTGTGCACGTGCATGTGTCTATCTCAGCGTCCTCCCAGCCAACAATTTCCATTGAGCCTTTAGTGACTAGAACATGAGGCTGGTAGTGAGGACAGTTAATGCTGCATGCTCCACTCAAGATGAATGGCTGAATTATTGTGACATTAGCAAACAAGTAATTCGTTTCCCATGTCATTGTTCCTCATCTCAAGCTGGTTAGCCAAGCCTTTTCAAAATCCTGACTTGTTCAACCTGATACCAGTTACAGTCCATTTCAAGCTCTTCTGTATAAAATGCAATCTTGTCAAAGGGAAGACACCTGCTCCCAGCAGGAGGGTTGCTCACCAACTGCCAAAGCCTTTGTTACAGTGTCTAGAAACAAAATGATCTTTCCATCTGGAATGTGTCTGCCACCATAACTGCCTGCCTTGAGTTGACTGCCAACCTGTGGTACCAGAACGAGACAGAGAAACATGGGCAGAGAGTGTTGGGAAATGGATTTCTATGAACTCTTGACATTGTGATTTTAAAGCTAATTTTCTCTGAATGAAGAGCATGGGTGACCTCAGCAAAATACACTTACGTCTAGATCTGATTTCTCCTTTCGTGATCCCAGTTCTATCTTATTTACTTCTTATCGCTTATTTTGAATTTTTACGAAACCTCATATACTTAGCAGTGGCAGAGATTCGAGTTACCCCGAGTTACCCGCAGCAAATTCAGTCCTTGCCTCCTCAGAAGAAAGAATTCGACTGATGGGCATAAGACAGAAAAAGAGACAGAGGCAAGTTTCAGAGCAGGAGTGGAAGTTTATTAAAAGGCTTTATAACAGGAAAGAAAGGAAAGAACCCTTGGAAGAGAGCCTAGTGGGCACCTGAAGGTCAAAGAGAGGAAAGAAGTGGCTTTAGCCTTGATTCTGGGATTGTATAGGCTCGCCTTTTCCCCCATGATTCTCTCCTTAGGGCTTTCCACATGCGCGGTGCCCTCTTTACCCCTGGGAATTGAGCACACACAGTGTGTTTAGGGAATTTTACGCATGCCCATCTGAGGCTTCCTTCCTTTTTCTGGTGGAGTGTACCCGGAAGATCATACTTCACCATTTTTATCTCTTAATGTGCACCCCCAGGAAGTTGCTTCTCCCTGGGATCTGCCTTTAATTAACATGTTAACAGGTGTAGACCTTCAGGAAATGGCCTCTCCCTGGCATTGGCTTCCAATTTATCACTTTTAGAGCGGCAATGCAATAATTGCCGAACCATCACCCAACATTTCTAGTGGGTCAGGGGAGAGCTCTCTCCTGCCCCACTCATGGCTAACTACCTATAACAATATTAATTTTCATTTTTTTTCACAGAAAACACACTCCTATTTGGGGTCCCAAAAACCAGTGGGCTGCTGCTTTTCTTCACCTCTCCACCCCACTCCCCACCCCGTGCCACTCTGGGCTACCAGGATCCTCTGACCCCCTCAGTCCTGGAAAGCAACTGCATCACACAGAATGTACACAAAGGGATCCATCCCTTTGCGTTGAGGCTCTGTCACAGGAGGCTCCTTTTTCTAACATCCAATTGCCCAGCATCCCATTAACTATGCAACTCTGCTAAGAACTTACCATGGGTGTCCCTCTGTGGAATTTGCTGTTACTTAACACTGTGAGTCACGTCCATTTCGTGGTTAATAGATGCATGTTCCAATGCCAATTCCCTTCCCCAGATTGGAAATTACCAGTGTGCTCATAATTTCCACTACCTGTCCCTCAGAGTTACAAGGAAGCAGAGGGCTTCTGAAAAGTTAGGCTTTATTTCTGTCTTCACTGGTTTGGGCTCAAAATGTAGCCAGATATAGTTTTTGAGTGGCAGATTTTTAAAATTTGCACAATGGAAAATGTACACCAATATAAAGAAAGTATTTTAATTAAAATTAACAAATATTTTTAAGATACTGTTTTCTACAGAAACTCATTTAAAAGAACTGTAAGATTTCATCTAGGGACATCTGTCTTACGTAATTGCCGTTAATGGGATAAAGGCCACCCACTTTGATGCATGAAGGTAGGATACTGAGAAAGAAAAACTTGAAACTTAACTACCTTAAGACATTCTGTAAATTGTAAAGCATAACACAAATGCAAAGGATTGTTATTTTAATTGACCCCAGGAATTAAATTTTTAAAAATTGTCTAAATACCCTTGGTCTCCAAAATTGGGTATAATCCTAAAAAACAGCTCTTACCGAACCACAATACAAAAATCTCTCCCCTTTGTACTAATCTCTTCCTCTAAATTTATTTCCTTTGCAGGTAAATAACCTCCCATTGGTTTCATCTTTGCATCCTATTTGATTAAAACAACACTAATCACCAGCTATTCTAGCTCACTCTTAACAAACTATTGTGTTGTAACAAGTGTGGTTTCGTTTATTTGCTTTTCCCCCTCTAGGGAGAAAAAAAAGGATGAGAAAAGGTAGATATCAGTTTGAGGTCAGCAAGGAGATTTATACCTAAACTACCAGGGGAATCGACACCATTTAGCCATAAAGCATTTTCCCCTGCAAGCTCAGGAAGTATTTCCAATTATTTACAAACAGATAACATTGTGTAGCTCCCTCAGTATTACAGATAAGTCAACCAAAAACAACTAGTTTGACAAAAATTGCCCAGCATCCCATTACCTATGCAGCTCTGCTAAATACCCATCATGGGTGTCCCCCTGTGGAATTTGCTAAGAAAACATAGTGGAATGAGTTGCCCTCTAGAATTCTGGAAGTCATGGGATCAGCAGCAGGAAATGGCTCATATCATTGATGCACCAACTATATCAATTGAAAGATTAGTTGTTGTTTCTGTGTGTGTGTGTGTTTCTGTGTGTGTGTGAGAGAGAGAGAGACAGAGACAGAGAGAGAGAAGGCAAGAGAAAAGAGAGAGGGAGAGAGCATAAATAGATGGTAAACATGCAGCAAGCGTAAGCAAATGTTCTAGAGCTTCCAACTGAATGAATGTTTTATTACAATCTGTCCAGAGACAGCTCAGCTTAGTGATCACTAGAGAAAGGCCTTTCTTCTGGCTCAGCTTTTGAGAGTGAAAAGTTATTTTCCTCATCTTAAGGTAGATAAATTCCTATTGTACTATGGTACAATCGGGAAGCAATTCAGCCATGCTAAGCCTGAGACTCTAAGACAAAATAAATGACTCTAGTTTAGTGGTGCATATTTAAAATTCTACAAAGCAACAGTTTTGAAAGTTTACCTTTTATTTTCCGCTTTTCTAAAATGCTTCCTCTACAGATGCTGAGAGAGGTCCAGGTCACTTCTGTGTTTGGGGGCTCTTGGTATATTATAAAATACAATTCACATTGAATGGGAGCCCCTGGGCACAAGAGACTCTACACCTGTCACTCTTCTGATAGGTTTACTTCATTTCTACCAGTTCATGGTGCTGAATAAATCTTAGCAGTGGGAAGTGATTGGAAAAATAGGTGGTTCTCACCAGTGGTTCTCACAGTCAAGTGTCACCTGATTCAGAATGATCTGAAATTCCCATTAGAAATTCAGATTTTAGAGGCTCATGTTAGACCATGTGAGGCAGTCTCTTTGGACTGGTTCTCAGGAGTTTGCATTTATTACAATGCTTAGGTGGCTGTTTTGGGCACAGAAATGTTTGAATATTTGAGAACCATTGAGGTAAGGGGTGGGGACTGAGGGCAAGGAGGCTTGATTTCAGATGTTATTAAAGTTGCTGCTAAGAATCACCATTCTGCTTCCATTCTGTGTGAAAAGACCACCTTTCAATGTCTATATTTTTATTGTTTGTTTTTAGAAAGAGGGTTTTACTTCTTCACCCAGGCTGGAGTCCAGTATCAGGATCATAGTTCATTGCAGCCTTGAACTCCTAGGCTCAATTGATCCTCCCCACTTAGTCTCCTCAGTAGCTGAGACTACAGATGTGCACCACTGTGCACAGCTAATTTTTGTATTTTTGTAGGGATAAGGTCTTGCTATGTTGCCTAGGCTGGTATCAGACTTTTGACCTCAAGCAGGTCTCCTGCCTTGACCTCCCAAACTGCTGTGATTATAGTCATGAGCCACTGGTACTGGTCCCAATTTTGTTTTTTTAAACCAAACTGTTTCTGCCATCATGATGAAACACAAGAAGCAGGTACTTTGAACCCAAGGTGCTCCTGCTGTTTCCTTCCTGGTAGGTTCTTGTAGCCACTAGAATGAAGAAATAAGCATTTTTCCTCTGGAAAAGCCTTCTTGCAATATTCTTCAAAAAACCCTGAGAAGGGCCTGCACATAGCTATGCCTGTCAGGAATTGACCCTGTGGGACAGAAGCTACCACAGAGGTGAAGAAGGCAGGATAGCAGGACAAGAACTATGTTATCCCTGAGTTGTCCCACTTAACACTGCCCTCTGCATGACTCAGGGAATTCACAGGCTAACATTCTGTCACAGGAGTGAGATGGAGGCTCCGAGATTCAGGGCCAATGAGAATATGTTGTTCCTGTGAACCTGAACTAGGGTGGGTTCCTCCCCTCCCCCACAACACACTATATTTTACTTGAATATGGAAAGAATATCTTCAATGAGTGCAAAAATGCCTGGCCTCTTCCATGGAAAGGATCTAGACAGTGTCCAAAGACAACAGAACTAGACTAGCCCTGGGACTGTTTACAAGGAGTCCCTGCATGGCATTGAAAATGACACCAGATCGCCATCCAGGCTTGGGAGCGTCTTGGCTAAATTGCACCCTTGAATGAGATGGGGTAAAAGCTGTAGGTAAACTATAAAGCAATGCATGTGTTGGTTGCTACTCTTACCATTAAGAGCAACAAGCAAATTACCAGATGGTGTCATTTGCTAAGTAATCACCTCTTTAATAGAGTGATTCTATCTGCACTGGGGCTGTTAGCATGTCAAAACAAAGCTTTTTGAACCTAGAAAAGTTGTGCCTTGTGCTGGCATTTGTTTTGATTCTGAAGGTTACACTACATACTGTAACAGAAGATTTGGTGTACTGCTGAGAAATTATTTATTCCTCTGATTCCCTTCCTCTCCACTGAAATTCTTCAAAGCCCAGTACAAGTGTCACCTTCATAAAGTCTTGTGATGGCCCTCTCTCCAGCCAAAATTAACTGCTCATTCCATTTTAAAGGTTTTACAAGCACTTGCTATCTGCAAATGGCTATACAGGCTCATGGAGAAGTAGAGATGCCTCTCTGCTTGGTAATGACCTCCGGAGATCTGGGCCATGACATCTCTACTTCTCCATGAGCCTGTATAGGCATTTGCAGTTAGCAAGTGCTTGTAAAACATCCACTAAATTTAAGTTTGTAGTTCTACAACAGAAGTCACAAATTGGCAGGCCATAGGCTAGAAATACCTTTCAAATGTTGACATGATATTATGTCTATTAGCAGATTTCACATAGAACTCTGGATATCTGGCATCTCCCATGAATATAATCAGCTCAAACAGAGTAGCAGCTGCCCCAACTGGAGGGGCCACACTACCTCTAATTTTCCACAGTTGCTTGCTTTTTAATCATTTGTTTTACTTGCCAGCCACTGTGGGCACCCTTCTCACAAAGACACCTCTTTTTTTTTTTTACCTTCTTATATGTTAGCCAGGATTAAATGCCTCCATGTGTGGATGGATATCTGTGCTTATGAGGGAGGCAACTCAGAGCCAAAACTATATGTTTGCCTGGATCAATTATTTATAGGCCAAGTGCCAAGTAATCAATTAGTTTGCTGTGCTCTATGACTTAATTTTGTTTTTAAGATGACAAAATGTGATCTGATCATATTTTGGTTAATTGTTTAAGGCAGCAGTCCCCAGCCTTTTGGGGACCAGGGACTGGTTTTGTGGAAGATAATTTTTCCCTGGAAGTGGGGGTGGGGGGTGGCTTCAGGATAAAATTGTTCCACCTCAGATCATCAGGCATTAGGTTCTCATAAGGAGCATTCAACCTAGGTCCCTTGCATGTGCAGTTCACAATAGGGTTCATGTTCCTATGAGAATCTAATGCCACCGCTGATCGGATAGGAGGTGGAGCTCAGCCAGTAAGGCTTGCTTGCCTGCTGCTCACCTCCTGGTGTGCGGCCTCGTTCCTAACAGGCCACAGACTAATACCCATCCTTGGCCCAGGGGTTAGGGGCCCCTCGTTTAAGGCTTATTGGCTTTTGTGGAATACTAATCGAGCTTCAACAAGAAGTCAGTACAGATACAATTAATATCATCATTCACACCTAGTTCTCACCAGTCTAAGTTTTCACTAGCTTTTGACACTTTTACAGAGTCTCCTTCCTTAATTATTCCTAGGAATCCCCACAAGGGTTTACAAGTTGACAAGGTTTTCTCTACCTGAGGTTTCTGTTTCCCTACTTCCTGTCCCTTTCCTCCACCTGTCCCAGGCTGGTTTCTGACCCCTTTGGCTTAGAGAGCAGTTCTGATAATGGCCTCCAGGTCACCAAGTACAATGGATATTTTTTCAATGCCCTTTGTATTTCATCTATTGGCAATCCTTCCACTGTCGTCCATACTCCTTTTTCTTGAAGCTCTCTTATTCTTTGGTCCTTGTGATAGCACACCCTTCTTATATTCCTTCTAGCTATTCAGTTTCTTTGTCTAAAGCCTTTTCTTGAATATTTCACTCTGCTGACCATTAATATTTGAGTTCTTCAAGATTGAACCTTAGCCCTCTTTTCTTTTAATTCTCTATATTCTTCCTAAGAAACTTATTCATGTCCTCTACTTTAATTACTAGTCATGTGCCAGTCATATCAAAATATGTATCTATAGTCCGTATCTTGTCTTTGGGTTCTAAACCATTAATTACTAGTCATGTGCCAGTCATATCAAAATACATATCTATAGCCCATATCTTGTCTTTCGGTTCTAAACCATACAGGCCATTACCTACATGGCATCTTCTCTTGGATGCCTCATGAACATCTCAAGTTTAACTTATCCCAGAACAAATTCATACTCCCTCCAAAATTAGTCCTCTTTCAGGGTTCTGTAGCCCATTAAATATCACAGCCATCTAGTTATGCAAGTGAGAAAGCTGGGAATGATCTGCCTCACCTACCTTCCTACCATATGATGTCCCTCACCAAACCTGTATATTCTGTCTCCCAGATATCTTGAGCCTGCCCCATGAGTCTCCATCTTTGTCATCCTCTCCTAGTCCTGGAGAGCACAGTAGACTTCTCCACATTTTTAAATGCTGTATACTCCCTTCCTACTATAAGGCCTTTGCTCACATAATTTCTTTCTTCTGCTCACATACCTCTATCCTCAAACTGTACCTCTTCAACCAATTATTCCTATATCTTCTTTAGCTGTTAATTAAACATCATTTATCCAGAAAGTCTTTCTTGACCCTCTGTAATTCACTCGGTAATGGCGCTAATTATAGTTTTTAATTATAAACTCATTTTTGTGACTGATTAATATCTCTTTCCCACAGTGTGTTTTTGCTCATAATGCCCCTAGGAGTCTCTTGAGCTCTTATGTAATCAGGGGGTACATATATATTAGGATAAAAGGTATTCCTTACTAATTCTATTGATCAGAAATATCTGAGTCCTAGGTCTAGCCTAGCCAAACACACTGTGATCCCTCACAGAGCTACTTTCCATTTCAAAGTAATATCACATCTACAGAAACAAATCTAATAGAATTTAGATCTATTAGATCAAATCTACAGAAATCATCTACAGAACAAAGCTAATAGAAATGCCTTATTGAAAACAAGAATGGATTCTTATATGTGTGACTCCATACACCTCTACCCAAACCCTAAATTTAAAATTCTTTTGTAGCTTCAAAAGGGAAAGTGTCGGTTGGATGGCTAATGGCAGAGTATGTAAAGTTGTTTCAGTAAAACCATTAAAGGAAACCTGGGAACAATATTTTGATTGATTTAGCACAATAAACAAATTGCACTGATATGCTTCTGAATTGCTACTATCATGATCTTTAGCAGTTGCATAGTGTAAATCATTAGTCAATCAAGCACTCAATCTACCATGTGAACACTAACAAAAATAGGCTAGATATGATAATTAGGTGAAAGTCTGATCATTCATGAAAACGAAAACAGGACTTCTCTCAACTGTGTGGTTGTATATGGCCATCTTGGTCCTCATATACTGCACCAGCTGTTATTCCATTACTGTAAATTTCCCCTAAAGCATTGATATATTCTTCAACTCATAATAAGTTTCTACATCTAAGACATGAAAAGTATTATGACTGGGTTTAGATATTTTCAAAAGAATTCCATAGACTTGCAGACTTCAATCTCCAATCACTGTTTTCCTAATTGAAAATTTCCCAGTGTGATTGCTTGGGGAATGGAGAAACTATCTTTACAGGATACTTCTTAGGGTATTGGTAGGGAGACTTCAGGAAAAGACATGCATAACTAAGAAGCAGGAGATCATAGCAAATATTAAAAGTCAAAGGGTCATATTCTAGAGTTGTATCCTATAGGTGGTAAAAATTTTTAAGGCAAACAAATGAACAATAAAAGACAAGTATCTTTCAAGCAGTCTAGTTGCAAGTTTCTCCAGGTTTTTATGTGTGTTTGTGGTCTCTGAAATATTGGTTTTCAGTGACACCAATTCATCCCTAGGTAAAGTTTAAAATTGTCATATGTTTTGCACACTGGCACACCTCATCTGGATATTTCCTAAATCAGAATAGACCTTCAGTGAACAAAAAGTAAGAGATAGTTTTTGAGTCAAGAAGGATGAGCTTCGAGTCACCTTTTTCACAGATATTCTTATCAGAGTTTGTTATTGTTTGAAAGCTGATCATTTGCTGATCTGCTATGAGATGTTGAATGGAGTTAGTGCTGTGCTACACTTCTGAGCATTGGGAATCATTTGGAAATCGAATCTTCTAGCACAATCAATGACTGTCATTTATCTTCCAAAGGTACCTTTGACGAATCAGATTTTCTCATTTTCCTCTATTGTGACTTTCAAGCATGCTTCCTGTTAGAGAAGAAACACAGAACTCTCCTTTCAGCTGCTTTTCATACAGTTAACATCAAAGAGAAACAAATGACTCGCAGTCACAGATAAAAAATTAGCCAATTACATACTGAAACTGGGACAAACAATAATGTCAATAAAATCGACTGGCACAAGCAGCCAGACCCATGAAGCCAGGATGCTTGGCAGAACGTAAGACTTTTAGTCTCTCAGAATCTCACTCCCCTTCCATTCTGTCACCCACTAGCAAAACTGGACAAATAGACAATAGATAATGGAGACTGGAATAAAAAGCCATGGCTCTGGCAAAGGTCATTTAGGGCCGATTTATCCAGGACAGCTGTGTAAGTCTGTGGAATGGACAAAAGCACTTCCCTCTTCCCCTTACGCAAACCTTCACGTAAAGGCGTTAACTTCATAGCACTTGGGACAGATGAACATTATTTCTAAGACATAATTCTTTTTTCTCTGGCATATAATTTGGAGGGGAAGAGAGCCATCGGTTAAAGATTCAAATACTTAAAAATTTGAACACTGTTTGCCAGACATTAAGAATAAATGGCTTGATTCAAGGTCAGGCGTCTTTGCAATGAAACGACCAGCCTGAGACATCACTGAGCTGGCCACCACACCATCTTCACAGCGCATCACTCTCCGAGTGGTCAGGGACTTGAGGCACATCCATCTGGATTGAGTAGACAGGTCATGGTGATCCAAAGTGACAGATTCTATTGCTCAATGGTCTTGTCGTTCCAGTTGATTAGACACAGCTTCAATTTTGACTAGGAGTTTAGAGATGGTGATGCTCAATGCATTCCAATTTGCAGTGATACTATAAAGGGGTTAGATATTGAGCTCCCATTGGTTATCTGGAGTCTGTGTGGTACAGATAATAAGCTATAGGTCCCATTATCCCCCGTGTCTGAATCCCTCCCCAGAAGAAAGTTAGGTGCTTAGAGAGGTTTATTAACTATTTAACGCCACTTAGAATACCATTTCATGCATTATTACTACGGTAAAGCACTCTAACACTTGCAAGGGAGCAGAATAACCATTTCCATGAGAGGTAGAGAAATGCCACTTTGGCTTGGCCTCTGACATCCTCCTAACCATCTCCAATCATGCCATTTTCAGGGGGGAGTGGCCTTCATATATTATGGTCTATTGTGGGACAGGGAAGGGGGTTTGGCCTTACTTAAAATATAAGTTTGGACTCATAATTACAATATTTTTTAAAGGCCAAAATACCTAGAGTAACTTTATAATAACCAAAAGCCAGTTTGGACATAGTATCTTTTTGCTTGTCAGTGGGTTTATTTCTCTCCCCTTAAGGCTAGAATGGCAATGGTTGTCGAATGTTTTTTCCTGTCTAAGAAAGAGAGAAGTGGAAGAGGGACAGTGCTCCTTGTCCTGTATCCTTTCTGACTGCACTAAATGTTTCCTCACACAGTATCCTGAGGGCTGGCTGTGGGGCCTGGGGAATGGGGTGATGAGCTGAGGTCAGCCCAGCACCCACAGCTGCCATCCGGACGTGGAGAAATGAGCCATGCCTTATGATACCCACGTGAAGGTCTGATGACCACGTGGAGTGGCAGGCATTGGAATCTAATAGAAAAGTCTTTGAAAATTTAATCGTCATATTATGTAGCAGATTCCTGGTCCCATTCATAAAGCATCAAAGTTGAGACTCAGATTTTTCTGTTCTAAAGGAAAATGGACCTCTATTACACAACTTAAAGAAGAAAATCCCAAGATTGGCTAACTTGAAACCCTCAGCAATTTTCTCTTCAGTTTTCTTTTTTTCCTTCTACTTCTGACCTGCAAGCAAAACTCCACTGTGACTTGACAGAACTCTCCTGTCTCTAAGTGATTTACAGAACAAAGACAGCTTTAAGGAGGTGGGGGTCATCTTTTTCACAAGGTGTTTTCTGGGCTGACTTACCACACCAGGAGCTATCCTGGAGTCATTTTATCAGTCCAATTCTGAACTGTGATAGCAATAAATGTTGCTAAGGGGCTGCATTTCCCTTCAGAATAATGTCTGAGAAGTGTTACCACAGCAAGCATGCCAAGTCAAAGTCCAGCCAGGGTGAATGGGAAAGGAGTATTCCCAAGGAACAGCCTGAGACAGGGTTCCAGGTATTGAAATATTCAGATTTGAAGCTTCTGGAAGCCCTTTCAGTGACCGCAGATGTGTGTGTATGTGTAGATGGAGGAGAGGAAGGGCGGAGAGAACAATGTTTTCTACGCTTCAATCTTTTGCCTTTAAAAAATAAATTTATAGACTTTATCTTTTAGAGTAGTTTTTAAGTTTACAGAAAAATGAGCAGAAACTAGAGAGTTCCCTTACACCCACTCACCACCTGCTCCCATTTTCCCTATTATTAACATTTTGCATCAGTGTGGAGTATTTGTTGTAATCGATAAACTGATAATGATACGTTGTTATGAATTAAAGTCTATGGTATACATTAGGGCTCACTCTTTGTTTTGTACCTTCTATTGGTTTTGACAAATGTACATTAAGAAGTATCCACCACTAGGGTTCACACAGAATAGTTTCACTGCCCTAAAAGTTCCCTGTGCCCCACGCATTTCTCTCTCTCTTTGCCAACCCCTGGAAACCACTGATTCTTTTACTATTTCCGTAGTTTTTGCCTTTTCGAAAATCATATACTGTATGATTCCAACTTTTCAGATTTTTTTTTTCATTTAGGAATGTGCATTTGCATTTACTTCAGGTCTTTTTGTGGTTTGATAGCTCATTCCTTTTCATCACTGAATAATATTCCGTTGTGTAGAAGTAACGGTTTGTTTATCCACTCACCTGCTGAAGGACATCATGGCCGCTTCCAAGTTTCGGCAGTTTATGAATAAAGGTGGTGCAAACATTCATGTGCAGGTTTTAGTGTAGAAATAAGTTTTCTGCCTTTCAGTTTTTTAGTACACAACTTTGATAATTTATATTAGAAATCTCAGCCCAGATTCATATAACCCATGGTCAGGGAAGAATGACAAGTATAACAAACACACATCCCAGACATAGCACAGGGCCTTGCAATTATAGTTGCTTGATAAATGCTAAATGAACAATTGAATGAGCAAATAAATAGGCTCACTTAGAGTGTTATGAACTGAATATTGCCCTCCCCACTGCCAATTCATATGTTGAAGTCCTAACTCCCGCAATGACTTGGAGATAGGACCTTTAAGGATGTAATTAAGAATAAATAAAGTTATAAGGGTGGGGTCCTAATCCAATAGAACTGATGTCCTTACAACAAGAGGAAGAGACATAAGAGATGTGTGTGTGTGTGTGTGTGTGTATGTGTGTGTAAAGAGTAGGAAGACAACTGTCTACAATTTAGGAAGAGAGGCCTCACCAGAAACCAGAAATCTTGGACTTTGACCCTCCAGAACTGTGGGAAACTTCATGTCTTTTGTTTAAGCCACTCAGTCTGTGGCATTTTGTTATGGCAGACTGAATAAACCAACATGCAGGGTCACTCATGGTGTTATTGGTAAGCTTAGGGTAAAGAGTAGAGATGTAGCCTTGTCTATTTTGGGCAGCCCTGTGGATTTGCATAGACAAGAGCCCATTTACCCTAGGCTCAGGGGGAAATTCACTCTACAGAAGCTGCTGAAAGGGGATCTAATAAGGCATCCCTGACTATTTTCTTGGATTGTTTCCTATATATGGAATTCCTAGAGGTGGGATTTCTAGGTTAGAGGGTGTTCTCAGTTTTAAAGAGCGTTACATGTGTTGCCATGTTACCAACAATACCCATTTACACTTCTACCAGGAGATTTTTTACCACATTTACCAAAGTGAGCTGTTGTCACTATAAAAAATGAAAGTAATATAAACTTGTCAACTTCATAAGTGAAACATATCTGACAATTTTTTTAAGTTGGTATTTATTTGTATTTATTGAGCTGGAGTATTTTTATTTCTTCAGTGACTTGCCAATTTATATCTTTTGTTCTTTTTACCATGTGTTCATATTTTTCATATTAAGTTGTAAGAAAACTTCATATATTAAGAAGACTAACTATCTGTTCCATGAAATGCACATTTTTTTCATGACTTTCTTTTGACATATAATGTTGTGTAGGTATTTTGAGTGTACAATTCTTCTTAATTTTTATGTGACTGTAATATATTGGTCTCTTCATTTTTTCTACCTTAAGCATCATATTCTCACCCATAACAAGATTCTATATGTGTGTATGTGTGTGTGTGTGTGTGTACTTGCATCTAGTACTAAGTTGTTTTGATTTTTGCAATTAAATCTCTAATCGTCCTGGAAATTCTTTGTGTATAAAGTCAACAATTGGAATCTCCTTCTGACTCTTTTCAAAGAAGTATGAATTAGTTTCCTTCTCTTCCTAATCCTTTTCTCTATTTCTCACTGCCTTGAAAGAAAAAATTCGAACCAAATTTGAAGATCTTCCATCAATAGTCTAAAAGAAGGGTCAAGAAAAGAGAGCTAGGAAAAGAGGATAGAAAGAAAAAAGATCAAGAGAAAGTTTTTGGTTTAAAAAACCAAGTAGAAAAGTCACTTTAGTTTTTCCATCTTCAAAATAAGCAGGTTGGACAGGATGATCTGTGGAGCTCCATTCCAGTTCAACTTTATAGGATTTGAGGATTCTGAGGGCAAACCACATCTCTTATCCCCTGTCTTTCTAAAATGAGACTAGTGTACCCTAAACAGCTATAAGCCAAAATGACTTCTAAGCTCAGGAAATACTGGAATGAGAAAGGATCTTAGAGGACTTTTAACCTCAATCAAATCATTTTGCTCATAAGGGCACTGGGTCCCAGAGAGGTAAATGGACCTACCCAAGGTCCCAGAACTGGTCAGCAGCAAAGTTCCAAAGTTGGCCTAGGGCTCAGGCCCCCAGACCTACACGCAGGTTCCCTTCCTCCCAGATCTTTAGCCACTCCTTTATTTATGCTTGCCTTTCTTTTCTTGAACTTCTTTTTGTTCAAAATTCATTTCACTCCAATTATGACTTTGCCCGTCCACTAGATGTGACAGTGTTTGACAGTGAAAGCTGAGAAAGAAGGTGACTTGCAACAGGAAATATGTAATGGATAGCTTCTTTCTCTTAGGAGATTTGCTGTGTGAGGCCACCATGTGCTTTACCCCCTCAGGCACTTTAAAATATCTTCCCCTGGGAGCCCAGAGATCTTTTCACTTCTTCTGAGAATCTGATTGCAGCCAGAGCAACAAATCTTCCATTTTTGCCTAAAAGCAATGAAATGATTACCTATATCCTTAATTTAAATTCCCACTGACAGCTCAGACACTGTTGCAGCTGGAGGGGGCGAGCTGACCTTCACATCTATTGTCAGTGCAGAGACAGAGGGGAATTTTATTGACCAGAGAAGATAATGTGCATTAGGGAAGCCAAGCAAGGATGCTCTGACCTATTGGAATATAGTACAGGGTCAAAGGGCAGAGGATTAGAGCTCCGTTGCATCGTTAGTGTAAATGCCAATTGTGTCCCTTTGTGTGCTTTGCTAGGACTCTCAGCTGACAGCCTGTACCTCGGGGACTGGCAAGAGAGCCCCTTTCAGCTGCTCTTTGCTTATCTATGGTACTGAGAAAAGCTTGCTGCCAGTCCCCTTGGGACTACCGCTTGACGAAAGGGAAAACAACCCATTGCAAGATCATGAATCCCAGAAATTCCATCTGCATATTTCCAGAGCCTCTGGTACACTGGGTCACTCCTTAGTGGGGCAGTTTACTGTATTTGCCTTTAGAAATGAACCCTCAGAAATCACTCCGGGGAATGCCCAGTGAACAACTCTGCTTTTCCCCACTCTCTCTTCTGCTAAGTGTCTCTGAAAAGTGCCTCTCTAGAGACACTTGTTCCTGGTAATATCCAGCCCCGGTAATGCATGAGTCCTGAATATTTTTGTTGTTTACTTCATTTCTCACATTCAATATACAGTAGAAACAGAGCAGGCTTTGGGGCCTAGTGTGAGTTCATCAAATGTCCTGGGAACTGACTCTCTTAGGGGCTGCCTTTCTCTACTGCAGGGACACAGCACTGTTCTTTCTACATGGCAAGCACTCTCCTATGTGCTTTACACACATTTTCTCATTAGGTAGGTATTACTTGTATCCCTCCTTGACAAATAAAGAAACTGTGGTGCAAAAACTAAGTAACTTCCCCAGAATGATACAGGGAGCAAGTGTAGGAAATGTGATGTGAACCCAAAGCTTTTGAGCTTTTGACTCCAAAGCTCAGGTCCTTAGTCCCTGAATTTTTCACCAGGACTTTCTCTTTCCCTGTAGTAGACACTCTTGGCATTCCACCAGATCCACATGAGCCAGCAGTGCATACTCCCTCAGTACTGTCAGTGTTGACCCTTGACAGCTCATGGCCTCCTCTTCTACCTTGGAAGTTATTTCTTACCCCACTGCCCCATACCTCTTTATTTCTGGAGTAGCTCACAGTCATTAATTGATCAACTTGAGGTACAAAAGGCTGGTTCCCTTACCACAAGCATGACCAACTCTGAGGGGCAATGCTTGCTCCAGAGTTCTCTGTGAGATCAGGCGAAAGCTGGACCCCAATGGAGACCACATCCTTACTTAGCTTAATTTCTTGTCCTAGCCTACTTTCCTCACCTGCCCCCACAATGCACACTCACACTTTTTTTTTTGAAACTAATTTCTTAATAAATAGCTTGAATGAAAATCCCCATCTCAGGCTCTTCTTCTATGGAAGCAAAACTCAAATACTTCCCATCACTCTTCCCACCCCTCTGTATTGGCTTCATCCGCAGACCAATTCTTCTCATATGCCATC
The DNA here is from genome assembly GCF_000001405.40 of Homo sapiens. Classification (NCBI taxonomy): domain Eukaryota; kingdom Metazoa; phylum Chordata; class Mammalia; order Primates; family Hominidae; genus Homo; species Homo sapiens. Next base: position 47,871,920 of record NC_000015.10, on the reverse strand, counting down.
AACATGGCACTAGTAGTTCCAGACCTAGATGGTGTCCTTGCACACAGAGCTCCTTTCTCACTTAACATTTTGGCAATCTTTTAAGATAAGGTCTCAGTGGTCAGTCTGGGCCCCATGCCAATGTGCTGGGGTGAAATGAACCTATGTGATTGACAGCTGCACACGGAGACAGACAATGTCAACAGAGATGAAGGGTGCTGAGATGCTGGTGGGAAGTAGTTCATGGGGCCAAGAAGATTGACAGAACGATCTGAGGTTTCTTTTAAGCTTTGCTGGCATGTCACTGTCATCACAGGATAGAGAAAACTTGCATTCACACGTCCTATCAGACTGGAGCTAGGAAAACTGTCACCATGGTTAGATGGTGTGGCTCCTGGTAAACAGGGGGCCAGGGTTCTCTGGGTGAGGGGAAGAGGGAAATAAAAGGGAAAAGAGTGGAGATCCAGGAGATAACAGACACCCATCCAGGTCCAGGTCTGTATGGGCAAATGGGCAACTGGATGGGAGATAATAAAACCTGTTTTGCATAATTCTCTGGATTCCATGTATGTTTGTAATTGGCTGTTGAAAATAAGCTTTTCTTCTGATAATCAATGGTAGCTGTAACTTTCCAGATACTGCAGAGATTAACAGCACATTAAGTCTCCCAACAACCCTGGAAGGTAGATGGTATTAGCCCCAGTACAGACAAGAGAAGAGTGGCTTCTCAAAATTACACAGCAAATCTGAACCCAAGCCAAGATGCCAGCTTCCTGTCTTTGGTACTTCATGAGCTAGCAGATGGTGGCTTTGTATTTGCTAGGCAGAGGCTGGGGAGCTTTATAAGCTAGAGGAGAGTCTGAGTCATAAACAAAGGAATGAAGGTCAAAGTTTTCCCTTCCCCATTTCTCATGAGCCAGTCTGGGATACATCTACAACTACTGGCCGCTAATGACTACTTAAGTAAAACATAGGTTATGGGCACTATAGTTACAATTTTATCTGTTAGGGGCTCAGCATGGAGCCAGAACCAGGGCTTGGCTGGTTTCAGACAGGCCAGATTGTGAGGCCAAGACCCTGAGCATACACCCACTGGGGAGGCTCAGACAACTTGGGCAGATTTTCAGGGTAGTATGGAGGAAGGTCTAGACTGACAGGTTGTGCCCAGCAGGAGGAGGGTACAGTCACACAGGTGTTATGTGGAATTTGACTGAGATAGGTGGTGATTGTTATCACAGAGGTCCAGCAAGGATCTTCAGTGATGATAGGAGTATTAGGGAAAACCATGAACAGGTAGCAATCAGAGCAAATAAGGGTCTGGGGCCAGAATTTTAATTCACTGAAGGCCTAAAGAAGGGGAAGCAGAACTTTACTTGCTGGAATGAAGCTCCAGTTCTTAAGTTTATTGCGGCTGGCCATGGGCCACTGTGAATGCCCAGGGGACAAGATTGGTCATCAACAGAGGTTTGAAAGGAAGCCAGAGTAAATGTCCTGGGATTCCCTTGGAGAACCCAAGATTTTGCAGGGATTGGATGGTGTCTTCATTTATTCAGGTTGTTATAACAAAATAATATCAACAAGACTTATAAACAATAGAATGGGTAACTTACAAACAACAGAAATTTATTGTTCACAGTCCTGGAGGCTGGAAAGTTTAAGATCAAGGTGTCAACAGGTTCAGTTTCTAGTGAGGACTTGCTCTTTGCTTTGCAGATGGCACTATCACACTGCAATCCTTATATGGTGAAAGGAGAAAACAAGCTCCTTGGGACCTCTTGTATAAGGGCACTAATCCTATTCACGAGGGCTCTGCCCTCATCACCTAATCACCTCCCAAAAGTCCCACCTCTTAATACTGTTGGGGATTAGATTTCGGCATGTGAGTTTTTGGAGGAGACAAACATGTAGACTGTAGCAGAAGGCCTGTGTGAATAAGTGGGTGTAAAAGCAGGATGTTTAGTGTATTAAAGTTATTAACATTTCGTTTTAATCTATAGCTGAAGAGGTCTAGGGAAACAACAGTTACTATGGCTGAGTAACACATCATCCTAAGACTTAGTAGCAGAAAACAAACACTTTATTTTGCTTACACTTCCCATGGGTCAACAATTCAAAGAGGATACAGAAAAGACAGCTTTCTTCTGCACTATGATGTCTGGGGCCTCAGCTAGCAAGACTCAAAGGCTAATGGTGACCTGGTGGCTGGGACTGAAATCATCTGGAGGTGTCTTCACTCACATGTTTGGTTGTCCATGTTGGCTGTCATAAAGGACAAGAAAGACCCAGGAAAATCTGCCATCTGCAGAACACATAGAGGGTTGCAAAGTGTGCCAATACGGAGCTACAGTCCTCACTTGTAGAGGACACGAAGTTGGGGGTAGATTAGTAGTATGCATTTTTCAGACTCAAAATCACCTTTTGAGTCTGCTGCAGCCACATGCCAAACCTGACAGATAAACTTATTTATTATCTTTCTGGGTCTCCCACCTTTTCTCAAGTCCACTTGGTGGCAGTCTCCAATTCAAGCAGAACATGGTCTGAATAGTTTGGGAAATAGTTATGAAAACGGGTGTGAAAATTATAATGACTAGGTCAAAGAATGTTGTTGCTGGAAGGGATTTTGGCAGCTATCTAAATCAGTAATGTTTAACAATTAATAAATGATCTTAACCTCTTTTATTCAAACAAAACATAAGGTCAATGACAGATATTTAGACAGAGAAAAACACAGCTGATCTGATGAGAGCAGAGATGGAGCTCCACAGCATTCACCTATTCAGCTGCTCCTTGGACACCTGTGTGGAACCCTAATGGCTCTATCCCATAATGAGGACATTAAATCCCAGAGAGACGAAATGCATCACCCAAGGTCACCCAGCAGATTTTTGATGAAGATAAGACATTCCATGCTCATGGATAGGAAGAATCAATATCATGAAAGTGGCCATACTTCCTAAAGTAATTTATAGATTCAATGCTATCCCCATCAAGCTACCACTGACTTTCTTCAAAGAATTAGAAAAAAACACGTTAAATTTCATATGGAACCAAAAAAGAGCCCATATAGAGAAGACAATTCTAAGCAAAAAGAACAAAGCTGGAGGCATCATGCTACCTGACTTCAAACTATACTACAAGGCTACAGTAACCAAAACAGCATGGTACCGGTACCAAAACAGATATATAGGCCAATGGAACAGAACAGAGGCCTCAGAAATAATGCCACACATCTACAACCATCTGATCTTTGACAAACCTGACAAAAACAAGCAATGGGGAAAAGATTCCCTATTTAATAAATGGTGTTGGGAAAACTGGATAACCATACGCAGAAAACTGAAACTGGACCCTTTCCTTACACCTTATACAAAAGTTAACTCAAGATGGATTAAGACCTAAAACCATAAAAACCCTAGAAGAAAACCTAGGCAATATCATTCAGGACATAGGCATGGGCAAAGACTTCATGTCTAAAACACCAAAAGCAATGGCAACAAAAGCCAAAATTGGCAAATGGGATCTAAGTAAACTAAAGAGCTTTTGCAAAGCAAAAGAAACTATCATCAGAGTGAACAGGGAACCTACAGAATGGGAGAAAATTTTTGCAATCTATCCATCTGACAAAGGGCTAATATTCAGAATCTACAAATAACTTAAACATATCTACAAGCAAAAAACAATTACCCCATCAAAAAGTGGGGAAATGATATGAACAAACACTTCTCAAAAGAAGACATTTATGCCACCAACAAACATATGAAAAAAAAAAAACTCATCATCACTCATCACTGGTCATTAGAGAAATGCAAATCAAAACAAAAATGAGGTATCATCCCACACCAGTTAGAATGGCGATCATTAAAAAGTCAGGAAACAACAGATGCTGGAGAGGATGTGGAGAAATAGGAAAACTTTGACACTGTTGGTGGGAGTGTAAATTAGTTCAACTGTTGTAGAAGACAGTGTGGCAATTCCTCAAGAATCTAGCACCAGAAATACCATTTGACCCAGCAATCCCATTACTAGGTATATACTTAAAGGATTATAAATCAATCTACTATAAAGACACATGCACACGTGTGTTTATTGCAGGACTGTTCACAATAGCAAAGACTTGGAACCAACCCAAATGCCCATCAGTGATAGACTGGATAAAGAAAATGTGGCACATATATACCGTGGAATACTATGTGGCCATAAAAAAGGATAAGTTCATGTCTTTTGCAGGGACATGGATGAAGCTGGAAACCATCATTCTCAGAAAACTAACACAAGAACAGAAAACCAAACACCACATGTTCTCACTTATAAGTGGGAGTTGAAAAATGAGAACACATGGACACAGGGAGGGGAACATCACACACCAGGGCCTGTTTGGAGGTGGGGGGTTAGGGGAGGGATAGCATTAGGAGAAACACCTAATGTAGATGACGGCTTGATGGGTGCAGCAAACCACCATGGCACATGTATACCAATGATACAAACCTGCATATTCTGCACAAGTATTCCAGAACTTAAAGTATTAAAAAAAAAGTTTAGGGTGAGAAGGGCCTGCTATAGAAGAGTCAGGTATTAGATAAGAAATTATATGTATCTTAGGCTTTATATTGTTTCCTTAACATTGATGATATGCTATTAATTATTAAGAGATACAAGTTAAACAAAAAGAATGAAACTCAGGATTCTAACTCTCAGACTAGGGCTATTTTTAATTTTTAAATGAATACTTTTAATATATATTACATAAGTAGCATTTTTATTTTAGAAGATTTTAAAGATACAGACATGTACAAGAAAATAGAAATCATTCTTAATCCCATCATGAAGGAATAGCCATTTTTAACATTTTAGCATATGCCTTTCCAGCCTTTTTATCTTTGTATATACACATAGGAACCAAACACAAACATTGTTCTACAACCTGATTTTTTCTCTTCATAATTTCATATGAGTATTTTCCATGTCATTAATTTTTTATAACATCATTTTAATGGTTTCATAGCAGTCAATCCTAAGGCAGTACCATGATTTATTTATCAGTTCTCCTGTTATAAGATATTCTATCTATTTCTTCTATTTCTTGCTTTTTGCAACTATAAAGTAAATTGTGACCAACACCTTTGCAGATACATCATGCACATCTGGGTTAATTTGAGTATGACACATCCCTGGGAGTGGATTTCTGGCTGAAAATGTATAAACATTTTTTAAAGTTTTTTGAAACCTTCTGCCAAATTGGCTGGGCTTCCTTCTCTATAGCACCAGGGTGCTTCTTCCTAAAAGGCCACTCTGCGTTGCATGGTACAGATGTTCACCCTTGGGAAGAATGATATTCATTGTTTTTAGTTCTCTTTACAAGATAGAACCATAGCAACATAGAATTGGAAGGAACTTCAGAAGCTAGAAGCTAGATGGACCATCTCTCTCTCCATTCTAACTAGCAGAATTTAACTTGAGAGTGGGGAAAATGGGGAGAAAATTAGCAACAGGAAAATTTTCAAATGATACCATTCCGGGGTCATTTACAAAGGTAACATGATTTACCATTGCTCTAGTTTGAATATCTGACCCTCCAAACTTCACATTGAAATTTGATCTTCAATACTGGAGGTGGGGCCTAATGGTAGGGGTTTAGGTCATGAAGGAGAATCCCTCATTAATGGCTTGATTCTGTCCTCACAGTAATGAGTGAGTTCTTGCTCTATTAGCTCCTAAGAGAGTTCCCTTGAGAACTGATTGTCAAAAAGAACCTGGCATCCTTCCCCTCTCTCTTGCTTCCTCTCTTGCCATGTAATTTGCACACATTTGTTCCCCCTTGCCTTCTGCCATGAGTGGAAGTTTCCCGAGGCCCTCACCAGAAGCAGAAGATGGTGCCATGCCTCTTGTACAATCTGCAGAATTTGGAACCAAATCAACTTCTTTTCCTTATAAATTATACAGCCTCAAGCATTTCCTTAAAGCAACACAAATGGAATAACATATTTATAATGAGATAAGAATCAGGATTTCTTGCTTTAGCCTTAGTTGGTATTTAGGTGTATCTGGCTGTTTTCAAAGGACTGGTGGGGTGTGCCTGGCAGGAGTGTCTTCAATAGAGCATCTTAAGGAAACATAGTTGATTAAGGGAACTTGGAAGGAATGGAGGATTCTGAACGCAAGGATTATCTCCAGGCCTGTATGAGTTTCTTATTTAAATCATCACAAATATTTTATTTGTTATTTTAGGGACTTAAAATAACAGAAATGTATTCTTACATTTCTGGAGGCCATAGGTCCAAAGTGAGTTTTATGGAGGTAAAATGAAGATGTAGACAGGGTTGGTTCATTGTGGAAGCTTCAGGGGATAATGAATGCTTTGGCTCTTCCAGGTTTTGGTGGCTGCCAGCATTCTTTGGCTTATGGTCACATCATTCCAATTTTTGCTTCTATTGTCACAACACTTTTTCCTGTTCTGTATTCAAACCTCTCTGCCTCCCACTCATAAGGACACTTCTGATTACATTTGGGGCCCATTCAAATAATTCATGGTAATCTACCTGTGTCAAAAATACTCATTTTAATTATATCTAATCACTAGTCACTTTTGTCATATAAGGTAACATTCAAAAAGTTTGGTGATTAGTGGCCAGGCGTGGTGGCCCACGCTTATAATCCCAGCACATTGGGAGGTCGAGGGGGGCAGATCACCTGAGGTTGGGAGTTTGTGACCAGCCTGACCAACACAGAGAAACCCCGTCTCTACTAAAAATACAAAAAAATTAGCCTGGCGCGGTGGCACATGTCTGTAATCCCAGCTACTCAGGAGGCTGAGGCAGAAGAATTGCTTGAACCCAGGAGGCAGAGGTTGTGGTGAGCCGAGTCCATGCCATCACACTCCAGCCTGGGCAACAAGAGCAAAATTCTGTCTAAAAAAAAAAAAAAAAAAAAAGTTTGGCAATTAGGGCCTGGATATCATTTTTTGGGTACCGCAAGGACCAAATGCAAAACTTTGCTAAATTTGGGGTCAAGGAAGTTGTGATAAGAATGTCAAGAGAAAAAAGCCATGTCTTTAAAGTCTAGATACCGGTAGACTGGGCTAAGCAACCAGGAGCAAAAACAGGGCAGCAGCAGTACGGGGAAACTTAATATCAGTCAATAAGTCATTATTCACAACGTAAGCACCTTTGTCTCAAATATCAGTGCTCTTGGCCTTGGACTCAGCACTTAGCTTGGAAGACAGTAGTATAATCATGTGCTTAGCTTCCACCATTGTTACTACTGTAGCACTCTGGAATAGAAAAGAAAGAAATTTTTTAAAATTTAGCCAAAAAGACTGAGAGCCTGCAGAGATTATAGCTATGCAAGCCATTTGAGGATTTGAAGACAGACTATATTGGTTCCTTTTCACTGCTATAAAGAACTACCTGAGACTGGATAATTTACAAAGAAAAGAGGTTTAATTGATTCACAGTTTCACATGAGGCTGGGGAGGCCTCAGGAAACTTAAAATCATGGGCAAAGGGAAGGAGAAGCAAGGCACATCTTACATAGTGGTAGGCGAGAGAGGGGGAAGGGAACTGCCCAGCATTTTAAAACCATCAGTTCTCATAAGAACTCACTCACTATCACAAGATCAGGATGGGGGAAACTGCTCCCATGATCCAACCACCTCCCACCAGCTCCCTCCCTTGACACATGGGGAGTACAATTCGCGATGAGATTTGGGTAGGGACACAGAGACAAACCATATCAGGGACAAATTTCCCACAGAATAAATGTGGTGAGGTGGTCAAGCCAGAGAAATCCTGTGTTGAGTTTCTAGCTGTTAGCCATTTGTATCTTCAGGCTGGTGGACCTGGAAAATATGGGTTCTACAAACATGCCAAAGCTCATGTGGCTACAGAGAAGCCTCAAGGTAGCTATCTGAAGGACTGCACTTACGCAGAGGCAGTCACTGCTTACAAGTATAGTCACTCCTTAGCTGGAGCTCCTTCAAGATCTTTGGCTCATTTTTTGTAGTGTCCCTATCAAACATAAATGTTCACCATTCCTTGAGTTTTTGGAAACAAGTTTACTGAATAAGGCATTTGATTAGATTATTATTTTCTTTTTTTCCTTCTTCTACTTTTTGGTAAATAAAGTTTTACTGATACACTGCCATGCACATTCATTTACATATCTTCTATGGCTGCTTTCAATTGCAACAGCAGGTTGAGTAGTTGGGGTGGTTATCATATGACCTACAAAGCCTAAGATATTAACTGTCTGGTTCTTTGCAGAAAAAGCTGGCTGATCCCTGCTTTAGGGCCATATGCTGTCTATGTTGCCCCTTCTCCCCCTTCTCCTTCTCCTCTTCTTCCTCTCCTTCCTCCCTCTTTTCCTCCCCTCCTCTTCCTTCTCCTCTTTCTTCTTCTTTTCCTTCTCCTTCTCCTCCTGCTTCTTCTTCTTCTTCCCAGCTTCTTTTTCCTCTTCTTCTCCCAATCCCTCCTTCTCCTCTTCTTTTTCATCTTCATCTCCATCTTTCTCTCCCTCTCCTTCTTCTTCACCTTTCTCTCTCCGTTCCTTCCTTGCTGACATCCTTTCTCTCTCTCTTTATCTTTCTCTTTTTTACAATCCTTTAAAAAGGTAAGAAGAAGTCTTAGTTCTAGGGCCATACAGAGGCTTCTGACTATAGTCTGCAGCCCCTGCTGTAATCTACAGCATTGATTCTAATTGTGTTATTTAAGACTGTTTTCATGCAATTAATATAAAACCCAGCCCAAAATTGCTTAAGCAAAGGGGAAAGGGGAGCTTATTGGCTCATGTCAATAAAGAATCTGGAAGAATCTTTAATTTCAGGTGGAGCTCACCCCAGAGGTTTACAACTTTATCCCCAGGGGCTTCACATCTCTATGCTTCTCTCAGCTCTGCCCTCTTCAGTGAGTGGGCTTTGTCCTCCCTTCATTGCTGCAGAAATGGCTAGCATAGTTCCAACCACCACATCCTTTTACATATCATCCAAAGAAAACTCTCCCAACAGCTCTCTTGGAAAGTGAAAAGCCTTCTTTCTTAATGGCTTCCAGCAAACATCTCCTATTTTATTGGCTCATATTGAGTGAACTGCCCATCTCTGAACCAATAACTGTAGCCCAGAAATGGACTTCTCCTACTATCTTAAGATAATTTCACCTAAATATTTTGGGCTATGGAAAAAGACTGGTTGGACTGGTTGTCCCAATGGAAATATAGACCCCTATTATACAAAGAGTGCTCCAGGGAGCAGTAACATCAGCATCACCAGAGAGAAATGCAGAGTCTCAGTTCCCACTCCATGCCTACTGAACCAGAGCATGTGTTTTCACAAGACCCCCAGATGACTCATCTGCACATTCATGTTTGAGAAACACCGGTTACTCTTACTAAGAAAGGGAAACGGATGCTGAGCAGAAGCAACAGGTAACTACTACAGAATTTTCCCTGTGATGGTGTTAAATTGATTTTGACAGCATTTTCCATAGAGAAGATTACAAAACGATTTGAGCAGTTATCATTTATCAGTTTGAATGTTTTCAGTGACAAATAGGAAACCTCCAACTCAACAGTCTTAAAGAATAAGGAAAAAAAATCTTACAAACAAAATGTTACACAGTAGAGTAGCTCTCAGGCTTGCTAATTCTTATTAAAACCTTTCCTTGAAGACTTCCAGTGGGCCTCTTCTCACATTTCATTGGCCAGGACTGGCATCCCTGCCCACTTCTAAGCCTGTTTCTACCAAAGGAAGTCTGCATCACTTGCTTGGGCAATTCAGAATGTACCTGTGACTTGTGAGAAGAAGGAGAGGACACCCAACCAAATCTGGTCCCCATCAGAGAGGAAGAAGGGCCATTGATACCCAGGGACCAGCCAAAGTGTCTTTGGTATATTCGTGAAATTTCCTAAGATTGCTACTATTTATGCTAATAATTATTCTAGGATGCTTAATTTCTTTTTCATTGCCTGTTATTTTATAGCCCTATCTTAAAATAAATAACTTCATTTGTTTGTGTATTTTTTAACATGAAGCAAGAAAAATTTTTAGTGAGAAAAGGAAAATAGGCAAACAGCAGGAAAGAGTTTTCATATTCTGACTTCTGATTGAGTGTGACAAAAGGCAACATAAATAAAAAAGACACTTGACAGAATCCTTTACAAAAGAGATCTTATTTGTTTTGTGTTTGGGCAGCACAGCCTCCTTTTCTCAGGTCTGCAGCTGGGGGTCAGACTGTCTGTATCTACCACGATCACTAAAAGTTTTGGCATTGTGCTACTTAAGCCCCGGGGTACGCATTTAAATTGTCATATTTGTTCTGCCTCACGATGACATTCTTCCGCAAGCAAAGAAAAATAGAGTATGTGTGGTTGTTGTGAACGAATAAAACGAGATACACTTGCCCGTCACACAAGGAAGTTGGGGGCTTCTTAACACTTAGACTTGTTTTCCTTCATTAAGGCTAAATACCAAATTCATTCTCAGTTTCCTGAGAACAAGGCCCAGTGCTGGGATGAATTAGAAGGCAGTTAATTATGCCCAATGCTGTGTCAATCCCCTATTGAAGATGTAAGTGCTTGCAAGGAAAGGGTGGACAATCCAGAGCCCCCCAGGGGCTGCAGCCTGTGAATGGATGGCCTCTCTTCAGGGCTCTGTTTAATAAGGGGGCTCTGCAGCAACCCTGGGCCCCCTGCCTTGTGACCCATCAGTCTGTTGTGGTAGGGGGCAGTGGGTGGTTTTGCGCTGGCTTTATTTGGTTGTTGAATGGATGGTTTCCTCATGATTTCCTTTGTTCCCATTTTATTAGCAATCTTCCTGTGCAGACGAGTTTTGGACAAGTGTGGATGCTGGAAGGATTTCTATTACGGATTTCACAGGCTTCAAAATGGTCATGCTGGCACTTCACCAGTCTCCAGTAGGTTTTACCCTTAAGGCCTGGTTGTTTTTGCACATTCTTCTTGGATTTTACAACAGTAAGAGCATTTACCATAAATGAGGTTCACATAGCTGCCAAGCCCTGTGTCAGACCCTTTAAGTGCAGCTCATTCAGTGCTTTCAACCACCCTTTGCCATGGGTAATATTATTTCCATTTACTGATGAACCACTGAAGTTCAGAGAGGCTGTGACTTGCTCATGGTCACATAGCAAGTAGATGATAGATCTACAGGTAAAACACAACTTTAATTTATACTGAAGACTGTGCTCTTTAAGGCCCAAGGGTGAGAGGACCCTTGGCTTCACCCTGTTATTTGGTTTTATTTATAACACATTTGCAGCCTTCTAAGAAAGAAAGGCATTGGAGGCAGAGCAGAGCCCAGGATCAGAGGCTAAATATTTGGAAACCACAGGCTCACAGACTGTCATTTGTGTGGTTGTACTAGTGAAAAACTAGGAAACATGAACTTCACTTTGGTGCTCCAGGCCCTCAAATTATCATTTGGGGTGGGTCCCTGCTTCTCCAGGATGGATACTTTTGTTTATTGCCGTATTCCCAGAACCTAAAAGTGCCTAGCAAATATGCAAAAAGCACTGTATTAGTAAGGGTTCTCCAGAATTAACAGGATCTCTCTCTATCTCTCTCTCTCTCTCTCTGTGTGTGTGTGTGTGTGTGATTGTCTGTCTACATGCACACACACACACACCACATATATATGAAGATATTTATTATAAGATATTGGCTCTTGAGACTATGGAGGCTGAGAAGTCTCATGATCTACAATCTACCTTCGGCAAGTTGGAGACTCATGAGAACCAGCAGTATAGTTCAGAGGCCTGAGGTTCAGAGAGCTGATGGGATAGATTCCAGTCTAGATCTGAAGGCCTGAGAAGCAGAAACAGCGAGGGCAGGAGACGATGTCCCAACTCAAGCAGCTAGGCAGGGTTAATTTAATCTCCCCCGACCCTCCACTCCTTTTGTTATTCTATTCAGGCCCTCAGCTGACTGGATGAAGCCCACTCACATTAGGGACGGCCATCTGTTGTACTCAGTCCACCATGTCAAATGCTCATCTCTTTCAAAAACACGCTCACACTGAAGGTGAGACACACCCAGAAACAGTATTTAACCAGTTATCTGGGCATCCCATGAGCCAGTCAAGTTGACACATAAAATTAAACATCCCAAGCACCAAATGCATCTGAATGGATGGAGAGGAGTGGTAGGGGGTACAGTAAAGGAGCAGGTTCCACTTATTTCTTTATTTTTTTAAAAAAATAACCAGAGCATATTATTTTTAATTTGAAGTTCAAATTTTAAATTATTGCTGTATGACATTGGACTAGTTACTAATCATCTCGGAGTTTTAAAGATAATAATATCTGTCGTGGTTTTATTGGGAGGATTGAATAAAATGAGACAAGGAATATAGAGTTTAGCACAATTTCTGAATGAGGCAGGATTTTGATAAATGATGCCTGTTGTCATCATCATCACAGTATTTTTGCTAATATTGGGAATAGTAATGTCAGGTCTCTTTCTAACAGAATGAGGGGCTTGGCTGCTAGATACTTGTGTTTTATAACTCTCAGAAAAGGAGTTTATTGTCACTTGCTCACATTGCTCGGCAGGAAATGGGCCTGGAATCCTGGCCATGGTGGGCAGGGTATCTGTGGATTTCTATTTTCCACACCAATTGCATATTTCACATGTCTGTTTCCTGGTGGTTGACTGCCCTCCCATTCCTGACCTACCGGAATCATCATCATTTCAAGAAACAAACATAGGAATATTCCCCTTCCAGGTAAGATACAGCCTAACCAGCATTTTCCCCAAATGAGTATTTTAAAACTAGAGATTTGTATGGCTCATTTAGAACCATTTTACCAGAAAAGGCAGCCGCAGGGAAAATGACTTAAAAGGACATGTGAAAGATGGACTCAGCTTGTCTTCGTGGTAACAGAAATATTGCTATTATTAATATCATGCACTTAAAGAGTGCTGCTTTCCCAAGGAGCTCAAAGCATTGCACATATATTATCTTATTTCTCCTTGCCATATGCAAGGGAGGTAAAAGACAGAAATAGGCAATCTTCAGAAAAAAAAAAACAAAAAAAAAAACACTGTTTACTGAAGTAGCTTTGGGTTGGACTGGAACCAGATCAAATCATCCCTGTCTGGTAGGGAGAGAGAATCATAGTCCTGGGAGCTCCTGACCTCCTGTTGCACTTTGCTGAACGCTGGGGGAGGTACCCCAGCGGGAGGTGAGAATGTCCCGAGAGAGAAACCTGCACCCACACCTTGGGGAGAGACAGTATGCTGTGAATCTCCCGGCTTTTCAGCTGCCTTCAGAATTCACAGCTGGTTTGGGGGTCCCACTTCCACTTGGAATTGCACACCCTTCTGAATGAGAGATTGAGGTGAGTGCCTGCCCCGTGGCATTTTGTTGATCTGACATCTTGGCTTCTGATCTTGGGTGTTCACGCAATTCTCCAGGTAGAGTCAGGAGTGTTCCGCATTACACAGAACCTTGCCCTCTAAAGGATATTGAACACATTTAGCATTAGGTAGTAGAAGAGGCACTGGACTGGGCTCTCCTGTTGCACCAGCAAGGAAAGATTCAATGCAGTGTCACACACCTAAGAAGCAGTCTGTGAGTGCAGGCATTTATTTCACAGTCTACACCCTTGGCCAGAATCTACTGCACACATGTCACACTCATGTTCACTTTGACTGGAATTTGACTCAACAGAGAGCTAGTAGTGAAGGGCTTCAAGCCCACATTAGATAAATGCTATACTATGTCTGAATTGGAGCCTGATGGGGTCACCTTTCTCATTTACAGGTGATGGGAACTTTGGAGAAAGTGAGAGTCTTTGAGGACAAGAAGAACCACTCCAAAGGCTCCCTTGGGTCTGTGTGGGGGAGAAAGCTTTACATGTCAGAATCTGACAGACTTGGACTTCCAATCCCGGATCCACGTGTACTTATCTGTAGGTTCTTGGAAAGCTCTTTAAACAGTCTGAGTCTCCACTTCCTCATCGGTAAAATTAGCATCATAACCTATATGAGGTTGTGGTTTTGAGGCTTTAAGGCACATGACAGGTTATTCCTCATCAAGGGGAGCTCAGATAAGACTGTGGGAAACATATAATGGCTCAAGAAAATTTACCTTTCTGTTTTGCTTCCAGGTTTAGGTAGCTTAGAGCCCTCAATGTTGCCAGGAATGGTAAAATTGAATACATCCCTCTGGGAAAACTCCAGGAAAATGCTGGCATTTCATTACTATTTACTGTGAGAACATTTGTTCATTTGTTCAGTTGGTCAGTGAGAGAACAAATATTTAGTAAACTTGTTAGGCACTGGGCTAAATATTACAGGTAACATGATGGAAAAAGACCCAATCCCTGCCCTCAAGGAGTGGCAGCTGTTGTATTTGGTTGATTTCCCCCCAGTTGATGATATTAAAACCCCACGTGGCCTGAGTAGAGTTGCTGAAAGAGCGGTGAGAGAAAACAGCAAATGCTTGTCTGAGTTCACGTAGCCCTGGGAGTTGGCAATTCCAATCACAATTACAGTCTTTTCTGTCAGGGTTGACCTTTAAGGAGATTGCCTCAATTATAAAAGGTCAACATCTCCTGGTTCTGGCACAAGCAAGTCCTGAGCTCGGTAATAAAATATAGCCAAATAACCCCATGGAGTCTCTTACCTCTGCCACCCAGCAATGGCCTGTGGCTGTTAGACTTCTTTGGAACATAGTGGTCATGTAGCTGTCAGATGCAAGGTGTGTACTGGGAAATTTGTATTTACATCTTAATGTCAGTCAGCCTGTGGACTTTTAAATTAGCAATTCAAACTTTGGTTTTATAGCTAGTTAGTCATTACGCCCAAACAAGTCAATTTCAAGGATTATGCACTTCTCCATACAAAAGTTAAGGTATGTGAGTTAAGGCTATAGTATGTAACTTTTAGAGGACTCATTCCTCCAGGTATGAGGGCAAGTGGGCAAGAACATGCTGTATAAATTCCTGCTTTTCATCTTGCTGCCTTGACACTTCTGGATTCAAACTCCAAAAAGATAAATTACATCTTTTGATGTAATCTGTAAGGATAATAGT
The DNA here is from genome assembly GCF_000001405.40 of Homo sapiens. Lineage (NCBI taxonomy): Eukaryota > Metazoa > Chordata > Mammalia > Primates > Hominidae > Homo > Homo sapiens. Next base: position 47,856,900 of record NC_000015.10, on the reverse strand, counting down.
GACTCTTGACCTCATTGTATTGCCCTGCTGTGAAACTCTCCATTTGTGTGGACTACAAGACCCCATCTCTCCAGACCCAAAGAGTAGAAGACAGACCAGGTTGAATATTTTCTTCACAGGGACAAGACGAAGAAGAGTTCATAGAGAACAGTGAGCTGGGTCAGACTCATGGCGAGTCTGCGGAACTGACTTCCCACCTGCACAGTTTCTTCTGTGAACCAAACCCAGCTCTATCTTCACATCAATTCCAGAGAGTTGTCCTGTGTGTCACCAGACAGGAAAACTGGTTTATTCTTGGGCCAGTGGCACAAAATCAAGCTGGGGACTAATTTTTCTTGATTTTTAAAATTTTATTTTAATTATTGATTTATTGATTGATATAGGGTCTGGCTCTGTAGCCCAGGCTGGAAGTGCAGTGGCATGATCTCAGCTCACTGCAATCTCTGTCTTCTGGGCTCAAGTGATCCTCTCACCTCAGCCTCCCAAGCAGCTGGGACTACATAGGCAAGTGCCACCACACCCAGCTAATTTTTTAAATTTTTGGCGGAGACAGGGTTTTGCCATGTTGCTCAGGCTGGTCTCAAACTCCTGATCTCAAGCAATCTGCCAGCCTCGGCCTCCCAAATTCCTGGGATTACAGGCGTGAACAAGTGTGCCCAGCCCAATCTGGGAACTAATTTTAAAGCATCTTTTCACGTAGCATAGATTTCCTCATCAGGGGACTGGAATTTCCAGCTCTTGTGCCCTTGATATTTGAGTTGCTTTTTAAGCTCTAGTTTTCAGTCACTGGAAGATCTTTTGATAAAATACTATTATCGCACTTCTTTGCTTACTCCTAGAATAATGCTGATAGCAGGACACTTTCTGATATGGTGGTTAGACATTTGCATTGGCTTTTGGATAGTATGTCAGTTGTTAAAATTTGGACTTTTCATAACACAGAAAAGAGCTTCTCACCTCTGGGCCACAAGGTTTATGGATGAATTGAAATTTTTATAATTATATCCAAACAATTTTAAGTATATACATTTTTCTGGGGGAAAAGAGCTGATGTTCTTGTCAGACACTCAAAGCAGTCAGTGACCTAGAAGAAATGAAAAACCACCAATCTAAACAAGGTTTCCTTAACTTCAGTAGCTGGTAGGTCACTCGGAGAGATTAAAGGTCAATTATAGCTGGAGACAGGAGTAATAGGGAAGGTCCGTCTGCAGTAAAGGAAGGTGATTCTCAGACCCCTAGAAAGTGTGAGTATTGTCATCATGGGCCTGGAGCCTGGTTCAGATGGAATGTATTTTGGTTTTGGTGCCTGTATTCTGGCTTCACAATATACATCATCCCGTTGCTCTGTGATGAGTTTTTTATGGAAACACCTTGTCCAGAGAAGCACCTTACTTACTTCAATTACACATTAATTATAATTTCATGGGCTTCTTATTGCCAAAAAATAGGAAAGCCTTGCCAATATGAATTGTATTTTATTCTGGCCAGGGGTAGTTTTACTTTTATGGTATCAGAGGAACACCATTTTTGTACCCAGTTTTCTGTGTAAATAGTAATGGAAAGTAAAAAGCACAAAGCCAATGAGGAGAACTATTAGAACCCAAATCATACAACAAAAGGCTATGGGGAAAAGAAGTGATTCATAAAATGAAAGAGAAGCATTTAAACCCTTCCTCAGTAATAAGCTCAGAGAGATTAGAAAATATATTCACGAAACAAGATTTGAATGCCATAAAAAGACACTGAGAGAACAAGAAAAAAGAAAAAGCCTCTGCTGATTAACATACAATTGCCAAAAGCAACCAAAAAATCAATAAAAGAATTAAAGTCTGTGGTATTTCTCAGAAAATAGAAGAAAAAGACAGAAATGGGAAAAAAATGCAAGAAAAGATAAGAGACATAGGGAAAGGAAACATCCAGGGAGTGCATATTGGATTAATAAGCTTCTTAGAAAGAAAGAATTAAGAAAACAAAAGGAAGTAAAAAATCAATAAAAAAAGGAATTTTCTCAGAGCTGCAATACTGGCACCATCCAATGGAAAGGACTTACAAAGTGCTGATTCCAAATAATAGAAATAAACCTTTTCTAGACACAGCCTTGTGAATTCAGAACACCAGGGACAAAGAGAAGACCTGCAAATCTTTCAGAAATTATTTTCCCAAATCCCTACAAAGAAAAAAGAATGCAATTGGCATCAGTCTTTTCAAAAAGCAAGGTTGGAAGGTAGAAGACAATGAAGCAAGAAACTTCAAATTTGACGGAAAATTATACTCAAGCTCAAAGTTTATGTCCACTGAAGTGGGAGTTCGGAATAGAAAGCCTTTTAGACAGTAAGTATTTAGAAAATGTACACCTCATTACTGATAAGTTTGAAATATCAGGTTGAGAAAAGTGGAGGAAAAGGGGCAGCTGAGCAGCTGCCAGAGAGAGTTGCCAAAATTAGGCCATGGCTTTAGACCCGTGGGACACCACTCCCACCTCCATTGAAGGCTGAACATGCAGTTTGTCTCATGGTTGCTCCTGGGCCTGGGCACTAGGCACCCTAATACCACTGTCTTGGGGTCTACAGAAATTCATCACTCCAGCCACTGCCGCCAACCATACCATCCAGACTTAACACTTCATGGTGCCCACTTCTTTGAGTCATTAGTTCTTAATTTAAAGTCTTCAGTAGTAAAATTTTATAGGCAAATCCTAGGTAACTTGTTCATGGCCTAGATGCAAAGGATATCAGGGAAGTAGACTGGGGCATTTTCAGCTTTCAATAGAGGAACTTGGGCTTTGACTCCAAAAGACGCACCCTGTGGAAAATTCCCCAGCACAGAAAGAGAGTTTAGGTTCTGAGTATAAAAATATTTACAAATGTCTTTGCAAGATAGCTTGGACATGTTTGGTGATATGTTCAAGGCAAAAGCACAAACTGAAATGAAAAAAAAATTAGAAACTCCAAGGAAAACAAAAGAAGGAGAGTAATGGTCCAACCGTGAAGCAAAGTCAAATGTAAATTGATTTTATAGAATTAATTGAGTATAATGGGAAAACACACTTTTAGCTTTGATGCTAGAAACTTTTCCTACCAATGACTCAAGGATCCCAAGGTGAGACCTACAAAGAAGAGGTAATCCTGGCATGCTGTTCAATACAGGAATGAACAGCATTTGCATGATCATGATAATGTAAACAGGTTTTTGTTTTTGTTTCCAATGTTTTCTATCAGTTTACACAAAGTACATTTGCTCATGATTGCAGGACAGAATGTAAACAACTTTGACAATGCTAATGGATGGGTGACAGGGAGGCATGTAGAGGGTGGAAGGAGAAAAGGTAGAGGAAAAGGTAGGATACAAATATATTCATCCTACATTTAAGCCTACATTTGCATGGAGTTGATTTTTTGTTTCGATTTGTTTTCTATTTTAGTGTTGGTACTGCCTGAATTTCAGTTTTAGAAGATATCAGCAAAGATCTGCAACAGAAAACTATATTTTCAAACTAAGCTCCTTACTTTGACAGAAGTTGTTGAGTTCGAAATTAATTCTTGTCTGTAGATCAATGGATTGCATAAATGGCAGATCAACCTTGACAAGATGGAACAAATACAATCATTAGTGAAGTCCTAACAATGCAGAACAATTGACTGTGAATTTAGGTCAGTTTGTCTGCCTTGAAACACTTTTACTCTATACTATTTCATACTTGACTAGTCTTTACTGTGTGCTTGACGTATTTTGTAATTGTTTTGTAGGCAATTTGGAATCGCCAATATAAAAAAAAATGTATTTATTTAAGACGTGAATGTGTAGAATATGGACAGCATAGTTAACCAGAAGTTTTAACATAGCACAGGAAAGAAGGGCATAAGTATAGTAAGATTTTGGAATGGTACCAATGGTTAGAATATGGGGGTTGAATGTGCAGGGAGGAGAAGAATTCTGCTAAAGTATGGGAGTGGAGCAGCGCTGTATTTCCAGAAGACAAGAAAATCTGGATCTGGAGTCAGTGTTTCACAGTTCCTTCATAGCAGGGACTTCAGATTTGGCAGGCAATGTAACGGGCCCAAGAAGGGGACCTCCTTATGCATGCAGGGTGGTACCTGCCTTTTCTTTTTCTTTTTTTTTTTTTTTTTTTGAGATGGAGTCTCGCTCTGTCATCCAGGCTGGAGTGCAGTGACACGATCTCGGCTCACTGCAAGCTCCGCCTCCTGGGTTCAAGCCATTCTCCTGCCTCAGCCTCCCAAATAGCTGGGACTACAGGTGCCCGCCACCACACCCGGCCAATTTTTTATATTTTTAGTAGAGACGGGTTTTCACCGTGTTAGCCAGGATGGTCTCAATCTCCTGACCTCATGATCCACCCGCCTCGGCCTCCCAAAGTGCTGGGATTACAGACGTGAGCCACTGTGCCCGGCTGTACCTGCCTTTTTAATCATCAAAAACTCGACTTCCAACAGACTGGGTTTTGGGGTTGCTTCCTTATTTCCATGGATCATTCCTTGTGTCTGTAAGAAAGATACAGCAGCATAGGCATATTTTATTTCCTTGGAAGTTAGTAGACTTGTCCTCTTTTGTGGGGTTTCCTGTATATTCAACAGGGTGAGAGACTTAGGGAGAACTCTAAGTTTGCCTGGTAAGGAATTTACTCTTCTTGCCAACTAGAAAGCACAGAAGAATCCAGTTTCTATAAGCTTCCCGGGAGACACATGCTATGAGTAAGATGCTTTCTAGTACTCCCACTTTTTCCTAGTGCTTCCTCTTTACTTCAATGTTAGATTCATAATTCTTTTTTTAAATTATTATTATTATTATTATTTGAGACAGAGTCTTGCTGTGTTGTCCAGGCTGGAGTGCAGTGACACAATCCCAGTTCACTGCAACCTCTGCCTCCTGGGTTCAAGTGATTGTCGTGCCTCAGCCTCCAAGTAGTTGGGATTACAGGCATGTGCCACCATGCCTGGCTAATTTTTGTATTTTTAGTAGAGACGGGGTTTCTTCATGTGGTCCAGGCTGGTCTTGAACTCCTGGCCTCAAGTGATCTGCCTGCCTTGGCCTCCCAAAGTGCTGGGATTATAGGAGTGAGCCACTGTGCACAGCCTTAGGTTCAGGATTCTTAACCATTTTTGTAAATATTTGAGAAGAAGCTCTGAAGGCAAATACTAAGCTTGATGGATAGTTCCAGTGCCTCCAGCTTGAATCCTGTTGCATTCAGGTGAACACACATTCCCTTGGTCATGAGTTAGGCAGCCATACCCAAAAACAGTCAGGCTAATTTCACACACTCACTCCTGGTCATAATTTTAGTCATCAAAAGACTGTCCTTTATGTTTTTCAAGATTCCTTCTGAAACCTTTGACTAATCATGCCTCTTAGTTTATGTTGTTAATGTGGGATAGGTCAAAACATTTGCCCATTCTTATTTGTGAGAAAGGTCATGACTATTACTACTTCTCACCGTACCCTTGACCTCTACCCTATCTGGCTCTTTTTAATCATAGTGTTCATGACTTGCCAAGAACAGAGTTCTTGGTCTGTCTAAACTGAACTCTTGATCTTTCTTTTTGCTGTTCCTTCATCTGTCTTCTTCTGCTCGTGAAGACATCTTCATCTTTCCAAATGCTGATGCTGGGAACTTGGAGCAATCCTTGATCTCTATTTTTTCATCACTCACTCTATACAATCTCTTCCAAGTTCTATAGATTTTATTTTGAGTCCATCCACTATCTAAGTTTATATTCCCTCAAGACTAAGCCACCTACATCTCTTTCCTAAACACCAAAAATAGCCTCACTAGTTTCTTGCTTTCTTTCTTGGACCCTTGTAGTCTATTCTGCACATGATTGTTAGAGTAATCTTTTTTAGAAACAAACAAACAAAAAAACCCCCACACATTTGTCATCCTGTCACTGTAGAGCTTAAAATCTTTCAGTTGGCAGTCAGTATACTTAAAGTACAAATTTCCTGACATGGTTTGCAGCAGTTTTTGATATGGGCCTTGCCTCCATCTCCAACCTCATCTTGGCCCGTTCTCCTCCTGACCCCAAGCCCTTTGTTTATATCAGCCTCCTTCCATTTAGTTGAATGTGGCCAAGCTCTTTCTCACTTTGAGGCCATCACACACCTAAAAAGTTCTTTCTCTTGGTCTTCACCCGGATTACTCCTTCCTGCCTTTCAAATCTTCCTTTCATTACCGCTTCCTTAAAAATGCTCCCTGTGATTTCCAAGGTATACAAGATCCTCTGGTCATACTACTTGCACCATAGAATTTATCACAATTTGAACTGACAAGTTATTGTATGTGCACGTATGTATATTTGTCTAACATCTATCTTCCCAGTCAAGCATGTGTTCCATACAAGAGGGGACTATCTCATTCATTTTTCTATTCCCAACAGAATACCTAGCATGAGGTAACTGCAAAAAAAATTGTTGAGTGTTTGAGTGAATGGAGCTTAGCCTATTGAGGGCCAATTACTGTATCATTAGAGTCCTCAAACATGTGGTCCTGAGTTTTGAGTACTCAATTGAGGAGCCACATACAAATTTGAGGTTTGACTTGACATTAGTGAGGATGAGGGTGAACCCTGCTACAAACATGCAGAAAAGAAGGGACATGGGCCAGTGGGATTGGGGAAAGGCAGAAGTAAGAAAGGATAAAGCAGAGGCCAGGCTAGACTTGGATTTGTCACATCTGTGAACAGCTGCTTGCCTTTAGAGCTGTGTTCTTCTATAAAACTATAGCATGAGTCATGTATATGACTCTATATTTTCTAAGTCACATTATACAACAAAAAAAAACTAATGAAATTGATTTTAGTAAATTATTTTAATTTATTCAATATTATAAACGATTACTATTTCAACATGTAATCAATGTAGAAAATTAAACAGATATTTTACATTCTTTTTTCATATAAGTCTTTGAGATCTGCTCTGTACTTTACACCCACAGCCCATCTCAATTTAGATCAGCCATATGTCAAACACTCAATAATCACAATTGGCAGGCTGATGACTACCATACTGGACAGAGCAGGCTTATAGGTTCTTTCTTATATTAGTCTACTTGGTTGCTATGACAAAATACCATAGACTGGGTGGCTTAAGCAACAGACAATTGTTCTCACAGTTATGGAGGCTGGGTAGCACATGATGAGGGCATCAGTATGGCTGAATTCTTGGTAGGGGCCCGCCTCCTGGCGTGCAGACTGCCATGTCTAGTTGTGACCTGGCATGGCAGAAAGAGAGAGAGAACTCTGGTGCCTTCCTCTTCTTAAAAGGACATTAATCCCATCATGGGGGCCCCATCCTTGTGACCTCATCTAAACCTAATTACTTCCAACTACCTTCACATTCAAGATTAGGGCTTCAACATAGGAATTTGGACATTTGGTCCATAACTTCTGAAAGGTTTATTGGCACTGACCATGAGCTTGCCCTGATTTTCTCCTAGTGGGATATTATCATTCAGGTAGGATACGATTCCTTGAGTGGCAAATTCCAAGCAACTTTAATTATCCTCCAGGCTGAGGGTGGTGTGTAAAGCTGACATGTAAAAGAGGAAGCTTTTGTACGGCTCCAGATCAAAGAACTACAATGGAATGTTCAGGAGGCAGATTGTACTTAGAAGTTTAAACAATCAGAACTTTCAGGAAACAAATGAGATACTCTCTCTTGCACTTCTTGTCATTAGAAGATCCAAGTAGCAGCTGATGTCCACTTGGGCCAGGATTTGATAATTCAATGAAGACTTCTATCAGACGATCCCTGAAGTTCCTTTGAATCATGATGTTCTATAATTTAATTAAACTTGAAACTTTCCTCCAACAAAACATACTATTTTTCTTTCTTTTCTTGACCTTCATTTAGAAAGCATTAGCAAATGCTTTAGAAAGCATTTTATTTCCAGAGCAAACGAGTTTTCATCTATAGCTACACATACATAGAGAACTGGAGAACTTAGGCAACTACTCTCATAATTTTAGAGAAAAAATAGTGAAAACATTTGAGGCAAGGGATATCCCTTTAACCACTTGTTTTCAGACTGCAGTTTTGTTAGTATGAACTAGGCCTACATGAGTTTTTTCCCTCCATAGCATGTTAGACTCATTTATAATCTGTATAATGTATGTTAGAGATGGCAGCTTATTTTAATTTTTATTATTACTTTTTTTTTTTTTTTTTTTTAGAGACATGGTCTCACTCTGTTACCCAGGCTGCAGTGCAGTGGCACAAACATAGCTCACTGCAGCCTCAAACTCCTGGGCTCAAGCAATCTTCCCACCTCAGCCTCCTGAGTAGTTAGGACTACAGGCCCTCGCCACCACACCCAGCTAAGCAGCTTGTTTCTAAAATGAAATTATAATTAAACAATTGTATATGAAATTACACAATATTCACAAATAGACCAATTTTCTATACTGCATAACGCAGTCAACCTGGTAAATACTGACTTACTCTACCAACGTCTCATATTGTTAAATCTGTGCATTTTACTTCCTGTTTGTTGCTAGGAATGGCTTTGTGAGGTCTAAGCCTGTTTGATGCTAAGCTCTTGCCTTCCTAATTCTGAGAAGACAGAACTTAGTCCAGCTAGACAAATAGGAAATCTCCTGCTTTTAACCTGGGAGACAAAATATTAACTTTTTTTGAAAATAGAAGAATACAAAGAAGTTGATAATATGAAGAAGAGTGAATTTTGCAGTCATAAGCAGTCCATATTTTTATTTGCTTTTTTAAAGGACTAAGGGTCAAAGTTGTTTCTAGAAATCTGCAAATTTTCTTTTATCTTTTTTTTTTTTTGAGACAGAGTCTTGCTCTGTCGCCCAGGCTGGAGTGCAGTGGCGCAATCTCAGCTCACTGCAAGCTTCACCTCCTGTGTTCACGCCATTCTCCTGCCTCAGACTCCCGAGTGGCTGGGACTATAGGCACCTGCCACCACACCCGGCTAATTTTTTGTATTTTTTAGTAGAGACGGGGTTTCCCTATGTTAGCCAGGATGGTCTTGATCTCCTGACCTCGTGATCCACCTGCCTTGGCCTCCCAAAGTGCTGGGATTACAGGCGTGAGCCACTGCGCCCGGCCAAATTTTCTATATTTTTTGTGATTATTTTCAGTGTGCAAGTGTTTCCTGTAATTGTGTAGAGTCTGTTATTAACTCTATCAACTCAGATACATTCTCCATGTGTTCCTCAATCCTTATGCCCTGACTTCTGCCCCATATACACACACTGCCCCCCCCACTCACACAGGTGTGTCCTCCCGTGTGCACACACACTCATATATACAAAAATATGCAGCAATAGGAGTCTACTCTGTTAATTCAGAAAATTTGCTCTCTCTGTTCTCAGGTGAGGTAACAGAATGCCTTTGGTTCTTTTTATATCTTCCTAGGTTCTTTGTATCATATCAGTTACCAGAGTCCTCTAAGAGTAAGTTCAAAACCTTTAGCTCTATGCCCACAGAGTAGTTTACAGCCATGGAAGAATTTATCCTTGTCTTATTTAGAAAGGATTTCTCTCAGAAGAAAATAGAGGGCTCTTTCTTTAACTTTATTGTTTAATACACTCACTCATGCATGCAAGCATTGATTCATCCAGTAAATGTTATTTCTGCATACCTACTTTATGCCAGCCTATGAGAGTAAACTCCATTCTATATCCTTACTTAGCTCACAAAGAAGCAAGGGACACATTCATCAAACACTAACTTCATGACAACATGACAAATTAGGTAGTGGACAAGAGTGCTCAGTGTCAGGGGTGGGCATGCTGAGGAGGGAGTGACGAGCTCTGCCTGCCTACCAGAAGAGATGGTATTTGAACCAGGCCTTCAGGAATGCTGTGCACTTCTAGAACTTGGCAGAGGGTGAGGGGCTGCAGCCTAGGAGAGGGAACAAAGCAGGAAAGCACACAGCATGTGTGGGGAGCGACAGGTGGTATGAAGTGACGGTAGTTGAACTCAAGGTTGCAAAAGCCAAGAGTAGGCAGGTTGTGAGGAGCATAAGGGCTGGGTCTGTCCTGGGGATTTGCCTACTTCTTTCTTGACCTTCAGAATATTTTTAAATTCTAAGTATAAATACGGAGATTAGAAAGTCTTCTGCAATGTTGGATTGGAAAATATGAGAAACAATCAGGATACATTTTGGTGGTGGTGGCCAAAATAATGACGACCTCCTCCTCCTCCTCCTCCTTCTCCTCTTCCTCCTCCTCTTCCTCCTCCTCCTCTTCTTCCTCTTCTTCCTCCTCCTCCTTCTCTTTCCTCCTCTTCTTCTTCCCCTACTCCTTCTTCTTCTCCCCTTACTCCTTCTTCTCCTCCTCAATTATCTTCCTCCTCCTTGTCCTCCTTCTCCTGTTATAAAATAGTAGGAATGCATGATTTTGCTATAATTTTGCAAACAATAGTGCATAGAATGCCTGGACATGGGGAAATTTGGGTGCCACTCTGTACTAGTTTTCTATTCAGAAACAAGATGCAGTTATCTCATACACATAAAATGTTAATGAGCTGAGGCTCTGTGCCCACTGTGAACTACCCATGGCCTGGATCTGCTGTGGAGAACTCTGGAGATTGCTGGGTAGAATGTCAGAATTCAAGTGACCTCAAAGCCCTATTGTGACCAAATGGCTCTTGGTATGAATAGGGATGTTCACACTCAGGCCTGTGACCACAGAAAAAGTAGCCAGCCCACCATCCCTAGATGATTTTGCAGTCTTTGCACACCAGTGTGGCCATAGGCTTGTTTTCTCCTGGACTGAGCCTGCAGATCCTATGAGCAAGTAGGAAAATCTAATGTGAAAATATATGCCTTGCATAGGTTGTAATATCCAAAAAGTTACCACAGTGGAAAATGACTAATTAACCTTGTTGATCCTGGAGAGCCAGTACTTCGATCCTATGAGCCAAGACCATGTTAGTTTGCCAGGCAGGTTAGGCTAATCAGAGTTGGCCAGGATATTTTGTGCATACAGACACAGCCTGGATACCCACAATAAATAGTTTCTTGGCCTGATTTTCAATAAGCACTCCTTGTACATAGGGTTACTTCTGAACTTCCATTGTTGACCTAAGCAGCCTACTACTCTAACCTCTAAAGGACCAGTGCAGCAGGCATCCAGCCTTGCAAGCTCGCAGTCATAAACATTTTTCTGAGCTCACATAAGCCCATCCCAGAAACACCTTCATGCATTTCATAAAAGGACATAAAGGATCAATGAGTTGAATTTTGGCAAACCTAAGCTTCTTATACTTTAACTATTTTCTCTAAACTCTGTCTCAGCTTTCTTCGTTCATCTATGACAATTCTTCATCTATCATCAGATTTCTCATTATTGATCCCCACTCCACCCCTGCCACTCAAACAAGTTGGTTACTTTCTCTGTATTTGCTCAGTCAATTTCTTTTTTCTCACCTAAATTTGTCTCCCTCTAGCTCTTGTGGCTCTGGCTTATTTTTTATATTCTCCATAACTCTTTCCCCAGTAACCTCTAGAAAACACAAATATCTTCCCTTTTTTAATTTGCATCTTAGTAAATATTTATTGAATGTATATTTTATGTCATTATTATGTGCTGTGAAGAATATAAGGGCAAGTTAGGATATTTATCCTCAAAGAGCTTACGGTTTAAAGAAAAAACTAGTTAGATAGACAAGTATACCCCGAGGAAAAGGTGACTAACAGTGACTAGAGGGATGAGACCACAAAAGAAATTGCATTTGAACAGAGCTTTAGTGAATGTGAATTATCTTTGATTTCTGATTGTGTTTAGCACTTGCTGTATCTTGTACTACGGCATGTAATTACACCTAATGTGACCGTCCTTTAAAACATACAATTTATTTCATGCCCAATTTTGTCAACTGTGGGTGGGATTGGTCTCCCTGGAAGAGAGTAAACTCCTTTAGTGCAAGCCATGTCATCTTTTTTTCTTGTATTCCTCAGGCATATGTCCTGTGCTCCACTAGTCCTAGCTGGATCGTGGACATATTACCATCATTACAAATATCAATAGTTTGTGATTACTTCAAACAATCTGAAGTTGAAGGACCCCAGATATCCTTCAAAACAGGGTATGTTGTTCAGAATTATAATAGTCAATGTGATGCATTTCAAAATACTGCTGTCCTTCTTAAAGCTACTGTACCACTAGAGTCTGCCTAATGCCTCCAAAGGATCCTTTATAGAGGCCTCATTAGAAACATTGAGATCTTGGAACCTAAATTTAGAACTAAAGTAATCTGATGTTAGTGGCCACATATCAACCTCTTCTAGAGCACAGTTAACTCTGCCATATGGTCTAGCGTAATCAAAGGGGAGGAGCCTTCACACCAAGCCGATAGAGCCCACATGGGAAATGTTGGCCTTTCATTTCTCTCTTTCCCCATGAACTTGGTATTTCAGTAATACTTGTACTGTTACCTGGTGGAGGTTCATGGCCTCAGGAAACTTTGGCTCTTGACTGATGATTTTCCCCAGGAGTTTTTACAGCCAATCTTCTTCCTTGTTGGAATTGCTGGGAAGTAGGGATTACCATTTGTGAGCAACCCAAAACATGAGGCAGTGACTTCACATTTGGGGTGTCAGAGTTACCCATTAGTTTCCTGCTGGAAGCAGTATTCTTCTCAGGTGATTCCATTCCTCTGTCACCTCCCTCAAACTGTAGAAGTCAGCAAAGCCAGAATGTTGGTTTATCAGACATCAACATATGCTTATTCCTCCTGCCTCTCCCCCTTACCCAAGAAGACAGAATCGAGGGCTAGCCACTTGAATGTCTCTATGTGGCATTGCTTTCAAGATTTCAGCTATCACTGTCATGCAGCAATACCTTTTGGATCAGGAAAGCCTCACTGTCTAAGGACCTGATTTTCTGGACTGCTAGCTTGTGTTCAAGGATGTTAGTTTCCCAAGCATGGCACTTAGCAGTTTTAGGAAACGCTGATACCACTGTAGCAATTTTCCCCAATTTGTTCCTGACAAAGAAGTCTCTTCAAAATTGAGTTGGCTTCTTTTCTTTTATTCAAAAATGCTGGTAAACACAATTAGCCTCATTAACCTCAGTTTCTGTTTCATAACCGAAAATTAGCCTACAATCACTGGTTTGCTGGAAAGCACAGTTGTAATTAGTCTTTAACTGACTGATATGAAAAATCTGTCTCTTCTTTAATTTCTCTGACATCTCAGTGAATATGAAAACATGTCTGAACTCTCCCACATTGGCACTGGGGACACGAGTAAAAATAAATCAGGGATTTAAATCAAGGATCTCAAGCTGAGACATGAAAACCGATATTCTTGTACGTAGAAATTGGAGACAAGGGGGCATTTGTTGGGGAGGTGATAAGCAGAAGGTAGAAACCATGAAGTCTGTTCTCAACACCATTTCTAACATGTCCAAAGGAGGTTACTGGGACACTGACATCTACAGGCAAAGTTAAATGATTGTCTGTAAAAAAAACACTGGGAAAAAAGTACTTGCTCTCTTGGCACAGGTGAAAAATCACTATCTCAGCCCTTGAAATCAATTTTGTTGACCCGCTTTAGCAACAATGACTTTTTTTGTGAGCAAGATAAGAAAGTCACATTTCCTGAGCAATCTTGACACTTGCGTTGTTCTCAGGCTAGCACTTAAAGTTGGGACTTTTAGTTCTTGTGACCAGAAAAGCTGAGATCATGAGTTCAATCAAGAAACTCTATGGTCATCATTCTTCCAGTGGCTGGTACCCTGAGAGAAAATGTCCAGTGCAGGAAAGATGAGGATGTTCATTTCCTTTAGCTCAACTGATAATCTGCTAAGACAAAGGGAAAGCAATGTGAAGTAATTCAACTAGGTGTTTGGGTCTGAGTTTAACAGAGTGTGGCCTGGGGAGCCAGCCTGTGACTGGCATCCATATGGTGAAGTTCATAAATCTGGGTTAGTCACTGAGTAGTCTTAGTCCATTCAGGCTGCCATAATATGGGGAGCTTATAAACAACGTCTATTCATTTCTCACAGTAATGGAGGCTGGGAAGTCTAAGATCAAGGCAGATTTGGTGTCTAGGGAGGGCCTGCTTCTTGGTTCCTAGATGGCAGTCTTCTTGCTCAGTCCTTGCTCAAACGTGGTGGAAGGGGTGAGGGAGCTCTCTGGGATCCCTTTTATAAGAGCACTAACCCCAATCATGAGGGCCCTGCCTTCTTGCTCCAACCACCTTTACAAAGGCCCCACCTCCTACTACTGTCACCTTGGGCTTAGGATTTCAACCCGTGAATTTTGGGGAGATGCAAGCATTCAACCTATAGCACTGAGGTGGCTAATTAAGCATATACACCGAAGTGTGGCCCTTTCATACCGTTTGCTCTTAGAATGGCATAATAGATGAATATCTCAAGTATTAGAATCCTTAACACAGACATAATTCCTTTCTTTGCCACTTCACCCCCTCCCACACTGCTTTGTTCTAACTCTCACTAAAAGATTTTAATTTCCAAGTTGTTTCTCTACAGACTTGGATGGTGCCCCCTGGCATGCACCCCCTCAAGGCCTCTGAACTGCCTCCCTGTCAGTGTGGACTCCAGTTCGAGGGCTGTGAAATTGAGTCAAGTTGTTCTGTCTCGGTGCCCAAACTGCAAATGAGAAATCTTATAATTCAAATTGAAGTTCTCCTGTGTCACTCCCTGCTCCTTTTATCAAGCCTCATAATAGTGAAATAAAATAGTCACTAAATCAGAAAATAATCCACGGCAGTAAAGTAGCTTTTATTAGGCACTGAAGGCATTGGGTACAAATGAAATAATGAGAGAAGAAATTAATATTACTTCCTCTGTGCTTGTTGGAGAGAGTGGTGTGTGACACTTGACTGAGTGTCACATCTTTCTTATTCTCTTCAGCATTGTTTATATCAGAGGCTCTGTCTATGCAATAGCTAGGTTGGGAATAATGGCTATTGCAGTTGGGCAAGATAACTGGATCTAATTATTCAGAGTCCCCTGATAGAAGTGTCTGATTTCTATTTTAAGAGAATTCTGTTTTAGGAATTCCCAGGAATATGCCATTTAGGAACCACTGTATTCCAAAAAATGACACTGAGCCTCTTACTTGGAGAAACATGTTTGTGCTTAGTTGTCCCCCCTGTACTCTGCTTTCTCTGGCCTTACAGCCATATGCTTTCTCCATTTTATTTTCTGTTCATTTCAAACAAGTATTGCCTATCCTACACAGAGAAGAAAGAGCTTGGGGGTGGTTATTCTGACAAGACATTCAGGGATAGAGAAGCTCTTTTCCCCTGGCATTCATTTCTTGTGTGTTTCTTTTGAGTAATTAAACACAGAACGGTCACCTAGCATGCTGGCAATAACAGGAAATGGGAGGGGGGAACATAAAGTAAAAGCAAACAATCAATATGAGGAAGTCAACACTATGTTTTTGTTTTTCTTCCAGTTTCTTTAAAAAGGGATTAGCTATGTATCGATTATTCATATGCCACCTACTTCCCCAAAGATTTTTGAGGCAGTCCAACTTGATAGCCCCTCAGTAACACCTGCAAGTTCCTAGATTTAATTTCTTGGTAGAACAACAACAAGCCGATACAAAAATCTGATTTGAGTGCTTCTAAATTTCAGTGAAATAAAAAGTTTGTCTCAGCTAAAACACCTGTATTCACTCGTCCCAGTTCTCTGTTCCACAATCCAATCATGTTATTTTCATTTCAAGAAAGTATTTCCTTTCTTGCCTTGCTCAGATGCATGTGTTAAAACAGCAGCAATTACAAGATTTAACTCTTTCCATTTCTTGCACCTTATTGGCCCAGCCCAGTGAGGAGTGCAATCTGTATCTCCGTAGCTCCGGCATTTAGGGGGCCCAATGTCAGAATGAACCTTCTTTCAATAGAGCAGCTTATCTAGAGAATGACCACTCTCTGGATCAGTTCTTCTACTTGATATCATGATAGGAGTCATTTTGAAATTCTGAACTCTTTTCATTAAACTGGGTTGTTGCCATTCTGTGAAAATACTTTCAGCTTTCTCACTCCATGGTATTATTGATGCTATTCCTTTGGCCTGGACCTCTATTTAAACTCCCTGATACAATCCTCCTCATTCTTCATGGCTTTGCTGAAAGACGCTTGTCTCATCAAGCCTTGGGTATCGGTTATCAATTGTCACAATAAAGCTGCATAACAAATAACCGAGTTTTAGTAACATACAGCAATGAACTCTTTTTTTTTTTTATTTGCCTACAAGGTAACTGCATGGTTCTTAAGGTCTCAGTTGGTTTCACCCATGGATCTGAAGACAGCTGTGTGATGGTAGGAAGGTCTCCTGATCTTGGCTTGGTTGTCTCACATGCAAGGGGTTGGTTGGCTGTGAGGTGGCCTAGGATGGCCTTAGCTGGGACAACTATGCTTTCTTTTACATGACCTCTCATCCTCTAGCAGGTTAATTTAGGATTGGTCTCATGGTGGAGACAGGTTTGTGAAAGAAAGAGGAAATGGCAAGGCCATTTCCTTGAGGCTTAGGCTGACAGCTGGCACACCATCACTTCTGCTGCATTCTGTGGCCCAAAGCAAGTCACAAAGCCAACTCAAGGCTTAGGGAACTTGACTCTATCCCTCTGTGGGAGAAACTGCAAAGTTACATCACAAAGGGTGTGGAGAAAAGAATAAAAACTTGGAAAATTCTTGCAATCATTCTACCACAACTTGTATGATTACCTGTCTGGAGTAGTTTTCCACTGTGTTTTATTTTTACGTTTTTTGAAAGAAATTTAAAAATAGGATATCATTTGGGCACTTCTTTTATCTCCATCTATGACTCTTTTAAAATCAGAGGCTGTGATTCATTTATTGTTTGGTCCTCAAGTTGCTTAATGCAGTAAAACAGGCATATGTCAGATTAGAAACATTCTAAAAATAAGGCAAAATAGAAAACATAAGCACATAGAATTTTAAATCTGGAGTAACTTCAAAAGTTTATGTAGCGCATTACCCTGTGTTGCAGTAAGTAAGCCACCCAAAATGAAAGGCCAACAAAAAAAAATTACCTCAAAATGCAAAGAAGGTCCTTCTCTAATCAATGCTGATTGCAAAGCAAACACTATTCATGCACCCTAACACTCGAACTTTAATTTTTAAATTTCTTAGCAGACAGAGAAAAGCCAGTTTCCTCCCTTCATCTTAGCCTTCACTGTCTGCCTTCCTCTTCTCACTGTGATTCAGCTACACATTTCTTCGGTGACAATGACATCTGCTCAGCGTTCAAAGATTGGAACAGTGCCTGAGCACCAAGAATAGTGCTTTGCTCAGTAACTGCTTGTTGAGAACAGAGATACAGGAGGGAATTCCTTCTACCTTAGTGTCTCGTGATCCTGTCTAATAAAGGATTTTCCTGGAGGGCCACCATGGGATCCTGCAGAGGATTTTGGCTTCTCTGACATCTTTTCTCATCTCCTTTCCATCCATGGCTCCCCAAGGAGTCAGTCCACCTCAGAACTTCAGAACAGGCTGAGGCCCCATCTGCTCAGCAGCTTCCATCCAGCCTTTTGGCCGGAGCTATATTTTAGGACAACAAAGCCAGTCCAGTCTAAGGAGCGAATTCTGCTCTGAAAGAGGAAGGGAAGATTGGGTTTTGTATTGATTCATTCATGTTGAGGGCTCTCCACTTTACTGAATGAAATTCAATTAATATTTTTGGTTTTTAAATGAAACTTGTTCTCACAGTGGTTTTTCTTGTCACCATTTATTTGAGTCCTGTGTTTCTAGGACTTTTGCAATCAGTATATGCCCACATGGTTCTCCAGATTTGGTTTAATTCCCCTGTCAAATCACCGAGAAAGAAGAGGCTGATTTTTTTTTCACTCGGAAAACAGTTTTTAAGGAAAGACATATTTAGCCTATAATCCTGTGCCTTTTATTGTTAGTTATAGTCTAGTATGTTCTTAACCTCAGATTATAATACAACATATCTTTCAGATTCATCCTGATTCATTTTCTTTGAACCATTCGTTTATCATGCTACGACGATGGCTTTGTGACTTTAGGACAATCTGATCTCTAGTTCCTTGTAGTCATTTAACCTCAATTTCCAGTGTTTCCTCATCAACAGAGGTAGTCTAACTGATAGCCCTGCCAGCCTTCTTGCTTCTCAGGATGGTCAACTCTCCTCTATGACTGTCAACATTCTGTCTTTCCTGAATTTGAGCCTTCCTTGAAAGTCTTTTTTATCAGAAGGGCATAGCTTTCTATTTTGCCTTTACAAAAAGGAAAAAAAAATCTTTCTCTACAAAATCATTTATTTTCTTCTCTGTAGTCAGAGTCTATTTGAAAATTCATAAGGTACTCTCTTAAGAGTGGCTAGAAATGGGTATGAGACCTACAGATTTATAGCCTGCTTCAGCCATACAGATTGGGTTTCACATAATCCTTTTGAATAAAAGAGATCAAACCCCAACTCTACTTCAGGCAAAACGGAGAGGGACAGTTGGATGCAGGGACCTGATCATCATCAGGTATCTCCCCCTCCCAGATAAATGTAAATACATAGAATAGGCTGAACTCAGTACAGATGAAGCAGGAAGAAGCTTTATTCTTCTTCATCACTCTCTTGCAAACCCACTCTGTTGACAGTTATCCCCTCTGGTCAAATCTTCTGCAGGATCCAGAGCTTTTGCAATTCCTTTCAGGTAATAAAATGTCCAGCTCAGCCTAATAATAAAACTCTAAACTTTCATCCAAATTAAAATGTTTCCCCATCTCCAGCTGAAATGTGTAGAAGGGCAGGGAGAGCATGCAGTTCTTTTTGTCTTCCTCTTCCCCCTCCTCCCCCTTGATAGGACTGAGCCCAAGGAGTAAAGAGTGTAACAGGGAAAAGTGCACCATGCCCTTGGTACCTGGGGTTTGTATTTTCTGAGTGTGGTCAATGCGAATGTACTGGTTCTTTGCTTGTAGGACATGTCTGTGGTTTCCTCAGGTACTTTGCCCATCAGGCCTCTGACTGCAACTCCCTGAAGTGCTGTCTCCCACTGGACATTGACAGCACCCCATTAACACAAGGCTTTCAGGAGTCCAGGCCGCACAGTCCACTCCTGAGCAGAGACAGGAAGTGGGGCAAGGAGTTGGTGGAGCCAGGGGCACATGGCACGTGGTCTAACCCTTTCCTCACTTTCAGACCATGCTCCTGGAACACAACCTCCTGCCCAGTGTCCCTGAACCTGCTTCTAAGGCTTGAGCAAGCCTCTCCCTGTGTCCCTCCTCCCGAAGGCAGATTGCTTCTGGTGTCCATTCTCCTGATCCAGCCGGTGGCTGTTTGTGGGCGTGGAATGGAGCTTGGACATGCGGTGGGGGTAGCTACAAGTGTGCCTACAAGGCTGTCATAATGAGGGAGGGAATCGGGTCGGGGAGGAGAGGAGAAGAACTACATGATCCTTCATCATGGCCAAGAGACCAAAAATGAAGAGCTTGGGCTCTCTGCACATCCCTTTCTAGTATAGGATTCAGTGATGACTGAAGATTCTAAATGCAAACCTAGACTTCAAGATACGGATGAAGGCATGTTTGCCAAGATAAGGGGATGGAACCCATTTTACTTGTGTTCATTAGCTTGATGTATAAATGTTATTTTTTTATTTTTTATTTTTATAGAGATGAGATCTCACCATATTGCCCAGGCTGGTCTTGAACTCCTAGGCTCAGGCAATCTTCCTGCCTTGGCCTCCCAAAGTGCTGGGATTACAGGCATGAGCCACTGTGTCAGGCCCAATTTTTAATGTTTAGAGTTATATACTGTGGGCCTCACAGCCTCAAAATTGTTAGGGGCAGGTAGCATACAGAGCCTGTCTGTTGGGTTATGTCGCCCTACAGTATTTATCTGTATAGTTCCTGCAAGATGACCTAGTCTGGCTCCTTTCTCTAGAGGACCTTATCTGGCCCACAAGAAACACTCATTTGCCCACCTTTGGTGGAGACACATCCATCTCCTATGCAGGCCTCTTCTCTCTTTCTTCTGCCCCCTTAGGCTGATGGAGCCACAGTTTCTTGCATTCAGATTTTTTTAGGTGTAGATTAGGTGCCATCCTCTTCATCTCTCAAATTCCAGAGGACATATATCAAACTTTCTGAGTGGGTCCTTTCAAGTCCTTCTCACTTCGCTGAAAAAGAGGGGGATGCACCTCTGTCCTCAGAGGGGAGGTTATGAGGGAATATATGGCACATAAACTGTCTCTCAAAATATATGCACCAGCACTTTTATAGCTTCATTGAAGCATAATTGATGTATGAAACAACTGCACATACTTAAGATGTATAATTTGATGGATTTATCATACACAAACACGCATGACTAAAACTACAATCATGATAATGACATATCCATTACCCCAAAGGTCTTCTCATGCCACTCTGTGCTCCATGCCTCCCTGACCCCTGTCCTCAGGCAACCACTGATCTGCTTCCTCACTTTATGTTTCCTAGATTTTTGTGTAAATGGAATCAGTCTGGTTTGGTTTTCTGTTTTGAGGGGGTGGGAGGGTTGGCTTCTCTTCTTTCATTTAGAATAATTATTTTGAGATTCATCCAGGTTATTGTGTGTTTGAAAAGTTTGTCCCTTTCTACTGCTGAGTAGTATTCCATTGTATGGGTGTACCATACTTACATTTAGGTTGCTTCCAGGTTGGGGTTATTACATAAAAAGCTGCTATCAGAATTCACATACAAGTCTTTGTGTGAACATATGCTTTCATTTCTTCTGGATCAATACCTAGAGATGGAATGGTTGGGTTGTATGATGCCTATATAGTTAACATCTTAAGAAATTGCTGAACTGTTTTCCAAAGTGGTCGTGCTGTTTCACATCCCTTCCAGCAGTGTTTAGGAGTCCGAGATGCTGCACATCCTCACCAGCACTTTAACTTGAGTTGCTCTAATGAGTGTGTAGTGGTGGCACATTGAGGCACTACAACTTTTGGAACCCTCAATGCATTATTTGCCTTCTTCCCTATACAACTTATATTTGGCAAAGCGTTTTTTAAATCTCCTGAGCTGAGGAGCTCAATAAAATGGGGTTGGAGGAGGGTCTCTGACATCTGTTTTATTAAAATTGAGCCTTGGGGTCTCTAGTGAAACTTAGAGAAATAGGGGAAGTAACCCCTCACATCCTACTGACCTTGCTGAGAATGTACAATGTAATACACCTGCATGGGCATATGGATTCATTCACCCATACCAGCTGATAAGGTTTGGATCTGTGTCCCCACCCAAACCTCATCTCGAATTGTAATCCCCATAATTCCCATGTGTCGAGGGAGGGACCTGATGGGAGGTAATTGGATTATGGGGGTGGTTTCCCTCATGCTGTTCTTGTGATAGTGAGTTCTCACGAGATCTGATGGTTTTATGTGTTTGACAGTTCCTCCTTTACATGTTCTCTTTCTCTTGCTTGCTGCCATGTAAGACATGCCTGCTTCCCCTTCTGCCATGATTGTAAGCTTCCTGGGGCCTCCCTAGCCATATGGAACTCTGAGTCAATTAAACCTCTTTCCTTTGTAAATTACCCAGTCTCAGGTAGTTCCTTATAGCAGTGTGAAAATGAACTAATACACCAGCTTTCTCTGCCAAACCGGAACCCTGATTATCACCAGCAACTATTCTCATTTTCCCAGATTCTCCAACAAGAAGAGGCTTTATTCCCTTAGCTCTAATCTGAAAACATTCAAGGCAGGACTGTGATTGCCCTTGTTTAGGTCACATTCCCATCCTTGATGTCTTAGTTTGGTTCTCCCCCAAAGCAGATTATGATATAAGGGTTTGAATGCAGGTCGTTAATTTGGGAGCCTGGTCCCAGGGAGCACTGTGAAGCAGTGGAGCAGTGAGGCAGGAAGAAGATCAGTACAGAATTTGGTAACGACAGTGGCATCCACAGCTCAACCATGCTCAGGACCCTCTGAGTTTGTGAGAAGTACATCTCAGAATTGCCCCCAGCGGAGGGTGTGGACACTAGGCTATTAAGCCATCATCTTCGGTTCTTGCTGGTTGGAAGTTCCTTCCAGGGACACTACCTCTCAAGCATTCTGCTGCCTGAGCACTCTGGCTGGACTTGTTCTCCAGCCAGACTCTTGCTTAGGCAGGGGCTACAGTGGGCAGTCAGCGTGAAGGACAACTGTCTGCAGGAGTCTTTGGGGGTAGACTGAGCAGTTGCGGGTGGGCGACCACTAGTGCTGCTACATCTGGATATCCTGGTAATATGACTTCCAACCTAAGCTAGGACCGGGAGGGGGAAAGAGACCAGGGAAATGAATTTCACAGAAGAATGTGTAGGAGTTGTTCTAGGTACATTCATTGGCATCTGCTAGGAGTTTTACAGAAACAATTTATGGTGGTAAATTGCTGACTAAAATCTTTGCAAGTTTGTTTCAAAATGTTTTAAAATGAAATCCTAAAAGGTAGCCTTAATGTAACTTTTTACTCCATAATTATTTATTCCTGGTACTCTCCCAGAGATCTCACCTAATAATAGAGACTCTTCCCTTTTTTCATTGTTTGCCTTTATCCTTTGGGGAAAACTTTCACCCTTCAGATAGTGAAAAAACTTATTGAGCAACTGCTGTGTGACTGGCTCTTGTATCAGGTACTAAGGATGCTAAGATGAATGCCCTCAGGCTGTGGAGGTAAATTCTGTGTGTCTTCCCACCAGCTGGATCAGAAGACCGAGGTTCCTGACTAAGAATGTCACATGAGGCTTTCCCTCTTTCTTCTTACTTCCTCTGATTCCAGAATGATGTTTTGAGCACAGCATGTTCACCTCTTTACAGAGTAAGAACAGCTTCTTGTCTTTAGGGTGCAATTTTAAAGAGAAATGTCGCTACTTTTTCCCTGCCAATTTTGAACACTAGACTATGGTTTCTCCAAATTTGATGCTTTATCACATTCCAGGTAGTATAATCTTTATATTATCAACGTGTACACTCCCTTGCTTTTCCTAGCTGTGCCTTTTTTTCCTTCCTGGAATTTATATTTCTGTCTCCCATCTGCCAGCCTTTCCCATAAACTCTCAGGCACAGAATTTATTTCAATTTTCTGTAATCTCACTTTCTAACACCAATAAATAATCCACCTATCTCTGTGAGGCCCTGCTGACCTTTTGCTTCTCATCAACTTGATATATTTTTACTTTCTGTCTTTCGTTTTTACATATTTTCACTTTGGTTCTCTGATCTGGCCTCCTTTCCCCCAGTTTTGCACCCTGGCTATCTGGTGGTGGCTTCTCAGCCCCTACCTTGTACTTCTTTTCCTTTGCAGGGATCCCCAGCTGCAAGCTCTTTCACTACCATCTGACGTGTCCTCTGTGCTCCTGCTTTTCTCATCAGGGCTGCTGTCTGCTTAGCGGCTTGGGTTGAAGCTTCTCTTGGACCCTGGTTCGTTCGCCTGCTGTGCCCTTCTCCTCTTGCTTCCCTGGCCTGTACTCACTGAATTCTCTTCTTTTATCTGACTCTTCCAAATGGGGAATTTGCAGAAATTGGAAAGCATCTTTACCCAGCCAGCACCACCATTAGTGCCCATCACCCACTTATTGCAATGGAACACTGGAAGTTCACAAGAGGGTTGATTTTGTTGGGTGACACTGTGAGAAATGCTGATGATGCCTTAAGGTCTCTCTTCTGGCACAGGGTCCTCCTCAGCTCCACTGGACCCTCCCTCCTCTAGTGCCTGCTGTGAACCTATTGTTCTGTGCTAATAGATTTGTTTAATATTTTATTTTGACAGTTCCAAATTACAGAGAAGTTGCAAGAAGAGTACAAAAACCTCCCATATGCTCTTCCTCCTTAGTCTTCCCTGACCTCCATGACCCTGATATTTTTGAAGATTGTAGACTAGTCATTTTTTGAATGTTCTTCAATTTAAGTTTTCCAAAGTTTCCTCATGATTAGACATCAATGATATATTTTATGGAGGGAATACCACGAATGCTGTGTTCTTTGCAATGCATTCTCTCAAGTGGCACACAATGTCTGTCATGTTACTGACGGTGTTAACATTGATCACTTGGTTGAAATGGTGCCTGCCAGATTTCTTCACTGTAAAATTATTCTTTCTTTGTTATTAATAAATATAATATGGGTTGTACTTTGACACAATGTAAAATCCCATTCCTCATTTAGCTTTTACCCACGATTCTTTGTTTTTTTTTTTTTTTCTATTTCCCAGCCAAGGTTTTTTATTTTTTTTTAAGTTCTGGGGTATGTGTGCAGGATGTGCAGGTTTGTTACATGGGTAAACATTTGCCATGGTGGTTTCTTGCACCTGTCAAACCATCAGCTAAGTATTAAGCCCAGCATGCATTAGCTATTTTTCCTGATGTTCTCCCTTTCCCCGCCCCTTCCCAACAGGCCCCAGTATGTGTTGTTCCTCTCCTTATGTCCATGTGTTCTCATTGTTCAGGCCCCACTTATGAGTGAGAACATGAAGTATTTGGTTTCCTTTCCTGTATTAGTTTCCTGAGGATAATAGCTTCCAGCTCCATCCATGTCCCTGAAAAGGACATGATAATTGTTTCTTTTTATGGCTGCATAATATCCCATGGTGTGTATGCACCACATTTTCTTTATCCAGTCTACCATTAATGGGCATTTGGGTGGATTCCATGTCTTTGCTATTGTGAAGAGTGCTGCAATGAACATACATGCTCATGAATCTTTATAATAGAATGATTTATATTCCTTTGGGCATATGCCTAGTAATGTGATTGCTGGGTCAAATGGTATTTCTGCTCCTAGGTCTTTGAGGAATCACCAGACTGTCTTCCACAATGGTTGAACAAATTTACATTCCCACCAATAGTGTAAAGGCATTTCTATCTCTCCACAGCCTCGCCAGCATTTGTGATTTCTTGACTTTTTAATAATCACCATTCTGACTGGTGTGACATGGTATCTCACTGTGGTTTCGATTTGTGTTTCTCTAATGATCAGTGATGTTGAGCTTCTTTCACATGTTTGTTGGCTGTACAAGTGTCTTCCTTGGAGAAGTGTCTGCTGATGTCCTTTGACCCTTTTTAATGGGGTTGTTTTTTTTCTTGTAAATTTGTTTAAGTTCTTTGTAAACTCTAAATATTAGACCTTTGTCAGATGGATAAGTTGCAAAAATTTTCTCCCATTCTGTAGGTTGTCTGTTTGTTCTGATAATAGTTTCTTTTGCTCTGCAGAAGCTGTTTAGTTTAATTAGACCCCATTTGTCAATTTTTGCTTTTGTTGCCATTGTTTTTGATGTTGTTTTCATGGAATCTTTGCCTGTGCCTATGTCCTGAATGGTACTGCCTAGATTTTCTTCTAAGGTTTTTATAGTTCTGAGTTTTACATTTAAGTCTTTAATCCATCTTGAGTTAATGTTTGTATAAGGTATAAGGAATCGGTCCAGTTTCAATTTTCTGCACATTGTTAGACAGTTCTCTCAGCACCATTTACTAAATAGGGAATGTTTTCCCCATTGCTTGTTTTTGTCAGGTTTGTCAAAGATCAGATGGTTATAGATGTGAGGGCTTATTTCTGAGTTGTCTGTTCTGTTCCATTTGTCTGTTTCTGTACCAATACCATGCTGTTTTGGTGACTGTAGCCTTGTAGTGTAGTTTGAAGTCATTAACCACATGTTTTTGCACCCATCAATATGTTTCTTGTCCAAATCAATGATTATTGTGATGGTTGCTAAATGGTTGTTTTCCAATACTGTCATTCCTTCTACATTTATTAGTTGGCTTCCCATCATAAGGAAGAATTTTCCCTTTTCACTGAAGAATTTATTCTTTCCTTTATTTATATCAGTCTAGACTCTTGGCTTTCTAGTTAATTCAATGGGTTATAAACAATTCTTATTATTTATTTTGATGCTCAAGTTGCCCAAGTTTGGCCAATAAAAGACCCTATGTATGTGAACTCTGGGCATTTCCTCATCATTCTTTGACCATTTCCTTACTTTCTGTCCCAAAAAGGTGTTCCAGACTCACTTTCAGACACATCCTGTTCTTCCCCTGACACCGGAGGATCAATCATATGTGTGTGTGTGTGTGTGTGTGTGTGTCTATGTAGATAATATTCATTCTATATTTTTCAACTACATTGAAAATCATGAATTCTCACTGCTACTTCCAATTCCAATCCAATACCACAGGGTCTATTTTAGCTTTTCTCCTTTTCATATTTGTGCTTCTCTTCCTTGACAGCGAGAAAGCTGTAACCCAGTGCTCCCAATACCTCAGTCTCCTGGTATGTAATCAATCTCTTGACCCCACCCGGCTGCCCCCCTCCTTGCTTGCAAGCTCAACCCCTACTTGAGCCTGCTTACTTCAGATCACCTACATATTTGGGTCTGCCTTAATGGCTTTTTGGTACAGGAAGGAAGGAAACCAATTTACATTTTTTAAAGAAGAGAAGAGGAAGAGAAAGCAAAAATGTAGTGCTTAGGAGATTTTTTCCAAACCACATTTGCTATTTCCATCTCTTTTTGAGTTTACACAATTACTTCTGTATCACTTATAAAGTTATTCTAGACAATTAAAACATATATCTTTGACTATTCTGCTCTGATATTTTTATTTTTTGTACAGTATATGGACTGTTTATACAAGTAGTCACTACTCAATTATCTTTGGATGTGAATAGATATATCAGATACACATTTTAGTGCTTTGAAGAAAATAAATTCTGTTTTGATCAAAATGGGTTAGGTTAGACTTTACAAACATCCCTGAAATCTCAGTGTCTTAACCCAATGGAGCTTATTTTTTGTTCATGCTATATTATTGCCCAAAGCAGGTGAATAGATGGGGTTCTCAGAGGCCTGGGCTTATGGAGGCTTCATTCTAGATGTGCTCCCATGATGACCATAGTTGTAGAAAGAGACTGTCACTAATTGTATGCCAGCTTTTAAAGTTTCTACTGGGAAGTAAAAGACATTATTTGTGCTGATATTTCATTGGCCAAGGCAAGTCACATGACCACACTTCCCAGGAAGTGGAAAAGCGTATTCCTACCATGTGTCTTGAAGAGGAAGCTCTGAAGCAGTTGGAGAAGAGTACTGACTCCCAGAGTGCTTTGGCAAGGGACACCAAGGCTCTGAATTTGGCTCTCACTTACAGTACTAGTCTTATCTTGTAACATTTCTATTTCTTTCTCTGCAAGACAGGAAAAGCTAGCTCATGAGATTATAAAGAAAAAACAGTACAAGTGTTTCATAAAATGCAAAATACTATAGGAAGATGAGAGCATCATGACTATCATTTCTAATAGTCATGTCACCAAATGGCAGATAAACTTCCTGGGAGCTGTGTTCATTTCCCCAGTGGATTCCATATTCCAAGTGGTGATAAAGATAATTTTTTCCAGTTATAATAGTAATGGATGCTCAATGTTGATAATTTTCCCAATACAAAAAATATATATATAAATAAGAAAATACAAAGATCCATTATCCTAAAATAGAACAATATTTACCTTTTGATATACATACTTGGCAGTTGTTTTCTATGTATAATTTAAGTAGCTGAAATTATATGTAATATTTTTCTAAATTTTTACTTAACCTTCAACTTTTAATGTTTTCTCATATAATTGCAAATTCTTTTTAATATTATTTTTAAAGGCCACATAATATTTTATAACCAATTAACCATTTACCTATCATTGGCCACTTATGTTGTTTCCATATACGTGATATTCATGATTGTTTTACTCTGCTTACAAAGAGAGAAGAATGCCTTGCGTCTACACTGTACCAGTCCTGGACCTCAGATTCATTTCTTTCCTTCCTCTGCTCTTCTCCACATTATAGTAATCAGCGTCAGTTGGCTTCTGGCTGAATTCACCTAGTGGAAGACACTAACAGGAAAATTGCAGAATGGGGAAAGGAGGAAGTCCAGAAGTCCATTTCTCCCCTCCCACTCTGCCGTGGATGGTTTCTTTGGCAGTAGCTATGCCTCCCTCTTGGTTACATCCCTCACCAGACAGGCCCTTCATGGTTCCAGAACCCCACCTCCCAGTAAAACCCAAACCTTTGGTTCCAGTAACACCCCCTGCTCTTTTTGTCCCTCTAGCTTAGGCATGATAGTGGCTTCCTGCTGTTGCTAATCTCTGGGTTTCTCATCATCTTCTGATTGGTGCTCAGCTCCTTTATCACTTGGGTTACCACCTCCCTGCATTAAATTCTGTCTGTTGGAAATGCTTGAAGAAGTTGATGTTTTCCTGGCTAGACTTTCATTTATTCTCACATTGGGCCACTGCAGCTTCTATCAGCATTTTCTTTCTCCTCAAGTCAACATGAGCTTGCATTTATCAGAGAAACTTAGTTCATGAAACAGAACCCCATTAAAACTTTTGAAACAAAAATGTAAAAAAGATACAGTCATTAAAAAGATAAAAGAGCAGCATGTATTACCAATAGGCAAGAAGTACGACTAGGAATCATGAGAGAGTTAGACTAGAAAGTTCCTCCCCTTCATCTTTTCTTTCTGCAGAAGAGAGTAAATACGACAGAAAGCAGTACCCTCAGCCCCAGTCCTACATAACTTCCCAAACCCAGTGGCCAAGATGAGCTACCTAGATCTCCATTTTCCTGTTATCAAGCTCTGCTTGTTTCAGGTGTCTAAGCTTCATGTAATCAGCTGTAAACAGGAGTGGGGTGTGGATGAGGTCCAGACTCTGCAGCTGGCTGAGCTGGAGAGGGTGGGACAGCTTCTCTGAGAAAGAGCACATGGGTGAGGGCACCTTGATGAGCAGGTCCCCTACAAGCCTATTATTTAGGGATCCTAAAAATATATGGACTCCCTGTTTCTAAAAATTTGACACACTAGTGTGAAAGAAATGTCTTAATATAGGACACATAAAACTGTGGGATAAATTATAAAACAACAACAACATCCTTTTAGTTCATGGCTGAGCAGATAGCAGAGTTAGGAAAACCACTGGGGCCTGAAATGAAGAAAAGTTTCCTCTATGAACGGAGGGAAGTGGGGAAACGGGATCAAGGAATGAATATCAAGTATTGGCACTGGGGAAGTTTTATTATACAGTTGTTCCTTGGTATTCCATGAAGGATTCATTCCTTGTGGATACCAAAATGCCCCATACTCAAGTCTCTTATATAAAATGGCACAGTATTTGCATAACCTATGCACATCCTCCCATATACTTTAAATCATCTCTAGATTACCTATAATACCTAAAACAATGTAAATGCTATGAAAATAGTTCTTGTACTATTTTTAAGTTTGCATTATTTTAAATTTTGTATCGTTATTTTTAATTGTTTTTTAAAATATTTGTAATCTGTGGATTGCAGAATCTGCAGGCAGATGCTGAAACCATGAATACAGAGGGACAACTATGTAAGCTCGTTAGTGAGTATAAGTGGATTCATTTTATTATGATGATTTAAACTAAGTTAAATATAAATATATGTATATATACGCACATATAGTATATTTCATGAAATAACTTTAATATATTTAAACTGGAAATGCTTCTAAATCTGTCTATAATTGGTCAAAGCTTAGTTTTGAAAGAATACACGTTTTTCAAAATGTGTTCCCTGCTCCCTATTTCTGTTATTGCTGCTACAGAGAACCATATGCAGCTGTAAATCTCCAGGCTTTCCCCACTCTAACATGAAAATTTGTTGCAGAATGATTGCTATGAAATGCCTCTTTTTCTTTACTACCATGGTAGAAGATTCCTATAAATTTTCTTATCTTTTTGATGAAAAGAAAGTAATGTATGAGACTCTTCCTTATTACTCAAAGGTGTTTTGAGCCCATGGTCCTTTCTTGTGGCTTAACATCAGCATGTACCTTGCCACAGCAGGGGTGGATGATACATATCCACTTACCTTCTCACTGGCGTTTCTGGTTTAATGTTGAATTCCTACTCCAGGGGAACTTACTAGTAGAAGATACATCCATGGGTTCCAAGGCTTCCCGTGTCGTTCTCTTTTGGTCCCTACTCCGCTCTCTTTGTCTATAGTGTCAGTGTCTATCCTCTTGTCCCAGCCTATGAGGTCCTCCAGTTTCCCATACAGTTTCCTTTTAGCATTTTCAGGTGATAGTTGCCTCTTCATCTTATCAATAATTGGAATATCAGCAGACCCTCTACTCTTAAACTAATTTACCAGGACAGTGCGTTCATCATTTTCAGCATTGAATTTTTTGGCTTTCACATCACTCTGATCTGCACTTCTGTGTATATGAACCATAGTTGGAAGTCAGATATGGCTCTGAGGTCAGTCATGGTCACTGTTGCTCCAATTTGGGTGGCCAAGTGTCTCTCAAAACATGGCATCTTTCTAGTGTTCCTGGGAACAACCTTTCCCTAAGGGTTTATCTTTGGCCACATGTGTTCATGTAGCATTTGCAGTGGTGTTCTGGAAGGGCTCATAATAGCTAATGAGAGCCCATTGTCAAATATTCAGGAATTTTGTGACCCAGTTTTTAAATCACAGTTTAAAATCAGTCATGGTGGGAGTATGCACACCATGGAAATTGACAAATACTATAAATCAGGGCTTCCCCTGCCCAATCTGAAATCAGTTTACCAGCACACCACTGCATTCGGGTAACTAAAATAAAAATAATACAAATAAAGGGATATTTTTAAAAACATAGGTAATCTGGCAATGTTTATTATTGAGAACACTTTAAATTTTTTTTTTTTTTAAGATTCAGCCGAAAAACCACTCAAACAGGTAAGTGAAGATTGCCTAGAGGAAATGAAAAAATGCTACATATAAAATAAAAAGGTTGATAAAATAGCCTTTGTCAAAACTAAAAACTTCTCATTAAAAAGTACTGTTAAGAAAATAAATAGGTAAGCTACAGACTGGAGAACATAGTAGTACTTTATCTAGAATGTGTAAAAATATCTATAAATAACCAAAGCATAAAAAGATAACAGCTCAATAATGAAATGGAAAAAATATTTGCATAGAGAGTTCTCGAAACAAAATATGCAAATGGCCAATAATCACATGGAAATAGGATCAACATCATCATAAGGGAAATAAAATTAAGCCTGTAATTGTGTTAGTCCATTTTGTGTTGCTGTAAAAGAATATCTGAGGCTAGCCAGGTAATTTATAAAGAAAAGGGGTTTATTTTGGCTCACAGTTCTGCAGACTGTACAAGAAGCATGGTGCCGACCTCTGCTTCTAGTGAGGTCTCAGGAAGCTTACAATCATAGTGGTTGGTGAAGGTGGGGCAGGCGTGTCACATGGTGAGAGAGAGAGCAAGAGATAGAGGGAGGAGGAGATGCCAAACTCTTTTAACCAGCCAGCTCTCATGTTAGCTAATAGAGTTAGAACTCATTCTTTACTGCAAGTAGGGCACCAAGCCATTCATGAGGGATCTGCCCCTGTGACCAAGACACCTCCACTAAGCCTCACTCGCAACACCAGGGATCATATTTCAACATGAAATTTGGAGGGGACAAACATACAAACTACATCAACAACAAAATGTCACTTCACATCTGTTAGAATGGCTAACAAAGAGGGCATCAAGGATGTGGAACAACCAGAGCTCTCATATTGTGCTGGTAGAAATGAAAAACGTTGTGAGTACTTTGGAAAACTGTTTGGCAGTTCCTTTTAACGTTAAACATACGTCTACTCTTTGATCTTGCAATTCTACTCCTACCCAAGGCAAATGAAAACATACCTACAAAAAGACTTGCATAAGAACCTTTATAGCAGCTTTTAATCACAATAGTTCCAAACTGGAGACTCCCCAAATGTCCATCAACAGTAGGATGAATATACACATTGTGTTACATGTATATAATGGAATAGGACTCAGCAATAAAAATGAATAAATCATTGAGGCATACACCAACATGAATGAATATTAAAAACCTGTTAGGCAAAGGAATCAGACACCAAAGACCACATACAGCCTGCTCCTGTTTATATGAAGTTCAGCAACAGACAGAACTAATTTTTGAAATGAGAACAGAGTTGACCTTGCAGGGGATGGATTTGGTTAGGAGTAACTGGAAAGGAACATAAGGCCACTTTCTGGGATGATGGAGATATTCTGTGTCTTGATTACGGTAGTGGTTTCACGGGTGAATATATTTTTCTAAGCTCATTATCTATATGTAAATTTAATTCAGTAATAATAAATTTTAAAAATAGAAATAAGCGCCGCCCCCCACCCCCCACAAAAAAATAGCAACTTAAAGAACCAAAATGAAGTATTTAATCAAGTCTCAGGACAATGAGGAAGTAACATCTTATGTGGTTTAATGATAATATCATACAGAGTGTTAGACTGTAAGACAAAAAGAACAGATAGCAGAAAGCAATTTAACCTTCTACTATTATACATTTAGCATGATATTATGTTCAAGCTCTCCACCAATCATTTTGTTTTATATTAATGATTCCCCAGGAGAAGTAGTTTCACTTCTGGCTTTTTAAAAGTAGTTTGGCCTGTTTACTCATATTAGTAGAAACAATACATTCAATAAATCATCACAGCCTCCCACGTTCCTTGGCTGGCATAAAGCTGCTGACTGACGGTGTAGCCGCCAGGCTCTGTAGGACCTGCACCACCAGGCTTGCTAATTGCTACACAGCCAGGCAGATTTGAAGAGAAGATTATAGGAGAGGAGGCAGGGAGATGAGGAAGTGTGCCAGGAATTATGGAAGATGGTAAGGGCAGCCGAATCAGCATTTCTGAAACTAGGTGTGGTTTGTCTACCTTGATGTGCACATGGGCACCACTGTACTCACAGAACAACATGGTTTCTGTGTTTTTCATCAATATGAGCAGTGTCCGTGGCCATTTGACACAGTTTTCCCAAGTCCCAGACTTCTGGGATAGCTTTGGCTTAACTATTAAGATAGCTTCAGCTCATTCCTCATTTTGATGACCACACTTTAACTGTTTTTGGGGACATTTCTGAGAATTCCTAGATGGTCCCCATGTGTCCTGGTGTCAACTGACAGCATTCTCCCAGCCTGGCTCACTTTCCCAGTCCTCTCTGGCCTCTGGGTCCCTGTGACCTGCAGTGTGAGCACAGTGTACCCAAAGCAGCCTTGTCACCAGGTGGATCCTAAACTTAATGGCTCTTCAAGCTCTTTTAAAGGCATGAGGAAACCTGGAGAGTGATTGTAGCATTTGTTGTCTTAGTCTGTTCTGGCTGCTGTAACAAAAATACCATAAACTGAGGGGCTTATAAGCAACAGATGTTTACCTTTCACAATCCTGGAGGCTGGAACATTCAAGATCAAGACAGGTTTGGTGTCTGGGGAAGACCCACTTCCTAGTTCATAGAGGGCCATCTTTTTGCTGAGACCTCACATGGTGGAAGGGGTAAGGGAGCTTTCTGGGGTCTGTTTTATAAGGGCACTAACTCTATTCATCAGGGCTCTGCCCCATGATTTAATCACCTCGCCAAAGGTACCACCTCCCAATACCATCCCAGCAGGGTTGGGATGTCAACACATGAGTTTGGGGGAACACACATTGAAACCACAGCAGCTGTGCAACGTCACAGTTGCTGAGCTCTCAGTATTGGCAGATCCCCATCATCCTGTCCTGAGAGCTCCTTCCTTGGGCCCTGGCTTCCTCATCTTATTGCTGGCACCTGTGCTTTCCTTATTGAATCTCCTTTCCACTCTTCTCTTCCCCACCCTGTTACTGAGACCGGAACAGAGGAAAGGAAAAACTCATTTCACATGACAGCAAGCTCTTGTCATTATTATTGCCTTACCGTGCACAGTAATTTAGGTTCTCTTGTCTTAAGAACCCCATTCCTGGCCATGCCCTTGCCTCTCTAACCAGGAATCCTTTAAATAAAAGTGTCCTGCCCTCTCTCTTAATCTTTGCACACCTAGACACCCTACTCACTATACTCAAAAAGCTGCCTTCAGTTTCATAAAATAGTATTTTTGGCTTCCTTTTAATTCATTTTTTATGAACTTTGACTTTGTTTTCCTGATACAGGGGATAGTTAGGTTAGATGTTTGTGGAAGTTCAGCATTCTATAGAACATAGTTTAACTTACAATAAGAGAAAAAGGAGAGCACACAGCTCAGAGCCATCCTGTCTTCATTTCCTTCTTGCCTGGCTGTGTAGCCACTTTTATTTTTATTTTTTTATTTTTCAGGTGTTACTTTAATTTTTCTCTATTATGGGCACTGAGGTTGGATAAGCATGGGTCTGCCTCTGTCACTGCTTCCTCCAGGCCAGCAAGGCCCATGCAATGGAACTGAGCTAACAGACAGCAGTTCTGGCCACAAAGATGACCCCACTCAGCAGCCAGCCCGTGATGAGCCTGCACATTCATGTTCAACACTTTACCGCTGGCTGCTTGCTTTTACACCAGCTCTCCTATCTGATCCCACATGAGAAGGCTGCTGGAGGAATCAAAGTTCTCTGTACCACTAAGTTTAGCCTTATCCAGTGTTTTCTGACCACTGTTTTTTGAACCCTGATCTCCCCCAAAAATAGGCTTTGCCAATTTTTTCATATCAAATAAGAAAACTCCAAGGCCACTTGCTCTTCGCTCTGGCCTCCACTGCCTTGGTTTTATAATGTAGCAAACCCTTCTTCCACAAGACGCCTGAGCCCTGGGTGAAGCTGTTTTCAAGGAACAGGGTCACACATGGCTGCCCGGCCTGGCAGGCCTGCAGGCTTGCTGGCTAAGGCCAACTATAAACAAACCTGGATTAGCATTTTAAAACAGGTTTCACCAAAAGGATAACTATTTGTCATAGAAGAAAATACTACTGATTGGAGCACACTCAGACTGCCTTTAGACATTCTCCCATGCCTGTGTCCTACTTTCCTGGGGCAGTATTACAATATTTACCATAAAGCTGAGCATGAGCGTGGGGTCTGTGAAGTTCTGAGTTTACTGGCATACTGTCTTTCTTCCACTGCAAGAGATTAAGAAACTGGAGCTGAAAATGAAAATGTTCACTCACATTTTCTACACCAGCACACCAGAGGAGACAGCAATAGCTTCTTCCTTTTTCTTTTTCTTAAATAAATAGCACAAAGAATTGCAGCCAGCCAGCTCAGCTTGGGCCAACTTTAAAAGCCCACCACCAGATCCCCACCAAGATAAGCAGCCCCCACACGGAGGTGATCCACCATCATCTCTGAGAGATAACTAGGAAAAAAAGGAGAGATGCTTTTACAAAAATATCATGATTTGGCTCCTGGAGAAAAGGAAGGGCAAAATGCAAGTGGTGTTCCTTCTTCTCACCTTGGTGGCTTCCCCAAGTAGAAGAATTAATAGGCTTAGGGCTTATTAAGGTGAAATCAAAAGGAGAGAAAGACAGAGAAACTGTAATAACAATGGTGCTAGAGACTCTGAGGGTTTCCAGCAGGCTCATTTGTTTCAAGGAAGAACATTTAGGGAGAGGTGGATCCCCCTCTGTCTTCATTCAGCTTCAAATGGAAGAAGAAAAGCAGGAAGTATATAGCTAATATAGAAGGTATGATCCAAAATGTTGAAAACAATTCCACCTTTTCTTGCATAAACATTTATTGAATGTGTATTACGTGGCCAGCACTGTGATTGATATGGGTGATATTAATGAGATTCAATCATTGAGCTTATCTTTGTGAAAGAAGCCCTTCCACTTGCTGAACTGCTGAGACAGCCTCTGACGATTCGAATGAATCAGATGCTAGCCACAGTTCAAATGTCCTGTTGTGGACCATTTCTGAGCCTCTGTAATGGAGTTGCGGCAGTGATTTCAGAATCAAGCTAACCTACTCTAATTTTGGAAGCATTTATCTTAGCCTTTCCACCCCCCTCCCCACTTTCTACATCTGAATTGTTTGCACCACACTGATATCACTTATGTGAAATGCTAACCAAATTTCTTTCCCACATTCGACCTCAGTTTCTCCATATGTGTTGTTATAAAATCATCTGGTTCTGAGTCATTCAGTCTCTTGGCAGATGCTCAGTGCACTTGAAGCTAGTACGTGCTTGTTTGAAGTCCTTATGGTTCAGTCCTCCCTGTCTGTCAGTCAAGTGTATCTGCTTAATATCTCTATACGTTATCTCTATAAACACGCCTGTTGAAAAAATAATCTCCTGAAATACCAAGCTGATAGTATCTTTTCCAGCTATTGGGCATTGTTTTCTGTTTAATGAATAAAAAGTTTTCAGAAATGTGCATTTTAATTTACGTCCAGGACAGACTGCTGTCAGAAAGATCTGCTGGAATGCTTTCCTTTGAAAAAGAAGCTGGCAATGTAATACAACAAGCAGCTGTAGGCGGCCACATTATCTGCCTTGTCTTTTTCAAGCCTAGCCATGGGGTGTGTGTGTGTGTGTGTGTGTGTGTGTGTGTGTTTTGGTTGAAAAGTTGGAATGGAAATGAAACGAGGTATTTTTGCAGAAATTAAGCAATTACTATTTGCTGATGTAATGTCAATTCATAAGTGACCTCTGAACAACAACAAAGCACATCACTCGAAAATTTAAAAATAATCACTTCACTGAGCAAGCAGATGTATTTGTTTAGGTGAAGCATCCAAGAGTTACCTGACCCCTCCAGCTCACCCGTACTGCAAAAGATGGGGCCCCGTGTACCCATCAACCCGAAGAAGGACTCTGAAACCTCTATCGCCTACAGCCCGTGGGTTCTGACAGCAAAGTGAATCACTTCTGGGGAAGACAATGACTTGTTTACTTTTCACTGAATTGAAAATTGAAGATATTTCATAATAGGGTCTGGGAAAATTTACCAGATGTTTCATTGCACTATGTTCTCCTGTCAGGTCCACAAGATATAATGCTGAGAAAGGCTAATAAATCAAGGTGGGTATGAAAAGCTTAGGGATAAAATTCATAAAAACTTGAACTGCGGGAGGACACCTTTTCTCTAGCTGCTAAAATATGAAATTTCTTGACTTTTTTGGTGCTTCACAGATAAACTAATATAAACTATAGTTCTCATTTTTACTCATTTCTCCCTGCTTTCCTTCTATTCCTTTCTGCTCCAATTTAGCCAATCTAATGTCTAAATACAGAATAGAAAAATGTGTCTTCTAATTTACTTTAAAATGATGACTGGATGAATACGTAACCACTGCTCTGAATGGAAGACTTCGACTGGAAGACTTTTTCACATGACCCAGGGAAAGGCACAAAGAAACAAAGCTTGTGATGCTCTAAAATAATCAATTCATTTGGCCAACACCATGCACAGAATGGAAAGCTTTTGCCTCATTTTTCTTCCCCCCGCCTTCAGATTTTCAAAGTGTTTTATAAAAGCAAGTGCTAATAAACTGTGGCATTAACTAGAGAACACTGGTGCAGACTTTATTCTGGTCATCTGTTACTTACTTCGGGCCACTGTCTGTGCCATAGGAACTACAATCCCAGTTGTCTTAGTTATCTATTGTTGCATAACAAATCATCCCAAAACAAGAAATACATGTTATCTCACACTAACTTTCTGTGGGTCAGGAATTTGGAAGCAGCATAACTGGGAGGTCTGGCTCAGGATCTCT
This sequence comes from Homo sapiens, assembly GCF_000001405.40. Classification (NCBI taxonomy): domain Eukaryota; kingdom Metazoa; phylum Chordata; class Mammalia; order Primates; family Hominidae; genus Homo; species Homo sapiens. The sequence goes on along the minus strand of NC_000015.10, from coordinate 47,819,422 downwards.
TGTGAGGCTGCAGTCAGATGCTGACAAGGGCCGCAGCAAATGACGCTTGACTGGGGCTGGAGGATCTGACTCCAAGATGGTGCACTCACATGGCTGTTGGCAGGAGGCCTCAATTCCTTACAGAGTGGATCTGTCCATAGGCTGCCCAAGAGTCCTCATTCCATGGCAGCTGGCTTCTCCCAAAAATGAGTGCTCCAAGTGAGAGAGTGAAAGAGAACTAGCAGGGGAATCCACAATAAGCTTTATTACCTAGTCTTTAAAGTCACACACTGTCATGTCTGCTTTATTCTATTTGTTAGAAACAAGTCATGAAGTCAGCCCACATTCAAGCAGAGGAGAATTAGTCTCCAACTCTTAAAGGGAAGAATATCAAAGAATTTGTGGACATGTCTTAAAATTATTCCACGGGTTGAATAGAATTTTTAATTGGTGCAGTTGACAGTGAGATCTCAATCAATACCATACATTGAAGAAAAAGAAGAAGAAGAAGAAAAGAAAGAAAAATAAAAATAAAAGCACAGCTTTGTTCAGGCCACTCCTTATCTTGCCTCATGAACTTCCATCTCAAGTCCCACCCGCAGACCTTATTTCATTCTGACACTGCTCATGGCTTTCACTAACTTCCCCCTAACTCCAGCTGTTGATCTGTCATTAGTAAATCTCAACAACATTCCAACCTGTTAGAAAAAAAAACAATAAGGCAGAGGCTCAGGTACCCCTAAAGTCTGGAGTCATAAGAAAATTAAAAATCTGTGAGTTCAGAGGACAGGGGTAAAGTGTATATGGAAAGAGGAGGGAAATTCTCCACAGATGGGACTGTTTTATCTGATGCATCCTGGAGTTCTGAGAGGTGTTGCTAAGGCCTCCCAGAGGTTGCTCTTGGCTCCTCCTAATGCCAGGGTAGGCAGCTCAGCTCTCCTATGTGTATCCAGCCTAGTGGATTTCTCTCTGGTCACTCCTCCGCAGCTTCACTGGGCTTCCTGGGCACAATGCTTGCAGCCTCTATTCAGAAGTAATCATGGTACTAAATCACTCTCTGCCCATTATCATCCAGAGCCTGTCCATAGACAGCTTTATCTCCCACCAGGAAGTCTGTTCTGATCAGCCTTTCACCGACTTCCTTTCATGCTTGCAAAGGGCAAGAAAAGTGGCTTCAGGGACTACCAGCTCACAGGGCACAGTCAGTGGTAATGGTCTTATCACTCGGCTACCTTCTCCTCCTTCCCAAAGGGAGCAGCAGTTAGTGTATCTGAGCCAGAGAGTCTGGCTGAACCATCCTATTACTGTTTTGTATAAAGCACTTACAGAATTCCTCGAGGGGAGAGGAGTCTCCAAGGGGAACTTGTCTCATTAAACTGCTGCCTGCTTTCCAAGCAGCCAGAGAGGCTCTGAGCAGGGAGATGCGACATTTGGGGGCTTGGTCATGCTAATGCAGTAACCTCTGGGCACAGGGACAGCATAATGGGGGAATCACTTCAGAGGAGAAAATGGGAAATGCGCTCTTCTCCTTTGCCCCATTTAATGGGGTTAAAGAAGAAACAATGACATTTTTATAGTTGTAAAAATGTGTCCAGTATAGATGCTTCTAGGTTCCTGTACCTAAAAACTCTTTATGATTTGTTCTATTCTTTCTTTTTTTTCTGGAAAATTCTCCACTATCTCTGCTCTATATTATTCTTTACTTAGCCCTAGATAGATTTTTAAAAAATGGCTTCTGAAGATGTGGTCTTTTAAAAGCTTGGTGAAGAAAGACCAAAAATTTCTTTAAAAGGCCTCTGGCCACAATGTCTTTCATCTTTGATTTATAGGAACCATTCAAAGGAACTCTCTGGAAAATAGCTTTTGGTGTTTGCTAAGAAAGCACCACAGAAAACAAGCCAACTCCCAGGTTGACAGGATGCTCTCTGCAGAGGACTTGGGGATTGCATTTTCAAAGGCTTCCAGAGCAGGCTGATGAATCTGGAGATGATGTATTCTGGATGCCAAATCATTAGGGAGTTCACTCTACTGGCAGCGTTCAGTTTCAGAAACAGGAGATGTAAACCTTCAGCACAGTGGATGGTATGTCAGGGTATGACTTCTGAATACCATCCTGCCCCACAGTGGGGCTGGCAAGTTTCTACTTCTCCCCTATCCAAGCTGCTTAGCCCAGAGAGGAAGAGCTCAGTTTGCCTCCTTCTTAGATGGGGATTTTAAACAAGTGTTTACACATTTACACTAGGTGGCCTGAGTCAGGGGCGGAGTGAGCTGGTAATGGTAGTGTGTCACGCACCTGTGGCACACCACCTTCCAATATTAGAGAACATCTGGATATCTACAGTTACCTCAGAGAGGGCAAGCTGCACTTGGCAAAACTGCTCTACTGACCGTCCTTTCCCAGGATCGATTCTTCCTTTGGTGACAGTGCATAGAGCCCTGGTCATTAGAGCTGTAAGCAAATACTCTGATCCTCCTTCTTTAGGACTTTTGGTAGAACTATTTTTTCCCCACCTTCTTTGAAATAAGGTGTGGCCATCTGACTATCTGACTTGCTTTGCTCAGTAAAATGTGGGAAGAAATGATTATGTCACTTCTGTGTTGAAGCTTTAAGAGTTATTACATAATTCACACTTCTTTTACCTGCCAAGGTAACTGGTGATGGTTTCAGTGATTGCTGCTGCCAAAGGGAGAATGACTTGGATTAGATGCCCTGCCAACCTTTGATGGACATGTAGGGAGAGTGAGAAATAAGCTCCTACTGTTATAAGCCACTAAAATAATTGGCTTGTTTGTTACTGCAGCACAGCTTGTTCTGTTTTTCCTGATTCCCACAATCCCCTCTGGGAAGACAGGGACTTTTAGTTGCCAGTGGAAGTGCATTTCATGGAGATAATCTATGTTTGTAGGGACATCTCTCCAGATGAGGGTTTGAAAAGGTCTCATCTCCAGTCCAGCGAACTGTGGATTATCTAGGCCACAGGAAAGAACCAAGTTTTATACAAATTAGCTTTATATTGATTGTGCCAGGGAGGGATAGGGAATTAACCACTTTTTTCAATTGCTTTATTAAAATATATGATTAAATGAACCGGTCTTTCTTCCTAGGTTTGTATGCAATCTGTAACCTCTACAATATAGTATATATGCTATTCCCCCTCTTTATCTGAATACATTTTATCCCTTGAATAGGATTGGGGTAGAAAATCATGAGCTAGTCATACTTAAACAGTAAGAAATCTGGAAGCATTCTTGTCTAGAGCATAACTATTTTCTTAATGAACACTTAACATCTATCATCTGCAGAAAAGACTTTGAAATAGATCTACTTTAGGACCAATAAGAATAAACAATGTGTTATAGACAGTGGCTTATCACAATTTTGTTCTTGTGTGCTGTGGGAAGTATTGTGTGTGAACAGTCTGTATAGTAAGGTTTGGTATACATGAGCTATGATTATGATAACTTTACAAACAGAGAAAACTCTTGGCTATGTATGGAATTGTTAGCCTGAGTTCCCCAGAATAGAGCTTAAGGAAGAGTTTGAATGCTAATGCTTCCTTGGGAGATACAAGTCCAGGGCATAAAGAGTTAGTCAAGGGAAGTTGACACAGTAAGTCAAAGGTGGTAGTTTCTGAGCCAGCCATAGCTACACACACACACACACACACACACACAGCCACTTTTTTGGAGGGCTCTGGAGGTAGCATGAGGAACCACTGCACCTCAGAACTACCTGTCAGCAGGAGGATAGGAGCAGAGTTTTCCTGTTGGCTTCTTTCTGCCTCCTATCTCTTACTGGCCAGGAGTCTCACTGAGGTAATTCCACCCTCCTCCCCTCTTTTGGCAGCCTGTGTTACTCAGCCTGTCTGGGAGAAGGCTAATCCCCAGCTCCATGGCTGGTTTCATTCACTTCCCCAAAATAAAGAGGTCCCAGGCTTTCATGGATCGAGTAAGTTCTGTATAGGATGCCTGAGCTGCTGCCAGTGGTGATAGGAAATGGGAAGACAACAGCCAGGGATCTCCACTGAGCAAAATCCGAGACCTAGGGACAAGTAGGGCCGAGTGATCTGGGAAATTATTAATACATAATCTGAATCCAACAAAGGTACTTGGTTTTGAACTGTGAGAGGTATATGTCTATGTGGAGGAGATAATTGCAGTCTTTGAAATTTTATTATATATGGGCAATTAAGTGCTTGTAATTATAGATGGATGTCAATCTGTTTTGGAGAGCTATAGAGCTTTTCAGAAAAAAAGAGCTTGAATAAATCTTAAGTTTAAGACCAAGAGATTACAGGCTGTGTCAAAACTGCTACACCTTGAATATCTAAGTTGTTGGAAGTCATGAGGCCCTGTTAGCCTGCTGAAAACTTTGAGAGGGTTTGAGATTTGAATTAATTCTACAAGAGAGTGATCAGTAAGTTCTTCATGGCAACCTTTTCAAAGCCAAAGGGCTAGAGATGACACTCCTCACATTGCAACAAGTAGGGTTGTCAGTATTCATGCATACACAAACATGCAAACAAAACCAAGCTATTAGGTTACTGATCACTGAAATAGCTGCAGTAGTAGACTATGCCTACTTAGTCCCAGAAATCATCCAAATATCCAAACTGTGGGTATCATATACACCAATGAGTCTGACTTACTGGAATGCTTTCCAAGATGCGAGATGATATGGGAATAAAGGGAGGTGTGGTCCAGTATGTTTGGAAATCCTACATGCAATGCCTAATCTTGGAACACCTCAGCAACATCCAAGGCTCCAAGATGTCTCACTGTAAAGAAGCCTGCTTACTGCAGCATTTCCCAAACTTAGGTCACGGGAAACCATTCCTTTTTCTATAACAATTATCCCCCTTCCTTGAAAACTTCCTGTGCACAATTCTTAAGAAACACTGAGGCAAACTCTAGACTGTGTTGAAAGGCAGTGTGATGTGGTAGGAATTCAGGCAGCTGAGAGCCTAAACAGGGTGCTCTGGGCCTGCTTTGACGTTAACTCTTGGTCACTTAAAAATCAAGTCATACAACCACACTCTGCCTCAGTTTCCTTCCAAATACAAATAGATAGTATGTTATGACGCTGCCAGAAGGACCAGATGAAGGAGTAAATGTGAAAGCATTTCGAAAATTTAAAAGAGAAGGAAGAGCAAGTGAAGTCTCCACTCTTCAAATGAACAATGTGGTCTATGATTGATTCAGTGAGCACTTTCGTTTTTACAAATGAGTCCTGCACTGATCTGAGTAGGTTTTGTCTTTTTCAACAGACGCTGACATAGTTTTATGAATGCAAACAGCCAAGGAGAGCAGATGTTGAGTGGTTGCCAGAGTGAAATGAGGAAGCCCTGCTGCCAGCTTCCCACCAAAAAGCAGGTGCTTAGACCATTTTATTTAAAACCAGCTCTTTGAATGCACTATGTGCTGAATAAATATCACTAAAATATGTGTGTGGCTTTTCTGCTTTGGAGATAGGAAATGGATAATTGAGTTTAGGGTCCACTCTGTCCACATGTATCCTTCCTGCATATGCGCATCTCTTTTTGCATGTTCCTTCTGGGTAAAAATGGAGAGAAGAATATGAATCTTACAGTCCTAGAACACCCAACAGAACATAAAGAGACTTTAGGGTTCATCTTTGCCCTCTCTCCACTTGACAGAAAAGTCAACTGTGACCCAAAAGCTACATCAACTGACCCCTGGTCAAAATGACCCTTGAGAGTAGAGCTGGACTCAGTTCCCTTCAATGCCAAGGCACACTCTTTCTACTAGTCTATGCTGCCTCAGGTTCCTCCTCCCCAGTGATCTACATATGTTACTACTAGAAACCCACTAGCCCTTAAAATATAAATTAACCACAGACAAATATTAATAGGATTACACAAAACCTCCAAAGGGCAGCTGTGGAGCAAAGCAATCTGCTTGCCAGTTAAAATAGCTTTTCTACAAAGGGGTTCTATGGAATCACAGACTGAACAGAGACGAGCTAAATTAGGTTGGGTTCCTTACAGGCAGAGCCTGACACAGCAGAGGGCAGTGGGAGAAGCATAGCAAGGATCTGGTCTTAGGTGAGGCCTAGTCTTAATCTGGTCCATGGGAGGAAAGTTCTGGAGCCCACACCACACAGAACAGCTATGCCCTTATAGGAGGTTGGCCTTTATAGCCCATGTCCCTTAGGCATTGGCTGTGGGCCTTGAGGGAATGATGCTGGCAAGATGGCTCCTGTCTTCCGAAGGCAGTTATCTGGAGAAGGGGGAAGCTGTGAGCCATTAGCACATACCCCTCATAGCAGGTAAAGTCAAGTCACCAGCTAGTTAAAGGGATTTGGGTCTGGCATCTACAGACCCCAAGCACCAAAATGTCTACCCCAGGCACAGAGTATGGGTGCAAAAGAAGAAAAAGGTTTAGCAGTAGAGACAGCAAATGTCAGGCCTCTTATTCTCTTAAAAATGGGTGTTTGCTCAGACCCATCAGGGCTGGACAGAATAGGCAACGACGTGAAACCATCAGAGGAACGTGTTTGCACTTACCACTTCCTGTGGTCATGGTCAGAGAGCTGTGTCCTTCTCAGCTTCACATTTCTTTTAGGGTTTCTCTTGCATTTCAACTGTAATGATAAGAAAAGACATCCAGGAGAAAGGCAGGTGTGATGACATCTGATGTCTTGGCAGTCATCCTTGACCCCATGCTGTTCAGAGAAGTCATCCAGAACTCTCCCATTCTGCAGAGGGGGAGGCTGACCTTGCATAACACTCATGGAGTGAAAATAGGAGTGGTGCTCTTACCTAGATAAATTGGAGAGTTATTTCCCCCATCCCCCTTCTCAGTTCTCTTTGGTATGTGAACTTGCGTTCCAGGCCATGTGAGTCAGTAGAGATGGGAATGTTGATTGATTTGTACAAACATGTGTAAACAGTACTCTTAAAAACAAACTCACTCTTCTTATACTGTGAAGAAAATATGAATTCTTCACATTGGAGAGACTGGGACATGAAGCCCAACCTCTCGCATTGAGTTTTATCATTTGGAAAGCGCTAAGAATATCCTTGTCCAATTTCCTCATATTAAAATGGAGGACCCTGAGGCCCAGAGAAATGGGAATGATTTGACTAAATGCACAGAGTTAATTAATGGCAGAAACTATAAGTATTGATTTTAAAAAAATAAAAACAAACCAAAAACACCTATGAGGCTTCTATTAGGCGCCTAGATGGAGTGCAATTTCTGAAGCAAAGTCATAAAAGACAGTGTGGTTTCTAGCTTGTGTGCTTGGATCACTGGCACTGGGGACAGTGTTAAAGCTCATACTGGGAGCCAAGTATACCAAGGTGAGCAGGAGCAACAGTGCGTGGTGACCTCCCCCTCCTGGAAGCATGTGGTCCATTGAAGTCTTCAGAGGGTATGGTGTGGGGGCGGGGGGTATTAGGAGGAGACACTGGAAGGCAGATGTCATGAGATAGGCCTGGGAGAATTTGGGGAAGTCTTTATAGACGAGGATGTTTATGTTGGAAGTCAGAAGATGGATCAAATTTTGAAATTCAGGGAAGGGAGGAAGAAAGATGAGGAAGGCACTGCTGGAATGAAGGTAGAGAGATAGGAAAGAGAGGCATTTGTCAGGGCAAGGCACAAATGGATGTGAGTAGCTGTCCAGGAGAGCTGGGACAGACTCTGGAGGAGAAATGGTGTGTGAGCCCTGGGTCTGGAAACCAAGCTGTGAATGAGGACATAGGAGAAAAAGGGATGAAGATTAAGCTCCCAAAGCAAATTATACCAGTGGCCAGTGACTGGAAAAGCAATGATTATAGCCTTTTAACTGCAAAATCTCTCTCTGGTCCTATCTAGTACCCTTTTCAGTCCTGATGCTTAAAATTCGCTGTTTAGGATGTATTCCTTTGGGTATTGAAGATGACTTTGCCTTAAATATGCCCTATTAAAATGTAATGCCTCTGAGTGAGTTAAGTATGTATAACCCATTAGGTAATGCCTCCAGGAAATTTGTTGACAGCTAAATGACAGCTAGCTAAAAACAAGATCTGTGAGAAAAGAAAACAGAAAAGGCACCTGGGAGGGCAGGGAGTTGGGTGCTGAGAAGGGGAAGGTGCTGAGAGGTGAGGCTTCCACAGACTGCTTGTGGCTGGCCCTGCCTGTGGATGATATGTGCAGGCCAGATATGAGGTCAAAAGGAACTTTATCTGGAAGCTGATGGGTGGTGTTCAAGCCCCCAGTTTCGAAGGGAAACACAACATGTGTTTAGACAGGAAATTGTCCCTTCAGCCAGCAGCCTCCAGCAGCTAGGATCACACATTTGAATTTGGTTTGAAAGGGAGAAAGAGGGAGTGCTGGCTCAAGTGAGACTCTAGCTTCTCTTCTGCTTATGGGGAAATACAATGGATGTGACTCCAAACTGGGATACTCAGTCTCTCCTAGGGACCTGCTTCTGCGTGTGGCACGCCTACAGACTGGTGCAGGTTTAACATGAAACTTGTTTTAGTCATCTCCAGGATATGCACTGCATTTATCTCCAAATTTTGATATATTGTCTGCCCATTCTATAATAACAAAAAGAGCTACTAAGTGACAGAGAAAAGCCTTGAAGCTGTTTCTGTTATTAAACCATGAGGACTATCTGCCTGTGGTGGGCAGCCTCTGAGCTGACCCAGGATTCATACCCTTGTTAGCATCCTCTCCCACATGGAATAGGGCTGACATCTGTAACCAAAAGGATACTGCAGAAAGGATGGAGTGCAATTTCTGAAGCAAAGTCATAAAAGACAGTGTGGTTTCTAGCTTGTGTGCTTGGATCACTGGCGCTGGGGACAGCCAGTTGCCATGGCATGTGGACTGAGGCAGCCTATGGGTAAACCAGTGTGGTGAAGGCCTAAGATCTGTGGCAACAGCCTTATGAGTGAATCGTATTGGAAGTGGATGCTTCAGCTCCATCAGGCCTTCAAATGACAGCCCTCCCAGCAGGTATCTTGACACAAGATAAAGACCCTTTGCCACTTCCAAACTTCTAACTCCCCAAAACCATGCATAATAAATATTTATTGTTTTTTGCCTCTAAGTTTTGGGGCAATTTTTTACATGGGACAGACACCTAGTACACTATACAATGAAGTTTGGGATAAAATGTGAGACAGCACTAAAAACCAATATATGGTACTCTAACCTATAGGAAGGATATGCATTTCTGTTTGTTTTTTTGAGACAGAGTCTCACTTGATTGTCCAGGCTGGAGTGCAGTGGTGCAATCTCATCTCATTGCAACCTCCGCCTCCTGGGTTCAAGCGATTCTCATGCCTCAGCCTCCTGAGTAGCTGGGATTACAGGTGTGCACCACCACACCCAGCTAATTTTTGTGTTGTTTTGTAGAGACAGGGTTTCATCATGTTGGCCAGGCTGGTCTTGAATTCCTGGCCTCAAGTGATCTGCCCGCCTCAGCCTCCCAAAACGCTGGGATTACAGGTGTGAGCCATCATGCCTGGCTGGACAAGCATTTCTCTAAACATGTCACGATCCTAAAAGGTTTGTTCAATAATCTAGGGGCCTGGATGGGCCATTAGAATAGTGAGGAAATGTACCAATATGGATTAATTCCTCATCAACATGATAGGTAGATACAAAGGAAAAAGCATTCAGGCCTACGCAAGGGTCTACTATGAAAGGGAGACTACAAGAAATATGCTCAGATGACAGAGAAAGGGAAGCAATAATCACACAGAGGGTCTTTGAGATTTGGGTGGCATTACTGTGAACTTCACTGACTTCTTGCATTCTCAGAAGGTGGAATTACTGAAAACAGGAGGATGACTTACTCCTGGGGAGGTGTAGCAAATTCAGTGAGAAAATCATCAAGATAGCACATTTCGACTAAAACCATGAACTTGACCAATTCACTCGTCCTCCCTTTCTAGGTGATATTCCAGTTGGCTTCAGTGGAGAAAGCTTCATTCAAAGATTGTCATTAAACAGAAAAGAAGCCATGTAGAACGTATGCATTGATTCTTGCGGTGGAAATCCAGGGAAGAAACATATGCAGAGGCACATAGTCAACATGTTCCTTCTCCTAAATTTACTGATAATACCCACTTTTTGAGCTGGGAACTAACCCCTCTCATTTCATGTGGCTCCAGTGTGATTACCAATCTCTTTCTCCTACTTTTCCAGCCAGAAGTATGTAACCCAAATCTGACCAATCAAAACAACCATTTGCCTAGTCAGACGATACCTTCAGGAATGGGCATGTGACAAAATCTGGGCCAAGCAGAGTCTTCCCTGGCATTTCTCTATCAGTGCTCTGAGAAAAGATGCTTTTTTCTTAACTGCATTGCTAAGCAGTAGAATATGAGTCTTGGGTTAAGAGCAGCCATCATGGCTATCACTTGTAAACAGCTTAAGAAACAGTGGAGATCTCAGATGTTTCTAAAGCTACATTGCCTTAGGACTTTTCAGTGCTATGAGCAAATGCATGCCCCTTTACACTTAGTTAGTTTAAGTAGAGTATCTAACATAAGTACAAATCAATTTATTATCATAGAAAGCAGAAGAGTTCACAAAATAGTGCCCTAGAGCCTTAGAAAAATGAAAGATGGCATGGACTTTCTGAAGCTAAAAAAGCTCAAAAAGAAAAGAAATAGGAATATCAAAGAAAAGATGGGGTAAGACCACTTAAAAAGTTGAAAACTGAGCTGGAAGAGCATAGAAAAGAAATGGAAGAGAGAATAGAACTATTGCAAAGAGGAAGGCCACATAAACAAGAACTAGAAAAAAATTGGATATAAGCATTGTCAGAGACATTGCTTACACACTTGATGAAATTATCTTAAATAACAATAAAAATTTAATTTTAATTTTGAATTAAAAAAATAAAGTAATAGCAACAAAATGATAAATATGGAAGGTAGACACATATATGTGACATATATGACTTATCTTATATATGCTACTCCTTATAAAAACCCTATGAAAGTAGGTCTCCATCTCATAGGTGAGGAAAACAAGGCACAAGGAGGTTCAGTAACTTATCCAAGCTCACATTGAGGTAAACGGCAGAGCTGAGATTTGAAACCAATGGTCTGGCTTCAGGGTCCATATTCTAAACTTCTATGTTATACTGCCTCTCCTATGTGACACAAAACAAATGGAGTCTTAAAATATTCAAATATAGAGCCGGGCGCGGTGGCTCACGCCTTTAATTCCAGCGCTTTGGGAGGCCGAGGTGGGCAGATCACAAGGTCAGGAGATTGAGACCATCCTGGCCAACATGGTGAAACCCCATCTCTACTAAAAATACAAAAATTAGCTGGGTGTGGTGGTGGGCACCTGTAATTCCAGCTACTCCAGAGGCTGAGGCAGGAGAATTGCTTGAACCTGGGAGGCAGAGGTTGCAGTGAGCCGAGACTGCGCCACTGCACTCCAGCCTGGGCGACAGAGAGAGACTCTGTCTCAAAAAAAAAAAAAAAAAATAAACAAATAAATTCAAATATTTAATCAAAGAAAAGCTTATGGAGATATTAGTAGTAATAATAAGATATTATGTGGCACTTATTGTCAGGCAATGCAAAACACTGTGTCAGCAAAAAACGGATATGACATTTTCTATATCCAAGTAACTTACACTATAAGGCAAGACTCTTATGACATTTAAGCAAATCGTAACTACAAGAAAAAAAATCTAAGTGACAGCATTCAATGATAAACTACAACTGACAACTCAGGGGAAAATCCATATGAAAAATAATTTTGATTTTTAATTTCTATGTCTACTTTAATTGACACTTTGGCTTTAAACATATTCATGTATTATATGAAAATTACATTTTATTTTGAATGCTTTGGTTCATTACTGCCAGTAGAAAACAAATTATGTTAAAATCTCAATTATAAAAACATAATATGGGATTTTTCTAAAGTACAAAAAATAAATACATAATACTTGGTAAATTATGTATGTCTTCATTTTATTACTTAAACATTGAAATACATCAGTAGGATTAAAAATAATTATATTCGCTTCTCTACAATATTTCCCAACTTTTAACCATATTAAAAAAAAACTATCATTTTACACATACATGTGTTTTTCCATTTTGTAATTATAAAGGTATATTTGTCAAGGTAGGAGGATAAAGTGTATTTCATTTAATAGTTAGCATTTATAACATTTAAATGTTTAGGCATAGGGAAAGTGAGTTTTCATTTTACCTTTGCTACAACCTCACAAATGTTAAAGCCAGACCACATAGCATAGAACCAGTAATAATCACGAGATGGAGAGAGAGCTGTGTGTTAATTTCCTTATAATTTATTGCAAGGATCAATAATCACTGTCTAAAGTCAAAATAGGGATTTATTTTATTTTATTTATTTATTTTTTTGCAAGACGTAGTCTTTCTGTGTCACCTGAGATCAAGTGATTCTCCTGCCTCAGCCCTGAAGGTAGCTGTGATTACAGGCGTGTGCCACCATGCATGGCTAATTTTTGTATTTTTAGTAGAGACAGGTTTCATCATGTTGTTCAGGCTGGTCTCGAACTCCTGACCTCAAGTAATCTGCCCACCTCTGCCTCCCAAAGTGCTGGGATTACAGGCATGAGCCACAGCACCCAGACAGAATAGAGAACTTAAAAAAAAATTATTCTCAGTCTCTTAATGCTGTCCATAATCTTCTCTTTCAAACGGTAGGCATCTTTTAGAAACTTAAAACTCTTTTATGTGAAGACCAATGTACTTTATCTTACTTTATTTGCTTATAAATTATGAACGTTTAGATAAATGAAGCTTAATATATTTTAATAAAAATAGTTTGCACAGTAACTTCATTTTTTGTGAAATTTGCTTTCAGATCTCCTTCCTTCTGTGTATAGATAGCCAGAATCATGGTCCCTAAAGTTTCCTAAAACCTCTGTGAGAGGCTCCTTAGCTGGGGTGCCTCCCCATGATTTCCTTACTTTGCTCTTTGTACTCTTTATTGCGTGAAATTTTTTTTCCATCAGCAGCTATCATTTTTACAAATATATAAAAGTGAATGTGTCTATCTGAGAAAACAAAGAAAATCATATTAGTTTCACTTACCAGGGGCTAGTGATTATTTGGCAGTTTGTTTAATTGAGGTTTCCTGGCTTGATGGTATCAGCCAATGTCATCCCGTTTAGGTTCCACTTGAGGTGATTTGCAGCATCCTTACTCATTTGCATAGCACCATATGCTGCCCTGACAGAATCTTTGCACAGTATGAAATAATTCCTCTTGACAGGATAACCACTATTACAGCAGGTAGGCCAAACTGGGGGAAGATAATAATCAAATTAAGGAAACAGTAAGTAGGCAATTACGTGTACCCACCACCAAATGCTGGCACTAATCTGTTCAGGATGTCTGTAGAGCATTTGGCTGGGAATGGCTTGAGGGCCACTGAGAATGTTACTGCAGTGTGAATGTGGGACCTCCTGAATGAACTGATTCATAAACTGTTTAGGACTTACTGATGGCGTTAAGTCCTGGGTTTTGCCATATTTTGAAAAATGCACATTTCAGTCCATGCCTCAAAACCCAAAGGTATAGCCCCAGGATCAAGAATGCAACTACAAATAGGCTTTCCTATTTAGCCTGATGGCCTTGTGCATTAGTTTAATAGCCATATTTTTAAATTTTAGTGTCAAAAGTTAATGTTTAATTATCTGACAGAAAATACAGAGTCTGGAATGTAGTGCTCAGATGATCCTCCCTACCCTCTGACCTGCCATCTCCTCTGTCTCCCTTCTTTGCTGTCAATGAGCAACCCATTTCAATAAGTTGCAAAGCAAGGATGTGATTTTACAAAGTATCTCATAGAGAGATCTGCTAAAGTGAACTGGCCACCAGGCACCAAGAATCTCTTCACATTCTGAAACCTCACCCTTTCCTTGATCAGCATGAAGCAGTTGACTTCTAGATGCCCTAGAAAATTGCTGCTTCTTTTCTCCTCCCTAATATGTGATCTTGAACAGAGCAAAGATACCCCGCTCTGACCCTCCTCAAGTCAAGCTGAAATGTCTGAGATAAAAAAGTCACTCTGGAAATGACGGGATGTGAGAGGGCAGAGTTCTATTGGACAGCTCCTCTGGGAATGAGCACAGCTTTGTTCTTAAGGAGGTCAAAGGATTCCAAAGGATGCCACTGAGGCAGGAATGCTTTTTAACTTCTCCTGAAGTCCAAAGAAAAAACACTCAAAGTGTAATTGTGGAGTCTGATGGCTTTTTTATAACCTGGGTCTTTAGGAACAGTCAATTAAAGTTTACCTGCTGGAGCATTTTGCAAAACAAATCAATATCTCATTTATTAAAAATTAAGAACCCATAAGCTTCTAACACATGACTGAAAAAGCAGGTAAACAGTGTGGCAGGGAAGGTTCACAAGATTGGGGGGAAAAAAACACAACATACATTTCTGATTTTAAATCTACCACAAAGTTTGGATGTTGTCACGCTGTTCTGCATGGCATTAGCATAATCAAGTTTGCTTACTTTTAGTTTATGAGCCGAAGACTACAATTAAGCTTGATTTGCACTCTGTTTCTTCTAAACCACAGGCTCCGGCCCTGAACGCAGGAGAGTTGCTAAAGAAGTTGCTCACAGAGGCGGGAGAGAGCAGGCTACTGGTTTCCTTCAAAATGGAATAGGAAACAGAAAACGTGGTGAAGTAGAGCTTTTTCTTACTGAACTTTGCATTCATAGATTCTGAGTGGGTTTCTCCACCCAAGAAGCCTCCCCAGAAAAAACAGTCTTGCTCCTCCTCCCTATACTATAACTTTAAGAACAACAACTATCAATATTTCACAGATGTTCAGCTAAATCCACTGATTGGATCATCATGGCCATACATCACTCACAGGTTTTCAAACTTGTCTGTGCATTTGAATCACCTGAGGAGTTTTTTTGTTTCTTTTTAGAGATAGAGTCTCACTCTGTCACCCACACTGAAGTGTAGTGGTGCAGTCACAGCTCACTGTAACCTTGAACTCCTGGACTTAAGCAATTCTCTTGCCTCATCCTCCCAAGTAGCTAGGACTGCAGGCATGCACCATCATGCCTGATTAATTTTTTTTTTTTTTGTAGATAAGTGGTATCACTATGATGCCCAAACTGGTTTTCAATTCGTGGCCTCAAGTGGTCCTCCTACCTGGGCCGCCCAAAGTACTGGGATTATTTTTACAGGCATGAGCCACCACTCCTGGCTCACCTGAGGAGTTTTAGAAATCACTGATGTCTTGGTCCTACCCCAAAAAATTCTGATATAATTGATATGGGGTGCATCCTAGACATTGACATTTTTAAATTCCCAAAGTGATTCTCATGTGCAGCCAAGTTTGAAACCACTTCTATAAGCCACTGGTTCTTAAAGTGTGGTCCTCGGACTACAGCATCAGCATCAACTGGAGCTTGTTAGAAAGGCAGACTTTCTGGCCCCACCCCAAGCAAACTGATTCAGAAACCCTGGGGATGAGCCCAGTAATCTGTGTTGTAACAAGCCCTCTGGGTGATTCTGATGCATGCTAATATCTGAGAGCAATTGCCTTACATAAAGCTTTGAGAACCCACAGTGTATCGACACCATTTGTGTAGCTGCTGTTCATGTCTCAAATTGGTGTCTTTCTCAGGAAGCAGCAAGATATGATGGAAAGACTATGGGCTTTGGAGTCAGGCCAGACCTGAGTTTGAATCCCAGCCCCATCATTTACGAGCTGGGTTAGCTTAGACAAACATGTAATTTAACCTGTGTGAGCTTCAGTCTCCTCAATTCTGAAACCGTGGAAATTTTATCTAACCCATAATGTTGTTGTGAAAATTAAATGGGATAATAGCATCTAAAATGGACTCGTAGAGTACTGTAAATCAGATCTTACTTCCCTGTCCTTCCTCCCTTCTATTCCAAATTTTAACAAGCAATAGAAAGAAGTAATGAGATATTGACATGAGTTGGGCATATTCACTTTCTTGTCAGTTCCTAAATATTTTCTATCCTCTTCTGATAGCATCATTTCTTCGCACTTGAATCAGCAACATGACACAGGACTTTGGCATCAGGTGAGTCCCATGAGCCAGGCACAGGACCAGGCTCTGACTACTGGGCCACTGAAAGAGAGTCCAGTTGTGGTCTCATCACTTGACAAGGACAAAAAGTAAGGTCAGGATACTCAAACCTGGCAAATTCTTCTCCAGAGTCCACTGAGTGAATGTATTCTCAGAGGCATGTCAAACTTTTAGAAGTAGTTACCTACTTAATTCAGAAAAATTGCTTACTTTATTCCAATAATTCCCCTACTCTGACCTGTTCATAGACTTTGTATTTTAACATCAAGGATTCAATTTCTCTCTACTGCTTAAGGAAAAGGCATCTCACAAGTCCTCTCCGGGACAAGTGTCTCAGTGTAGTATAATACCTAACAGCAGTGCCAACAATTAACATCTGACTAGATCATTACTGCTTAAACCCATAGTCTGTTTAACTCCATTTCGGTCTCACAGCAACTCAAGGAGGGAGGCATAACTATTATCCTCATTTTACAGATGAGAAGGCTGGAGCTCAGAGAGGTTAAGTGACTTGCCCAAGGTCACACAACTAGTAACTAGGGGAGCTGTCTCCCTGACCCCTCCCCAAATCTTATATCCTAACTGCCATAATAATGATAATGAACAATAGTAACAATATAAAAACACAGAGCACCTGAGAGATGGAAAGAATTGACTACTAGAAGACATGCACAAGTCTGATTCATGCATAAACAGCTGGATTCAGAACAACTATTATTATTAACAATTCTCTCCTCTCAACCTACTGCTCCCTCTACTATTACTCCCCTGCCCTCATGGACTTCAGCCTTGTTTGTCCCTAGAATAATGAGATGGATTTCCCAAGAATACTGAACCATGTTTTCCAATTTTAAAAACATTTCCTTAAAAATGGAGAGAGTAACCTGCAGTGAAATGATCAGGTGTTCATGCTTGTTGTGGAATCAGCAGCAGCAGAGTCATCAGGGAGAGATGCAGACTCTCAGGACTTGCCCCAGACCTCCTGAATCAGAGTCCAGCATTGAACAAGTCCCCTAGGTGACTGGTCCACACAGTCTGCAGTTCCTAACCAGCTCCCAGGTGAGCCCAACACTGTTGGTCTGTGGATTCTGCTTCAGCAGCAGGGTTCTAGAATGGGTATATCTTCCACTCCTCTGCCAACACACTAGGCTTCAGATCTCAGTGCTGTGGCAGAGCCCATTAAGTTGATCATATCCTATAGTCTATGCTGACTCCTCCTGCCAGCACCTTCCACCTGAGGGAAGGTGGGAGAGCAGGAGAGGCTCTTTGAATCCCTCTAGGCACCTGCCCTGCAGAGGTACCTGGGATTTATGGCTTCAAAAGGGGTCCACTAAGCTTCACAGTGGAAGTCTCTCAGCCTGCCTACTTGTGGCAGTGGGAAAAGTATCTATGAAGCTGGTTCTAGGTGTCTCTCTGTAAAAATGTCAGGGCAGGGAATAACTGGGATAAGCTATGTCTCCAGTAGATCTTATGTCCTTCCAGTGAGTGGCCCTAGAGCTGCATCAGGTAAATATGGCATATTTTATAGAAGGTTGTATAGGACATCCGTCTGGGCATAACTGGCCTCTCCATGTTGATTCTGACATGCCCATTTCCTCTTTGTACACATAAGCCATGCTGCAATTCCCTGTCAACCTGGCCTGTGTCCCAGGGATCTGCCCGCGCTTGTCTATTCTGTGTCAGCTTCCCCCTGCAGCTCTGTTGTGTCTCCTGGTTCCTGGGCTCCTGGCATGGGATCCAATGCCCTGTGTCTGAGTTTTGCTCTCCTGATATTTTATCACCTAGATATCAATCTAGGTGGCAAGCATCCTTTTTCTTGTTGCTTCCTTGACCCTGGAACCAAAAAGGCAATGCAGTTAGAGACACTTGAAGGTCTTGTGTCCCGAGAAGGATTTAATTCATTCAAACCAGAACTGTTATCATTCCACCAGGACAGAATCTTTTTCTCCCTCATGGAGCTTTCCCAATTCAGGATAAAGCATCATCACCGATGTAGTTGCTCATGTTGAAATCCCAGGCAGAATTCATTCCCGAATGCCGCCTTCCATTACGCCCACATCCAGTCCATCAGCAAGGCCTGTCAGCTCTTTTTCCAGAATATGTCTTACGTGTGCACACTGCACTTCCTGTTTATCAACACTGCTCTGATCCACCATCTCTAGGTTATAGCTGTCCCCAACTGGCCTCCCTACTACCAGTCTTGCCCTTCACAAAGAAGCCAGAGTGATCTTCTCAAAATCACTTCTCAGATTATCACTGTAATCTCTCCCCTTCCCCATTTAAAAACACTCAAAATCCAAACAGAACATCATGAACTTTGACCTTTGTCTCCTTCTCTACCTCTATGTCTTCCTATTCATTCATTAAATGAATGAAAACTTCTCAACTCACTCACTCTACTCCAGCCCCATGGGCTCCTCCCATCGATGGGCCTCATTGTGGCCTCTTCTCTCCATCTGAAACTCTCTTTCCAGGATCACGTGGCTAACTTTCTCTGCTGAAGCATAATCTTTGAACAGACCTCAAAGATTTTGTCCAAAGACAGAACCTCCTCTGACCACGTTATCTGAAGCAAGTTGTCATACCAACCTCATATTATAATGTTCTCTAGGCCTGTTGCTACTGGAATCATCTTGTTAATGTTTCTTTTTCTTTGCTCCTGTATATATCACCACTGGAATATGAGCTTTAGAGAGCAATTACCTCATCTATTTTGTTCATACATTATAGATCCTCCACAAACTGAAGGAAATGACGGCAGAAGATATGACAAGTGCCATCTTCATTTCTGTGTTAATTCCTTTATTTTTATTTATTTATTTATTTATTTATTTTGAGATGGAGTCTTGCTCTGTCGTCCAGGCTGGAGTGCATTGGCGCGATCTCCACACACTGCAACCTCCACTTCCTGGGTTCAAGCAATTCTCCTGCCCCAGCCTCCCGAGTAGCTGGGACTACAGGCATGTGCCACCACGCCTGGCTAATTTTTGTATTTTTAGTAGAGATGGGGTTTCACCACGTTGGTCAGGCTGGTTTCAAACTCCTGACCTCAGGTGATCCACCTACTTTAGCCTCCCAAAATGCTGGGATTACAGGCATGAGCCACCATGCCCAGCCAATTCCTTTATTTTTATAATATTTATAATGCCAAAGAGAATGTTGAAAACTATGCAGCTGGGCGCAGTGGCTCACGCCTGTAATCCTAGCACTTTGGGAGGCTGAGGCGGGTGGATTACCTGAGGTCAGGAGTTTGAGACCAGCCTGGCCAACATGGCGAAACCCCGTCTCTACTTAAAAAAATACAAAAATTAGCTGGGCATGGTGGCACACGCCTGTAATACCAGCTACTTGGGAGGCTGCGGCTGGAGAATCACTTGAACCTGGGAGGCGGAGTTTGCAGTGAGCTGAGATTGTGCCACTGCACTGCAGCCTGGGTGACAGAGCGAGACTCCATCTCAAAAAAACAAAACAAAACAAAAACCTAACTATGCTGGTTGGAAAATGCCATATAAATGGACTCATGCTTAGACTGTGCTTGGGTCAACCATAATTCCAGCATGCTGGGGCAGCAGGTGATGCTGTGGGGAGGAATCAGGGCTATCTGCTCCTACTCTTGCCATTGTAGTTCAAGGTGGAGAACCCAAACTGCCCACCTTACAGGTAAATGAATGAGTCTGTGGTGTCATGTGAAAAAGAAATGAGGTTTAATCAATAAAATCACTGATTTGCCCAAGAAAAGGAAAAATTCTTCTCCTGGTTTCATTTTTTATTTAGGGATAGTTCACTCAAGATCAGAGCCAGTGTCCCATGTAGACAGAGTGACCCATCTGGGAAGTCTACCTTCCTAACTTGAGAGCAAAAGTGTTGGAGAATAGATTTCAAAACTATGCTATGGGTTGTCCAACTAAGAAAGGATGATAAAAACAAGACCACAACCTAAGAAATAAAGAGATGTTTCTTGCAGTGACTTCCCTGCCTTCATCGTGAGTCCTCTTGCTCTGCCAGTCCCCTGTCAGCGTTCCCATAGGATTCTGTTTTCCTTTCCCTCATCTACACTCATCTACATCCAAAGTTTTTAAGGACTATTCACGTATCAATTGCTATCTTCAATTAAGATTGTTTTCCTGTGCTGCAAACTTTTATCTCCACTTGCCAGGTAGTTTTTTTGTTTTGTTTTGTTTTGTTTTTTTAATTAGTAGCCTTATTGAGGCAACACTGACCTACAATAAACATCATATATTTGAGGGGTACTATTGGATACATGTGATATGTGTTTACAGCTGGAAAAGAATGACCATAATTGAGATAATGAACACAATCATTACCTCCAAGTTTCCTTGTGCTTCTTTGTCATTCCTTCTACTTCTCCTTCACATCCCCAGGGAAACACTGATCTGCTTTCACTATAGATTATTTTACATATTCTCAAATTATATAAAGGAAATGATTCAGTGTGTACTCTTTGTTGTCTGGCTTCTTCCATTCAGCTTAATTATTTTGAGATTCATTCATGTTGTGGGTATCAATAACTCATTTTGTTTAATTTCTTAGTAGCATTCCACTTTGTGGATATACCACAGTTTGTTTATTCAATCACCTGATGATGGACATTTAAGTCATTTCCAGTTTATGGCTTTTACAAGCAAAGCTGCTATGAAGATTTGTGTACACATATTTGTATGATCTTATCCCTCTTAGATAAATACCTAGGTGTGAAATATTTAACTTTTAAATAAACTCTAAAATTGTATTTCAAAATGGTTGCACCTAAATTACATTTCCACCAGTAGCATCTAAGAGTTCCAGTTGCTTCCACATCCTTTCCAAAACTTGGTTAGGCCAGTCTTCTTATTTTTAACAATTTTAGTAGGTGTACTTCCTTAATTCAGAGCATCATGACATCTTCCCTGAATCATTACAGCCTCTTGCCCTCTGCCCTCTTCCATACCTTGTCTGTATGCTATACTTTAAGATACTACTCAGGTCTGTGATATCTTTCCACATTTCTTGCCACCTAAAAAACTCTCACCTTCCGCAGAATTTGCCACTCTCTCTTCAGCACCACGTCCATATTCCATAACAGACATACCTTGGAGGTGCTCCTATTCCTGTGCTTATCAGTTTAACTATCTCACTGCACAGTAATGGTTTTCTGCCTCTTTCCTACTGCAGATTGTTAGCTTGAGGTCAAGGGCTAGGTTTTATTCATCTTTTCATGCCCAGTTCGTTTTACACTCAGCACAGAGCCTGACACATAAAAAGGACTTATTGTTTCTGAAGGATGGAGTGAAAGAAACCCCTGAGTTTCCACTTAAGGTGAACTTGATATTTCTAATTATTACAAGACTCTTCAAAAAAATTTTAATGAGTTGAGGATATGCTCTATGTCCAATTTTATCTATACAATGAATAACGATATTTTCTGTTTTCATTTTCTTTTCAAAAGATGAATTAACTATTCATCATGTTATCTGAGAAATTTACTTCCATAAAAGGGGTGGCTAAATTGGTTATTAATATTTTCTTATATATATATATATATACGTATATATGTGTGTATGCATGCATACACACAAATACACACACACATACCCCACACACATTTACAGTTTTTCAGTGTGTCCTCCTGTACATTGGAAGATTTAGTCAATAAGACAGTCAATAAGATCTTTTATTTCTTTTACTAAAGAGACAGGGTCTCACTCTGTCACTGAGACTTGAGTGCAGTGGCACGATCAGAGCTCACTGCAGTCTTGACCACCTGGGCTCAAGCAATCCTCCCACCTCAATCCTCCCACCTCAACCTCTTCCCACCCACCTCAAGTAGCTAGGACTACAGACACCACCACAGCTGTCTAATTTAATAAGATCATTTTGACTTCATTTATTCTTTTCTCAGTGCTACAGTTGCTGTCTTTAAATAATGCCTCTAACTATTATAGATTTTTTTGTCTGAAAAATTCATCTTAAAAATGAGAAAGAAAAGAAAAAATTAAACACAGCATTGCCTTAAGTGCATTTTAATTCACAACAACTGTTATTAAAAGTTTTCACTTTATTAAGGGACAGTGAGTTATACCACAATTCAAAGTGAAATTTAAAATAAGATGATCAAATAGCTTCTCTTTCTTTAATAATTTCTCTCCCTCATGAAAGTACCATTTATAGTGAAATACGGTATTCATATTTCTGAGAAATAAACCAGAAAAGGCCACTAGCAAAAGATGATTACACATGATGTTTCCATTAAGAATTTCCATTCCTTTCAAGTTTCAGATCTACAATTTAAGCACTTACAACCCAAGGGAAAAAAGAATTCTAGGGTTGCTCAGCCCCAGTTTACAGCATGAAGCAGAACTCTTGTGTGGATGCCCCAGGGACCTCTACAAAAACCTCGTAACTGGAGCTCACGAATACTTACTACCACTCCCTACTGGGACTGAAACACAAACTGTTTAAGTGAAGTAAGGCAGATGGAACAGAATAAAAGGGATTATTTTGCATCACTCTCTCATAATGTTCATCTTTCCTTTTGCTAAGTCAAGTATCGATAGCTAGCTGATGTTTTACTTTAATGATTTTTTCACTATGTGTGTGTGTGTAGATATATACATACATACATATATATATATATAATGCCCATCTCAGGCTTTACCAGCCAGTAAGCACAAATTTTTAACACCTAAATCCATTAGCTTATATTTAACTGCATGCCCCATCCCACTCCAGGGTAATTGGACTTGTTATGCCTTATCTTTTTTTTTTTTTTTAAATAGACAGGCTCTTGCTTTGTTGCCCCGACATGAGTGCAGTGGTACAATAATAGCTCACTGCAGCCTCAGCTCCTGGGCTCAAGTGATCTTCCCACTTCGGCCTTCCAAAGCTCTGGGATAACAGACAAGAGCCACTGTGACTGGCCTGCTTTTCAATTTTGTACTCAGTATTTCCTGGAGACTCTGAAGCCTTGCCCTGATGTTTCTAGAGAGAGACTGTTAGGATTCTAGAATATGGCTCCAGTCTCTACTACTGTTCCCCGAATCCTGCAGTAATTGAACATTAGCTGTTCTCCATGTCAATGAAACTGGAAGCCTACCTCAAGCCCTGATGCCAGAGATCCTAATCACCACTCTTGCAAAGTCAGAAGAAGAGGGAGGAAGGCAGGATTTCCTGCAGAAACTCAGCTTGAGCCTTAAAATATCACAGCAATTAGCGATCCAGCTCTTCTTTTTCTCTAGGTGGTAGATCTAAGCCTGTATTAGTAGCCCATAGACAAGCAGTTTCTCAGAGTTCTGAGGGCGGAAATCTGCTTGCATCACTATAACAGTGACTATCTCTTCACTACCTGAGGTTTAAAGCGGTGTACCAGACATTCCTAGGGCAATACTTTTGAAGTAAAAGGGGGAAAATGGCTTCACTTTTAGTTTGGAAAGGAAGGTAGGCTCCCAGAGCAAGGTTGCATGAATAGCTCTCAAGTATTTAGAGATATGTAATCCTTTCAAGGTACATAAACATGTATGCACACATGCATACACACTGCCACTGTAGCTGGATGCAGCAGATTAGAGATGGTGGCAAGTTCTTTCACAGGCTTCTTATGGAGAGGTGGTGGCTATTTGCCCTCCCCGTGAATCTGGGCTGGCCTGTGAGTGTTTCACCAATAGAGTATAGTGCAAGTGAATCTATGTTAGATGTAAGCCTAGCCTTTAAGAGGACTGGTAGCCACTGCCTTGGCTTCTTTGAGCACTGTGCCTGACTAGTACCCTGTTTGAGAAAGTTTGTGGAGAGGCTCTGAGCCTACATGAAGAGGAAGAGGACTGAGGCATGTGGAGTGAAGCCCGTAGACCCTCCAGCCCAGCCCAGTCACCACTTGAATACCAGCGACCCCAGTCAACTCCACATGATGCAAAGAAATCAGCCAATTCTTGACCCATATAAAATGATCCTTATTTTAACTTATCATGTTTTGGAATACCCTATCATGCAACATAGATTCCTGGAGCCCTAGTTAAGGACAAATATTATAGGGTCCTCCAGGCTGTGTTCAGAGCTCCCATCCCCTTTTAAGAGCAGTTCCGCTTCTCATCCTCCTCTCTAGACTCTTTCCACTGGGTGCAGATCTGTGGGGACCTTGAGACCAACCAGCCTCATTAGATGAGTTTCAAGTTTTCCCCAACTAGATTCAATTACTACATGCAAAGGGGTACACTCAAAATAATGGAGCTCCATTCTCTGCCCAGGCAGGACACCCTGTTTCATGTACTTTATTGGTTGCCATGATCGCTATTTTAAAGTTTTATAAAATATTAGGAGATGAGATTTGATCAGGAGAAAAAAGTACATCTTTTCAAAGCTCTTCTTAGAATTTGAGAGGAAGGAATTATTCAAGGATGGGAAATGCATGAGTAATTACATTACTTTAGTCTTCCTTATTTTTTCTTTGTAATCATTAAGTTTTCTCTTCCCCAAAGCTCACATCCTAAACCCTGTGCTGCATTTCAGAATAAATCCCAAAGTTCTCAATTATTAGTCTCTGTTAGAACTATTTTCTCCTCATTTTCTCTTTCTGTTTCCCTGCTAAAATTAGCATTTCTACCAGGGCTCTGTAGTTAACTTAGTACACCGTTCCAGCTCTGAGTCAGATGCCAAGAACACCTTTTCTGTCTGGCTGCCAGGGTGCCTGCATTGATGTACTATGCTGAGGACATCAATATGATGTTCAGTGATGCATAGTTGTTTCTATTCTAAGGGATATATTTGACTGTTTATAGAGCAGCAAGAAACAGCCTAATGCTCACCTGCTGACAAAATGAACATGGATAAGATGCTTCTAGATTTCTGGTATAGATGCTTGTGAGCAGTGATGAGCTAAGTTGAGGTGTGGCTTATAGCAGGCAGGAACTCACTGAATCTCAGATTCTCAGATGACCTTTTCATCTGGGCAGGAAGACAACTTTCCTTAGCTGGGCAAAAGTAAGAAGGGTTCAGGAATTTGATGTGTCAAATTCACCATGACTCATTTATCAGAGTGGCGGGGGGGCGGTTAATTTTTTTTATCTTTTTATATCAAGTTGCAGGATATTAGCCAAAAGCCCAAAAAAAGAAATCAAACTGGATGAAGGAGAATTGAATGCATTCATTAGGACTTGTTCCTAGTTACACAAAAACTAGGGTGGCTGTAGGATTTATTATACAGATGAGGACACTTTGACACTACTAACAATTATACCATGACAGCAGGTGTGTAGGCTTGGACGGCCCTAGGCAAACAGGGATGCATTTCCACCCTTGAAATAGCCCAACTCAAGTTGTCTTAAGGCAATAAAGGAGATTCACTGGGCTGCATTAGAAGAAATGCAAGGGTTAGGTGGGCTTTGAAACAACTCGACCAGTTTCTCTTAATGTCTCTATTCTGCCTTCTGGATGGTAGCCTTTTATATATATAAATAAATATTTCCCTAGCAATCAGACTGAGAATATAGCAGTTTTATTTCAAGACTGGTTCTTCTTGTGGTCATAGATGGATGCCAGTAGCAGTTGGCATGTTTCCTTTTTCACATTCAGCAACAGAAAGAACACCTCAATCCCAGCATTCTAAGCAAGAATTGCAAGGCTCAGACACGTCAATGCCCACTGCTATAACTGACAAGGAAGTGGAATGTCGTGTTTGGCTTCAACCAACGAGGGCTGGTTGGAGCTTTGAGTAAGTTCCGTTTCTTAACAAGCACTCAGGACAGTTTGGGGATGAGTGATTTTTTTTTTCCATGAAAATTCTGGGTAAAGTTTTTTTAAAAAAGAGTGGGAATGAATACTGCATAGGTAAGCAGCAAATATCTGCTCTATTGGAAACAAGCCTGAAATTTAATAAAGTAGCTTTCTTGGTGCCCTGAAAGTTAAAAGAGAGGGACTCTGATGTCAGACTTTCTACGTGTAAACCCAGGTTTTACCCTTAATAACCACGTAAACTTGTACCAGTTGTTTAACCTAAGTCTCATTTCCTCAAACTGGAAAATGGGGATAATGCTAATAACTGCCTTACATGTTTGCTGTGAGATTAAACAAGACAATGTATGCAAAATGCTTATGACACTTATGACAGAGCCTGTCATATTGTGAGAGTTTAATACATGTTAGCCTCTATTACAATAGTCATTGAAGTGATTGTCTAGTAGGATGTTCATGAGAATGTGTGAGGAAATTCTAAGGTATCAGCAGTAAATAAATTCATGTACTTAGTTGAGGGAGAAATAATGAAGGCAGGAATAAGAACTGAAGGAACTAGGGTGTGAGGGCGGCATCTGGGAGAGAAGAATGATTCCAAGTAAGTAGATGAGTAGAGTCGGGGTTCAGAAAATTTAAAATGATTCCCGTCCAAGGTGAGTCTCTCATTTTTAAACATCACAGCAGACTCTCTCAGGAGCCTTTTCTAATGTTTCATGGTCAAGAAATTATCCCTTATATTCAAGATAAATCCCAGTTTGTCACATAAGCCCATTTTATGTCTTCACACAGGATAAAACATAGGTAAAGATTTTAGAGACATAGAGAGCTGAGATGGAGCTTTAGAGATGTTGCAGGGGAAAAGTGACAAGGCTTAGTGACACCCATTTCTTAGTGACAGGGAGAAAAGGGTAGAGTCAGATGCAGGCCCATGATAGTGGGCATGAAAGACGAGGGAGACGATGGTATCTGTGACAAAGAGGGAGAGGGGAGAGGTTGGTCTGCTAGATAAGGAGTTGGATTTATAAATATAAGGTGGTGGTATTACCAGGGCTCTGATAATAAAATCAAAATTGTGCCAGAATAGTAAAGAAGACATTTTCTCTTTTTCTCATTAGCAGTACCTCAAAAATGGATCTAATCCAGTCCCACTTTCTGGTGTGAGTGTAGCAGCAGACGTGGTAGTAACGATTGGCTTTTCTTTGCCTTACAGAGGCTTTTATAACAAAAGTGGCACTTTGCCCCAGTCATCTATTGAGTGAGTCTTCTGTCTTACAAATGCAGAGTCTGAATCATTTACAACAACCACAGATGTGCAGCAATTTTTGCTTTCCTGTGTTTTCCTATAAATTTTCTGTGGGATTGGATTTGGGTAGACTCTTATATTTAAAATGAAATTACATTGTCTCATGGTTGGTTTCAATAAAAGATAAACTAGATTATCTATATTTTGGTTGTTTATTAATATAACTGAATTAAAGATAAGTTCTCCAACAACTAAATACATTTTAATTACAAAAAGTTATATGAGGTTTTATAAGTACTTAATTTAACTTGCTATATACACTTAGCACCAGGTAATCTTTTTGCATTGAAAATAATGAGGAATAAGGATCCATTGTTGAAGTTTGTACTTTGATTTGGGAGGTGCAAATACCTAGTTGTATCACTGATGGGAAATTGAAATTCTAGAGAGAATAGTGTCCCACTTAAAAGAGATAATATGAAGATAATTTGTTTGTTTCTTGTGATTTTGCTCTCCAAGCACACTTTGCTTGTGAGACCAATTATAGATTTTTCATATAGAACAATTACCTCCATCATCAAATTGATGGCAAGTAACATGCTTTTATTTTTCAAATAGTGGTTTCTCAAAGGATAATTACAACTGAATGAATGAATGAGTAAATAAGTAAATGTACCTATTATACTTGAGAAAATCAATTCAGAGTCGTGAATTTTTTCATGAGAAGCATCAAAATAGTATGTGTATTGATGCAAAGTTATGGACATAATAAAGTTGCATTTTGTATTTTAAGCTATATCAGACCCTGATTTATTAATATGTTTAAGA
Organism: Homo sapiens; assembly: GCF_000001405.40. Classification (NCBI taxonomy): domain Eukaryota; kingdom Metazoa; phylum Chordata; class Mammalia; order Primates; family Hominidae; genus Homo; species Homo sapiens. The sequence continues at coordinate 47,791,586 of NC_000015.10, read as the reverse complement.
ATTTAATTCTTGCTTAACTATTTGACCTACTACTGTCCACTAGTCTCAATTATTTAACAGCTTAAACTGACACTTAATAAGTATGTAAATGGAAGGCACCCTAACATAATACAGGTATCTTCCTAAGTGCCAATTATATGCCTCAACATTCCCTTCAATTTGAATGTGTTAGTGAGAATCTAATTACACTGGTTTATAGCTGATGGAATTACAGAAGGAGAAGATTTCTCTCCTACATACTTATTAGACCTCAATAAGTGTTCCTTTGCAATCTGTTGCTATTCAATTACCAAGTAATAACTGTCTTAATGAATCTAATTGAAATGCTTATTTCAGACTACTATCACACCAAAAAAAGAGGCTTCACTTGGAGTGCTGCCACTGGATGGGGCCTGACTTGTTTATCCGGAAAGAAGTGACTTCCCTGGGAAGAAGGTTGCATTTGTGAAAGCTTGTGCAGCATTTCAAGGCTGCATTCAGGTATCAGAAAACTGAAGCCCCTACTCAAAAACCTTACTAGTCAAGCCCATGCCTATGTGTGCACTTATACAATCATTCTGCCTGAATTTTTCCCTCACCATGAGAAGCTTTTGTTCAGCTTTCCTCAATGAAGACAAAATAATAATAATTAAAATATCAGTAGCTAATATCTGTAGGGTACTTACTAGTGCCAGTGCTGCCTAAACACTAGTTTAATCTTCACAAGTCCCCTAAAAGAGATACATATGGTTATTGACTCCATTTAACAGATTTGGAAACTGAGTATAGTTTAGTCTTTGGCAGAGGGCAAATTCATACCGTGTATAGGTTAATAAGCGGCAGAGATCATGATACAACTGCAGGCCCACTGGCTTTGGAGCCTCCCACCCACCTGCAAAAACTATCGCAAAAGCAAAGACATGAAATAAATTTATTTTAGTTGATGCAACCTCTTGTTTCTTGGGAAAGTGAAACTTTAAACTCACGGCAAATATGAAACTAACTCCAAGTCTCCTGAGCCCAGTCCTGTGCACATCAACCTACACCATGCTGCTATGCTGCATTAAGAAAAAAAAACAAAAACGAAAACAAACACTCATTGAGCTCGATATTCTATGTAATACTCTCTGCATCCTCATTCTTTGGTAACTTTTTTTGGATCCACAACTGGGACATAAAATGGATTCATCTGAAGGTCATGATTAGAATTTGTTTGGAAGATATGTAAGAGGACAGTTCAAAACATACTACTGTGTTTATTTCGTTTAAAGGAAAAATTTAAAGTTGTATTGGCCCAAACACAAAAGTGATCTTAATTCAAGATATGGCAAATCACTTTGACAGGCACAATTTTTATGCAGATTCTGTGAAGCTCCCCCTTTTAAAACCACCCCTGGAGATCTGGGCATAGCCATGAACCTGCTCACACAGAAGGGCTCAGCACAGAGACTCCCTGAAAAGTCAAGTTATCCTCAGCAGTATGTGACCCTTCTTGAGTTGCATCCTCATTGTCAGGGTGAGGGATAGATGCCATGGTCCATTGTTGGGATATCTGCAGCGTGGAGTTTCTTCCTCTCCAAAAATGATGATAATGTGGTCACTTCAGGGGTTTCAAGGATTTCTGGTGAACAATATCTCTATGGAATATACAACGATTTTAGGTGCAGTACAAATAAAGGATTTGACAAGAATAAAAACAACACTTTATATAAATTACCTAGGTTTGCTAAAGAGTCACCTTATCACTTACACAGGTGTGGTGTTCATCTTTAACCATTGATCCTTTTTCAGTAGCGATTGGTTTCATTGCCCTATGTATGAATAGACAGAGTTGCTCAGGTCTGTTCCTGTCCCATTTTTCTCATTTGAAACTATGATGTTTCCCTCCAAACACCTGTTGTGGTCAGTGCTAATTCCAGGGGCTTAATTCCCCCTTTGCATTCATCCAGAAACAGTTTGTTGTTGTTTCCCCAGACAGGGTCTCACTCTGTCACCAGGCTAGAGTGCAGTAACACGATGATAGCTCACTGATAATCTTGAACTCCCGGGTTCAAGTGATTCTCTTGCCTCAGCCTCCCAACAAAGTAGCTGAGACTACAGGTGTGAGCCACTACACCACCTAATTAAAAAAAAATTTTTTTTTTTTTTGAGACGGAGACTCGCTCTGTTGCCCAGGCTGGAGTGCAGTGGTGTGATCTTGGCTCACTGCAAGCTCCACCTCCCGGGTTCACACCATTCTCCTGCCTCAGCCTCCCGAGTAGCTGGGACTACAGGCGCCCACCACCACGCCCGGCTCATTTTTTTGTATTTTTAGTAGAGACGGGGTTTCACCATGTTAGCAAGGATGGTCTCGATCTCCTGACCTCGTGATCCACCCGTCTCGGCCTCCCAAAGTTCTGGGATTACAGGCATGAGCCACGGCACCCGGCATTTTTTTAAATTTTTTTGTAGAAACAGGGTCTTGCCGTGCTGCCCAGGCTGGTCATGAACTCCTGGCCTCAAGTGATCCTCCTGCCTTAGCCTCCCAAAGTGTTGGGATTACAGGCATGAGTCACCGTGCCAGTCTTCTAAGAAGCAGTTTTTAAAGAGCAAAAGGTCCTTGTAGTTATCCAGTTAACACAGTATAAAAATTATGAGCCTGCCAACAGGCCATAACTTCTTTTATATGGAAAGAAAACAATATGATAGAAGGGAGTTATTTAGCCTCTTGAGGAAGCCCTGAGTTCACCCAGCCAGACAACCTGATAGTTTTGAGTGCCATTAATTTGCTCAGTGCTGGGCAAGGTTCCTTCCTCCCCTTAGGACTTGCAGCCTGGAGAACTACAGCTTATTATTGTTGGAAAACTCCCGGGAATGCCCTTACAATGATGTACATGGGAAATTTGAAGTGGGGAACAGTGAATACACAATGGTGAAATGACGGTTTAACTTAATCCTGTCTTTTCTAAACAGAGAAAGCTCAGAACAAGGGTTTATACAAACATCTAGCAGGCAGGGACCAGCTCTATGCAGAAAGAGTAGTTTATGGAACAAAAAATGGACAATAATTTTTATGTCCAAAATTGATTGTTTTGAAAATGACTAAGGATTATAAGAACTTGAAATCTTTTATACTGAAATTTTAAAATATTTTAAATGTGAAATTATGAAATGTGATATTTTAAAGGTGAAATCGTATACTTTCAAGCAGTAAATTTAATAGAGAATGTGAAACTTCTTCTGAAACAGAATAGATTGTAAAGTGTTTACGGAATATACACTACATATGGTATTCCTATTTAATTTTTTTCAAAATAGTTGTTTGGTTTTAAATTTTTGCAGGGTTATTTATTAAATGTATTTATTATTTATTTATGTATTTATTATTAAATTATGACTAGTTTTACTTTGTTGTTTCTTTAAGGTACAGGTCTTTGAAGAGTTTGCATTGCTCTGTGAGTTACCAGAGGACTGCCATCTTTAATCCAATTCAGACAGCAATTCACCAGGCTTTGCATGTGCTCAGGCCTGTTGCTCCTTATCAGAGGCCCACATGGAGCTCTCAGTACAGCTGCAGCCCTGGAGAATTTCCCTGTCTCCTCCTGTTCTCTCTCTCTCCTCCTCCTCCCGCTTCTCTTCCCTGCCTCTCCCCCACCCCTATACAAACACACACATACACACACAGACACACAGACACACACACACACACACACACACTACTCCTTGACTCTTTAATTTTCCTTTTAAGGCATCAAAATCAATTTTGGGACTCTATTTGGTACAAAGAGTTGATATGGATTTGATACGGATAGAGTTGACTGATCTCTACTCTGGGTTTGAAGATGTTGCTGCAAATGGAAAGGAAATAATCCCGGGCTATTGTGACAGATGACATGGTGTAGAGGGAAGAGCGCAGGACTGAAGGTGGAGAATCACTTGTTTATGCAACACATATTTCCTGAACATCAAATACAAGGATAAAGCCATGAAGGAAACAGAGCCCTGTTTCTGCAGAACACACGTTCTGGTTGGAGAAGACAAGTAGCGAATACACCAACAAATAAGAGAATATTTGACGATGTTGAGTGTTTTATGAAGGGGATAAAGAGTGACTGCAGGGCTCAGAAGGAAGCGATTATTTTAAGTAGGGAAGGTCTTTTGTAAGAAGGTGCTATTTAAATTGAGACTTTAAAGGTGTGCAACTTTGGATAAATTGGAAACAAGAAGGGAAGTGCATTCTGTGGGATCTAGTAAGAGCAGAGAGTGATGACCAACTCCAGACCCCAAAGAGAAAGGAGAGTGAGGCTATTGGCACTTGGAGGCAGAGAAAGCCATGTGTAGAGGGCGGCCCGACTGAGCTAAAACCTTCAGTCTGTTGGTCTTGAGCTATTTGAGGGTCTATTATGTGCAGGATTAGTCTCGGCACTATCGAGGATCACAAAAGCCTGTTAGTTATGGAGTCTTCCAGCAATAGGCTTACAGTCAAGAATGGGAAACAACACATATGCACGTAATTTGATTGAAATGTAGGAAGTCTTAAGGATGATAGGAGGAGTTCAGATAAAGACTAGAAAGTTCTCAGGTGCCAGATTGCTTCCAGCCAACAGATCAGAGGAACTGCCATAGAGGAGGTGGCTGTGTGTGCCCTGGACCTCAAAGGAGAGAGATGATATTCAGACGTGTAGCAGTGATGGGCAGAAGCACATTTTAAGTGGAGGGAATGAAACAGGATAAGCAAGACTGGTGATTGAAAAACTCTGTTTGTCTGTGCAGAAAAGAGAAATCTTAGTTTGACTGGAGCCTCTGGCACATGAAAGGGATTTAGAGTTTGCCGTTTCTGTGAACCTGTCCATCTTCACCCTCATGCTGTTCTCCTTTCCTCTTTTAACCTGTATCTTCTCTCTCTTTGTTTTGTTGACTTTCTCTTTTTTGTTTTCTGTTGTCCTTTTTTATGAGTGGAGCATTTCAGTGCAAGAGCAAATGGGAGTGGAGTGGGGTTCTGTGGAATGTCAGAAATGCATGCTCAACCTAGATTTCCCAAGCTCTCACTCAGTCTTATCCCAGGGATCACTTGACATGATGGGAAATGATGGGAAAAAAATAAACAATGTGATCCCAGAGCAAAGCTTATTTACTTTATCCGTTTAACCCAGTTCTACTGCTTCTCTCGCCATTTCCCAAGAACCAGGGGCAGAAAACATGAGAAAGCAGAAGGGAGACAGATTTTAGAGAACGTGAGTTTGTCGTTTGTCCTTCTAGGACGAGAGACCATGTCTGCCACCACCAGTTTCAGGGAACAACTGATTCATTTCACAGCCCCACCAATGTATACAACCTGGTTTGTTCTTGAGCCAGGTGCTTTCTCATTGGTGACAGAGCAGCAGTACTTTCCAGCATGCTGTATGATTATCCAGACTAGAGGCCCTTCCTCTGCATGGATTGGCCCTACTTAAGAAAAGATACATAAACTCTCCTGGCCTATTCTGTGTTTTTCATTTTTGTTTCTTTATTCATCATCAAAGCCCGGTTAAATTGGAAAACTTAAGCTCAATGCATTTCCACTGATTTCTCTAGGTGCTCTCATGAGGCTCAACAGTACACACTCAATAAATGCACAATGAATAAATGAATAGTTGCAAAAGGGTATCTGGGTTAAAGAATCATCATAATTATCATACAAAATGTACTTGAGTTGCCATTCGTATTTTATCTTTGTCTTTCCAATAAGCCTTGACCCCATTGTGGAGAGAAAAAAATACTTTGATTATTTTTTAAATTTCCAGCTACTAGAAGACTATATATGGTCCATAATAGGCCCTCAATACATACTTGTTTGAAGGAATAAATAACTAAATCACTGAATAAACAATCCTGTCTTCTAAGCCGATTTAGGGAAATGATGGGAGATAGTAAGCCCCTTCTCAACATGAAAGCCATGTTGGGAAGGGCCTTGTATATAAGACTAAGGATGTTGCGTTTTATTATTTATTCCTTTTCCTATAGGGGATGACTGAAGCATTTTGAGTAATCAGTGAATGATTTAGTGGTCAAGACTGTTTTAGAAAGATTATTCTGATGGTTATGTAGAAGATGTATTGCTGTGGTGATAAATCTGATGTATGTCTAAGCTTTTGTTGCTTTCAAAAAGTAACAATGAAAACTTCAATGACCAAGGGGCTTTAAGTTCAAACATAGGTATGGTTGCCTTAATTCTATTGTTTACTGATGGGAACAAATGTACTTTACTCAGCTTACATGGTCTAAAGGTGTTGTACAGTTTTAGAAGACATCATGTCCTCGTGAGACTAGTATAAGCTAAATGTGCTCAATTAATTGTCATTTCTGTAAAGCACAAAGTCTCAAAGATCTTCCATATTCTTAATCGTGAAAAACAAGACTATCTTCAAACTAGGAAAGAGAAATGTTCCCATTCTCATTTATTAAACATCCCCCTGAGAAAGAAACAATGCTCTTTAAAGTGCTGGACCTAAAATTGTAAGCTTTTTGTAGCCACTCTAAGGTTTGAAAAGTTAAACTTGTAGAAGCAGATTGTTTTGTTTGTTTTTGGCCATCTGAATAGCTGGCATCTAATGGTCACACCTTAACATGCTATTTTAGTTAACCACTTGGGATTTTCTTAGTCAGAGCCAACTGAAATATGTTGGGCTGTAGCAGAGAATAACTCAAATCCATCTACCCATGATTTTTTGCACCTGGAAAACCATTCAAACACTTCTTTGTTAATATATCATCATAAATATTGATCACTCACTGTGATATATACAGCTATACATTTTTTACAGCTCCTCTATCAAGCAGTGGAGTCTATTTCCCCTACTTTCTGACCTGGACTGGCTTTGTGACTTGCTTTGACCAAAAAGAGGTGGCAGATGTGATTTTGTGCGATTTCCAAGCCTCTTGTTAATGAGGCCTGGGAGCATCCTCTCTCATTCTCTTAGAACACTGCATTTTGAAAGAAGTCTAGGCAGCCTCTTTGAGGTTAAGAGATCACAGGGAGACAGTGAAAGAGACCATTTGACGATAGAGATCCGTCTGTCCCAGATGTCCTAGCCAAGACCCAAGGTATATGAGGCTATCGGGGACAACCAACCTCACAGAAAAATCTACTAACTGATTGACTGCAAATGCATAAGTAAGCCTAGTCAACACTCTGTGGAGAGGTAAGCTCTCCCAAATGAGCCCTGCCAAACTGTCAACTTACAGAACTGTAAGGAAATAAATGGTTATTGTTGTCAGCCATCAAATGTGAGGGTATTGTGGTAGACAGAATCCTAAAGATGGCCCTTCTAAGATTCCTATTGCCCGGTTACTCAATCAAATACTAATCTAGGTACTGCTGTGAAGGGATTTTTCAAATATAATTAAAGCCCCAAGTCCGTTGACCTTCCAATATGATCCTTATGTGATCTTATCAGATATTTAAATGAGCACTTAAGAGCAGCAAGTTTTCTCTGGCTGGTAGCAGAATAAAAACTCATAGGGATATGAAGAATAAGAAGGATTTGAGGCTGGGCATGGTGGTTCATGCCTGTAATCCTAGCACTTTGGGAGGCCGAGATGGGCGGATCACTTGAGGTCAGGAGTTCAAGACCAGCCTGGCCAACATGGTGAAACCCAGTCTCTACTAAAAATACAAAAAATTAGCTGGGTGAGATAGCATGTGCCTGTAATCCCAGCTACTCAGAAGGCTAGAGCATGAGAACTGCTTGAACCCGGGGGACGGAGGTTGCAGTGAGCAGAGGTTACAGAGATCGCGCCTCTGCACTCCAGCCTGGGCGACAGAGCAAGACTCCTTCTCAAAAAAAAAAAAAAAGAAGGATTTGATATGGCCTTACTGTCTTAAAGATGTAGAGGGCCACATGACAAGAAGTAAAACAACCTCTAGATGATAAGAGTAGCCCCTGCTGACTGCCAGCAAGAAAACTGGGACATCAGTCGTACAGCCATAGGAAACTGAATTCTACCAACAGTCTGAGACAGTTGTGAGCAGATTCTTCTCCAGAGCCTCCAGATAAGAGCACAGTTCAGTTAATACCTTGATTATAGATTCGTGCAACCCTGAGTGGGGAACCCTGTCCAGCTGGCCCCCATTTCTGACCTACAGAACTGTGAACTAATAAATGTTATAAGTCTCCAAGTTTGTGCTAATGCATTATGTAGCAATATGAAACAAAAACAAGAGTTTATTTAATAACAATAGATGACAAATATACACACGAAGATTTTTACAATACATAGAAAAGACATAACATGGAGCAGGGGATTTCAACTCTGTAAATCAAAATCTTTTGGAGACCACTTTTAAAATACCAATGCCTGGGCCCACCCTAGAGATGCTAATTTAATTGTTTAATTATTCTGGGATGTAGTCCAGGCCTTGGTGGTTTTTAAAGCCTCCCAGATGATTCTAATGTACAACCAGGCTTGAAAAGCACCAAGATAAACAAATTATATAGGACAGATAAATAGATAAGAGAGAGGGGGAGATTTTCACCCCATCTTCCCTCCTAATCCATCCACTGTGAGATGACCATCTTGAACGTGTTGGTTACTCTATCTGTTAGGGTGCTTTTGACTAGAAGAAGGAATACCTGACCAACAATGGGACAAGAAGAACATTTGCCAGGCGCAGTGGCTCATGCCTGTAATCCCAGTACTTTGGGAGGCTGAGGAGTGTGGATCACCTGAGGCCAGGAATTCGAGACCAGCCTGGCCAACATGGTGAAATCCCATCTCTACTAAAATTACAAAAATTAGCTGGGCATGGTGGTGGGAGCCTGTAATCCCAGCTACTTGGGAGGCTGAGGCAGGAGAATTGCTTGAACCTGGGGGATGGAAGTTGCAGTGAGTCGAGACTGTGCCACTTCCCTGCAGCCTGGGCAAAAAAGCGAGACTCTGTCTCAAAACAAAATAAAACAAAACAAAATAAAAACATTCATATCTCCTGTAACAGGAAACCCAAACCTGAGAGTCTTCAAAGTTGGTGAGTTTAGCAGCTCTACATAGCCATTAAGAACTTGAGGGCTTGAATCTCTTTACTATGCCATCTTCAGCATATGAAACTTTCCCCCAGCCTGCTTTCATGGTACCAAGATGGCAGCTGCTGATCCATGCACCATCTGTTGTTTCCACTACCGGAAAGAAGACTTTTCTTCATGTATTCCCTTTTTCTTAGAAAAGACAACCTTCCTCAAAGCCCTCCCACACTTTTGCTCAGATTCTACTGGCCAGAATTGAGTCACGTGTCTATGCTCTCACTGTAGGAGAGACTGGAAAAGGAAGTATTTTGCATTTTCAGGCTCTGTAGGTGGAGGTGACCACTCCCAGCAAGTTAGAAGTAGGGGTAGGTGGGTGGATGGTTAGTAGGTAGACAGCCAAATATGCTGATCCTCCACACATCTCTTTATCCTTATATAAAGACACAGTATTTGTGTGTCTATATAGATATAGATATGGATATGTACTCAGGAATGGGATGATATCATACATGCTCTTTACTATGGTCATCCTCCCTGTCACATTCTGTTATTGTTGTTATTACCATTTTGACTTCCCGCACTTTACTCAGTAACATACGTTAACACTTGGTGTTTATCCTTTAATAATTTCCTCAATGCTTACATAAATCATAGAATATACATATACTTATAGAATGGAAGTGTGTCATTATTTATTTACCACAATAATATTATGCTGTATATTAGGACAATCCTTTTAAGTATGTAGAAACACTTAGGTACCTAGCTTACTAGTCTTTAAACGTTATCACTGCTCCCCAGCTCCTCCCACTTTTCCTTCCTATTCAACTTTCCTTTCTATCTCCTTCAACTTTTATCAAAGAGTCCAGCTAAGCATGAGTACAGAGCTTCCTAGCCTCCCTCATACTTTGTTGTTTGGGATGTCAGGGTAACGTAGTTATGAAGCAGAATGTTCTCTACATGCCCTTCTGTCTTTCAACTAGTTGCTTGCTCTTAGAGAAGTTTTCAGGGTATTCTGACACTCCCGTTTAGTTTCTAAGATCCTTCATTCTCTTTCTCCTTTCCCAATGAAAGCCTGTAATTAATCTGTCCCTCCTAAGCTTCTGGAAGCTACCTTCTCTCCTAAGGGAAATATAAGACCTCAGAGTGATATTTTACATTTCCAAACATGCCACATTCCCCATGCCTTTTGCCACTCACATGGTGGAAGGATCCTAATTACAGGGCTAAAGGAGAATTCATTCTTTCTAGACTCCCTGCCTTCCTTTTCAGTGTTTATTCTGACACTGAAGGGAGTTTTTTCACAAAGCTCTAAAACAACCATTCTGCCAAGAATTTTTGTTGTGTTGTTTTTTACGAACTGTGACTTTTCCTGTTATGTTTTAATCAGATGTGAACAAAACCAAATAGTTGTTAGACACTTTTATACAGGGATTATCTTATAGATTTCTGTCAAGCATAGCCAACCTGAATCTTTCTTGTATGTCTTCTAAATAACTGCATAAATATACTGGTGTTCAAATAAACACGAGAGGAAAAGAAGCAAAAGATAAGATCACTGGCAAAGACATAAGAGATTCAAAGGGGAAAACTGCAAAATATTGTAGTTCTTGGCCACCATCAATTCTGGCATAGGGCAATAGCTTTGTTAGGCTAGAGCCTGACATGATTCTCACCAAATGTGTATAAGGCCCAGTGCAGCAGGGGTCTCAAAATGTAATCAATGTGTTTTCAGTGTTCCCAGGGTATACATTGTAGATACTGGAGATATAGAAATTGTTCAGCTCGGGAGATTCCATATGTACAGTAAAAGCATTCTAACTCCAGAGCTATCTCCTAATTCCCTGGCAGTGGGTGACTAATCTAAAACCAAGAGATACACGTCTGTTACAGGAAAAGGGTCCCGATCCAGACCCCAAGACAGGGTTCTTGGATCTCTTGCAAGAAAGAATTCAGGGCGAATCCACAGTGCAAAGCAAAAGCAAGTTTATTAAGAAGGTAAAGTTGTGAAAGAACAGCTACTCCATAGACAGAGTAGGGTGCTTCCAAAAGTAGGAGAAACACATCCACCCTAGGTACAATGCTTGTGTGTGTGTGTGTATATATACATATATATATATGATGAAAAAAGATTATGGGGAGATGTGCTCTGCTACAAAGTTTTGTGATAAGGGACTAATTTTCTTAAAAATCGATATTATTATCTTTCAAGCAAAAATAGGGATGCTTTTGTTCTCAAGATAACAGGATTTTAGGACAATCCCAAGTCTGGGTCTGTTTAGTAAACATTATCAATCTGTTCCCTTAACTGTAAACATCTAGAGGCTAGGAATGCCTAACTTTCTGGGAATGCAGCTCAGCAAGTCCCAGCCTCATTTTCCTAGCCCTCACTCAAAATGGGGTCGCTCTGGTTCGAACGCCTCTGACATGTCCAGTTATGCAATAACTTAATTTTTTTCAAAAATGGGTGTAATTTTCTCTATGGTGGCTTTATGCCTTTTGATTCCTAGGCTCATTTTCAGGAAATAAGATCTCCCTATTGAATGGTCTTGGTATTGACATTCTTGATGTAAGTTGGAACCGTGGAAACCCTAATGAAATAGTATGACATACAACCAGGCCATTAAATGCCAATTCCATTTTGGCTGGCAAGCCTGGTTGAGATTACCCGAAAACATCTCCTTAAGGTAGTCCATAGCTACAACAGGAGGAGCAGAATTACTTCTCCTAAAAGAGAACTTGTTAAACTGAGAAAATTTACTTTTTAAAAAGTAGGGGGAGGGGAGGAATGGCAGGGAACTTTGCAAAAGGGGTGTGGTCTTCCTGACATCCTTAACTGGCATGCTGTCACAGACGAGAGGATTTTGCTCTACTAATTATTTCATATTTTCCCAAGTTGTCATTACCATAATAATCTCATTGTCCTCAAAGCTACCTGCTCTCTATTCATCTGCTTCCTTGCTTTCTGCTATTCTTGAATCTAGGAAAGAAAAGACAAAGGAGAAAATGGGGGTTTCCATCTTTTTGTGTGGTTGCCCTTTGAGACACAGAGAAGGCCCAGGCTGCCACGGCATCTCCATTCTGAGTTCCTGCTCTGGACGCTAGCCATGTACTCACACCGTGCTCTGCCATTGCCTGGCTATTCTGCCTGGGTCCTAGTTCTGTCCCGAGTTCTGTCTTTTGCTTTTTTTAATAATTTCCACATTTCATCAGTTTATTCCCAGTATCTCCAGCAAAAAAAAAAAAAAAGAAACATTTTATTTAGACACTCTAGGAACCAAAGAACATCAAGGTCGATCATGATCATAGATACCTTCCTTGTAGCGAAATCAAACCTTTTGGGAGTTTGTTTTCAGTGGTAAATAAAGATTTCATCTTTTCTTGAGACTAGATAACTAAACAAAGTCAGGGGCTGTTTCCAGGATTTTTTTTTTCCTTTTTAAAACAAACTTAGAATAAAAATGTACAGAGAATTTTCAAAAATGTATGTTTGAATGAAGCATGTTTCAAAACATGTCAGTTTTAATGATTCTAAGCAGTTTTTAATATTTTTGATGTTTTTCTAGACTCATATATATGTATATATATTTAAAATAATTTGAACTCTATTGCTTTCTTCCATTTTAGTGTTTTGCTCTTTTCTCTCATTTATGATATTCATGTAAATTAAGCAAATCATGTGACGTCAATCATTTCTACCTCTATGAAGTGTGGGTTCCATAGGTAGTTGGAAATAATAGTTTAGTAAGTTCTGAAAAGCTGATGGAATTTTTCAGGGTGAAGCCTTAATTGGGCAGCCAGAAGAGGCTATCATCAGATCAGATTGAATCTTAAGAATTGATCTCAATTTTATGAGTCACTCCAGTAACATACAGACCAACAAAACTCCAAATTGCCTGACTCTGTCTCTGAACCTGAGATGTCATTGAACTTTGGAGCCTAATTCATATCCCAAATGCTCTCTTAAACTCTCTAAACTTTCACATTTGCAAATGTACTCCAAGGGTTCCATTTCTTTCTTATACTTTCCAAAGCTGTCTCCCAAACCCGTGGAATGCTCCTTTGAGAATGGTTAAAGAATGCTATAATCCTCTTATCTGAAAACCTGATTTGCAAATGCTAAGAAGGTATATATGCTTTTACTATGCTTATTAGCATTAACAGTTGCAAATGTCTGGCAAGGCCCTGCCACCTGACTTAGGATAAGATGCTGGGGCAATCACCAAATTTGTTTCTTCAACAGATTTTTTTGTGTGCTTACTCTAATGCCTCACAGAAGGCTAGGCAGCTCAAATGATCAGAAAACTTTAAGATAGTCTATCTTTAAGATAGTCCAACTCCTAAAGATCTCCCAACCACAGGGAGCAGTGGAAAAATCGTAACTGTGTTTAACTCCCAATATACAACCACAGCTCAATATGAAGAAATTCCAAAGTAAGAAATAAACAAATTCTCCCCAGAGACTCTCTGCCAGTCCACAGGTTTAGATCTGGCAAGATGCCCAGAAACCTAGATGGGTACAATTTGGACACATCAGGTTAGTTCCTTGTAATATCTCTGAATGCATCCTTTTGGTTGCTTTCAGCCTACACCTTGTCAATTCAGCCCATGGATTCTTTTTTCAAATAATTGATTTGGCATGTTCATTATGATGGCTCAGCATGTGACTGATGTCACTGAATGTTCCGTTTTTTCATTGGAAGTTTGGCACGTATTCCTGGATACTGTAATTATTCTACCTTTTTTGTTTCTCTTCATTATACATGAAGTGCTGGAGAGAGGCCATCCTTACTGATCGAACACTGATATTCCCTTTTCAACCCTCTCACAGAGGGTGTTAGCTTGTGCGTCGGGCATGAGTTGAGAACATGTGAATTAGCCCTGATTTTTGAATTGACTGTCATTTATATGTCCATAGTTGTCACACTCACACTAATCTTAATTTCTGTACCTTGAAAATGGGAATGACAATCTTATCCCTTTCAAAAAGAGAAAAAAAAAGGCATGTTGGGGATTAACTGAACAGGGCTCAAAAGCACCAGGAAAATGTAAGAGAAGTCTGTCCACATAAGCCAAGCGCTGATGCTTTCTTAGCGGTCAATGGATGTGCTTATTGCAGTTTCTAAATCAGAAAACAGACCTCAAACTAGATCTATGATTGATCGGGTGATCAATTGTGAGTTCAACTCTCTGTGAAGCCCCAGAGTAGATACACAAAATGTACAAGGCATGTTTTATCTTTTAACCAGAGTTAAATACCTCATGAAATTGCTGTATTTGGAGCCATAGCCTACCCTCTTACAGTAGTGCCAGAGGAGGGGTGGCCTTGTAGATGGCTTTGCCCAGTGTAGTTAAGTCCTCACAAATACTGGCCACATTTCAAGTACTCAGTAACCACATATGCTAACCTACTAGGTTGGACAGCACAGATTTAGAACCTGCATCAGCATGGAACATTCCACTGCACAGCGCTGCTTGAAACTGACAAATCTTCCTTCTTACCACTGCTCTAACTGGTCTGAAGTCAGTCTTTACAGTAGCATTGGGTAGGTCCATCTCACACTAATGAAGAACTCTCACAAGTAACAGCGCATATATAATGCTGTATTTTCATACTTTCCTTTACCTAAACCCTGCATATGAGGCTAAGTGTACTCAAATGCATGTTAAAATGAGATTTATCAACCAGTAATCAATATCTAATTTTTAAAAAGAATTATATCATGAGACAGGGGCTAACAATATGCTATTTTTCTTTATATATGAATTCTAGTTGATTCACCATTTGAATGGTCATTACCTCCCACTCCAGCCTTGCACCCTCCATCCCCCCAAGAATTAAAGATTGATTTTATTATAGGTCCATTCCTCTTTGTTTATGATACCACATCTATTTGATTTAAAAAATGCAACACTGGCAGAGATTTAAGTGTTTCACATGTTATATATGCAAACAGTGTAAGCATCAAATATATTAATAGATCCAAGGTAAATGACTTAAAAGTGCACTGTTTATCATAACTTACTTGTTAATCTCACATATACCTTATATCTAACAGGGAGCAGGCCTCATGCATCCATAAACATACTACCAACCAAGCTATTGAACTTGCAATAGTTAAGCATAGCATTCATAAAATAATAGAATTTGCAGAGTTGACACAGACCATAGAACTGTCAGAGACATGGATGTCAAATCATCTCTTTACCAAAGTCAGGAGAGGTGGAGTGCCCCTTAATCACTAGATGAGTGATGGAGTGAGGATTAGAACTCAGCTCCCTGGACCTGGACCTAGGGCTGCTTTGGACACTTTGTTCTTTGCCGTCCTCTGACAAGGAGATGAGAGAGACCAGCTGGGAGAAGATGAGAAAGTTGAAATCTCTCTGATGGCAGGAAGGTGAGTCCTGGTTCCAGACCAGCACCTGGGCCATCATACCACTACCTGGCAGAAGAAGAGATGCCCTTTCTTCTTAGCCTGTATCAGCATTTCAAGTGTTCCATCTGGCTTCAAAGTTGCCCCTTCCCAGGGTAACCAAGTGCTTAGTCGATGGCATTTCTGGAACCAGAGCACAGTGCCTTGTCCTGGTTATTGTATTTGTCCCATTACTCTCTGGTTTTATGGGCTCCCTTTGAAAAAAGTCCCAAGTTCCCTTACCCTACTTCTCTCAAATGGGATCTGAGCATTTATCTTGAGGATTCATAGATGTGATTTTAGGGGACTGTAAATGTCCTGGAGAGGAAAGGGAAATGCGCCTTTCAGTCCATAGCATTCATTAAATTATCAAAAATGTCTATGATGGAATAAGGCTAAGAACTTCTATAAGGGAGAAAAGAAAGGTGCATTTTTTAGAAGAGAAAAAAATCGTTGAACTCAGAAAAACTAGTAAACAGGCAGTAGGTATAATAAACACCAATTTAATGGAAACAGGCAATGCAAATGAATGATAATGCAATGCTAAAGAAGCCTAGGAAGAGGCTGCGTGTGGTGGCTTATGCCTGTAATCCCAGCACTTTGGAAGGCTGAGGTAGGTGGACCACCTGAGGTTAGGAGTTCGAGACCAACCTGGCCAACATGGTGAAACCCCTTCTCTACTAAAAATACAAAAATTAGCTGGGCATGGTGGTGAGTGCCTGTGCCTGTAATCCCCGCTACTCAGGAGGCTGAGGCAGGAGAATTGCTTGAACCCGGGATACAGAGGTTGCAGGGAGCCGAGATCGTGCCACTGCACTCCAGCCTGGGCGACAGAGTGAGACAAGCTTGGAGATGCATTTCCCTTGTGTCTTCTTTCATCCATTTGTTCGAAATCTGAGTTACAAATTGACTTCTGCAAGTCAGTAAGATGGGAGACACCTTCCACCCTCTTCTCCAGCACTATAATGGTGTGCACTTACGCAGACTTCCTTCCAATGATAGGGTAGTTTGGAAGGCCAAGGTCAGGTTCTGTGGCTGGTGGCACCACCTGTGGTGCCAGGAGCTGTGAAATGGGGCAAATAGGCCATCCCCTGGTCTTCTTCTCTCACAAAAAGATTCCTTCAAATTTTTCCTCATGTCTCTGGAGTATTGCATGCTATGATAGGAATAAACAAGGACTTCTGATACCACTAAATTGACACTGAAATGCAGCACCCCTAATTAGATGACACTATCAAGGAGAATAAGACTCGAGACAGGAATATGGCCATTCTGCTGTTCAGCAAAGATGCTGCTGAAGCTCCTTGAGAAAACATGACCACATGGGAGCTGCAGATGGGCTTTGGCCAGGAGTAGCAGCTAGAAACAAGAGGGCAGGGATTGCTACAGCCTACCCCTGTTGTCTCTCTCAGAAGTGGCCTGCCACTGTCAACATCCACGAGAAGCAATGACAGCAGCCACCAACTCATTACGTGCTAAGAGCAAGCCATGGAATCATATTGTTACCTCTCATTTCAATATTTAGGGAAGAGAGCTCCTAATTTATTCTATTTGTTTAAAACAAGGGAACTGAGAAACTCCTTATACCAAATAGCAAGAAATGTTCACGGGAACCCTGTTTGCCAGTTATAATTTTGAACTATTACGTGAAAAATTTCACGCAGGAAAACAAATCATGAATTTTAAAAATGTCTGTTGAACTAGATAGATCTATGGACAATGTGAACCACTACTGTTTGCCTAAAGCATATGACTGTTGACGTAGTACAGTTCAACTGGTTTTCTGAACAGTTTCTCATTTTTTTCAGGGGCTCTGACCTCCAGTGTCAGCCTTCCAAGGAGAGAATGGTAGTGTAATCATGACTGGAGAGCAACTGTTCCAGATAAGAATATTTTGGCAGATTTTAAAAGCAACTATTACTGGTGTTGATTGACTTAAAAATATTTTAAAAATATAACATGTTATAAACCTCTTCAATATCAAGAGGCAGGATATAATGATTTGTATATTTTATTTTGACTTTACATGCGGTGTTAAAAACCCAAAGTACATATTATTTACACATCCACAATACAAGTTTACAAGGTATCTATTCATGTTAAAGTACTCTATAAAACAGTATAGAGACACTTCACTTGAGGGTTACTTTTTATGCCGTACCATTAAAAAAGATACAATCTGCGTTTACCTTTGCACAAATGGATAAAGCATTTAAAAATTAAATTAACAGGATAGAGACTAGATTTAATGTTAGAAATTTCAACATAAATACTGATTGAACTCACATTACAAACTACAAGGAAGCACAATGTTACAAAATGTTATCTGGGGTCACATAGAGTTACTGTTCTGTTTTACACACGCTGGGATTAATATTGGTAAGGTGAATTCAAACACGTTTGTTGTTGGTGGACTGAGTAGTGTTTATCATTGGTTGGTTTAATTTATTATTAATCTGTAATATTTTAGTTGCAAAGCTGAAGTGTTTCAAGAACAGAAATTTTAGCTTTAGCGCTTCCAGAGATCACTGGAAATCACGTTCTTTATAAAACAATGTTCTTTAAAAAAAAGAATAACTGTATCAGTATTTCACATTCTGTATAAAAATGATCTGGTCTTCTGCAACATGTCCTCCCCCAAGTAATAGGTACCAACAGTATTGTCAAAAGAAATCCAGTTGAACTCATTTGCCTGATTACAGCAGGAGCATACCTCTGCCTTGGTACTTTCTAGATTTGGTTCACTAAACAAGTGTGTGGTGTGCAGCATATTAACTGAAACAGTCAGCAGGGTTGCGCATCATCAGCCGTAAGTGGTTTCTGCCAAACTACGTATAAATGACGCTCTATAGTTTCTGCAGGTGTCACATTACCCAGGAAACCTCATTTGAGTTCACATTATCACTGTTTCATCCTTAGGAAAGCAGGAGTGGAATGTTTATCACGGCAAAGAATGTAATGCTGCTATGAGGTCGGATTATGTAACAAATAATTGTCCTAGGTTGTTTCTGTGATTTTTTGAAAAGAGTCTTTTTAGGTGCTGGTTGAAAAACATTTACAACTGGCACTCAGTAAATAATGTGCTATACTGAAAACACTTGACAGATTTTAGTACTTCTATCATTCTCATGAATAAGGCACAAAATGCACAGATTCAGGTAAACTCACATGTGGTATTTACAGTATATTGTCATTACCTGCATGACTTAGGAGAAAATTCTCACATAACACAACACAGACAACATGATTGCACCACTGTTAGGTTTTTACAGACTGTTTCTGTTAAGCCAATTACAATTCCTTTCATATGTCTTTCTTTTGTCTTCTATTTTTGTTTGTTTGTTTGTTTTTTGTTTCTTACCTTGGGGGGTAGGAGGAGTTAAAGGAGGAGAAATTTTACTATTGGGGGGGGGGAAACGAACACAATCAAAATAAAACCTTATTAGTGTGTCCAAGGTTAAATAGAGTGACTCAGGCTTTGATTCACAGTGGACAGGAAAATTTTACTACTGAATACTGGAAAATAAATCAAGGATACCTCTTAATATCTTGATCTCCTTAAGCTGGCAAGACTGGAATACAAGTTTTAATGAATAGCAGCACAAAATCACTTGCAACTCTTACATTCTGGCATTGGGTACCACATAAGTAAAGTTCATCATTTTGATGGTCAAAGGAGCCTCGATTCTATTCCTCTTTCAAAGCTGAACCCAATGGACTCCTGTGGGAAATAGTATTGTCTCTCGTTCGGTCATGCTTAATGTAAACAACTCCATAGCACAAAAAGATGCAATGGGCACCTAAACAAATCCTAGTGGGTACAGAACACACACACACACACACACACACACACACACACGCACACACACAACAAGTTTGTTGGTGGCATGAAAAAGATGCCACACATGAAAAAAAAATGCTACAGCTTGGGTCAAAGATTGAATTTTTAGCAAACTGCTTGGTAATCTACAAGTTCATTTCTTTGAGATATTACCATCTTTTTTTTGACATTTGTGCAAGAGGCAAGGTGAATGCATACATATTAAAATGTTCACATTTAATGGGAAGACCACACATAATGGCAGTCTACATTGAACCCATTTTCAAGTATTTGTTCACAGATTCTTCTGAGTACTGTTATCAGCTCTTTATACTGGTAAGGTAGCCCCTGTGAGCTACACATCTCTTTAGCTTCAAACAAAAGAAATGGAATGACCAGCACCTTCCTTTGTTTTCAGGCAAGTACACAGAAGCCTTGCTGCAGTAGCTACATGTGGCAAGTTCTGATGTTGCCAAAGTTAGAAAGAGTTTCTTTGGCCACTTGGTTCTCTTAAAATACAAGCGAGTCTCTTGTTTTAAGGTACCCTTACAACATCATCCTCTCAACAACACGGACAGGATAAAGCCACATGGGAATAGCACACTTGAGGCCTAGTATGTGTATTTGTTCAGTGGTCTGACAGATGGGGTTTGAGGAACAAAGGAAGGCTTTGGTGGCACGTCAGGTTTTAAGGACGGCGTCCTCTTTAGTCCCGTCCTAGGAAGAGTGCCATTACTGGTGTAGCTGCTCTGTCTGGAGAGGGAAGGCTGCAGATGAACACTCACTGGTGTTCCCTGAATATAGTCCACCTTCGCCCCAGTGGGGGTGGGCATATATCCTCCACGGTTCATACTAGGCTGTCTGGATAACAAAACACCATTTGGTGAGTTTAAGTTTTTAGGCATAGCAGATATAGAGTGCCTCTGGGAGGAATTTTTGTGATAACCTCTTTGTCTTTCCAGAGAAGTCATTGGGACTCCAGGAGTGGTGGGGACATCCACTCGCTTGGTTGGGCTATTTCTGGGGAGAGTTGAAGGAGGGGAGTATAGCGATGCCTCCCGGTTAGGGACTTTAGGTGGGACCTCAGACATCGATCCCATGGGATCCAGCATTAAGTTCTGGTGTGCCATCTGGATGTCTCCCATGATGGCTTTGGGGTTACTATTTGGGTCATTCAGATGCTTCAGGAGATCATTGAGGGTATTTCTGGAATCAACAGAACGCCGGTGATCTCTCTTACTGGATGACTTTGTGAGAGGGTGATCAATGTTTTGAAGCTTCTTTTCAGCTTTGTGAGCATTGGAGTTTGAGAAAGACGTGTTGTAGTCATGGGTAGCATTTGGAAGAACAATGGCACTGGGGATATGCCCATGACTTAATGGGGAATGAGGTGGCGGACTAGACGGAAAAAACTGAGGGGTTTCTTTCCTTGAAGCTCCATGGCCATGGGCCTTTTCTGAGTGGCTCTTCATGGCCTGCAGGGTCTTCTGGTGAAGCACGGGTGTAGACTCAGGAGTAGGAAGAGCAGCCAACTCTGGAGGTTGCCCTCGATGGTCCATTACCATGGATTTAGTATCTCCATTGGGTGGTAGCTCTTTCCGACTGGTTAGCAGGTTACTATACAGTTTAGGAGAATCAATATTCTGTTGGTATTCCTTGACAGGGCTGTCAAAGAGACCATTCAGTTTGGCAAAACTTCCACTGGAGTCTGTGCATGACTGGGCGGACTCTGCATCTTTATGGATCTTTCTGTTTTTCCGAACAAACATGTCTCGATAGCAGTATACTGCCACACCTGCAATGAATGCCCCCAAAACAAAAGCAGCAAAGACACAGGTGATGAGGACATTCATGTGGACCATCTGGTTGGACTCTCCAGACTGGACTTCCCATCGTACACCTGAAATAGACACATGGGACAATGTGAATAAGGTGCTTTTTAAAAATAATAATAAATAGCAAATGGCTTTCAGTGAGCCAACACGACCTTCATATGGTTCATATGCTTAGCTCGGAGGGTCAAGTAGACTCCAAAATTCCTTGTATATTTTGTCTTTAATCAAACTAGGATCCCCAGAGACATACAGGATTGCTGCAAATGCCAGGATAACTCTAATCTCCCACTGATCTGTATTCTTCTGTTCTTTTCCTCCAATCCCTCATAAATAGTTGTTACATGTTAAAAATGTAAGAGTTTCTATCTAAAAAATAGTTAGAAGTGTATATTTTCTAAATAGCTAACTTTAAACTCATATGTTTTGTCTCATAATTTTCTCTTAATTCAGGATTAAAAGGTAGCTACTAGGATATAGGAAAATGTAATAATTAGCATAAACATATGCTAAAATAATTACTCTGATACAATTATACTAACTTTAATATGAACATATAATTTGTTCACAAACCAAAAATATCTGCTTGATCACTGTTAGCTATAAATAGAGACTTTCATGTTTGCTTGGATTTTTTTTTTCATTCCATCTTGGGGTGAAGCACTCTTGAATGACCGACTATGTAAGAAACCCAGACAGTCTAAGGAAACATACTATGTATTAGTTAAGTAAACTGTCAAATTATCTGAAGATATTTGAAAATATTTAAATTAGACCTAGAAAAAGAAGAGCAAATTAGTTTATAATTACTGAAATTAAACTTAACCTTTTAATGCAACCACAGACATCTAACAATTAATAAAAAAAAGTTAGTTTAAGAGGTATTCAAGTCTGTTACATGCTATAAACACAGCTATCCCAGAGTAAGGTAAGTCAGAGTGATTTTGAAGATTCTGTTGCTTTAAGTTAGTACTAAGGCCTTTGAACATTAGTTGTTTTTAATTAATGTTTAATTAATGTTATGGAATTCAGTGGCACTGTGAAAGACCGAGAAAGAAAAGTAGAAAAAAATGGTGTTACTAAAGAAAGCAAAGCAGAAAGAAGAATGATTATAAAATTGGTTACAACGAAAACATATAAAATGAAAATCAACCGATATAAATCATAAATGACAATGTGCTGCCATAAAAACTGATTGGAAACCTGATACCATAGTTTAGTAAGTACTAAAGAATAGATTTTTTTTTCCTAGAGTAATATATTTAATAAGCTAACTCAACAGGCAGCTATTTTATAACTGCTCCTATTACGGGCTGAAAATGATAGTTATGGACGAGCACTCTGTTATGTTTTATTGCTTGTGGCATTCAAGCAACTTAGCATCTCACATATCCTTTTCAGATTGCATTTTGAATTGAAGCTAAACAAGAGTCTGGGAAAGGCTCCTAGACAAAACATCTGATATCAGGATATTTGCAATTAATGAGTTTTGTTTTTTGATGTTGCTGCGGTGACCCTCGAAATTCCCTGAAATCCAGCAGGCTCTCTGCTTCTTCAGACAGAAATCAACACAGATTAGATTGTCTGAGTGGCTGCTTCACCAGCCTTTTCTCCAACAGCTTTCCACCTCTTTTATCTTTTAAGGAATGCACTCAGATATAACCACAGAAAGCCAGAGAGACTGTGGCAAGGGGCGGTGGAGGTACAACCGCAGAAGCTCCTGTGAGGCCCACCTCTGGAGAACCACATACTCCTCAGTGACATTAAGGATCAGGTTTCCACGCAGTTAGAGATGAGGTCCCTGCTGAGGCCTTACCCTTTGGGATACCCGATAAAGGATCAGTAAAATCAGAAGTGTTTGGATCATCTTGAACTACAAATTTCCGAGAGCTTGTCAGTTTAGGTCTCCAGGTATCAATCACTTTAGGTGTGATTTCTGGGATACTTGCCATTGTGGTAACAGAAGATGAAGATACCTCCATGTCTGTGGTGGCAAACAGATTTTTATTAATATGGATAGTGTCAAGATTTTTTTTGATTGGTCTGTTGCATTTTTAAATAAAGTTTGAGTAAATTTTATGAGAAAGTTTGCTCTAGGATTTTGTAAAAACACGCCTGAGGAAGCTACATCAAATTCCTTCCTTTCAAGGGAAGAATGAAAACTAAAAATTAACAGTAAAGACATATTCAGCAGATTTCAAAATTAAAGATACTCGAAAGGCTCTTAGGAAAGCCCCTGTGGTTACTAATGACACTCATGAAAAAGGTAATATAATTCCCAGGGCAGATTAGTTGCTGTTTCTTCCTTCTCTTGTGAGACATCATTTCATTTCTTTTTTATGCATTTTTAAAAGCACTTTCACAGATGGTTAGAAAATCTATAGGCTTTACTGGGGAAGAAGCTATGATGGAACTTTGTTGGAAAATATCTGGTTAAGTCTATGAAAATACTTGATTTTGGACGTGACAAACCAGCTCTGCCTAAGAGGTTGTTACCAGGGGCTCCTGTCCATTTGTAGATTATTCACTATACTAAGGCTCTGCCACCCACAGTAAAACAACGAAGGAGGGGACAGACTTTGCTTGTACTCTCTCCAAAACTGCTGGGGAGTTTCTTCCAAGCAGAACCTAATGCAAAGGCAATGGCATTTACAAACTGAATGAGGATATTCTGATACATAAGATCTACCATCTTTTTCTCCCCCTGAGGAAAGGAATTGCTGGTGAGTTTTAGAAGCAGCAATAGGACCGGGAGTTAACTTAACCTTTTAGCATGTCTAGTACTGATTTCCTCCAAATAGATTTTCCCTCAAAATGTAAGCCTACGCTTTTAAGCTAAAACCTCAGAGACCACAATTCTGACTGGTGCAACAGTTAACAGAAGGAGGCTCCAAACAGGTACAGAGAGGCTTGGAGAGCCCATTGAACATCTTAATACATCAAAAATCAGCTTCACTCCACTGAAGCCTTTTTCACACCACTGAGACCACAACATTCAAAGATTCCCAGGATTAGCGCAAACCATTCAAAGATCTCTAAAACTTATAAATACACATTTATGGGAAATGTGTATTTGTTTACTAGGTCATAGGAAAGGTGAGGAGAGATGGGGAAAATAATGAAATTCCGCCATCCATTAAATACAGATGACCAGAAGAAACATTCACAATGCAAAGAGGTGAGAAAGAAGAAAGCTTGGGTGGGCGTGCGTGCAGCTGGAATGCAGTCTATGTTAGCCCATTTGAATTTTCTTAAAGGATGTGGCTTGGTCAATGATGAAGTGTTAACATGCTATAAACAAGGGTGAAGTGCTCAGTAAGAAAAGTCTTTTGGTACCATCAGTGGGAATATGAGTCAAAGCGGAAAAATGAAGGGCTGCCAAACTGCGCAAAAGGAGGGGAGAAGGGGCTGAAAATGCTGAACTGAAGGAAAGAAAAGGTTGTTAATTCAAAAAAATTAAAAAAAACTAACCAGATGTTGGACCGCCAAATATTTTGTAATCTGGTGTAGTTGAAGTAGGCAAAATTTCTAAAAGAATTAAAGGAACAAGTAATCAGTGAAAAGTAACCAAAAGAAAGCAAAAATTTATGAATTCCAATTAACTAAAAAAGTAAAAAAAAAAAAGACTATAAATTAAAAATATTAACCTACTGGTTAGACTACCTCTCTCTAGATTTCCTACAAAATTGTAAATGGTGAAGGAAAAAAAAAGTAAGCCTCTTTTCTAATGTATCCCCATGACCGAACAGCTCAGCTTTTGCGAAGTTTAAGTTAAATGCTAGGTGGTATGTGTCCTGAGTCATTAAAAAGACTGATTGTAAAATAATGTCGACGTGCAAATGTGGTCAAAAAGAAGCTCCAGGTGGGAATGGAAGATTCTGTCTTACCATGGCAGTCCCCTAGATGAGCTGTGTTGCCGAATTCTGTGTCTTGTTCATATCCTTCAGCACTGTGGTTATGGAAAGCAAAGAAGTCTTCGGTTAACAGCCTTCATAGGAACACAAGTGACAACCAGAGCAGAACCAAGAACACAGACTGATTAGTAAGAATGGGCAGAGAGAGAAAAAAAAAAAACAACATTTTAACATAACTTGCTAAAATGACTATTTCTGTTAAAAACTGGTGAACTAGAATGCTTAAGAGAACAGAAGAGAATTGGTTTTTTCTCTCCATCCATTTCCCTTAAGTATTATTAGGTCTACCATTTCCCTTAAGTATTATTATTCCCTTCCTTGTCACGTCTCCTGGTTTTCGTTTTCCTGTTTCTCCCATAACAACAAAAAAAAAGAAAAGTAGTATAATTGGAAGTTTTCTGCAATTTCTAGCTTTAGAGACCCTGGAGAGGATAGTTCATCCTAGCTCATGTGACAAAGTATACTTACAGCATCCCTGGGGTCACTCTACCACAGGATCCCTGGCTTAACCAGCCACAATACGGGTCACGAGATGCAATACAAGACCTGTGTAAAACCAAACAGAATGTAACTTGGATTTTCTCATCAACAAAGGTTTCGATACTGCAAGACCCAGGGTAAGTAAAGAAACACGAGCTTACTTTTTACATGATCCATAACGCTCACAGCGACTGAGGGGGATGCGGATAATGCAGCTAGAGAACGCCACATATAAAGCGTGGTGATCTTTATCCAACTGTAATGAGATGACCTTTTTGTCTTCCTCATTCTCAGCACTGCACCTATTTTGTGGGATACATTTTGAAGCCATATGTTTAGTCAGTCAAGTGTGGTTTGCTTTAGCAATTACTGAGACCTGGGAAATCATAAGGAATATTCTTGGTAACAAACCAGGCAAGTACATAGCTTGGGAAATAATAATTATGTGATTCATCTTCTACTTCTCTGCATGGTTGGTTAAATTTCAGGCTGGACAAAGGGTTTTTAAACATTGCTTTCCTGTTATGATGATAGAAGTGAATTGCATTTGCGAAGGCCACATTTGACTATAGAAATAAAAAGGATCGTGCTTTAATGCATATAAATTTTCCTGTGTTAGATGGTTCTGGTTCTCTCCTTAGTCCCCTTGGCTCCATTTCTCTCTTCTATTTCTTATTTGTTTTTTTTTTTAATGGTCTAAATATTCTCTTACTTATTAAAGATAGGAAGGAAATACTTAACTAGTACTGCATTCTGTGTATGTATGTGCATGTATATTTGTGTGTGTGTGTATGCAAGCTCACAGCTGTCTGCTGCATGTAGCATCTTGGAATATATCTGCAAGATAAGAGAGGTGCTGTTAAAATGTTCTCATATTCTACAGGTGAAAAACAAGGGCTGCATTATTTTTAAACTCATCAACCATTCACCCCCCTCGCCCTAGCAGGCTCGGGAAAAAAACAAACCCAAGATTTATTTCAATGAGAAAAAAAACACAAAACACTATTATGCCAAACCACTGCTAATTTAGAGGACCAAAAGGACATGACTAGATGAAATACATGCCGAAAATTTTTGAGCAGTGCTGAAGGGCGTTCTCGTAACATATACCTACTTTGCATGGTTGTAGGCTTCAATCTCTTCCAGTAATACGCTGTCGTTCAAAGAGAAAGGACTGGTCTTTGCCAGAACTTTAAGTACCATGCCAGCTTCAGAGCCAACAAAGATGACTGTGTAGTTCTGGTAGGGTCCGGCTGAATGGTCCACTGAGATGGCCGTCAGTCTGTACCTACAAGAGGAGGCGGCACAGATCAGAAGGGGAGGCCAACGGGCAGAGAAAACGTTGAATAGGAAGGAGTGTTTCACACACAATCTCACCTGACCCGAGTCTTTGTGAACCAGGGCTCATCGGCAATGGGTGGAACGGCAGAGTCCATCAGGGGATGAGATTTGATGAATGACAGAGTTTCATCCGGGAAATCGATGGAGGTTTTATAAGCTTCGGCAAGGCCGTGTTTTGCACAACAGCCAGGCCTGAAAGGAAAACAGCGTTATTTTATGCTCTCGGCTGCCCCTGCCACACCATGTACTGTATCTAAGGAATAAGTGTATATTCTCAGAGAAGAGGTCAAGTGAGGAAGGAGAGTGAGTGAAACTAAAGGAGCAATGCTATGCCCCTGAATTCAATGGGTTCTCCATTCACACTCATGGGCTTGCAGGTCACAAGGCTATGTCTGCTGGCTCTGTCTGAGAGAGGGACCCCTTCCTGGTGTGGGAGGTTGGCCAAGCTGCTCCCTGAGGAGGGATGCTTCCAATGACCGGAAGGTTTTGTTCAAGACAAAACCCTTTTCTACTTTTTTATTTACCTTGGCTTTGGCACTTTGTCTTCGGGAACTGCTGTCCAAACAGAATCTGGAGTTTTCTGTTCCTTAAACCGTCCTTTGAATACTTTTTCAATGTCATCCATGCTAAATGCACAGACAGCAGAACCAGGGATGCTGAAAAGGAAGAAAATCATCAGGAAGAGGCTGGCGACATGAAGCCTGTCTTGGTTCTGACAGGCATGCAGAGAATATCTTTGCAGTGCCGGGGTTCTGCTCTCACCTATTGAGCTGCGTGGTAAACACCCCGACCACAGTGGGGATGCCATTGATTTGTATTATGTCTGTAATAGACTGCAGAACATCAAAGTAGAAAAACGAATCTCCAGGGACAGAACAGTTCAGCCGAGCCTTTAGAAATGAAGTCCAGTGTTTCTCCAGGACCCGCTGGGAACCACCCATGTCGTTTTTACATATGCGGGCCACGCGGGAATACACAGCCTGCCCAACGGATAGAAGCAAAGCAATGGGGTTATGAGCATGGAAAGGAATGGAAACAAAATGATACTGTTTAAGGGAGGGACAAAAAATACTAAAGATACATCTGGTTCAAAAAAATCTAGCAGTCTTCTCTCTAGGGATCTGTTCAGTAAGAAGGTAAACTAGATTCACCTGTGGGGAAAAAAGAGCCACTTTCCTATTTTGCTAAGCATCCTTCCCAAGAAGTGAGCTGTCTATCTGCCTTGCTGAATGAAAACCATCCCTGCACTTGGTCTCCAACTTTGCTTCCTGTATTGTTAATGAAACATGTCATCTTTCAACTTGGCATAGAAGGGGTTGCAATACTTTAAAATCACATGGGCTTTCACTGAAACACTAAAAATTGAATGGGGTCGCTACTTTCTATCCTGTCTTTTGACGCTGAGAAAGAATAGACTATCAGTGGTTTTCTAAAGAGTAAAAAAAGCATCCGTAGCTCAAGGGTACCTGTAGAACACTCTCTGTGGCTGCAGGAAAAAAAACGATACCTTCTCAAAACTCAAGGCTGCTGTTCCCACTCAGGTTATTGTTCAGATGTTTTCCAGCAATTATTCTCATGATAAGCAACCCACCTCTCTGCAGTTGGCCCTATGTATACTGAATTGAGAGCTGGAAAACATGCCAAGTGAGCATCCTTAACTCTATCACAGTGGTCTCAATTTCATGCAGTACAAGTCCACAATTCAAGCCAAATGCATATACTTGCCTTGCCTAAATTATTATGTTCGACAGCGATTTCTCGAAAGAAGAAATAGACATAGTTTCCATATTCTATGGCATGAAGAAAGTGTGGCTCTGAAAGAAAAATTAAAAACAAACTGGTTCCTAAAGGATAATTCAATTAGCATAAGACCCCGACTGCAAAGCATGACTGACAGATGTTGCACAATTACATTCAAGCCAACAAGAACTCCAATCTGCCAATGACTTTGAGGAGTCCCAATATGGGTGTGTTCAAGCTTCAGGGAACCAGTCATCTCTAAAGTCAGCTAATGGACTGTAAAAAGACCTACAGGGAACTGAACTACAGCAAAGGTCTTTGTTTCAACAGATTTATTCATTAACCTATTTAACTAGGGAAGAAAACCTCTTACACTGAAAATAAAAAATCTTGATTTCTAGACTCTGAAGAACAAAATGGCTCTCATACGGACTAATCGATTCTCTCTGGTAACTTTCCAAGATGGGTAGATGGCAAGTAGTATTATGTGCATTTAGAAAGTTAGACAAATTGGCACACACAGAGATGAAATCTCCCCTTTTTTTTTTGAGGTCACCTAGGATAAACACCTGGATGAACTTACTCTTCTGACATGGCTACCAGCCTCCTCATTCCCTGTCAATGCTCCTGTTCACAATCAAAGCAGTGTGTACTTGTTCTAAATAAACAATATAAAGTCATGCGCTGAACCTCTTGATGGCCGTGGCTGCTGTCCCCACTTGGGCCATCCACTATCCTGGTGACCCCACGACACTGCTCTTCAAAGGTACCTTTTATCCATTTGGAATCATATTTTATTGTGCGAAGGGCAGATCCATCACCCATGCTTCGATAAATAACGGCATCGCTGGCCAAGAAGTCAGCCACTGTGGCAGAATACAGCTTCCCATCTGAAACCAAAGGTATAATTTTGGTAAGATAACCATAATTATCCTGCAGTGTGTTAGCTTTGGCAGCGTGTTATGCCCTTTGGAGCGCTCTCACTGGTATTACCATTATCTATACAAATAGGGCTACACCTGATTCTCACCATCAACATGTGACAGGTCAGCCATGATATTATCTAATTTTACAGGGATCTAGGCATCAAAAACTTAAGCAACTTATCGGGGGCCACTGGCCTAGTTAACAACACGGTGTCATAATACTTATAGTGTGCACTGAAATATCCTTGCCCTTAATTTCTTCTTTTTTTGGAAATTTGTGCATAGATTCTAGCCTTTCGAACACTTAGATCAAGGTGGGTATCCAAGTTATTAACTTTTACTCTTCCATTAAATTCCTTTTTCACCTTCAATGTCATTAATCATTTATATTCATTACGCTAAAGGATCTTACCAGCAAAGAGGGCAACATTGGTTTGTCTGGCATCAAATGGGCATCTTGCCAGGCCACTAATTTCTTCCCCATCATATTCTAAGGTACTCAACTACAAAAGAAAAGTAAATAGCCAGTGTCATATCTATTCAACGTGCCCGTTTGAAGGCAATACTATTTTATTTGTATTAAAATTCCATTTGAAGAATTCTGTCTTTATTCTTTCATTGCACTAGAGATAAAACAAATTACTGGAAAGCAGAAAGATTTCAACTCTAACAGCATATCAGTGAAGGGAGAAAAGTTGATCAAAAGAAGCATATCACATAAAATATACTTACCCTGTAGTATCTACACATGGGATTGAATGCATTGGTACCACAAACAAAAACCATCTCATCGTTTCTTGGAACAAATACTTTGATAAAGTTGTGGCATTCATCCTAAAGAAAGTAGTAGTTACATTAATATTAGACATTTGAACATGCTGGCACTGTGGTATCAAGCCCACAGAAAGACTAAATCTAGCAGACATTTTTCTGTTTCACTCACTTTATGCTTGCCTTTCATAGCACAGTTTTCTCGATCCTGTTGTCTTGATCGCCATGTCAGTTTCTGTATTAATCAAGCAAAACCAAAGCAGTTTTTAACTGCGAACATTTTTGGGGAGGCAGTGGGAAAATTAATCAGGTTCAGAGGGAAGGTAAATAAATTTGCCAACTACAGTTGCTCACCTTGTTGGGTATTACTTCTGTTTTGGGCATTTCATTTAAGTTTACTGTATAAACTTGATCCCTGTTGGAAATAAGGCAATAAAACATATCACGTGAATACATAAAAATGTTAAGCTGCTTCCTTTTTTATTTTTACAGATCTGCCTTTATTGTGTTTTAGAGATCATCTGGATTTTCTCTGTCTCAAACAAAGTCAACAAAGAGTACTTTTTCATTAGTGAGATGCTTTTATATATCACTGTAGTCAGAGAGCAAAGAAAGCTCTTCTCTCCAGGCATGGGTCAAACTGCTACTTGGTATTAGCATAGACATATTTCTAATATTTGCTTGAATAATTCTAAGTTAAAAACGCATAAAGAAAGGTTTTTTTTTTTCCCCTGCTGCTTTAGGAAAAAAGAATGGTGTATGATTTCTTGATGGCAGTAATAAAATAGCACCGCTGAAAGCTTGAGCTCTGTATTTTGTTCCCGGTACACAACACTGACTCTTCTCAGTGAATATTTCTGGCTACTTGCAATTTTTGATCACAATCACATATTAGTTTTTCATGAACTAGACACACTAATGCAAGCACCACAAGAGAAAAGAATTTTAATCTAATAAACCAATGAGAGGAAAATTACCTGCCAGCAATATAAAGTGTGTCTCGAATTTTCAACATCAGCTGAAAGTCCAGCCTGTGCTGCGATTCATTGCCTGAAGGGCGTCCTCTAAAAACCGGATATTGCCTTGAATCTGCAAGTAAAAATGGGCTAAACCATCATTCAGGATTATGGAGCTGAGGGATCAATAAACAGCATTGATTAGCTGTATATACTTGTTGTAGAAGGGTTTTAACTAAATTCCTCTCTTAAGGTCTTGAATATAAATGAATAAAAGGCAGTGAATGTCAGCAAATGGTCTTTTTAACTCAAAATATATAACCTATATACAGGTTGCTGTAGAAAAGCACCCAACAAAACTGCCCCGTTTTCTCCAAACACTAGGAAATGATTACTGATAAACTCAGATGCAAATTCAAGGTTAAGACATAAAAAATCTCTGCCTCTTTCTGAAAATGAACATGCTTACAGAATGAAAAACAGAAAAGCTTCCTTCTCAGAATAGAAGACTGTTCTTGAGACGACTTACAGTGATAGTCGACAGTATTAAGGGGTTCATCATCTTCAGGAAAGCTGACTGCCCTCAACTGGGAAACCATCAGCAGCAGTATGTAGGCACAAAGCAGGAAGACCCTCATGGTGGGCCAAGGTGAAGTCAGGGTGGCCCCTGCTCAGAAATGCCACTGAGCTACCTGGAAAACAGAAGCAGTTTGGAAAGATCTCTATGCTGCAATGAAGCGGTTTTCTTGTTTGTAATCAGCTCAGTTTTCACCATCAGCTCCCTCCAAAGCCCCTCTCCCACCAGGAATGCTGGCAGTGGTAGATCAGGTATCGCCAAAAACACAGGCAAAAGATGGCAACATGCCAGGCCTGATTAAAGCATCTGGTTGAGCATTATTGAAGTTTTCAGCAAATTCACGAGAATTTTGGAGGTAATTGTATGTCATCACAGCAGAGCCACCAGAACCATGAGCAGAAATGCTAGCTGCTGACTTGGCAAGAAGATGGGCAAAGTTGGGATAAGAATTTTAATTAAATTCCAATCCTCTTCCCTTCCCCCAGTCCTGAAATATATCTAATACAGCTTGTCTCTGCCCCGCATAAAACGCTCAAGCTGCCTCAAAAATAGCCAGAGGGCTGATGATCCTGTCATAATCTCTCCTTAGCTCTTTGCTTATGGTGTTGCCAAATTCCCAGCATTACCCAAGTATTAGCCCCAAATTCTTAAGTCGAGTATTTCCCTATGCTTACTACGACCAACGTGGAGACAATGACACGAATGACCCTGAATCAGGGTGAAAGGGAATTAAAAGAAATACAATGATTTCATGATAACCAATCAAGCAAAGCAAGGCAGGGATGAAGTGGCACAGCTGACACCAGGCCACCAGGGAAGTCTACGTTTTTACATAAAACCATTTGGACACAAACCAATACCCTAAGTACACCGGTCCTTTTAGCTTTATTGAACTTCAGAGCTGTGGGGGTCCTTAGGGACCATCTAGTCCAACCCCCTCATTTTTCAGATGAAAATCCAAGGGCCAAAAAAATTAAAGGACTCACTGAATTGTGTGGAGCTAGTTAAGGCAAGATTGGAGTCCAGACTCACATAATCTGGGTCCCTGTCCAGGCTCTTTTCACCAAATGGAAAGGAGAACATAAATGACTGGATTTTTGTCCTTCAAATATAGAGCATTACAAAAAACTTTTTGGGGAAATGGATATATTCATCATTTTTATTGAAGTGATGCTTCATAGGTGTTAAATTTAATCAAATTGTACATTAAATATGTGCAGTTTATTACATATCAATACCTCAATAAAGCTATCAAAACACAGCATTAATTGCATTATAGTAACAGTAAAAAATTTAAAAGATCTTTAAATGTTATTAGCTTATTAAAAAGATGAATTAGGGCCCTGTTGGGTCAATGAGATGGATATTTTTGTGAAGCTGTAAGTGTTCTACTTTGCAACAATAACACCCCCCCCTCAACCAAAACTGTCACTTGCAGCTACTGTTCTGAACAACAAAACATTTAGCTTTATCCTCAGTCTTACATATCTAAGAACTTTAGGAGAGATCATGAGAGTCACTGCAAATTCCAGGGGAGTCCAACCACTAAACCAGGTGTTTACTGTACCTTTTTTATGGACTTCAGGTGAAGCACACAGATATGCATGCTATCCAATGCTCTAAATATGTGTCTAACTAAAGTACAAGTCAAGTATATGTGAGTTTTAGAGTCCCAGTTTTTCAAAAAGAGAATAATATATTGCAGCAGTTTTTTTCGTGGATGATCAGTCCAGCAGTAAGTTCACATATTTAAACTGCCTTACAAAAAGCAGGTGGAATGGAAACTGTGCTGGCATCATTTTGTACTAAAGTTAAAAGAGTATGGACTTTGGAGTCAGTATGACTTGGGCATGGATGAAATTATACCACATATTAGCAAATTGGCCTGGGAACGTTCCTTCAATCTCTTTGAGCATTAGTTTCTTTATCTGTAAAATATGGATAATAGCACCTTCTCAGAGCGAAAAGGAAGCAAATGCCTGGCACATAGGAAATTCTGAGAAAAGTTAGACCTCTCTACCCATTTCCTACTGGAGAATCCTGGGTATGACCAGATTGACTTTAAGAGTCTCATAAGGGCCTGGGGAAAAGATATCCTAAAATATTAAGGTTATTTGGCCAGTTATTTTTCACAACTAGTTACTTTAGAGCACTAAAGGACTACTTATAGAATAAATTTTACAACTTGTTCCTATGTATTGGACCTGGAAAATAAAGTAACATAACAAAACAAAACAAAAAAGCAATCACCAACAATCCTACTATCCTACCTCAACAACCGCAATGATTTGGTTCTAGTTTTTTACTACAGCTACATGGTTTCCATTGTGCTGACAAGATGGTTTCGTGTTTACCTCTTCTTCTGAAGCAGTGTCTTCTTGTCTTGCTTTTCCATACTATTCTGATCACTTACAAAGACCTTCTAAAGTTGAAGTAGTATAAAAGTATAAAATGTTGCCTTAAGAACTAGATCCTGCTTTGACACCAGTCCCAAATATCATCCTCTAGATAGAAAATCACCGAATCTTTCTGCTGGATATCAGGAAAAATAATTAGAAATACCAATTAATCCCAAAGAAGTGTAGAAACATCTGCATTAAAACAAAAAGATCGTTCTGTGTCTCTTTCTCCTCCATGACAGGTAACTGAATGGTTCACATCAGGTAAGCAGAACATCCATGTCCCAGACAGCAGGGCGGGGAGGAGCCCTCACCAGGAAGAGTGTCTCTCAGCTGTGATCCCAGCACTGGGGCTGAGGATGGAATCACTGCTGACTCACTAGCAAGCACCAAGCTGCTGGCTGAGCTATCATTTCCTATAACTCATTCATCTGACACTGCAGAAAGCAATTTCTCCCCATGCCCCACCCCCTACCACTCTAATCCTCCCAAAATAAAGCCCTACCACTAACTGCTTCCTGTCTCTGCATAAAGCTGTATTTCTGAAAAAAAAAAAAAAAAAAATTACATTCAGACTTGCCATAGTAGTTATAAATGGAGGCATTTAATGTGATACATATTGCAAAAGCTGGGTGGGGGAGGGAAGAATCTGGAAATACCTGAAAGCAATGTACCAGGAAGGGGATGTCTTTGCATGTAAACCCCTCAGACTACTTAGCTCTGACTTTACATAAGAAGATATATCAGGAGTCCAGGGGTCAGTGAAATCATGATACTAGTTATGCTGAAAAAGGGCAGGCCAAGTAGCAGGATGAAATGTTGGAAAAAAACATGGATCTTGAGATTAGAAAAATCTGAGTTCAAACTTGCTTGTGCCATTTACTTCCTGGCTCTTGGGCCCTGTTTAAATTGACTTTATCTCTTTAAGCCTCAGTTTCATCAAATGTAAAATGGGAATAATTATCTTTATTACTTCATAGGCTCTGTTTAGGATTAAATGAGATAATCAGTATGAGGCATCTAACACAGAGCCTGCTCCGCAGTAAATCTTTAGTAAATTTTAACGAATATCATCATGTCTATTCTGGTTACGTCTTGTCTGGCAAAAAGGTGGAAAAAAAAAAAGCAATGTTCATTCCTTCATCTTGTACAACTATTTGCTAAACTGTTTATGTATACCATCCAAACAATGACAGGGGCATTCTTAGAGGATAAGGCACACCTTCACAGATGTACAGGCCTCCAAAAAAGAGGAAACCATCTTCCTCACACGCAAGCTTAGGGTAAAGAACATTCCTACATGAAGTCATTCCTGTTTGTGACACAGTCAGAGAGCCAGGATGCCTGACTAGCTATGTTTATTCAGTTTTTGGTATTTTATATGAACTTCTCCCATACATTCCTAATGTTAAATACTAAATATGATGAGGAAAGCTCTTAATGGGAGTTCAGAGCTGCCAGAACAACCAGGGCGTGAGTGACAGGATACTTGGGAGAAGGGAGGTACATGGAGCTTAGTCCCATACTCAGCATTTGATTTTACCTTATGGAGACTTGATGATTTTATATAATATTTATACTTATATTATTATACATAATATATTGTTATATTTATATTATATATTGTTATATTTTTATAATTTTATATTTGCTAATTTCATACAGCTTAAGGCTCTATAAAAATGAGAGTATAGCTATAAAGAAAAGTCAAATTTCTGGCAGTCACAAGTTTAGGTCCCACCAAGAAGGAAGAGTTCCAGTAAATAACCAAAGGCTATCATTTGGGCCTCTGACAAGCTACACTCTAGAAGAGGAGAAAAATGTGAGGTAAACCATGTTTTACAAAAGTTCCAATCCAATCCAATAAGCTAAGTCCCAGACTGAATGGATATAATCTCCCACTCTAGCTGCTTGCCAGAAAAGATAAGATTACACTTCTTTAGAAAAAGATAACATCATCCAGAGACTACAATTATTTACATACATTGCCCAACATTCAAGTAGAAATTATCAGAAATTCCAAAAACTGCAGCTAAGAGAGAGAGAAAAAACCACAATAGAAATAGGCCCACAGGTAACCCAGATATTAGAGTTACCAAACATATGTTTTGAAAATAACTGTGCTTTTTTTGTGCAAGAAAAAAAGATGACAACATGGAGAATTTCACCAGAAAACTGGAATCTATAAAAAAGAATTTAATAAAAATTCAACAACAAGGCTGGGCATGGTGGCTCACGCCTGTAATACTTTGGGAGGCCGAGGCGGGGGGATCATGAGGTCAGGAGTTTGAGACCAGCCTGACCAACATGGTGAAACCCTGTCTCTACTAAAAATACAACAATTAGCCAGGCATGGTGGTGCACACCTCTAATCCCAGCTACTCAGGAGGCTGAGGCAGGAGAATTACTTGAACCTGGGAGGCAGAGGTTGCAGTGAGCCAAGACTGCACCACTGAACTCCAGCCTAGGCGACAAAGCGAGACTCCATCTCAAAAAAAAAAAAAAAATCAACAACAAAAAAGCACAATAAATAACACATCTTCTTAATAGATGTGTTTAGCAACATATTTGTCAGAGGTAAAGAGAAGATTAGTGAGTAAGAAGACAAACAAATAGAAATTATCAGACAGAAATATGGAGAGCAAAAAGTTTGAAAGAAACAGACAAGAGAGTAAGAGACACAGAATTTTGTGAAAGAATTAACATACTGGAGTCCCTGAGACTGCAGAGAGAGAAATGGACTAAAGCAATATTTGACAAGATAATGGCTGCACACATTTTCAAAACTGATATGATTATAAGCCACACATTCAAGAAATTCTAAGAAGTTCTAAATACAAGGAAATAAAGTTAGACACATCATAGTAAAAATGCTGAAACAAGGAAAATTTTAAAAAATATTACACACTAAGATACATTACCTTCCAAAAAGCAAGAAAAATATGGACAGCTGACTTATCAGTAGAAACAATGGAAGCCAGCAGACCATAGAATGACATTTTTAAGTTGCTGAAAGAAAATAAATTTCCAGCCTAGAATTCTACAACCTGTAAAAATATTCTTCAAAAATGAAGGCAAAATAAGGATGTTTTAGACAAATAAAAACTCAGATTTGTTGTTCCAGATGCAAACTAAAAGAAATATTGAAGGAGAGTTCTTTAGGCAGGGGAATTTATAGGGAAGGTTAATGCAAATTTTTAAACTTTAAAAGAAAATTTATTTTGTATTTTTAGTAGAGGTGAGGTCTCACTATGTCGCCTAGGCTGGTCTCAAATTTCTGGCTTCAAGTGATTCTCTCACCTGGGCCTCCCAATGTGTTGGGATTACAGCCATGAGCCATCATATCTGGCCACAAGTTCTTGTTATGGTTATAGCATAGTAGCCAAATTTGAAATTAATGAATCCCAGATAGAGAAAGTGGTATATAGTCTTTGTCTCCCTGAAAACTAGATAGTTCAAAGGAAATTAGAATGTAGAAATGGGGTAGACCTACTTTATCGCTAGCCCAAAGAACCCAGAGAGATACCATGTTGATTTGAAAGCTATCCTCTAGCTCTCATCCCAAGATGCCACTATACAAAGAGTATCTGCTTAGACTCTCCTACTCCACCTGCCTCAGGATCTGAATGTGGAGTTGGTTCCTTTTAGTTTCCCGATGACTCTTCCAGACCTTTGGCCTCCATGATCTTACAAAAAGTCTTTGGTCGAAGTCCTGCCCTTCCTCCTCTCTTTTACCTGATAGTTTCCCAGTCATTTCCTCTAGCTTTACGAAGACTTTACTAGCCTCAGCCCATGGTTCCATATGGAGACTTCAGCCTCAAAATCATAAAGCAATGCATTGTGTGCTCTGATGCTAACCTCTTATTCTTCCAGCTTGCTCATACTGCTCTACTTTCTCATCAGGACCTTCAGCCCACTAACTGTTCTTTTCTGCTAGTCAGTCTTCTCTGATCTTGACATACCTCTTTATCCATCTTAGGTTGTCAATGGTCAATCATGTCCATTATTCTGCCTGTGCTCCTGACTGCCCCATCCTCTGTGTCCTTGTCAGCTTTTCTTGCAAAGTCGTAACCTTGGATGAACTCTGCCACTCACCTTCTGCACCTTCTCCAGAGCAGCTGAGCACTAGTTGAGACAAGCACACTCTAGGACAACTCGCTAGTAATGTAACAGAATTCTTTGTCATCAACTACAAATAGCATCAAAAACTCCATGGAGATCCTATGTTTCTCAATTAAATTAGACCACTCCCCAAATCCATAAATGTAAATTTCCCACTTTCCTCAAGGCCCTGATCTGCTATGTCTCCACACTCTGCTACTTACATTCCTCCCTCCTGCCCCACAGCTACTTCACATAGAATATGAAAGCTGTAACATGGGAGCTTCCTCAGTTTTCTCCTTTCCCATTGCCAAATACATCAACTCTTTCCCATGTGCTTATTTTTTTTTTTTGACAGTGTCTTGCTCTGTTGCCCAGGGTGGAGTGCAGTGGTGCAACCTTGGCTCACTGCAATCTCCACCTCCCAGGTTCAAGCAATTCTCCTGCCTCAGCCTCCAAAGTAGCTGGTATTACAGGCGTGCACCACCACGTCCAGCTAATTTTTATACTTTTAGAAGAGGTGGGGTTTCATCATGTTGGCCAGGCTGGTCTCAAACTCCTGACCTCAAGTGATCTGTCCACCTCGGCCTCCCTAAATGCTGGGATTACAGGCGTGAGCCACTGTGCCCAGCCCCAATTTAAAGCAATTGGATTGCTTTAAATCCAATCCCTTCACTCTTTTCTGGAATAAAAAGACGTTGATTATATTTCTCTCTTTCTGGTATTTTCTGTAACTCTTAACCATTTAAGTACTGTCCATCAGCGCTGAAATTTGTCCATGTCTCCCTCATCACACACACAAAAGGAAAATACCTCCTGTAGCCCTGATCCCACTCAAGCTATCACCTGGGTCTTCACTGCTCTTCACTGGCACTGAAAGAAACTTTGCTCTACTGCTATAATTTCCTCACCTCCTGCTCATTCTTCTACTTTCTGTGTTCTAGTTCCTCTGTCAGTAGAGACTGATGACCTACAAGTACCTAAAGGCAACGGACATTTTCCAGTCCTATTTCATTTGACTGCTCAGTAGCTTTAGAAGCAGTTGACAGTTCACAGCTTTTCAAAACACTGCCTTTCCTTGCTTTTCCTCATACCACATTCTTCTGACGGTTTACCCACCTCTCTGTCTGCCTGTTTGTTTCCCATTAGTTTTCTAGATACAACAAGAATGATCTTTTCAGAATATAAACCTAATCATGGCATCTCATAATCCTCCAGTAACCTTCTATTACTCCTGGGATGGAGCCCAAATCTTTTAAATGTGGCCTTCAAGGTTTTTCAGGTTCTGAGTCCTGCCCCCTCTCACAAGGAGTCCTGTCTCACCTTGGGCCTCTATCCCTCTTGTGCTTCTAACACTCTGTCTCTGTTTTCAGCCCTGGAATATGTCATGTCATGCCACCTACCAAGCCTCGCTCCTCCTTTCCCTCTATGGTGGCCCTTTCTGCCTCCCATCCTTGGGCTAGTTAAGTCCCCCTAATTTTTTAGAAAATAGGGAAGATTTTTTTTTTCAGTCCCTTAGGTCAAGTATATCTCACAGTTGTCAATTCCTAAGACAACTGTAAATCAACTGTGAATAAAGGAATAAGCAGAAGAATGAACCATGTGTCCTGAATCACCACATCCCCGCTGAATCTCTTAGCGCAAGGTTAGCATTTTGGACTCCAGTTTAATTTAGATTGATTTAGTACCACTAAACAAACAAGAGAGGGCAGCAGACCCAGGGGGGATGGGCCCCTGGGGCTTCCACTTCCCAAGAGCATGGACTTTTTCTGCTGAGAATGCTGTAACTAAAGGAAGAAGAGGGGGTGGAACTAGACCTGTGGCACAAAGAGCACCATTCACTCTGTAGTCTATGACATTTCAGGGGCACTGCTCTTACTGTAGTCAATGAGAATGATGGCACCTGGTGTCACAGGAATTATCCATTTACCAACTATGGGTCATGAAAGCCCCAAGAGACTAAACAAAAAAGGAGCAGTGGGTTTAGGTAAGTTGAGAGAGGGCAAAGAGAAGCAACTTGATTGCTATACCTTGGAGCCTATCAAGACAAGGAGGGTTGTAATTGAAGATCAATTATAAAAGGGAGGTTTAGGTTTATATAGCATTCATGTGCCTAGATTCTAAGCAGTGTGTTCTGGGCAGGGCTTTAGATCTTAATGATCACCGTCAGTATTTAATCAGAATGGTATGACAGCTTGGCTGACACCACAAGCTTTGGAATATAAGAAGGTCATCTCCACTGAATTGCAGGCCTTCTTTCACCTTCCATGTGTGGTAAGAAGACTAGATTATTAATCATCACTATATATACAGATTCCAGGAGACCCCGAAGTAGAGCTGGGGCAGGCTACTCTGGGCCCTTCTGAAAAGCATGGGTGCTCCTTGCCTCCAGGCTCACCAAGTAACTCTTGGCTGATGTGGTGTTTTCAAGGAGCAGAGGCTTTTTCATTTAAGGAATCGGTACTGCTACCCCACCCTCCACCACATGCATGCAGCTTCTGTGTGCAGGTGTCACATCTGAACAAATAAATACATCCTCTCTCGCTGTGGGCCATGAGGAGATTGCTGAAAGGCCCCAACTCTGAGACCCTTCCTCCTTCTAGGAATGTGGGTTCCCAGGTTAGAGGAAGAGGCTTCTAGCACTGTTATGTTACTGACACTTTATAATTAACCGTCTAAAACTCTGCCCCATGGCATGTGGAGGAAATGAAGCAGCTCTGTGACTCACCTTCCACACAGCTGAAGCCCTGCTGACACATCAGAATCTGTGAAATGTGCATTCTGAAGGAGCAAGGAAGGGCCTGACAGGAGCAGTGGAGACTCACACCATGAGGAACAAATCAGGGATGATTCTTCTCCCACCGACACTGGCAGCAAGAGAGGAAAGAGGCCAGGAACCAGGAGATCTGGGGTCACAGACTGGCTAGCTAGGTGGCCAGAGACAAGTCACTTCACCAATCTGGACTGATTTTATGCAATACAAGGGGGCTGCTAAATTAAAACTGTAGAAACCTGTTTTTTCTCTAAGAATCCATGTTCTCCTCCTGATGGCTAGAGGGATTCCTACTTCCCTATCTAGTGGGATAAACA
The DNA here is from genome assembly GCF_000001405.40 of Homo sapiens. Lineage (NCBI taxonomy): Eukaryota > Metazoa > Chordata > Mammalia > Primates > Hominidae > Homo > Homo sapiens. The sequence continues at coordinate 47,750,269 of NC_000015.10, read as the reverse complement.
TCCTGGTGTAATTCCCACTGCTCCAGGCTCTTTCTCCTCAATATCCAAGCATTTCAAGTCACTATCATTATAAACAAACAGCCATTCCCCTGACCTTGAGGCTGCCTCTGCTTTCTCTCTCTCCCACTTCCTTTCTCAGCCAGGCTTCTTTGAAAAGAAGCCTGAGTCCATATTCTCCATTTTCTCACTTTTCATTACATTTGTAGCCCACTCTAGCCTAACTTTAATGACTATGCATCAACCACCTAATTGCCAAATCCAAGGCAATCCTCATTTTAAATCTTCCTTCATCTCCTTGAGGCATTTAATCTCAGTGGTCATTCCATCAGATCTTCAAACTGCACCTGTGACTCCCCTAGTTCTTCCCACCTCCCTAGCTGCTCCTTTTCATCATCTTCCCAAATTTGTCTTAACATGCTTGCCCGTTGGATGTGGTTCTTCCCAGTTCCATTCCGGGTCTCTAGGGATGTGCTCACATGACACTTACCTTCTTCACTACCACCAATTCACTAATCCCAGATCACACGTCCACCACACACCAGTTCCAATCCAGCTGTCCAACTCCCTGCTAGATATTTTGACCTTCGTAAAATATAGGCATTTTAAATTCAGTAGTCTAAAATTGAACTTAAGATACTTTGCCTTGACTTCTCCTGCTGAATTTCCTGCGGAGCATAGGTTTAGAGCTTGGAGTACCTGGCTTCCAATGTAAGCACTACCATTTACAAGCCATGTGACTTTGGGCATGTTACTTAACTTTCAAATTTTCTTGTTTTCCTGCCTGCAGTGAGGATAATAATATTACTAATATTATTACGATTACTGAATGAGATAACCTATATAAAGCATGTAGCCAAACCCCTTGCGCCTGACAAGAGTCCAGTAATTAGGCCGGGCGCAGTGGCTCACGTCTGTAATCCCAGCAATCTGGGAGGCCAAGGTGGTCAGATCACTTGAGGTCAGGAGTTCAAGATGAGCCCAGCCAACAGGTGAAACCATTTCTCTAGTAAAAATACAAAAATTATCTGGGCATGGTGCTGTGTGCCTGTAATCCCAGCTACTCGGAAGGCTGAGGCAGGAGAATTGCTTGAACCTAGGAGGCGGAGGTTGCAGTGAGCTGAGATCACACCACTGCACTCCAGCCTGGGTGACAAGAATGAAACTGTATCTCCAAAAAAAAAAAAAAAAAGAAAAAAAAAGATTTACAACTATTATTATTGTTATTGCTATTTTTTTTCATGTTCTTCTCAGGCACTTGTGTTTTAAGCCTGGGAGTCTTCCTAGACGGCCCCGTCTCCATCATCCTCTCCTTTGAACCTGTCAGTACATCCCATTGCTTCTATCTTTTCATTTGTCTAGAATTGACTCTTCATTGGTTTCTGTTCTCCTAGACTTCTAGTGCATTCTCCACAATGCCACCAGAATGATCTTTCTAAAACACAAATGCTATCATGTTACATCCCTGTCCAAAAGCACTTTAATGGTTCCCGAAGGCCTATGTGTAAAGTCTAAATTCATTTCCAAGATTTACAAGATCCTTCACAATTTTATTCTTTCTAGCTTCTCCATCTCACCTAATGATACTTCCCCACCTGGATCCCTAAGCAGTGTCTTCTGCACACGCTATTCTTTCTAAAACGTCCTTCCTGAAAACTGTCTATTCACCAGCTCAAAACTTACCTGGCCCTCTCCCCTTTCTCATTCTTCCCTCTTCAGCCACACTGCTCTGCTCAGGACAGCTAGTCATACTATGATATTGTATAAATACTTCCATTGCAGAACTTGTCACTCCACAGCAATGTTACTGATTTTCACATTTTCTCTATTGGGCTGTGCTACTCAAAGGATCATTTTCCTCTTTACTGCCAGGATCAGGCACAGGGCCTGGCACCTGGCAGGTCCTCAGTAAATACTTGATGAATGGAGGAAGAAATAAAGAAAGAAGGTAGAACACTGACAGGACTTCGCTGTGGCACACAGGCCACATCAAAATGAACAGCTCTCCACCATCAACCCAACAGCGAATCTTGAGTCTACCATCATTCTCCTGCAGCGTTGGCACAATATCCTCATTAGCCTCCAGTTCATGAGCTTCAGGTGCTGCAAAACCAAGAGGTTCTCTATAAAAGGCAACAGATGCCTCTTTTCACACCTACCCATCATTAACAAACTGCCCACCAGAAATGGGCAACACAGGCCAAATAACTAAATGATTTCTGTCAACCTCCCCATCTCCACCACTGAAATTTCTGCTCACTTTGCAGCTTTCCCAGAACAAAGGGAAGGAAAGCAGGCTATTCCTGAGATTAGAGAGTGGATATATGGGACTGGCAGAGAAGAATCCTATGTGACTCTTCACTACCTAACAAATATAAAATGAAAATCAGCTTGCCTAATGGCTGGGTTATGCCTAAAATTCTGCAATGGGAAATTCTTTTCTTTGGCCAATGGCCTTTTTTCTAGTTATAAATTAAGTAATGATAGAACATACCATAACCAGAAACCAGTATGAAGACATTTGTAAGATCTGATCTTACCCAGCATATCAGAACATGCTGGATTCTGACAGAAGAGAAAAAAGCGCAGGTGGTAGTAGATACTATGGGAGAGAAGAAAGGGGAGGCTGGGGCTATGGAAGTCTGGGTGATCCTTATTAATGCCTTGCTCTTAAAATCAGTGTTTTCCTCAAAGTTGGGTCAATTTTATTTGAGTTATATTTTATGTACATGATAAAGCTGTCGACTTAAGTTTTCTGAAAATTAAAAACCTCTTATGCAAGGTTTTCACTTTAAGTCTGGATTTTCTTAAAGCAAAGCACACCAATATCTGAATCAGTAATACTTTGGTTACATATTAATAATTCAGAAAGGAACTGAAATTAAAAAGAGTTGGGCAGGAAGGGACAGAAAACAGGATCTAACCTGTCTTTGCCAATTCTAAGCAAACCTGGACAATAATCCCAGCATCTGACCTGTGATCAGAACCACTGCTCTGGGGACCATAATTCTAGCAACAATTTGCCTACAAGTTTTTGCCTTTCTGCCCTAACTCAAATTGAATAACATTCATTTTAAAGCAAAATTGTCCTAGAAACAATCCTCATTAACAGTGAAAATAATACAAGAAACTAATGAGAATATGAGCCTGATATGTAAGCAGAAAATCTGCTATCCGGGAAGATGACAAAATATATCAGCCTCTTAAGACATCAATATAATAACTTGCTTTGTGAAAGTATAATGCACAAGGAACCTTCTACAATCGAAATATATATATATATATATACACACACACACACAGCAGGAGACTGTTGTGGCAGAAATGAACAATCGTGTCTCCTTTTTTCAGGGGAACCGAAGGGTTTTCAAGGCTAACTAATGACAAGAGAAATGGAAAGCCTTCTTTTTTGGTTATCTCCTCCACAGGCATATCCCAGCCAGACTGGGCTCCTCCCCTTCAGCCTCCAGGAAAAGGAGCCATTCTAGACAAAGGAAGGGCTCAAGGTTCCAAGGGATGACCCAGATGCCAAAGGACTCAGCCTGTCTGTGGAACACTGGCTTATTCTACCAGATGACCTGCTGAGGCTGCCATATGGCCTGCATGTGACTTTCTGTTCAGGATATTAGGGCCTGGGTCTATGCCTGGTTCTGCCCTTTGGGCTCGGATGACAGAAGTAGAGTATGTTTGTTCTGATGCTACTGACTTGTCTGATGCAACCACCGTGTAGCCATAGCTTTCAATGTACTCCATGAAGCCTTTCCAGGCTTTCAAATAAATGAACAATACCCTGGCAAAGAAGGACTGAGGATGGGCTGCTGCTCCTATTCCTGTCTGACAAAGGTCAAGCAGATAAATTGAGGGACTTATGATCCAGGAGTAGTGAAGCCAGTGCAGAACCCAGATGTCACAACAGAGTTCAATGATCTATGTTAGCATCACTGCCAACAACAATGGGATTTCACTCTATTTTAAAAGGCTCACATCTTCAGGTTTGATATTCTGCAAAGTGCCTCATCAGAGGTTCTCAGGTGATGTCATGCTTTAAAACAGTTGGTGATGAGTTTACAGAAGGGTTAAAACTCTAATGACCCAGAGGAAGAGAAGTGAAATTTTAAAAGCCAAGAATTTTTAGTCCCAAGTCCTTTGGTTTTCGGTCACCAAAAATAAGGCCTTTGTATTAGTATTTGCCTTCTGTATTTGAAAATACAGTAACAGTTGCCTGTCTCTAACAAACGTAGAGAAAGATTACTGATTGCTCAGAAAGATTTAGAGCATTAACCTTATCAGGATTCTGTAAGTCAATCCTAACTTGTTTTTTAAAATGTACTTCCTGGGTGAAGGGGACATGGAACTCTCTGTACTATTATTACAACTTCCTGTGAGTTCATAATTATTTCAAAATAATTATTTTTTAAATGTATTTTTTCCTACTGATGGAAATGTGGCCCATGGTAAGTTAGGTTCCATTTGATAGATCTGGACTAAAAATGGAGCTGTAACTAAGAATGAGAATAATAAACAGCCCAGGTGAATTTTAAGTCCTGCAAAGCTCAGGGAGCGCCCAGGCTAAGCCTGAGTCAGTGCACCTGTGCATTACCTGCAGCCTTTTGTCTAGGCTCTGTATCTGATGGACTATGAACTTCTGAAACCTCTGGGTCCACAGAGGCAAAATGGGAGTTTAGGTCAATCCATGCAAGTTCTTAAAATCTCAGTTCCTAATTTTCACTAAATTGATGCAAGACCAAGAGGGTATTAAGCAAACTCAGCCCTTGCTGCTGTCAGGGATGGAGGCTGACAAGCGTTGAGCAGTGGCGTACGGGGTAGAGAACATGGCTCTGGAGCCAGGCTGCCCAGGTAGGTGCCCCAGCTTTGCTGCGCAACCAGTGATCTGACCTTGGGTGAGCTAGTTCACCACTTGGTCCCTCCATTACCCTGTATGTTGGGGATAGGATCACACTAGCAGCTACCTCATAGAGTTGCTGAGGACGGAAGGAGTTCTTGAACCAGAGATCCTGGCACATGGTAAGCACCATAAAAATCACTATTAGACCAGGTGAGTACCAGGAAGCCTGTTCAAGGCTAAAGGTACAACTGTGAGGAAGGGTGTGTGGTTCTAATGCCAGAGATAATTACGCTTCAAACCCTTATCTACATTTGTTCTCACTTTCCTTATGAATCACCTTGGGGGATGTTAATCTTATCCCAAACATTAAACACACCTGGAGATAATAGGGAGGTAAAAAATCTGGATTCTACTCTTAACTCAGCCTCTAAGGATCTGACAGACCATGAGAAAGCCAACTTGCCTCTTCCAGCCTCGGTTTCCCAATCTATACAATGAGAACGCAGGTGATCTCCAATGCCCCTTCCAAGTTGTGACATTTTATGATTTTGAGTTTGGTGCCTGCATTGAAAAAGGTTCTTCACTCAAAGTAAAATTCTTCCCAATTCACACTTCTAAGTTTTTTGTTGTAGCATTGCCGTTGCCTAGGATACAAAGTGCATGTGCTCCCTCTGTACCCTGAGACAGGAGAGTGCGCGATCGCTGCCTCTGATCTGTGACGCTGAACCACAAATGGGCTTTGTACTACAAACTGACTGATGCCTTGAACAGGGACCGAGCCTCCACTGGCACTTACGAATGTGGACTTGGCATTCTGATGGCGTCCCAGATGAAATGGCAGAGGGTGCATTTTCCCCCCCACAACCATGTGTCCTTGGGAAATACGGCCTTTAAGTGTCTCTTCGAGCTTTCTCACCTCACCCAGGGGTGAGGTGGTCCCACAGGCTAGCAGATCATGTCCAATATCTTTTTTAAATTGTAGGATGTGCTGTGGGAAGCTCAGTTCACATACACTCAGGACCTCTGTCTAGGTTTCTTAGCCTCTCTCTGCATTCCCAATGTGCTTTGCAGCTGATATTTAATAAACTTCTGTGTGTGGGTGGGGATTGGGGTGCCTAGCTCTCATTGATATTCAGCCTAGACCAGGGTTTGGGGAAAGAGCTTTTCACTTATAGTGTTTTATGCTCTTCAAAGCAAATATGTCTATCTACTCTAGTCCTTAAAGCTGACCTTAGAGGCTTAGGGCAGAAGTTATTTTCTCCACTGAACTTCGTGTCAGCTTCAGGAGAACAGAAGTCATGTCTGTCTGTTCTCTACTTTATCTTTATTACCCACCATAGCATCTGGAACTCACTATCTACTTGGTAAATATTTGCTGAATTAGTAAATAGATGCTTTTCAGACAAGGAGTTAAAGAACTGCTGGAGGTCATACTGCTGACAAGAGGCTTCTGGGTCACCTGTCTCCAGGTCCATTGCTCTATGACCTCCAAGGCTAATCTCAGAGAGGCTCAAAATGGATTTGCATTGACAAAAATCAAAACTAGGTTCCACAGTGACATTCAGCATTGGTCTTACAGCTATGGGGCCAAGAGGGACCAGAGGACAGCATTTGGATGCCACTTCTCTGAACCCCCTAAATTTCGGGCATGGTAAAGCACCCCCTCATTCCAGTGCAAACTCAGCTTTCTCCACCTTTCTGCCTTTGGATGTGCTGTCCCCATCACTACCTGGAATGCTCTTCTTGTCCCTTCCTCTTCATGACTGATTCCTCATGAGAAATCACTTCCCACCAGGATTTTCCTTCTTTTCCTTCTCCGGCCATGAAAATCTGGGCTCACTTTCATCAGAGCACATATCACGTGATAGTCTGTTTCCTTCTTTTCATAACTTACTCCCCCGCACTGTAGGTTTCTTTGAGTTCAGGAACTGCCTTTTACGTCTGCAAATAAACTCCCAAAAAAGTGGTTAGTCCACAGGGTTTTAATAGTTCTTGTTGAATGAATTTCTGTGTGCGACCCTGTGCCTTCTCAAGAAAAAAAAAACATTGAAAAATCTCCACAGAGCCCTTTACCCACTGATGGTGAATTGCTAATGACAGGTCATCCACGATCACCAGTAATGAACACATACACGCACCAACATATTAAATTATGTATTAAATTATTAAATTAAGCATTAAATTATGCAGCAGTATTTCCGGTAGGCAATTGCCCTTACAGCTGCAGATGTGACCATAGTGAGATCTGGACTTCCCTTGATTTTGAAATTGTTGGGAAGGACATATAGGACTTAGCAGTGTGCCAGTGATATTGTCCGGCCCATTTCCTAAGTTGACCAATGCCTTGGACCTAGGGCCTCAAATTCTATTCTAATCACAGGAGGCATCCTGGGGAGGCATAGAGAAAAAAGAATGTTGCTTTCTTTAGACATGCAAACAGGATAAACATTGGTGAAAAGATTGAGAGAAATTAGCCTAATTATCTTTGGAGGAAAAAGTGTGACTGGTTTTCCTTTTCCCCACCTACTCTCACTATAGAGACCTGCAGCTCTTTGACAAAAAAGAAAGGATTGCAAAACCAGGAAACACAGAGGGTGTGGGGTCCTTTGTATGAAGGATACAGGGACAAGGCAGGATTACAACCAGAGTAAGAAAGGCGTTCTAGCAGGACTGGGGGAAAGAACTGGAGGGACCTGTGGGTTTCTTCCTGAGGGGCTGCATCTATTCCAAGCTGGGTAGAGAGGCAGAGCCACCTCTTTCATGTCATATGCACTGAAAGTCCCAGACACCCTTCAGATCAGTGGACATTCAACAAGTAGAAGCAGCCGTTAGTACAAACACAACCCCAGCCCAACAGGCCTGGCCTGGTTTATGAGGTGCTGTAATCACCAGTCCCCAGGCCCTAGGCTCTATCTCAAGTGGGTCGGTTATACCTTCTGCTTACTGTCTTTCAGCAGCATCCAAGCTGCCCAAGGGAGAAGAGGGAACGGAGGCCAGTGTGAAGGACAGGAGGGATCCCTCCCGTGCAGCAAGGCACCGCTGGCTGCTCCCACCTCCCTCCTTACCTCACCTCTTCTGAGATGAGGGAAGGATGCATCTCTGTTGACTCCCTCTTTCACCATGGTTTTTTTTTAAAGGGACAAGTGAGAAAATGTGAGTAAAAATACTTTAAAAATTGTAAAGGTGCTATACAAGTGTGAAGAAGTAGTATTATTATCACTGCTTTATTTAGTTGCAGTTTGCATCACCCTGGTGTACTGACATCGTTTACACTTTTGCTCAAATCAGTATTCACATGCTTATTTCCACGGCTGCAGTTCCTCTGCGAGTGGCCAGCTCAGCTGAGGCCTCCTGCCCTTGGCTCCTGTTGTTCTCTGAACCTGGAACACCTTCTGCAGCTCCTCTGACTGGCAAATTCCTAGTCATCCTTAGGACCCAGCGCCAGTCTCAGACCCTCTCCATCCCTCTCTCTGCTCTCCTCGCAGGACACTCTATCCATTTCTACTGTGGATTTGCCACAGTGGGTAGAATTGCTCATCTACCTCCTGTCTTCCTCTTTAGACTGTGAGCTCCTCGAAGGCAGGATCTATGGCTTATTGGTAGAAATAACTTCCCAGGCCCAAATAGAAAATATTTCACATGTCTGCTCTACTAACAGAAGAGACTTTGCTTGCTAACCTTCTTATTTTGTTTTCTTTTTACTTTTTTTTTTTAGATGGAGTTTTGCTCTTGTTGCCCAGGCTGGAGCGCAATGGCACGATCTCGGCTCACTGCAACCTTCACTTCCTGGGTTCAAGCAATTCTCCTGCCTCAGCCTTGAGTAGCTGGGATTACAGGCATGTGCCACCACGCCCGGCTGATTTTGTATTTTTAGTAGAGACGAGGTTTCTCCACGTTGGTCAGGCTGGTCTTGAACTGCCGACCTCAGGTGATCTGCCCGCCTCGGCCTCCCAAAGTGTTGGGATTACAGGCGTGAGCCACTGTGCCCGGCCTTCTTATTTTGTTTTCATGGGACACACCTGGAATTAGGTTTAATACGTAGATGTCACAGACCGGAAAATTAGAGCTGATTATAACAAGCCAGGGTTGCATGCTAACAAAGCACCAGGCATTATGCTAAGAATAAGCACCCCCTAGGAGGTTGGTGCTATTTTGCAGATGAGGAAATAAAGAAGTAATCTGCCTTTGGTCACAAAATTAAATAATGGGGCTTAAGCCAGTTTGACTTCAATGTCTGTAGTCTTAATCCCTGCAGCAGAGAAAGATAACACAGAAGAAAAGGAACAGAGAGGAGAAAGAGGAACTTAAGAATTTATTAAGATAAGAATACTGTCAGAGTTTTTTAGCTTGATTTTATGATTGTTATTTTAAGACATAAGCATCATTATTTCCCCTTTCTAGTCTAATAGTCTAGCAGGTAACTGTGTCAGAAAAATAAATAAGTAAAAGTTTCTATGAAAAAGTCAAGTAATTGAGAAGATTCATGCAGGGAGCTAGCAAGGATCCTGCCTCCCTAAATCTTAAGTATTGGTTTCCACCTCTTCCTCCTACCTATCTTTGACGTTAAGGGTCACCAGTGGTCAGAGGCCTCTTCCCTGTCACCCTAGACCTAACATCAAGCCTTTGTCTCCAGGCAGTGGTGCAGCAGGGACCTACCCCAAGGTCAGGGAAAAGAGTATATTGGGTACCTCCCTGCTCAGGTGCTCTTGCTTGGAAATAAACTGAGGGCTCACGGCTCGCTCCTTTGGCTCCTGGGCCCTTCAAAGTTAGAGAGGCTCCCTTTGAAACCCTTCTTTTAAGTATCTTGCTGACCAGGCAGAGTGGATATGAGAGAAAACTATATCAGAGGGCAAGTCTCTATCTCTGGAAGGCTTGTCTATGTTTTTTTGTTTGTTTGTTTTGTTTTTTGAGACGGAGTCTTGCTGTGTCACCAGGCTGGAGTGCAGTGGCGCAATCTTGGCTCACTGCAGCCTCCACCTCCCGGGTTCAAGTGATCCTCCTGCCTCAGCCTCCCGAGTAGCTGGGACTACAGGCGCGCGCCACCATGCCCAGTTAAATTTTTGTATTTTTAGTAGAGGTGGAGTTTCACTATGTTGGTCAGGATGGTCTCGATCTCTTGACCTGCTGATCTGCCCACCTCAGCCTCCCAAAGTGCTGGGATTACAGGCATGAGTCACCACGCCCGGCCATGTTTTTTACTTTCTATTTTCAACTATCAACAAAAATACTATAACCCAACCTGACAAAATGGCTGAAAAATGAGTCGCAATGCATGAAACCCTCAGGAGTTCCTGGATGATGGCCATCCTCTCACCACACAGGAGGATAAGTACCCTCATATAAACCAATGGAAAAGCAGGCTCTACTTTATGAATATTTTGGCTTCACCACCCACTAGCTTTGTGATCTTGGAAAAGCTACTTCACTTCACATCTATTAAAAGTAGAAAATAATTGGACCTATCTAAAATGGTTGTTTCCAGGGTTGTAGACTTAATATACGGAAAACTTAAACTTATGCAAATAAGTACAATTAGTATTAGCTATTATTATGGTTATTGTGTTGATATTATTATTAGCATCATTATGCTTCCTCACTGCTGTGTCCCCTGCCCTGTCATATTCTAACCTTTTCTGAAGACCACTCTGATGATTTCAGTATCTTCTTCTATGTTCCAAATTCTCTCTTGGAATATTCTTTGGAAGACTGGACCAAGAAACTGCAGTTCAAATAATTTCCCTTTTCCTAGTAGTAGAGACACCTAAATCAACCACTCAGCAATCAGGTGGGATTCTCATACATATGGCTGTCAACACATTAGAAGTTAAGCATCTTGCCAGTGTACATGGACCAAATATGCCTAATGTCATTATTCTTCTTGAGATGTATCACATGCTCAGACCCACCACTAAAACCTATCTTAACAGGAAAGAGCAACTACACAGATGATTAAAAGCCCTGAGACCTGACTGCTTGTGTGGGCGGGGGGTGGTGGAATACTGCAGATTCCCCACAGTGCAAAAGTCAGTCCAAGAGGCACCTGGCCGAATTCTTTGTTGTGGAAAAGGTAGACTAGGTTAACGGAGAACCCATCCCTGGACTATTCTGGAAAGCAAAGGTGGAGGTTGGTGCTATAATATCTACTAGTCCACTGTGCTCCAACTATCTAGTTTTTCAGCTTCCCAAAGGGCTGAAAATTCTGTATGGCAGTTTATAAACACAATCTCTCAGTGTTTTTTATATTGTTTCCATTCAGAAGTGGGTGTATATATCCTCCCTGTGAATCTGGGCTATGAGTGTTTGAATAATAGAATGTGGTGATGTGATGCTGTGCCAGTTTGGAGCCCAGGACTTAATACATAGGCAGCTTCCACTTCCTATTTCTTGGACACTGGTTGGAACCCAGCTACTGAAGTATGAAACAGCCTAAGCTGCTTGTGAAGACATCCTCATGAAGTGGCCCATAGGGAGAGGAACTAAGGCTATGGCTGTCAGCCCTAGCTGAGCCCTGAGCTGACAGGCAGCACCCACTGGCCTTCCATGAGAATGAGCACCTTAGACCTGGAGCCCCCCTCACCTACTAGAGCCACCCCAGTTGATACTACATAGAGTAGTGATGAGTCTTTGCTGAGCTCTGCCCACATTGTAGATTCAGGGGCCAAACAAATGATCGTGGTAGTTTTAAGCACTAAGTTGTGGGATGGTGGCTGGATAAATGAACCCTTCCCTGGATCCCCTCAGCACTCGCTTTATCCTGAAATCCTGCTTCCTCTGCTCTTTCCTGTCAGTCCAGCTGAAGATTGAAATTAGCTGTCAGAGCTGGAAACATTCCAGAGAAACAGAGAGTCTTTGGTCAGAATACAGATGTTATGACAATTCCCTAGTAATAGTCTTCAGATTGCTTTTCTATGTGTCAAACAGTAGAAACTTGTCCCTAAAATGTCTTGTCCCAGTCTTTTTAAAAAGTCAGGCTTCTTAGTACTATTTGCAATAGCAAAGACATGGAATGAACCCAAATGCCCATCAATGGTACACTGGATAAAGAAAATGTGGTACATATACACCATGGAATACTATGCAGCCATACAAAGGAATGAGATCATGTCCTTTGCAGGGACATGGATGAAGCTGGAAATCATCATCCTCAGCAAACTAACACAGGAACAGAAAACCAAACACCGCATGTTCTCACTCATTAGTGGGAGTTGAACATTGAGAACACGTGGACACAGAGAGGGGAACAACACACACCAGGGCCTATTTGGGGTAGGGGTTGAGGGGAGGGAACTTAGAGGATGGGCCAAGAGGTGCAGCAAACCACCATGGCACATGTATACCTATTAGAACAAACCTGCATGTTCTGCATATGTAACCCTTTTTTTTTTTTTTAAGTTTATCAGGCTTCTTGATAGCAATACTAGAAATGCAAATTGTTACGAAGGAGACACAACTTTACACTGGTGAAATTAGCTTCTGTTTTTTTAAAGATAATACTGGTAAAGTTGGGATGAAATCAATATATTGCACATGGCAGGGTAAATTAGTACAACCATTTTAGAAAATAATTTGGCAATGTGTAACACACATGCTCCTACATACACAACACACACTTAGAAAACTAACCTTTGACTTAGTAATTTTACTTCTGGTGATTTACCCTTAGCAAATAGTCTAAAGTAGGAAGGAAAAAAACGAAACTTATTTTATAATGGTGAACAAACTGGAAACAGCTTAAAATTGTAAACACAGAGAAGCAGTTAAAAGTATATTACACTAGCCTCATGAAATATGATGCAATCATTCAGATAATAATAATGAAAACCAGTAATCCTCAGCTTATGATGCAATACTAGGAAGGAAAAAAAATCAGAATATAAGGTTTATGTTCACTGATCACAACTTTATAAAACCGGAGATGCATATAGACAAATACTAGAAGGAAACAGATTTTTAAAAATTTAAGTTATTTTAGATTTTTCCCCTTTAAAATTAATACTTTATAATTGTTTTAACATTTAAAAAAGGGAGGATGGGAAGATGCTTCACTAAAAAACATTAAGTTACCTTCCATCCAAATAAACAGCTCATTTTTCTTGGTGAAGACAGTTATTGTCTGTCTGTTCAATAAAACCAAGAACTAGTACTGGGGTCCTATGGGATATGATTTTTGAAATATGTAATTATTCTAGAGGATAACTTCCTAGAGAACAAGTCCTTGATTATGTTTTGTTTTATTTGTACTGTGGGTGTACCCTAAGAAATCACGAAGGTAATTAAGAGATTTCAGCTAAATTAGCATATTATAATTTTTGCTCCCTTTTTCCTTCTTACCTCCTACTTTTTCCTTCCTACCTCCTACTTTTTCCTTCCTAAGCTTCTGAAATATAAAGTGCTAAAATAAAATTAGCAACAGCAATTCCTATTTTTAGAGTGAACTTTAATCTGATTTTCACAAAGATCCATGCCAATTCAAAATCACCGCCGTTCTCTTGGTGCTGGTATTACAGGGATTGTCTTTTGTATTAAAAGTTAAGAATTACAATCACACAGGAGTAAGAAAACCTGGCTTAAACTTCTCAGTGGTCTAATCTACACCAGTAAAAGCAAACAAAAAACTGATTGCAATTGTGTACTTGAATATTTAAAGCCAAAAACATTTGTACCTCAGTTGTTCAAATACTGGTATTTAAGATCTTCCTCAACTCTAAAACATGCACAGGGAAATGGAGAAGGAAGTTCTGGCTTATTTAAATTCCAAAATCCTGCTTAAAGTCCTGTGTGTATGACAGCAGGAAGTAAGGACATTTTCTGTACCAGCCTTCTTGCTTTTTGCTAGAGTAATCACCCTACATCACCACGATCCAAATAAGCGACAAACTAAGCCTTAAGTAAATTCCTATCTGGATATGTAGCAAAACAGTAAATCTGTGTTTTCATAAACAAATTTCTACAGATGACTTGTTTATATTTTACTTTGAAGATACATAGCTGCTTGGAACACTGAATCTATTTCAAAATTTGGTCACATTGAGCATTTTTCTCAGTCGTAAGATAATCATAGCAGATAAGGGTGATTCTGCAATTCTGCCTCTGTCAGGGTGACAAGGAGTCAGACTTCTCTTATCTCTGTGGCTCTTTTCAAATCAGCCCACTCAATGCTAATACAAATGTAAACACAGTTAGCCAACCATTAGGGGCTTGGGAGCTAAAATGTAAACTCCCTCATTTCTTAGTAGGCTTCTAAGCTAAACAGCCTACTGCTACACAATAAAACAGACCAACAGACTCAAGTCAGAATGTTCTCCAACAAAATAAAATAAAATAAATTGAATACAATTAAATTAAGCTAAGTCAATAAATAAACAAACCCCACAAACTGGATAACAAATTTTAAGAGGCCCAAAGATAGCTCTGGAAAGTAGAAAAGACAATCATTCCCTTTCTCTCCTTCTGTCTCTTACACACACCCTAAATCACTTGAGTTGTTTAAAAGAATCTGCATTAACACCTCTTGATTAGTGTCAAAGTAAAAATTGTTTAATAGTTAAGTGATGAAATGTGTACAACTAAGCATCATAGGTTTGATCTTAATTGGCTTGATACTGTGACTTACACTGGAGTTGTTTGTGGGCTTTCACCATTACGGAAAAGCTCCCCATCTCTTCAGGCCGACGGCAGGCTTGTGAAGTGGAGAGACCAACTTAATGATGCAAACGTTTAGGCGGGTGATTAGAGACACTCTGAGCATCACATTCTCTTGTGATCTTAAATTTGCTCAAGTAAATGACAGCTTCAAGCAGAACTGAAGATGTATCTAAAAATGATGATTGTGGAATCTCAGTTAATTTGGAGTTGTTTGTTTTCTCTGAAATGTCTTTTATCATTTCCATTTGTCAGTGACCTTAAGTGGATGAAAAACAAGTGTATCTGAAGTCTGTGTCTGCCATTAAACAGCTATAACTTTTAATACAGACTTTGTAGCAATGCTTGCAGAGGTGCAAGCTGACTGAACTAGGAGAGATCTTGGTTCCCACACTGAATAAATACAGACTCACTGTGTTTAGTGGTACCTCTTTCTTGCATCTTGGAGAGTCTGGGTCACTGGAGAACAGATATTTGGGCCATGATGACTATACCGTAGTGCCTTCTCTAAAAGTTATTGTTGTCATGTAAGACTGTAGGGCTGCCAATCACTTGGTACCACATTGTGGGGTCTGTTTTGATTGGTTAGTGCCCATGCCAGAGGGCTGGCAACATATTTTTATTATAATCTCCCAACACACAAAACTTCTTGGGCTGAAAATCAGAAAATCCTCAGGGATGTCAATATTTGTATATTAGAGTTTTAAGGTCTTGGCTATAGATTTTTTTTTAAGTGTGGCAAAAGTACAGGAGTGAGTTAAGTCTCTTCTGGGAAATTAGCATAAAATCTACAGAAACAAAAGGACAGATCCAAATGAAATGAGCAGAATAATAACAGTGCTCAATCAATTTGATTTTATATTTTAAAAACCACCAAACTGCATGTAGGCCTTGGCTAGAAGTCAAAGATTTCAACTACACAGCTCAACTTTCTCAAGAAGAGTGCTAATTTCAATTTTTATTTTGGTCCCATAATTCCCATAATCCCCTAATTTCTAGTTTTGAAAGTAGAGTCACCACACTTAAAACTCAAACCTAGGCTTGGCATTATTTTACCTATGTCTTATTCCCTGAGGTATCAAGATTACCAGCCATGTTCTTGGAGACCATGTGTAGTCTGCCTTAGTTTACAGCTGAGAAAACCAAGGACCAGAAATTAGGTAGCTTCCTGAGTATGTGACACAGTGGAAACTCAAGACGCAAATTCTGTGGCTCTTTTCAACTCATGTCTGCTTACTCAGATCAATACAGAGTAAATTTCATTGGTGACAAGGAGAAGTCAGGATCAGCTACGTGATTTGCAGGGCCCTGTGTAAATAAAAGTGTGGTTCTCCTTGTTCGAAAAAAATTAAGGATTTGAAGATGGCAACAGCAGAACATTCCAAGCATGGGACCAAGTGCAGCTCCAGGTCACATACCCAGGAAACTGATGCTACATGCAGTTGTTCCATGATTTACTGGACTTTGATGCTTTGAAGGCAAAGGGGAAGAAAAGCTCTGTGAACACTGAAGATGCTCTAAAATTATCTGTTGCATGAATAAATGAATGAATGAATAAGTGAGTGAGTAAGATGCTTCTATACCTAGAGGGATCTTAAAAATTACTACTACGACTGAGGGACAGGTTGAGCTAATCCAGAAAGTTACTATGAGTACTTTGTCCATCATTTACGTTCTAAAATTCATCATCTGAAAATACTTCACAACATGATAAACCTTCCCACCCCATCACAAACAAGTCTCCAGAATCAGGTTCAGCAGTGAGTGGCCGTGTGTACATGTGGTGCTGCTTCTGTGCTCTGATGGGCTCAAGAAATGCCACATGCAGACTTGTTCTTATATTTTCTCTGTCTCTTTATGCTTTTAGAAGTAGCCATCCAAATACTTTTTTTGGGGGAGGAACCAATCCATGTATAAAATCCATAAGCCTTTCCTATATGAATATTTTACATATTGCCAAACATCCTTGATTTGAAAATAGTAAATATAAAAACCAAAACTACTATAACTTAGTGAGTTTATGTCAGATACCATGCTAAGTGCCTTGCATGTATGTCCTCCTGAAGACCTAGTAACATCCTTATTTGGTAGAAATATTATCCTAACTTTCCAGTGAGGAAAACCAGGCTCTGAGGGGTTAAGTGGCAGACTCAGAATTTGAACCCCGGACTCTCTGGACTCACAAGGATGCACAGTTGGGAAGGAAAATTGCAGGCTGAATATAGAGAGAGTAGCGAAGCAAGGGTTATTGCTTTCCCTTAAGGAACAAGACTCGTATTCAATGAAGCCTGAGTGAAGTTTTACCTTGGTGAACAAAAATGCAACTAGAAAACACTGACAGTAGAAATTTCAAATATTGAAAATCTAGGTGGTTAATTTTTACAGCTTCTTGCAAAGAAACATCAGCTGTACAAAGAGAGGTAAAGAAGGAGCCTCCTTACCTGTGTTTTATGATGTCTTAGGACTGATTTATTGTATTATTGTACCAGGAAAAGAGGTTAAACAGGACAGGGTGAAGGAGGACTCGGAGCCAGGCCAAGAGTTCCACTTAGGTAGTTTGCAGTGTATTTCATTAAGTGATAAGAAAGATTAAAAAAAAGTGAGTGGGTACCTGTCCTCAGTAGATACAGAATTTATCACATGTAACAGAAACACTACGAAACTTTAGCTTTAGAGCTTTAAGGGTTAATGAGCTTTTTGAAGTAGGAACCATGAGAAAATGTGAATTTATAATCATGAAATGTCTTACAGAGTTGAAGAGAATCGAGTTAGCATCTGTGTCTCCACCTCTCAAGAGATAAAAATGCCTTCATAATTACGGCTCGTGTTTACTATGATGTTTCAAAGTGTTAATCTGGCAGGGGTATCTTATTTCTCATTTAAAAGAAGCTACAGGAAACAAATATGGAAGTATAGTGAAAGAGAAGTCGTTTTATGAATCCTGCCTACATTTTTGTAGCATTTTCTTGCAGTGTCATATCTTTTATTTTTTTTAATTGCCTAATCAAATGCAAATTCTGTTCCAAGTATGCAAAATTTTCAAATCATGCAGAAAAACATTGCTGGCCAAACACCAAACTTTGAATAGTTTGAGCACATTCACAAATGTGTTTAATGTACACTATGTGTAGGTAATATGTATAAATAACAATGGTATAAATAACAATGTATAATTCTCTATAACAAAATGGTGATTTTGTTTGTGTATCCACTGGTAAGCCAATCTCTCCCATTTGGGTCAACTGAGGTGGTCCCATTCCCCTGCCCAAGACTGCTTTAGGCTTCATACATGAGCAGGTGACATGATGTTATCCAATGAGAGCCCGGGAAAATCTGTTACTAGGAAAGGTTTCCTGGGAGAGTTTGTCTCTTGATCTGTTGGATTCTCACCTTGAATGTACCAGTCCTACTAGGAACATGGAAGGAGCTAGCAAAGCAGAAGGTTAACAGGTTGAGAATGGCAGAGAAGAAACATGGAAAACACCTGAGTCTTTGATGACTTTGTTTAGCCAAAGAATTAACCAACCTTGGAGCAACCACATTTCAGGACTTCTTACTATGTGACTTAATACGATCCTAATTGTTTAAGCAATTTTAAATTAGGTTTCCTCTTACCTGTAGTCCAAAGCATACTAACAATGGAAAACCCAACATGACTGAGCACCTTATTGTGTTCTAGGAACTGTGACGGTCAATTTCCATGCATTATATTTAACCGATTTCACATCTCTTTAAGAATATTTTCTCCATTTTACAGAAAAGGAAACTAGACTCGGAGGTCTAGTGATATACCCAATTTCTCAAAT
This sequence comes from Homo sapiens, assembly GCF_000001405.40. NCBI lineage: Eukaryota > Metazoa > Chordata > Mammalia > Primates > Hominidae > Homo > Homo sapiens. The sequence continues at coordinate 47,731,978 of NC_000015.10, read as the reverse complement.
CTGTTAAGGAAACAGGATGGGTTTCCAACCTACGTCTGTCTGACGTTGAAGGCTATCATTTAAAATCTCTATAGGGGCACATGTCTATGTGTGGTGTGTTATATTTTTATATATGTCTATATTTACATACACCTATGTATAGCGTGGACATATGTACATACATATACATATATGTGTAGTGAAGGTGATATCTATGGTAGCATAACCATTTATCATATATTTTGAATCTTTGATGGAGTGTTAAAGACAGCAGGAATAATTGTGGAAAAAGGCAACAAAATAAATCAAATGGCAAGAACTGGGTAAAGTAATAATTACCAAGTTTTTTTATGCATTGGAAGTTACTTATCTGCCTTCCCATGGATCAGATAATTCAAGCTCTGTTCTTGCAGCTAGCTGGGACATCACTTCAGGTGACATCTGCATTAGACACTTATCAACCTGTACAAAGACCATGCTCAATGAGGGCTACCATACACTCTCCCTTTTTCATAGAACACTTTGCCAATCTATGAAGGCATTCTCTTTCTCTTTGTCCTTGGATGCAGGCCTACAAATTTCTGAAGCACAAGCTGTAACAGCCACTACCAGTAAGTCAGGTTTGGCTCTCTACTTTGAAACTCATTTGCCTTCTCAGTTCTATGTGTTCAACCGGGGGCGGGGGGGCAGTGGCTCTTTGGGGATATAACTGAAAATTACTGGGAAATTGTGCAAAGGTAAGGCATCGACCCCTGAGAGCTGAATGAGGTGCAATTACTGCTAACTGAAAATATTATCTATGTATTTCTGAAAATTGAGTCTCAAAACTATATTAGCAGCAATGAAGTTTACGTGATCCCAAAAGAAAAGGGCAAAGTGTTGCAAAATGTAAATGGCAATAATAAATTTGAGAAGTTGGACTATCTGTGTGTCTGTCTCTTTTCACAGGTAGCTACATGCACATTCATGAAGTAGATTAATATTTTCTAAAATCAGCATGGTATTTGATTGTACTGCTTAGGTAATTAAAATAGGAAGATTGCTCTCTCCTCCCGCTGCCCAAGATGCTGAAAGGAAAGAAGGCCAAGGGAAAGAAGGTGGCTCCGGCCCCTGCAGTCGTGAAGAAGCAGGAGGCTAAGAAAGTGGTGAATCCCGTTTGAGCAAAGGCCTAAGAATTTTGGCATTGGACAGGACATCCAGCCCAAAAGAGACCTCACCCGCTTTGTGAAATGGCCCCACTATATCAGGTTGCAGCGGCAGAGAGCTATACTCTATAAGCGGCTGAAAGTGCCTCCTGCGATTAACCAGTTCACCCAGGCCCTGGACCGCCAAACAGCGAGCTGCATAAGCTGGCCCACAAGTACAGACCAGAGACAAAGCAAGAGAAGAAGCAGAGACTGTTGGCCTGGGCCGAGAAGAAAGCTGCTGGCAAAGGGGATGTCCCCACGAAGAGACCACCTGTCCTTCGAGCAGGAGTTGACACCGTCACCACCTTGGTGGACAATAAGAAAGCTCAGCTGGTGCTGATTGCACACGACGTGGATCCCATCGAGCTGGTTGTCTTCTTGCCTGCCCTGTGTCGTAAAATGGGGGTCCCTTACTGCATTATCAAGGGGAAGGCAAGACTGGGACGTCTAGTCCACAGGAAGACCTGCACCACTGTGGCCTTCACACAGGTGAACTCGGAAGACAAAGGCGCTTTGGCTAAGCTGGTGGAAGCTATCAGGACCAATTACAACGACAGATACGATGAGATCCGCCGTCACTGGGGCGGCAACGTCCTGGATCCTAAGTCTGTGGCTCGCATCGCCAAGCTCGAAAAGGCAAAGGCTAAAGAACTTGCCACTAAATTGGGTTAAATGTACACTGTTGAGTTTTCTGTACATAAAATAATTAAAATAATATAAATTTTCCTTCAAAACTAAACTAAACTAAACTAAAATAAAATGGGAAGATAAACATAGCATTAAGGGATCTCACTACTAGAAAGAACTCTGGAGGTCATATAGACTCTCTCCCGCCCATCACCACCTCTCTTTGTCCTAAGGAGAAAACTAAGGCTAGCAAGGCCAGTCCTTGTCCACAGATAATCTGGTTGTCTAACAGTTCAGCTAGGCTGTGTTCTTCCAGACTCTCAGCTCCTTTTTCGAATTGCTCTGACAGCCTTTTCAGTAATGAGCACACATTTTGAACTTTAAAGTTACATTAAACCAGAGATTAGCTAAGTGTGTAGTGAAGAGAAGAGCGGGAGAGATGGGTAAGAGAGTGAGGGAGGGATCTCTGATAGCTTTCTACAGTTCTTTGGAAACCTAGCAGAATATAGGCTCTGGATTTTCTGATTGGCCTCTGTGGGTATCAATCCTCACAGGCTGGAAATGGACTTGGCTATCAGCAGATGGAGTGGGGTGATCTTACCTGACAAACCCCATCCAATCTGCCAAGGGGCAGTGCCAGAGCCAGAAAATGATGGCCCAACTGCCCCTGCCATCCTTCTTCAACTACCCTTTGCTGAACTAGTAGTTCCATTAAAACACATTCCTATAGACCTCCAAAGTGGTCCCTTGGCCCCCAAAATGCTCCTTGTTCCTTCAGTTATCCAGTGAAAGACAAATGGATTCAGGGATCCCTGTAAATCTGGTTAATTGGATAAATAATATACACCCTGAGAAGAAATAAATGAACGACTCCATGTACAAAGCAGGACTTGAAGATCAGGAGGTCAATGTTTGTGTTGTTACTACTATGATGATTATATTTAAAAGTCCCCAATGGATTAGTCTAAAAGCAACAGGGCTTTTCTCACCACTCACATTCTATGATTTTATTGTTTGCTTCACTGATTAAATCGAAGGGTTTATAGTGAGTAATTGAGATGCTGGACTTTGAAGTGACAGCCTTGGGTGTGAATTCTGACTCTGGCCGCACGCTCCTAGCAAGGTACTTCACTGTGGGAGGAAGAATAATGTCCACACCCCTCAAAGATGTCCATGCCGTAATCCCTGGAATGGGTAAATATGCTGCCTTACATGGCGAGAGGGACTCTGCATTATAATTAAGTAATGGATATTAAAATAGGGAGATTATTCTGGATTATCTGAGTGGTCCGAAGCTAACCACAAGGGTCCTTTGAAGATGGAAGAGAGAGGCAGAAGAGTCGGAGAGGGAGAAGTGACTATGGAAGAAGTCTCAGTCATAGGATTGCTGGCTTTGAAGATGGAGGAAAAGGGTCACGTGTGAGAAGAAATGAAGACAGCCTGAGAAGCTGGAAAAGGCAAGGACACATTCTCTCCTGGAGCTGCTATCTGGATTTTAGCTCAGGGAAACCCGTTTCAGACTTCTGACCTCCAGAACTAAAATAATACATCTGTGTGGCTTTAGGCCAATGCGTTTGTGGAAATTCGTTACAACAGCGATCGGAAACTAAGTGATGCTCCTTGAGCATCTGTGTCCTCATCTATAAAATGAGAGGTAAAACTAAGTGCCCCAAAAGGCTGATATGAGCATTAGATGAGAGAATGTAAACAAAACTTCAGTGCTTGGCACAGATTAAGAACTCAATAAATGTTTGCTGTCATTATGTTTATGATGTCACCACACAGAGTATGAATTTATATATGGCTGATTATAATAAAGTGATTCCCCAAAGTATATTTCATTGTATCATAATAATACTTTTCACTAGAGCAGCACCTATCTGGTTTTTATGAAGCACTTTTGTCCATACTGTCTTATTTAATGCTCATTCTAATCGTGCAGGGTGAGTAAGGGATCCACAGGTGAGGAAACTGAGTCTCCAAGTGGGGAGTGCTTTCCTTAGGTAACTCAGAAGCTCATTCTGTTGGCCAGGGCTGGAGTACAGGGCATCTGCTTCCAAATGCAGTATGCTCCCAGCTTCATTGTGTGGCTTATAGAAATACACACATACGGTACACAGAAGCTTAATATGAAACAAAAATGATAAAGCCAAATGATGATGGGGGTTGTTCACTGCAACCCAAACCATTTCCCATATGATCTCAGCCAGCGGAGCTTTCTGCTGGGCCTCCAGCTCTTCCAAGCACGGCTTGAGCACTCTCTCTAATGCATCTAGTCAATTGTGCAAAGCACAAGGGAAAAAATTCCATCCTGACCGCAGCAGGCAATCACCTTATGCCCTGAAGCATGAAGTTTGATTACCCTTATCTCAGTTTATCATTAAATCAAAAACTGTTGCTATGAATACTGGCCCAGGACTTCATTTATGAAATGATATAGGCCGGTCAGCAGAAATAAGTGAGTGCCCTTTTTCTTTCATAATTTCTGCTCACTATAAAGATCCTTTGCAAACTGGGGGGGTTGGGGGGGAAGCCACTTTAGCTCTGAGCAGATTTTATTACTTTCTTTAGTCTTTCATGAGCTAGCTGGGATGTCTTCAGCTCATAATCATTCTCTTCGTGCCGTAGGCAAGAGGTCTTAGATCTACTACTGAGTGGCCTGCCAACAGTAGCCCTGAGGTCTAGCACCTTGTTTGGATAGAAATCTGCATTTTAGCAAGATGCCAGGCAATCTGTAGGCACACTGATGTTTGAGGAGCTCTGGCTACACTAGAGCACCATTTCTCAAAATGTGGTGAAGGGACAATGGGCACAAGTTACCTGAAGTGTTCCTTAAAAACACAGACTACTGGGCTTCATTCCAGACGCAGCGAAACAGACCCATTGATGTTGGAGCTCTGGGAATCTGCATTTTAACCCTATATGATTGTGAGGAAATTTAAAGTCTGAAGACCACTGGTGGAGATCAAAGATGTGCGTGACGACAGAGATGGCCTGGAGTGTGCTTAAATTTTTATGACATTATTCAGATTTTTAATAGCCCCAGGGCCACCAGCACAGAACATGTGCTAATTATCCATGTTTAGTCCTTCAACAGTACCGACAGTGGAAGCCAGATTTTTGACACCACAATTCTGAAACAGCTGACATCGGGGTTAGGAATCTTCAAAAGGGTGCCAAGGTCTAGGGTAAATCTCCAGCCCACTGAACCTCTCCTTCTAAATTCCCCTTTCCAGTTTGGCTGAATGTGTGGCAAGTATAGTGAGTGGGAGTGCAGGGTAGCTGTTGTGGAACTGGCCTCAAGGTACATATATCAGTTAAAGAAATAGGATAAAATCACATGTGAAAAGACAGCACAGTACAAGGGCTAAAAGCATAGGCTCTGGAGCCAGCCTGCATTTATTTTTATTTAACAGACACTGATATATTTATAGCACTCACTACATGCCAAGCACTATTATAAGTGCTGTTCAAATATTAATTCATCTGTGTCTCACAACACCCCTAGGAGGTGGGTATTACCACCATCATCCACCTTTTATAAGGTGAAAATGAGTCTCAAAGAGGTGAAGTAATTTGTTAAAGATTACACAGCTTATCAGTCACACTCCAAAACTCACAGCCCCCACGAAGTTGACTCCAAGAGTTCATGTTCTTACTCACACTGCCTATCATGGGTCCAGGTACCCTGGTTCCACTAGTCACTAGCTGTTTGACCCTAGGAAAATGACTTCATCACCCATGACTCAGTTTCCTCCTGTACAAAATGAGAATATTCCTAATAATGTTACTCACGTCAAAGAATGCTGATCAAATGATTTAATACATGTTCTTAAAAGTGTACCAGGCACATAGTAAGCACTCAATATATGTTGGCTCTTAGTTAGCTATTAGTCCTATACTCCCAGAGGTAGAGTGAGGATTAAATTAGATAACATATTTGAAGTGCTAGGCACTGTGCCATGGCACATGGTAAGCACACAGTAAGTGCTAGCTGTTATTATTAGTCTAGTTGAACCAGGCCAGTTTATTTTAGATCCCGTCTGTAGGCAAGTGTGCTCTGCGCAGGGGGAGGCAGCTTGCCCTTCGCTTCAACAAGCAACGGGGTGGGAGCCAGACCGATTACTAAACTAAACAGGTTCTCTGCTTTATGTCACTCGAATATTCCTGAAGAGTTCCCAACATTGAATTTGTATATGCTTAATCCTTTTTCCCTATTGACCTATTTTATAATTTCTGATTGATCTTTAATTGGCAGTGATTCTTCAGACTTAAGATTCGTCTCTAAGACTATCTGTCACATAACTATTAACTTGTAACAGACTTAAATATACCATGGAAAATTGAACCCCTGGAGCAATTCTTGGCAAAGCAATTGACTTGATCATTCCCTAATGTAACTGTTTTCATTTTATTTTTCCTTTATTATGTGTTTTAATAAGCATACTTATACTACACAGAACTTCTGGTCTTTCCTGTTTTGAAGCTTATTACCTCCACTATTAAACTTAACCATGGATTGATTATACTTTATGTTAATCAAAGGGTTAATGATGGCTTGGGAACTCTAATGTCTAAACAGGTTATCTTGGGTGAGGGGGTTGAGTATGGCAGGACCAAGGGGGAAGGTGAGGGAGGTGGGAAAGTGGGGGACTGGGGACCGTTAGTGGCAGATGAGTTTATCTGGAAGACTCAGGCCCTGAAAGGGGTGCTGATTCCCCCTGGGAACCTTAAAATGAGATTTTCCAAAAGGAAGTATTAAAAACGTTCCAAGTCATTTCCCTTTTCTCTATTAGGAAAAGGTTGTCATAGCTCCAACCTCATTCCTTTCAGTTTACCAGCCATGATAAACTATATCTGCAATGTAATAAAAGTTAAACTCAATTAGCGCATTTATTAAAACACTTGCTGCATATCTACTATGTGTCACTCCCTCTGCTAGCTTACAGTGATGAGCATGCACTATAGCCTCAAAAAACCTGCAGTCTAAGCAGCACCTAGAGTCCAACTCATATGAGCATGGTTTCAATATGTGTCTATCCTCTCTTCCACTTCCTATCTTCACATTCCCTTCTCTCCCCTCCAAAAATCCTCATATACATATGCGACGTATTCTTTATTTTAGAATCTACATCTAAAGCCTTTTCAAGTTTAAGAAAAAAGATGAAGCCAGTGAAGCCACAGACTTTCAGTTTGGTTCTGCTAAACAACTCTATGAGAGGAACTTGGTGCTGGGTAATTTGAGGCAAATCATCTTACTCCTTGCAACGTTCATGTGTATCACTGAACCAGTTGGCAGCTGATGTGCGGGTTTTAGTCCTGATCACGGAGCAATCTAGTGAATTGCCACAAGATTGATCCTATTCATTCTGATGGCTTAAGCTGTAGGGCCATCTGCTGAATGGCTAAGTATAGTAGACCAGAGACGCTCAATAAATATTTGTGGATTGCATGGCAAACTGCCTCTTCACACCTGAATTACAAGTCTGTTGTAGGTAAGGGCATAAATATGGACAACTGATCTAGACCCTCACCCCCACCCCACCCCTGGGCTTTTGCCTAAGCTGTTCTCTATGCCTGGAATTCCCTCCCTCTCAACACCTCCCCCACCACCCCTCACTGTCCACCTGTCCAAATCCTACCTAGTTCAAGAACCAGCTCAAATATCAGTGACTCCACAGAGCCTTCCCTGACCACCCTAGCCAGAAATAACCTCTCACTCTTCTCAATTTCCCTAAGTCTGTGTATATCTTTTCTGGCACTTAAAACACACAGCGTTTCAGCTATTTGTACACCTTGTTTTTCCTACAGCACGCAGTAAGATCCCTGACCTCTGGAATTGTGTGATGCTCCTCTTTGGGCCCTCTCCTGCCCTGTACCCACTTGTACAGAGTAGACCCAGGGTAAAAGTTAGCTGAATGAACAAATGTTAGTGCCAGCAATGGCAAGAACAACTGCAACATTCTTTATTCCTTCTTCTGCCTCCTCTTCTCCCTCTGTAGCTTTTAAAAATATCTTTATTTGATCCACCAATTACCCAGAGGAGGCCTGAAGACTTACTGATAAATAAAGACAACTCTGTAGACCAAAAAATGCTTGCAAAGACCCTTATACTAACAAGTGAGGCGTAGGCCAGTGGAGAGGGGAATCTCAGTCCCTGCTTTGCTGACAGCCTGCTCCTGGGGAGTAGAAGTGTTATTTTCTCAAAGAGCTTCGTCTGCTCTGGTTCTTATGTGCCAGTTCCTCAGCTGAGTAGAAACTCCTGACGTTATTTTTAAGTACAGACTCCAATAATAGGCTAAGTAATTGCAGATCTTCCTGAGGCCTTATTATATATGTACCAACATATTGGGCTTTAAAAACCCATATTCCTTCCTGTAAATATATGTTGAGAACCTTACATTTCAGTATTATGTGTAGTGGTCATGTGTATTTCCCTTTTTGTTTCTTCTCATAGAGATCCTGAATAAAAAAAGAACAAAAAAAAATGCTGATGCATGAGAGAGAATTAAATGCTGATGCATGAGAGAGAATTTCTCAACAATGTATCTGATTGAAAGATTTTCCCTCCATCATAACTAAGAAAAATGTATAGTACAATCTAATAGAGACTTTAACTTCAGTAATACACTTTCCATACTGGTGCCACTAATGCTTGAACAGCTGCAGCTCTCACTGTCTTTGCTGATGGGGCCCATAAATTCCCCCCGGGAAATGGGACAAAGATACGTAATGGATCTTCACCTGCCAAGATCAGGGAAATGAATGTCAATCACACCCGGACGCAGAAGCACTTTTTGGTGGAGAGTGATGAATATTGCCATTTGTCCTATGCCACTGTAATCTTGGACAGGAAAGCCTAACATGGAGAAAAATGGTGGGAGAAGATACCGTTCTAGGATGCTTGAAAAGAAGGGTGTGTAATAATTATACGGCCAATGGAAATAAAAAATGAAAGTAAAGTATAACAATGTGATTTAGATTAGAAAAAAGATGGTAATTTAAGAGCACATCCACCGTGTACATATAATTTCACTCAGTACGCAATTTTCCCCCAAAACATGACTTTTTCATTGAAAAGCAAATGTCAGAAGTATTAGGAAGTCAGAAAACTGCAGGGTGGTCTGTGTTCTTGGAAGCAATCCGGTGCAGTGGTGAAAAAGTGGGCTGAGATGTCGGGAAGCCTAAGTTCAAATCCTGCCCCTACCACCTTTCCATTATGTAACCTCAGGAAAATGACAGCTTCTCAGCACCTCACTTTGTTTACCAATAAAGCAGTGATAATAACAGAATTCACCTTACAGAGCTGTCTGAGGGTTATATGATATAACCAATATAAAGATCTTAGGACGGTGCCTAGAATTTAGTAAGCTAACATTAAGTGTTAAGTATTGTGGTTGCTGCTGTTCTTTCCTCTTCTTCCTCCGCCTCCATCATCATCACCATCATCCTTCAGATGTTTTGTGGCTGATTTCACTAGTAAATGTTATGGAGAGAAGAAAGACTACATGCTAACTCACACCCAAACATGAGGCAGTCTCCCCTTGACACATCAATTTCCAAAAACTGGATTCCTAATTATGAAAGTTTAAACATCCAAACAAAAAAGCCTGGCAACATAACCTACAGATGTAGCCAGCTAATTCATGTTATTCTTGCTTTAACAAGCAATGGCTACTATAACAGATATCTTATTGAGTAAAAAGAAGAAAACAAAACAAAAAAAAAGCGACAGAAAGTTTCGGCACTAGTACACACGGGCCCCATATTTAGGTACATCGCGTGTTCTTTGTGAAAAGGGATGTAGCAATAACTTGCTCAGTTCACCAAAAAAGGTCTTTTTTCTATCTTCAGTCATTTGGGATCACAGGCTGAAGGCTACTTCATTCCTTTCTTCCCCTTTTCAAGTAGACTCAAGTTCTGAAGGTGTAAGATGAGTGGTGGCTGAATGGCTCCTTCTAATTCTGTGATTCTGGTGGTTTGATCTTACAGGCCTCAAGAATCTTTCCTGTGGTGGTATAAGGTTGGGGCAAGCCTCCTTTTAAATGGAACACACCATTGCAAGGTGGCAAGGACTTTCAGTAGCTGTGACCCCAGAACTGGATGAGGGGCCTGGGACAGGTTGCCAAACAATGGAAACTTCCCGTTCTGGGTGTTAACTTTAGTTACCACAGGCAGACAATACTGCCAGTGGTATAGAAGAAAAAATTGCTGTAGCCAGCTGTGCTGTTCACAGCCGGATGGATTCCATGTAGCTCCAAATGGTGATAGAGCCAGCAGCCTGTTGTAGCCAAGGACAGGATGATGGATGATCTACATACTGTGTCCAAGCAGAGAGAATGGCAGAAGTTCACTTCAGGGTTGTTAAAATGCTAATCTGGGTGAGTTAACAAAAGCTTAATAGAAAAGGAAAGTTTGAGAAATAAGTACACCTCATGTGGTATCTGTGTGGACCACTGATTTGATCGCCCTTGGTTACATAAATGGTTGTTTTTCAAAGTAAGAACGTCTAGTAGTTTTCCTGTTGGGAGAAATGCAAGCAGCTTCAATTATCAGTGGCACTGCCAGTGTTGTCAGGTGTGAGGAGGAAAACTCCACCTGACAATAGCCACCTCAACTAGAAAGTGTTATGGTATGTTTAAAATAGTTATGTGATTTTTATTCTCTCCGTGTGTCATGGGAATAAATCAGAACACTTTTTTTTTCCCCAATTGGAAGTTGGCAGCTGTTCACAAAATCAGCGGCAACCCAAGACACTAGCTTTGGTAGATATTAACACTAAGTCTCCATTCACATGAGCCACAGAAAGTGAGATCTCTCACTCTAAGGACAGATTCAATGCGTGAATTACACTTAACAGTACATTGAATCATTCACTAGTGTTAAAGGCAGGTAGGCTGCACCACTGCAAATATCTGGTATGGATAATCTTGCTTTAAAATCTCTAGAATAAAATAATACACTTCTAAAGAAAGAAGCATATCTACATTTCTTGTCAAAAGGTCTGTTTTCCCATCCTTTATTTCCTTCTATTTTTGCTCTATTGAAAATACAGAGAAACATATCTGGCTCACCTGGTGTTGGAACACTGGCTAGCACAGCTCCTTGCAAATGATAAATATTCAGTAAATACTGCCTAGTTGGCATACCCCAACTGCTTCTTGCTTCCTCTAGAAAGGCATCTAGAATATGCAGGCTTAAAGTCTATCAATTAAAATAAAAGACAATATTTTATCACGCAATATAACAAGGAAAGAGTTCACCTCCTACGGTTACACTACTAATGGTTAGGCATTCAGCCAGGCTCTTAACTCTGCATAAAATGCATCAAAAGGGTGAAAAATGACCCTATTTCAGATGCATTTTTCACTCTTTGTATCTTAGTGAAACTCACATGCAAGAACAATGACTAAGCTAATTACCAAGGTTTATTATGATGGAGCAGCAAGAAGTGAAGAACTTCTCCAGTTTCAATAAGTCTTTAGCAATTATGGCCATCTTTGTGAATCAAGGCTCTGATTCCTGTTTACTTGCTTGTGGCCTTTCAAGCGACAGAAACCACGACATTGATGTAGGGGCCTGCTTACCCCAGTCACAGTTACTGGACAGAGCCTTTCTGTGCATGCAGCAAGGAACTGAAGTCTTCTGGATTTCTAAGTTGTCCTCACTCTAAGGACTAACGGATTTACATCACAGCCATCTTTCAAATCCATCAACCCATCAAACCAGGGGAGACATGACCAGATGGTGCTATTAGAGGGCACCAAAAGAAAAAAAGAGAGAAAGAAGAGGAAGACGGCAAAATGCCCACAAATCTAAATCAAACTCAAGTTAACCAGCTGTTGGTGATGAAGAAGTCACAACATTTCTGGCATACTCTCCTGAGTCACAGAAATGTTCCAAAAAAAAAAAAAAAAAAAAAAAGAAAGGTTATTGATATAGCATCCCTACGAGGAATAAGGCCAGGTAGGAATATTCTGTAGGATGCAGTAAGAAATAGTTGCTAGTTGTTAATCTAACAAAATGTGCCAATGAAAGAAAACAGTCTGCTCAACAACACATTTTGGAAGCCTTAGGGTTATCTATTTAACTGTCTTTCTGGAAGTACATTCTAAGAGACCTAAACCAAACAAAGCACAGACAGTAACTATAAAAAACAAAACTCAGCTATGGCTGAACTATGGTTTATTTATCTCTAGATGTTTAGGTTCATGGTAATATAGACCCAAATCTCAGAGCTTATCTGGCATTTTCTATTTATCTAAGCCAGAGTAAATGTTTGTGTAATATCTGCCAGCTTGAAAGAATATGCCTGTCACTCACTACATTAAACATGACTACACACAACTTAATTTCCTGAGTTAGACACCTAAGAGAGTAAGGGGATTTATTTTTTAACAGCAAGAGTAAACCAGTATCAAAAGCTACTGTTTTTAAGCCACCAAAGGAGAGTAAAATCCTTCCCTTGAGCGGTCTGAGATGAGATTTCTTTATACTACAAGGAAGAAACCTTGAAAATTTTCTTCAAACAAGTATTTTTCCTATTCTAAGGGACAGAGATCAAACCAGTTTAGAAAAATGTTAGACCTTTCCCAGGGACTTCAGCTTTGGAATAAACAAAATAATCCACTTAATGGCCCCAAATATCAAGTAGGGGGAAGGGCAACCTTAAAAAGCACCCATAATTTTTATTACAGACTTAAAATTCTTACCGCCAGAAGTTTTGGGGAAAAATCGTCCTACTCATTGCCCTTTCACCCCAAGTAACAGGAAACACTACAGTTATTTTTAAAGGAAAGCCCCCGCTGTAGTGGCAGACATAAGGTCCAATGACTGTTGACGAAGTCTATATATCTATAGTAACGATGTGCTGCGCCTTCCCTGTGAGATCATCCAGCTGACGGCGCTGAGGGCTCGGGATGCTGGAACATCAGTTACCGAATGGTCACCCCAGAACAGGGAGTACTGCCCTAAGTTCCTCAAACGCTGCGATTCATACCGGGACTTCAATCCCCCTCCACACCCCCACCCCCGCCAGCTCCCTGACATTTCGCCTTTTAACAAGTTCAGGATTTAAACAATCACCTGACAGCAATGGTCCCAAGAGTGGATGGAGCACAAATTTTTCAAACCCAATTCTCGTGCACACTTCCAAGTCCTTTATGACCTTTCATTTCAATCCAAGAATTACACATGACAGAAGAAGCTTCAAGCCCTCCTAAATTACCCAAGGAAGGAGGCTACTGTATCAGTTTCTGCAGACCAGGGACAAACACCGCCGCTGTCAAGACGGGAAATAAAAGTTTCCCTACCTTCCTCCTCACCATGCCCCTGCCAGCGGCTGCCGGCGCGAGCGGCGGCTCCCTCCCGGCTGCAGAACGCCTCTCGTTGCCGGAGAAGGGGCTCAGCAAAATTGACTCTTCCTTATTTGTTTCCATCCATAATTGATGGGGAGATGAGAACGTAACACATCTCAGCACCGAGCTCTTGTCGCCTGGCGGAGACCCTGTCCAAGACGCTTCCGTAAAGCATTTCCAGTCGGGGAACAAAGCACGGAAAGTTGCTGGGTAGAGCGGCCGGGAGGAGACACCGGGAGCCGGGTGGGCGGTGGGGTGGCCGGTGGGCTGCTCCGGGCCCGGGAGTCCGCCCGCAGCGCGCTCTGCCAGTAAGGGGAGAGGGACGGTGGGAAGCGGCCGCCCTCCGGGCCTGGGCCGGGGATGGGGATGGCCAAGTCACCCGAGCTCCCGCCCCTCGCCGGCAGGCACTACCCGGGGGCCGTGCAATCCGGGCGCTCACTGACAGGTATCCTACGCCCGCGAGGGGCTGCTCCGGCCTCAACTGCGGCGCTGCGCCCCTTCTCCAGGACGCAGGCTAATGCTCGCCCGCCCGCTCCTAGCCGGGCGCAGAGCTGCCAGACCCCGGGCGTCCCAGCGTCCGCTCTGGGGCCAACGGGCGGGAGGGGGCGGCTAAGCCCGCAGGCGGCTCCTTCGGCCTTGGCTCAGCTCTCCCCGGCTGGCTCCTGGAGACGCTGTGCCCGGCAGAGAAGCAACCCCTGCTAACCCCAGCTATGTGCGGGGGACGCCGAGCTGGCTCTGCCTGGCAAGAAACTTTTACTTGATGCCCCCTCCGCTTTTTTTCCAAGGGGGTGCACAGTGGAGGAGGGCCTCCAAGTCCACTTGCCCCTCCCCCTAAGCCGCCAGCTTTGCCAGTTTTGACGCGTCCGCCAAACCTCTCTAGCCCTTTGCGCGTCCCTTGCACGGCAGGCAGAGAGAGCAGCTTGGAAAATAAATCAACTGTCCAGTGGCAACACACACACACACACACACACACACACACACACACACACACACACAGCGATTCGGGATCTCAGGTTCCGACCCCCACCGCGCGCACACACACACACACACACACACACACAGCGATTCGGGATCTCAGGTTCCGACCCCCACCGGGCGCCACAAGAGCATTAGCAAATTGTTGAAAACGGTCTTACCTCATTGGGGGGAGGCTGGTAAGAAAAAAGAAAAAGAAAAAAAAAAGCTTGCCACGCGCAAGGAAGAAAGAAAATAAAGAAAAATATTGTAAAAATAGATATCCCTCTGTCTCCTTAGGTCTTGGCTTCCTTGATAGAATCCTGAAACTCGCCACCACCCCTTGCAGCAGCAGCAGCAGCAGCGGGACAGAGCAGGAGCAAAACAAACCGATGCACGGCAAATGGTGTAATTCGATCCATCTCCAAGTCAATCCATCAGGCGAGCCGGAGCCTGGCTCCCTCCACGCACTCGGCAGCTCCCGGCGCGGGTCCCACCCCCGGGCACGGACGGCAGGAGGCGCGGCCGGCCGGGCGCGCTCGCCCTCGCGGGTGAACCGTGGCCAGCGCCGCCTGGAGGCCCCCACCCTGGCGCCGCGGCCCTGCTGACCCCTCGGTGGCCTCCGCGTCCCTCCTCTCCGGCGCTCTGCTGCGCACCCTCCCTCTCCCCACCTCTGAGTAGCTGCTCCTTCTAGCAACTCCCAGTGCCTCAGTCATCCAGCTCGCAGTGGGTGCTGCAGCCTGCGAAGCAACCTTTTCGATTCCCTCCCTCTTTCCCTCTCGCTCACTTCTTTCAGAGCTTTCCTCCAGAACCCAGAGGACAAATCACTGCAGCCCAGGAGAGCTGCGGGCGCAGTTGTTCCGTGAAGTTCTGCCTTAGTTTTCCAGTGTAAGATTTATTTTTTAAGCACATCTTTACAAACCCGCCCCCACATTACCCCCCCGCCCCCCATTTCTCTTTATAACCACTAAGCAAAACAGCTGGGAAGAAAGCAATCAAACATTGCTTTATCTTTATAAAATACAGAAATTGCCTACTAAAAATCCCATTTCTACTTTGAATGAAAGCCATTCTGTACAGTATAATTTTGCAGGCTAATGACCCGGTTTTACAGGCAAGTGTTTCATGTAATATGTTGTGGGAGAAATGAAAATGTCCTTGAAGTGACATCATTTAAAATTGACTGTCACAAATGAAAGGAAAAAAAAAGTCACATATTCCAAAACAAGAGGATTTTAATTCAAACTTCATTTCCAAGAACGGGCTGTGTTTTATTAATTTCCAGTTGAATTATGGATCACTGAGGGCTCTAAATGGCTAGAATGAACCATGATGCCCCTGTTTAAAGAAAAAGAAGAGAGCTTTTTCCGCCAAACTTAATTTTCATTTGAGTATGGTTAATTACCGTGAAAGAGAGAAGAGAGGGGCGCAGAAAGGACTTCCTTTCCTCAATGGTTCCTGCTTTCTCCCAAACACAGTTACATGTTTACATTTAGGAAAAATACCCTGGTCCTCGTTGTTTCTGAAACTTCCAAGGACAGCCTTGAAAAGGAACTCAAAAAAGACACCCCAAGCAACTGCTGCAGGACTCATCCGGAGAACTATTTCCTCCCTAGTTAACACTGTGTAACCCAAGGAAAGAAGGGGAGAGAAGGATGAGGAGTCTTTTAAAATATAGACTCTTTCCTGCTGTTCTTCCAATTAGAAGAAAAGAGTAGGGGGCGGAAAGAACAGCTTTGGCAACACAGCTCTGTGATTTTTTTCCTGTTGTTATTAGGTCTTTTGTTGGCCGGCTAGTTGGTGTTTTCTGGTTGTGCTGGGCTCTGACATCATTGCAAGTTACTTGGCAGTCAGGGCCCTTCCCCAGCCAACTTCTGACCCAGAAAGCTGTGCCTGTTTCCTGGCGTCCAGTTATTCTGTATTTTCTCCATCAAGGGAGCAAGCCCCCGTTGCAGGCAGAGGATACTGTGCATTGCATAAAGATTGCAAGGGGGTGGCCATTGGCTTGATGAGGAGTCAAATCGCCACCCACCTGGAGACAGAAAGCTCTTGAGTTGTCCTGCATCTGCAGTAGCAGCAAAGAGGGAAAAAAAATTAAATTCTGGAGATTCCTAAATTCCTTGCTAAAATTCCACAATCGTCAGCTTTCCAGAGTGCCACCTGAAGAGTGCAATTTGCCCTAGACTGAGTTCCTAAATCCAGGAAAAAATAAACTTTTAGATTGCAGAAGGATATGCTGGTAGGTCGTTTCAAGCCATGGATTAGCCGTGTTTTCAGTCTACATTATCAGTGAAGACTTCGGAGTCGATCCCTATATTTGGCTTGCTGGGGATGAGAGGTAGGAAGTAGGCTCTTCACTGTGGCATGGTACGAATGGTATCCTTTACCTTTTGGTCAAGACCAAAATATTACTTTTAAGCATTTATCATTTCCCTGGTTCCAAGAATCTTGATAGGAAAACAACGCTCCTTTTATTTGGATTTTAGTGGAAAGAAGTCTAAGGAAAACTGCTAACTCTTTATGCAGCTACCATTGTTGTGGTTTATTAGCATTTGGTCTCATCAGTTGATTTTACACACTTTTAACCTTTTAACTTTGCTACTTCTCCAGTCTAACTCCCCCCTCTCCCTACCTTATGCTTTAGATGCTAGCATTACCCAGAAACTTGCGGTTCACCACTGTGCCACACTGTTTCATGGTGTCTCTGCTTTCTGGGTACTCCATCCCCATATTGGTATGTAGTTTAATTTCTGCTTTTCCTGACTTCTAGCCAACAATTTGTTTAAATGTCAAAACTTGCCTCATCCCACTAGCCCCTACCATGGGCATAAGTGCTTTTCTTCTGTGCTCCCCTAACCAGTTCACTTACGTAATTAAGTAAATTGAAGGCAAATTACCGATTTAGCATGTCTTCCCCACTCGACACTCCTTAACAGCAGCAATCTCTATTTACCTAGACAGTCCCAGTGCCCACCACAGTGCCTGGCATTTAATGGACGCCCAATAAATACTTGTTAAACAGATCTAACAATGGAACCTACGACTTTCTCACACTCCCTTATGTGCTAAACCAGAGAATACAGTCAGCTCTAGATTGGATCCTTCTCCATTTATTCATCCTGCGTCCCCAGGACTCAGCAAAGTACTGGCATGAGAATGTTTGTTAAATGAGTAAAAGAAGGAAGGTATGGATGAATGGAGATAATTGAGTGTTTTCACCAGAAGAAATTGTAAAGGGCTCAATGCTTTACATGGTTAGTGATTATGCTTAAACATTATCTACATACATTTCCCATCAGTGGAAAGTAGTCATTTTGTTTACAGTCCAGTTTGAAGCATAACGGTCATCTGAAAATTACAGAAAATCTGTGTGTGTAATTGTTAATAAAAGTTCATCAGTCATCAGAAAGTACAACTTCTTAACTGTTATTAAACAAAACATCAGTACTTAATATGCACCCAAACTCTGTTCTAAGCATTTTACAAATATTAACTTGCAACAATGCTACAAGGTAAGTACTATTATTATTATTATCATTTTTATAGATGAGAAAACTGAAGCTTAGAGAGTTTAAGTGAATTGCCTAATGTCACAGAGTAGTAAGCAAGTAGGAGTTGAATTCTACCCCTTACTTAGTTGTAATAGTAGTTAATAATAGTGAGGTCATAGTTAATAGCAATAGATGATAATGAAGTCTTTGGAATATTAGTCTGGATTGAAACCCAGGCTCCTCCTCTCACTAGACTTGTGACTTGGGATAATTTATTTAGCCACACATGCTTCAGTCTTCTCATCTGGAAAACAGGGATGATGATAATAATATTCAAATTGATTTTATAAAAACAGAATGTGGTAATGCATGTAAAGTGTTTAGCATCTGACCTGGAACAAAGCAAGCACTGAATAAATATTAAACAATGCTTTTATAGATTCTCCAAAGGCAGCAGAATCTGGGAATCCTGCAGAATTGAATTTGAAACTTAATCCAACCTCACATTAAATGTGAGATTAAGGGCAAAAGTCCATGCTACACAATAGGTTTGCAATAAATGTTTGTTCCATTCCATCTCCTTCATTTTCTTATCTATGTGTATATGTCTATTAATTCTGATACACACACCACTCACTATCCAGTTGATATGAAATAACATTTTGTATGAATTTTAATGAATAATAAAATTTAGGACGTAGAATTTCATGTTTCAAAATAAAAAGAGGTATTGAAATTTCAAAGGTTGCTGCAGCTTCTGTGATTACTTTGATTTGGAATGCACATATAGTATTCCTTGCGTTCGCACATTATAGAAAGTGCTTTTGTGGCAAGGGATTGCTTTCAAAACTAATCTAAGCTCTCCATGACATGATAAATCATTAATAATATAGACCCAAATCTCGGCATCTGCATAGGCACAGCTGGCCTCCTTGTGTCAACAGTCTGCATATGAAAGTGACTCTGCCAAGATATTTCACTTTAATGAAAAATATTTATCACAGTAAATCTTAAGCCTCAAGATTTTACTGACATAATTCATTTCTATTATTATGTAGTATGATAGTATACCACCACAGCAGTGCTTATGTTTAGAATGATAAAAATGTGCTTTTTAAAGTCATTTTGATTATTCTACCTCAGCATGAATAATTTTTGCTCTACACTCTGAGGAAAGGGAATACACCATGCATTTATGGAACTAATAAATCAGTTACTTATCTAATTTTGCTAATGACTCTGTAGGTGTCACTGTGTGGAAGGACACTGAGTGCCCAAGCGAAATAAGAATAAGGCTTTAAAAAAATATTGTTTTTCCATAAGAAAGATGAACAGCAAACAGCCTTTAATAACACTAGCTCTTTTGCAAACAGACAAGAGATATGAAGACTATCATTTTATCAAAGATATTTGAACAAACAGAAGCAAAACGAACTTTTTGAAGGGTGGGTCATACAAAAAGCTGGCAACTCAGTCAGTCACTAAATTGTGCTTATCTGTACTTTGAAAAGGAATACTTAGGATACTGGAATGCCAGCTTATATCCCAACAAAAAGAAAGCTGAGACTCCAAATTCCTGACAGACTTCTCTCTACAAATTTACAGTAACCAAGCCTCTGACCTTGAAGAATTGGAGCTGAATAATACCTATTAAATGTTAGACTGTCTTAACCAAGGAGAAAGATAATGAAACTAATTAAAAGTGGTAGAAATTAAAAGTTTATTTACTTCTAAAAATATATACTTAAAACTTGGTTTTTAAAAACAAACCTCCCCACCTAATATTATTATTATTTGCTTCTGCCAACCTCAAAATTCAAACTGACAAAGGGAGAAGGAACTGACTGGATACCTGTTTCATCCCAGATCCTGGCCAGATACAATAGTATTAATTCTCACCACAGCTCTTTGAGACAGACATCATTTTATGAACAAAGAAACCTAGGCTTGGTTAAAATAACTATCTTATTAGGGTTTTCTGTCCTAGTAGGTGGTAGCCTAGATTCTAATCCCGGTTTGTTTGCCCCTCAATCCTTATTTTTTTTCTAGTATACCATTCTATGAAAAATGATATAAGCACAAGTTTTAAAAACTATGTCTTGGATAACACAGGAAATAAATGTAAAAACCCACAATTAGATATTCAAAGCTAAACTACAAGTAAATGTGTGCTTCAATGTCAAAATTTTTAATAATTTTTGCTTGTCACATAAAATCCAGTGTAAGGACATCTGCAATAGGATTCATAGCATAGTTTAAACCTCTGTATATTATATACATTCTATTATTCATATAACTGCTCTGAATCACTTGTAAAGAATAATAAGACCTATTTCACACCATGCAGATTTATATTAAAATAAACCTCTTTGGTTAAGCTATAAATGTTTCAATTACTGTTTAGGCCCATATGTTCACATGCTCCTCATCTTCCCCCAAATCTTAAGCATTGATTGTTTTACACCCAAAAACCCCTACATTATAGGTACAGGGAGCTGATTCATTGCCAGAAACCACTAGTGCCACCTACTGGTTAAGGAAAAGAGAATAGAATTCTGGGTAATTTCCATCTTTCCAAATAAGAGGCACTAAAAATGAAAACAATCTTTTCTTTCCTGTTTGCCTTCTCAGATAGGATGTTTACTATTATGGACATTTTATTAACATTGAATATATTGAAGTTATTAAAATTACACTGCTAATATGCAAGGGAGTGAAGGGTGGTGTATGTTTGGGGGACAGGAAGCAGCTGATGTTCTGGGATAAAAATCAAAAGCAAACACTGTTAGAGTATGGCTTTAATAATAGGGGTTGTCTAAAGTCCAAAATGCCCTCTTAAGCTGTGGTGAAGTGGCAAGAAGTGCTCCCTCCACCAGTCCCAGTTACGGGGGGTTCATTTATGTCCTAGAAGGAGGCTCAAGAGAAACTTAGTTTGTTTAACTTTTGTTTGGTTCCACGAAGTGTACTGCTCAAGTTCTGGTTCCCAAACCCCTCTGGCCTTCGAACCTAATCAATTGCCAGTCAGCGAGTAAAAATAATTCACGCCTATACATTTTTTTTTTTTTTTTTTTTTTGAGACGGAGTCTCGCTCTGTCGCCCAGGCTGGAGTGCAGTGGCGGGATCTCGGCTCACTGCAAGCTCCGCCTCCCGGGTTCACGCCATTCTCCTGCCTCAGCCTCCCAAGTAGCTGGGACTACAGGCGCCCGCCACTACGCCCGGCTAATTTTTTTGTATTTTTAGTAGAGACGGGGTTTCACCGTTTTAGCCGGGATGGTCTCGATCTCCTGACCTCGTGATCCGCCCGCCTCGGCCTCCCAAAGTGCTGGGATTACAGGCGTGAGCCACCGCGCCCGGCCACGCCTATACATTTTTACAACAAACTTTCTTATCAGTAGGTTGGCCCCAGCAACCAAGTTAGATTTAAACATTATCTGATTCATTTGACAATTGCTAGGGTATGTTCCTTGGTGGCTGTCTTCTAGAAGCTTGAATTGTGATATATGCTGAAAAAATCACTTCAAATTGATATTTTTAAGGAAAGCTTAAAACAGGAGCCTCACAGAATTTGCCGTCGTCTGCCTTTGAGATTCACTTACACAGCTAAAATGAAAACCTCTTTGGCTGAGAGCTTTTCTGGAAAATCCAAAAAGGTCCAGAAGGACTGGTTAGAGGTTTTTAACAATATCACGCACCCATTAAATTTGAATATTTTGGTTATAGTTGTATTCGATGGCTGGCTTTTCAAATCTTATTGCCACTATATCATTGCACACACTGTGTGTGTGTTTGTGTGTGTGCGTGTGTATTTTTCCTCCAAGAGTTTCTGTTTAAGGCGTTATGAATTCTTTTGCTATAATAAAATCTTTGGAATTATGTTCATAAACTACCACAATATGTTCTGAATTTCTGGGTCATAATTATAAAATAAACAGATTCATTTCTCGTCACAAATTTTAATTAAGAATTCCAGTTATGCAATTATTTGCTAATGAATAATACCCACTCAGTTTCAAGGCATACTATTAAATATGTTAACTCAAAAATTTGTTTTCTGAAGACAGTTTCCAGGGGTCGGTTTCTCATTTGTAAGCCATCAACCTCAGTAACTGTCATATTAAAATAAGAAGAAATGCTTGTCTCTTATATCATTGAGATAGGTGAGCATTCAGGAGACAAGGATAATTTATAATTGATGGAAATAAATTAATTTAATATAAAAAGCTAATCCATCAGCCTCTATTTCAGTTCCTCATAAATATCAAGCTACTGGATTCTGTGATTTATTTTGTTTAGATCTTTTGGTTAGGCTATCCAATTGCCCAGTCATTGGCTAGGCTTTTGCTTGTAAAAGGGGGCAGTAGAGGAACTTATTTGCCTCATGTTTATTTATTGTGCTTTGAGAAAACTACCCCAGTCTGGGCTGCTGACTCCTTAAATATGATCTTGGTTCCCATGTAATAAAGGAACAATCAATTTGCTTGCTTTTGACTTTTTTTTTTTTTTGCCAGTTTTTATGTTGAAGAAGAAAAAATATGAATAAACAAATAAGTAACCTATTTTTGGTATCAAGTAAATGTGCAGCCTAGAGAAGGGGGATAATTCTAGAAATTGGAAACAAAGTTGGCCCTTTCAAGTTAAACCACTAGAAATATACAAGGGCTGACATTTCTGCAGATACTCTAAGAGACGGTGAGTTCCAAGGGAAAAGGGGACCTCCCAAATCAAATCAGGGCATTACAAAATCTAATCAAGGTGACAAGGATATATCCCCAGCATAAGACTGTAACTAAAGTGGAAGGGGGCAGGATCATTCACTCATTCATTCTTGCATATATTCATTTCACCATTTATTATTAATAGCAGCAATCTGCTTTGTGTAAAGTGCTACACAGAGATAAACGAGAAATACCTTGCATTTAGACAGCAACTTAAAATTTCAAAAGCAGTTTTATCATTTAGAGTCGTGGCAGGGAACAGATGGCAAACCTGACTTTGGTAATTTAAGGAGCCTTTAATAAAGGGACTGTTTATTAAGGTGTGGGTAGAGTACAGGGAGACCACAGGGGCCAGTTACTCTGGGGCCTTTACTACCTCTAGGTCC
Organism: Homo sapiens; assembly: GCF_000001405.40. Taxonomy (NCBI): domain Eukaryota; kingdom Metazoa; phylum Chordata; class Mammalia; order Primates; family Hominidae; genus Homo; species Homo sapiens. Next base: position 47,709,282 of record NC_000015.10, on the reverse strand, counting down.
TAAGGAGCCAGATGGGGGAGGTAATTGCTCCAGCAGAACCTGGAGATATGAAGACTGTAGAGAGGACCCACTTGCAGCAGCTGTGTCCTTCAGTCAAGGGACTCTCTCATCCTAGGGTGACATGTAGGAAGGGGATGGGGAAATACATATCACCACCCACTCTCTTCCCTCTTTCTGATCCCCTGCAGGTGCTCTTCATTGGTTCAACCTCACTTGAAGACAAAGGGCAAGAAGGCCCACTGATGCAGCCCTTAATGGTCAACCTCTAGGGAGTAGGGAAAAAAGGATTAAGAGTAGATCTGGTGGCACAAATGGAAATTTACTATTTAATTTTATTTTGGTTCTTATAGAGCACTATGTGGTAGGGGTGCTCCTTTTGCAAATGAGAAAGCTGCAACTGGGAAATTTGCTTACTATAAAGATAACCCAGTTACATAGCAGAGCCAGACCTTGAACTTGGGTCTTCTGAATCTAAGTCTGGTGCTTATCACACTGTCTCCCTATTCTCTGCCCTTTGGACTTCCTTATTACAGTTATCTCACCATGTAACTTTATTAACATGTTTTATTACTTACTAGACAGAGCTCCCTGAGAGAGGGAACTAGGTCTTGGTATCCTTACTGTCTAGAATTAGAGGCTGAGATATGAACCTAGGAGACTTTTGATGGATGGAATAATAAGTGAGAGAGCACGCAACCTGACTGAAGAGACAGATGTACAAAGAGTTAACATCACATGTAGCAGAATACTGTAAATACTAAATCCAGAGGTAGAGAAAATGTACTTTGGATGTATAGGACAAGGGGAAATGCATAATACTGCAGGTTGTAAAAGCTTCATGATGTGGGGCCTATAAGCTGAGTCACACTGGAAGATAAATGTCTACAGGTAGAAACTCTAACAGAGGTACTTTGGGCAGAGAGGGCAGCAGAATCAGGGGAGGGTGATAGGGCATGGTATACTGGGGCCACGATTAGTGTTCTTGGAGGCAAGTAACAGGAAATGTGACGGAAGAGACAGGATGAGATCATTGTACCAAGTTCCTTAATTGGCATGTGCTAGAGTTTGAATGTTTTCCTCATGTGTTTAGAAGACAGATTTTTTTAGGAAAAGATGATTGTAATGCTTTTGAGTGAGAGACAGCTCTCAAGCTGTCTCAAGCCGGAGGATATACAGCTTGGAGAAGCAAGAGGTTTCAGACGTAAGAATGCTAATGTAGGGGTCAGGACAGAAGATGACTTTAATGGAGGTAGAATCTATAGAAAAGTGGAAACATACACCAGAAGACACAGCAGAGTTGGTAGATGTTTGAGTGTCAGGGAAGGGGATGTGGGAGATTTTTCCAAGTTTCTTAGTCTGGCCAAATTTAAGAAAAGTTGAATTTTGATAAAAGAAACATGAGGTGGAAAAGGTTAATGGGGGGATAATTGAGTATGGTTTTGGGTAAATGGAGTTTAAAGGGTTGGCATGGTGTCCATGAGGTGATGCCCAGCAGAAAATTGGAAATTATTACACAGTTACTTCAGTAGACAGCGGGAACATATTTTCCAGAAAAATACCAAAATCTACATGAGCCACATACACATGAAAAAGTAAGAGGAAATCCAGTTTTTATCCAGTGATGCAGGTTAGCCTATCTACCTTCTGAAGGCGTACGTGCTCAAGAGAACGTGCACAAGAAACCCTTCATCCTTCACATTCCTAGACTCTGTCCTCCAACTTGGAAATCATGCAGTCTTACTGGTGGCTTGCAAACATAGGAAATGCAGACGTGGCAATTCATCATATTTTATCTACTATCTTTTTTGAGCTGACTGTTTAGTGGTATCTTTTCAGCCTGACACTTTTACAGAAAATGCTGATAGATACTTTTAAAACTTTTAATGAAACTATATAAAAATCATTATTTCAGAAATTTTTAGAGAACTTTGGTCTTAGTGTGGTGTAGATGAGGTTGAAAAATTACCCAAATCAATTTACTTAACCATTACCACTCCATGTAAACTTAGGCATCCTTAGGCTCTGATCATCAAGATTTGCTGCTAAAGTGTAAATGAACTTAGGGAAACACAATTCAGTAGCTCCTCTCAATTTTCTTGGACATCATGAACATGTCATTTTACTTGATTTGAAATGCTAACATGAAACATAAAAGAGAGTGGATCATTTCAGAGGAAAAAGAATCACCTCTTGACAGCCAGATGATAAAATGCTATAACAATAAAAGATTAGATCACTTCCAATTCTCTTTACAAAAAAACCCCTGAAATGTATAGGATATAATTTTAATTCTTTAAGCAGAGTTTTCCATTTTATTTCAAAAAGGAAAGCTTATGAAGAGTGAGTATGGATATCGTGAGCATCACGGTATTAGTTAATGGTCAGGGTGCTTTGAGGTAGCAGTACGTTCAGGACAATTTATCATGTAATAGTTATAGGATTACAAAATGGGCACTTTTTTTTCTTATGGTGATTTGTTCCTTCATTCATATTATGTGGGCCATTTTAAAACAACTTATATAGTGTTCTCCTAATATCTAGAGGAGAGAGAGAGAGAGAAAAATAGAGAGAAAGAGAGAGAGAGAGGTCCAGAGACAGAGTGAAAAGGAAAGCAAATGAGAAATCTAATTAAATTTAATGGAACATTTCCAAGAAAAAGATACAGTCTTTAGCAGCATCTGCAGTTTCAATTTGCGAACTGTAGGTACTTACATTGCCAGGAACTTACTTTTCTTTTCTTTTTGTTTTATGATTTGTCATTAATGCAGAGAGAAATAAAACAGATATAAGTATTTGTCAATTTCATGCAAACCATTTCAACTTACATAGAATGTCATAGAATGTATGCTTAATTACATAAGCAACCTTTGTATTAAAAATATCACTTTATTACCCTCCATAAACATTTATGAATCTCTTTAGTTTATGATTAAATTAAGAGAAAATGAAATGCAGGAATAAACTACAAAGGATTTTTTCCTCATCTTTTAAACTGACTTCATTAAAACTGTAATTTAGTGCTATGTATAACAGCAATCCAAGAGTAGAGATGGGACAAATTTATACTTTTATTCAGTCAAATGTTGAAAAAATAGTGTTTGACTTTTGATGAATATTTAATATGCCAGAGAGCTCTCAAGATCCCACTTTAGCAGTGAGATCTGGGGCAGTTTTCAGCAGAGACTGAATTTCTGATCTGGCCTCCTGAGTTCCCTCTACCACTTTTCTTCCTCTCATATTCCTTAAGTTGCAAAGAGGCAGAAAAATACAACATCCTTTGCCCAAACAGTCTTTCACATGTGCCCCGTAACTGAGGTAGATTAGGACAAGGGCTCTGGGACTGAAGCAGTCTTCATTCTGGAGAAGAAGCAGGCTGCCCTTGATTGGAAGCCATAGGAGTGTGGCTATCCACTGAAGGTGTTGGTTCCCTGGTAATGGCCTTAAGCCTTGAGAGCTTGATAGAAAGCCAAAATGCTTCGTAGTGCAGCACAGACTTTGGCCCTGCACTTTCTCTCTTACCTCTTGATAGCGTAAGTCAATGTGCGTCAAGAACCCAGGAATTTCCTGGGGAACTGGTCTTAGGTATTCCTGTACTTCAGAAGAATTGGGAAAAAACACTGGTTGGAAAGGCCTGTTGTGATTAAGAGGTGATTCTCTGCTTGAAGGAGGAAATGAGAGAGATTGGGTAAAAAATCAGGGAAGAATGAATTCTAGATCCCACTGCCAAAAATTATGAAAATTATTAAGTCATGTATTACATTTATTCAATTATTTTACAAGGGTAAGTACAAAGGGCACAAGTTTTGATTTTCGGCTTAGCTTTGACCTCTAAACAATTCCAACTTTCAGTTTCCTCTTCAGTAATGTTGAGATAATGTTTAACGTGAAGTTTATTGTTAGGGGTAAAGTAAATGATGTTGGTAAAAACATCGTGTAAGTTTTATAAAGTAAAACCGTAAAACCCTAAATTAAAGTTAGATATTACCAAAGTCCAGTGCCCAATTGGGTGGCCATATCAGAATCACTTGGGGGTGCTTTGATCTGCCTCCCTTCTCCATTACAATAAGCCCCTCTAGTTAGTGTCCCCCTCTCTCCATTTAGTACCATTGCTCTCCTGCCCCACTGTTGGGCTGTGTCCCATAGGTGCTTCAGAGTAAAAGTAATTGCCTTCAACTGTGCTAGAAAGTGTGGGCCTTATATTTATCCCGAGTGCTTAGGACAATGTTTAGCTAAATATATATTTATTGAATGGATGGCTTGAGTGGTAACACAAAGATGCTTACCAGAAAAGTGAATGTATTTTTACTATTATAGAACCTTTTTTAAAAAAAACTTTAAGTACAACTTGATTATAGCTCTTATACAAAACTAGAATAGGATAATTTTTTGCTATGTTCAAAATGTAAACCTCTCATTTCAAAATCCAACAGTTCTTACTGGTAAAATACAAGAATCCTTTTTTTAAAAGAAAATAAGAGCCATGGATATCAATCATCAATTGCTACTGTTATTTACCGTTATTTTGAAGGTGTTAATCAATGCAGTAAGACAAGATTTTTTTTTTGAGACAGGGTCTGGCTCTGTTGCCCAGGCTGGAGTGCAGTGGCATGATCATGGCTCCATGGCTCACTGCAGCATTGAGCTCCTGGGCTCAATCAGTCCTCCCACATGAGCCTCCTGGGTAGCTGGGACTACAGGCACATGCCACCACATCCAGCTAATTTTTTGTAGAGATGGGGTTTGGCCATGTTGCCCAGGCTGGTCTTGAACTCCTGGGCTCAAGTGATCTGCCCATTTTGGCCTCCCAAAGTGCTGGGATTACAGGCGTGAGCTGCTGTTCCTGGCCTCAAAATATGAATTATCATGTATATTCTGAGATTGGCAGCAAAAACTCACTATTTAAAGTGATGGTATACATTAAAACTATACAAAATATTTTAAAAATATAAAGTGATGGTATATATTAACACTTAATGCATAGAAAGACATCCACTGTAGGCTGGGCATGGTGGCTCATGACTGTAATCCCAGTACTTTGGGAGGCTGAGGAGGGAGCATTGCTTGAGTTCAAGAGTTTGAGGCCAGCCTGGGCAACTTACTAAGACCTTATCTCTACAAAAATTTTAAAAAAGAAAGAAAGATATCCACTATATACTGACAGATAAAAATAAGCCATAGAAGAGCTTATTTCATGTGCTTCCATTTTTGAAAAACAAAAGCAAAATGAGGACTGCATATATGAGCGCATATGTATGTGTGTCTCTGTAAAGCTATATATCAAAATATCAAAAATCCCTGGGTTTTTGCAACAGATAATTTTCTTTCTTTTACACACCCCCATGTACTGTGAAAAGGTTTTGCCTTCATTAAGAGTGATTAATTTTATTAGCAGACAACTTAATCTTTATTAAGAAAATCTGAAGCCTTGTAAAACTTTTCAAAATATTCCAACATCAGATGGTAAATACACACAGAGTTAAACCTCCCTATCTCCCCTTGCCCTGAAAAAGAGAGAGAACTAGGCCATTGTTTAGTATTGGACCTAACCATACTTTTTATTTCCATTATTGATTTGGATATTGCAGGGTTTTTTGTGGTTTCTTTTGCCAGAATTATCTATATAATAATATTAATTTTCTACTTTCCTTTATGTAAATGCAAATTCAAAGAACAGGAACTGTTTTTCACAGTCATCATTTTTCTCTGCAGGAGTTTCTGGAAATTGTCACAAATTGGGTTGCTACGTAGTGGGTTCCTTTCATTTTTTTTTCCACAGGAATAGTGATGCACGTGAAAGTTTGCATATTGCACAAAAATATGTTATTATTGATACTGTGGCATAAATCACAGTTAGAGCCTATGTCATAAATTTAACTATGCAAATGTGCACCTTTATATTTAAATAGCAAACTTGTATTTCATGTCTTAGAAAAAAAGCATGAAAATGTTTTTATTGATTTTACAAAAGGCCCCAAAGTACAATAAAATGAATGTATAGCCTATAAAAATATAATTTCACCCATGCCATATATTGCAGTGATCTAAAATTAATGGGCTAGCTCGAGTAACATTAAGCACTTGATTAACAACATGTACACCTGCTATAGATTATAGAAATTCTTTTGGAGGGTTATTTCAGTGGATCGTGTCTTTTTGAAAAAGTCGTACGTGGAAATTTGAAATAAGCATATTTTTGCTCTTAATAAATAAATACATTTTCACATAGAGCTATGTACAAAATCTTTCCATCTGTTTTTTTGTATAAACACCTACACACTGCATTTACATTACAGTTCACTATTTGTGCTGTACATTCTAGGAGTTTGGATGAATGCATAATGACACGTATCCACTATTATGGTATTATACAGAGCAGTTCCACTGCCTTAAAAAAATCTTCTATGTTCTGATTACTCATCCCTCCTTTTTTCCCCTCTCAACCCCTGATCTTTTCACTGTGTCCCTGGTTTTGCCTTTTCCAGAATGTCATATTTGGAATCATACAGTACATAGCCTGTTTATATTGGCTTCTTTCACTTAATAATATATATTTAATTTCCTCACATGTCTTTTCATAGATTGATAGCTCATTTCATTCTAATATTGAATAATATTCCATGGTCCGAATGTATTATAGTTTATCCATTCACCTACTGAAGGACATTCTGGTTGCTTCCAGGTTTTGGCCATTATAAGCAAAGCTGTATAAATATCCATATACAAGTTTTTGCGTGGACATAAGTTTTCAGCTCCTCTGGGTAAATACTAAAATGTGCGATTGTTGGATTGTATGGTAAGCATATGTTTAGTTTTGTAAGAAAACAACAAACTGTTTTCCAAAGTGGCTGTACCATTTTGCATTCCCATCAGCAATGCATGAAAGTTCCTGTTGCTTCACGTCCTTTCCAGCATTTCTTGTTGTCAGTGTTCTGAATTTTGGTCATTCTAATAGGTGTGTGGCAGTATCCTGCTGCTTAATTTGCATTTCTTTGATGACATATGATGTAGAGCATCTTTTCATATGTTTATTTGCTATCTGTATATCTTCTTTGGTGAGGTGTTTCTGAAGGTTTTGGCCCATTTTTCTGAGGGGCAAGGAATGGGGAAGAGACATTAATGCTGTGTCACAGGCATCCATCAGCCAAGTATGACCATCAGTGTCTGGCTGTAGGTAAAAATCATTGGGAAAATGTGTTTCTATAAGCAAGAAAAATTAAAGCTAACATAAATTTCTGAATAAAAATTTGGCCAAAAAGAAGAAGAAAAATGTCGAGTATAGGAAACACTTTTGACTAGTTTTGACCGCAGTGGGCCACTTTTTCTGTCTACTATAGAACCAGCAAACTAACAGTTCAGAGGATGTGCTCACAATAAGGATGGGTGAGAGGGTACAGCTTCCCTAGGTTTCCCTCAAACTTCATTGTTAAAAGCAGTACTGTGCCTGAAGAACCAGGTGGGGGATGCCAGAGCAAGGCTTCCTGCATTTCATACCATTAGCCATGGAAGGGGATATATCATCACTAAAGCAGCTTCTCTAATACCATATGAGGAAATTTTCGCTATGCTACATTACATATTTCTACTTTCACCTTCTTTCTGGAACAAAAGTCTTTTTAATTTTAACTTTATTTATAAGTGGATGAATACAAATTGTGCATATTTATTCTGTACAACATGTTTTAAAGTCTGTATACATTGCAGATGGTTAAATTGAGCTTACTAATATATGGGTTATCTCATGTAATTACCATTTTTTGGTGGTGAGAAAACTTAAAATCCACTTTTTTAGCAATTTGCAAGAATAGAATTCATTGTTATTAACTATAGTCACCATGTTGTACAATAAATATAGTGAACGTATTCCTCCTATCTAACTGAAATTTTGTATCCTTTGGCCAACATCTCCCCAATCCCCCTCCCCTCAGCTCCTGGTAACCACCATTCTACTCTCTACTTCTATGAGTTCAACATTTTTAGATTTCACATACAGATGAAATATTTGGCCTATTTTTTAATTGGGTTGTTTGTTTTCTTATTATTGAGTTTTAAGTGTTCTTTATATATTTTGGACAACAGTCCTTTATCAGACATGTCATTTGGGAATATATTTTCCCAATCCTTGGTTTATCTTTTCATTCCCTTGACTGTGCTGTTCACAGAGCAAACATTTTTGATTTTAATGAATTCCAGCTTACCACTTCCTTCTTTCATAGACTGTGCCTTTGGTGCTGTATCTAAAATGTCACTGCCAAACCCAAGGTCATCTAGAATTTTTCCTATATTATCTAATAGAAATTTTATAGTTTTACATTTAGGTCTGTGACTTTTTGTGAAAGGTATAAGGTCTCTGTCTAGATTAATGTTTTTTTCCAAGTGTGTATCCAGTTGTTACAGTAAAATTTGTTGAAATAGCTGTCTCTTCTCCATTGTATTACATTTGCTTCTTTGTCAAATATCTGGGCTCTCCATTCCATTCCATTGACCTATTTGTCTGTTCTTTTGCCAATACTATACTTTAAAAAATGATATATGAACTTGCTATGTTGCCCAGGCTGGCCTCGAACCCCTGGGCTCAAGCGATTCTCCTGTCTCAGCCTCCCAAATACCAAGGACTACAGGTGCATGCCACTGCACCTAGTCTATACTTTCTCCTTCAATAGGCTATTCTGAGTCTTTTGCCTTTCAATATAAACTTTGAAATCAATTTTTAAAAATTATTTATTTACTTATTATTTATTTATTCACTAGAGAAAGGATCTTGCTTTGTCACCCAGGCTGGAGTGCAGTGGCTTCATCATAGGTCACTGTAACCTTTAACTTCTAGGCTCAAGCAGTCCTCCCACCTCAACCTTCTGAGTAACTAGGACTACAGGTGTGTGCCATCATGCGTGGCAAATTTTTGTTTTTTAAAAAATATTTTGTAGAGACAAGGTCTCCCTACATTGCCTAGGCTGGTCTCAAACTCCTGGCCTCAAGTGATCCTCCCACCTTGGCCTCCCAAGAATCAGTTTGTTGATGTTTACAAAATAGCTTGGTAGGATTTTGATTGGGATTGCATTGAAACTATAGATCAATTTGGCAAGAACTGACATCTTAACTATATTGTCTTCCTATCCATGAACATTGAATATCCTTTCATTTATTTAGTTCCTTTTTGATTTATTTCAATAAAGTTGTGTAGTTTTCCTCAAATAAATCTTGTACCTATGTTGTACATATTTATATCTAAGTATTTCATTTTGTGGGATGCTAATGTAAATTGTACTGTGTTTTAAATTTCAAATTCCACTTTCTTATTGCTGATATATAGGAAGGCAATTGACTTTTGCATATTAACCTTGCATCCTGCAACCTTGTTATAATTGCTTATTAGTTCTAGGAGGTGTTTTTTCATCAATTCTTTCAGATTTTCTGCATAAATGATCATGTCATCTGCAAAGGCGGTTTTATTTCATATTATTGTTTTTATTGCATTAGCTAATATTTCCAGTATGTGTCAAAAAGCAGTAGCGAGAAGTGACATCCTTGTCTTGTCTTGGTCTTCATGGGGAAAGTGAAATGTCTTGAATTTGCTTGCTTTTCTTTTGTTTTCTTTTCTCCCACAAATATTCCCCTTCCTTTGCAATGGAATTGATGTGAAATGCAGGAGGGCAGTTTAGGTATATGCCTAGGCACAACATGGAGAGACAGCCACTATCCTCTGTCTGTTGCTGGTAGCTTATGTTTTCAGTATTTGCTTTGCCGATCTGTTAATTAAACAGAACAACAAATGTCTAAGGTCTTTTTCAGAGGTGATTTGATGTGGTGAAAATGCACTGCATAGAGACAAGTAAAGCCAAACTTCACTCCTTAACAGCTGTTTGACCTCAGAAAAGTCACTTTAATTTGATGAGTTTTAATTTCCTCATGTATAAAACAGGGATAATATCAATCTTCATAGGATTGTAAAAGACAAAATAGCAAGGGCAAAGTACTTTGCACAGTGCTTGGCACACAGTAGGCTTGTAATAAATTAGTTGTCTTGCTCTTTGACCTAAATCCTATGATTGTGTGAAGGTTAATTTGAGGTAAAATATAGGTTCCCACTGAATAGTGTTGAATAAAAGGAGAAGTAAAATAAAGGCCTTTAAAAAGCTGGCATAGGCTCACCCTTCTTGTCCTTACTAGACTGGGTATAGAGTAGGTGCTCAATAAAGAGTATAGATAATTAATATAAAAAGCAACTTAGGGATTATTCTTCTTTCATATTCTCCTTCTTTTAAAATCAGTCACTTCTCTTTGCCTGCCTCTGCTCTCACAGCCATTTTAAATTTAAGTTTATTGAATCATACAATGGAGAATGTTATAGCTACGCCTTGGAATGGTGGTGGTAGGTTATGACAGCGGCTGGAAAATCATACTGTCTAGGGATCTAGTTTGTCTCTAGTTCATGGGAGGCAAGTAAGTAGTAAGTATAGTATATTGTGGCAACTCTGATAGTGACTGCATGGAATGTTGCATTGACAAAGATGCTGTGGCTGCAGCAGAACTCATAGGAAAAGAGGATTATCATTAATTAGTTATGCCTGCCCTGGGTTTAGCAAGACAGACTAGATACCTGTGTGCCATGTATTTCTACTTTATATATGTGAATTAGCTATATCAGAGGAAAAGATGGAAGAAGGGAAAAAGTAACAGGTGATTTCTAGGCAGGAAGGGAATAATCAAGTTTATAAATGTTTCTTCATTTATTAGATTCACATTTTTAGGTCCCACCTATATCAACACATTTTTCATTTCCCTCTTGAGAAGATTTCCCTGGTAGGAAGATTTTAGTAGCCTGGAAGCCATGCCTTGAAGAAGTCTTAAGAGAGTTTTATTTTTATTGCCAGAGGTTTTGCAGTAGCAGCAAAAAGCATTTATAAAATTTTGCTCTTGCCATTGGAAAATTTGATCATTTTGTCTGTTAAATAATACCTAAGCTGATACTGGCCCTTTTTTTCTCATCTCTTTTATTGGTTACTTACTTCCATAGAGTGGCAGAACATCTATAACAGCTTGCATTTCATTGTTTATTGACCATTCCTCACTTCACCATGAGAAATATTTAAGTGTTATTTTTGGATAATGAAAAAATATGTAATCTCAAAGGGATCTCCCTAAACTCATATTTTAATAATGGGAAATAACCATTTTGAGGAGAAATGAAAAAGTGAATTATCCTACAAGCATATGTTAAACATTAGGTGACTTCTGATAGAATAAAAAAATTGAATGGATTCTAAAAGATCACCTATGGCCAAGTCTTCTATTTTACTAATGGGAAAACTGCGACCCAGAGCAGTTGGCAATCTTTTGGCCTTAGCAAGTTAGGGAAGCATTGGGTTGGAATGGAATCTAAGTTTCATGGCTCTCAGTATTTTCCAACAAATGTTACTGATCTTCAAAAGAACTGTGTCAGACATGAGATGGTGGTGTACGTGCTGAGGATGCTATAAGCCCTTCGCCTAAGGCGGGGGGAAGTGGGGGCGCAGGTTGAGATGGAAACATCAGAAAGCTTTAATCAGTGATGGAATTAGATTAATTAGAATTAATTTCAAATTCATCAGACCTTCCCTATACAGAAGGAGAGATTTTGAAAGAGATTAAAGGACAATTAAAAATATCAAACAATGGGCTAAAAGGGTTTTGGAGTTTGATTTCTAACAAATCCAGTTTATTAAATTATTACCTAAAAATAATTGGAATTTAGAAGTAAAAATAGGATGAATCTTGGAATTCAATAAGTACTAGTCAATATTCAACCAATAGGCAAAATTGCTACAGCCTTTCTTAGTGGGAGAGGAGATGAGGCAAGAGGTAAACTAGGGCAACAAACCATTATTGTGGATACTTCCAGTGTCCTGAGAAGTTCTTGTGGGAGTTCAGAGAGGAAATCAAGGCAGGGCTTGCTGTTTGGGAGAGCACGATAATTATTAAACGCCAGAATTCCTATCAAGATATGAACACCTGTGAACAGACATGTCCTTCCTGCAGTTCTCTGTTCTGGCAGTGAAGAGAGACATTCAGGGCCCTCCATCCTGCTCCCTTGTTTCCTGCAAGTTGACAGATGTGCATTGCCCTTGCCCTTCCTACTGAAGGGAAATGCAGCTGACTTGTTCTACTAAGTTCTTTAAAATCTGGTGCCAAGAAGGAAGTTGAGAAGAGCAGTAAATACATTTTTTCCCTTATTCAACAATTTCGTAAAAATTTATTGGACCCCTATGAAGTGCCAACCATCTGATCCCATTGCAGTAGAGGCCTAGGTAGGACTTAAAAGATGATGATGATTATAATGAAGATGACAACAACCGCAAGAATGATGACAATAATAGCAGTTCCCATGTATTAAGTCCTTATTGTGTCAAATATTCAGTTAGATATTTATAAATGTTAATCTTCATAACTATGAGACATAACTTCAAATCTATGAGACAGATATTACTATCACCAGTATTGTACCTACATCTATGAACTGTGCAGCCAGTCCCTAATGCAGAATTCCAAATGCTCAGCTGTGTCACTGCCTGTGTGATTTAGGGGAAAGGACTGAATTCTTGGAGCCTCAGTTTCTCACCTACAAAATTGAAGTAACAATCCCCACGCCCCTGTCCCCATGGCAGGATTTGGGTGAAGGGCCTGTCACAGTACTTGGCTGCCAAGAAGCTGCACAGCAGATGTCAGGTCCTTACCACTCCCTGCATCCTTTCTTTTCATCTTTGGCAGCAAGACAAGTCACTAGGGGCTTTTGCCAAGTGGAGATACCACCATGGAGGGGCCCTCTCTCTCCTTCCCCACAGCCCCTATTTCTAAAAATAACTGCTGAGACTTGCAGTCCCTGAAGACAATGTCTAAAGTGTGTTGTTCAGACTGAAAGACACTCCTGGATGTCCCTTGTTCTGCGTGAACTTAGCAAGAAACCCCATTGCTCAGGAGACTTACAGAATTGCAATGTGAGACAACTTTGGCTTGTGGGGAGAGGTAGAGAATGCTGAATGTCCAACTATACTTGGAGTAGATACTATAAATGGGTGGATTTGAAGACTGAGTCATCTAATGAAATTTTGAATTGAAAACGAGTTTTTCAGTCCCTAACAAAATCTTGGAAAAGTGGAGTTCAGATCACCGTGGTAATCCATCATCAACTTAGGTCAAGGAAGCGCGTTAAGGGTGAGTGAAGAGAAGACCTTTGTTTGTGCTAAGGAAATAATAGATTTCCTAGTAGATAAAGGAGAGAATTAAACGGCATAAACATACATGCACATCGGTAAATATGTTTATGTTCCTTCTTGCAAAAACTGTTTTAAATGTTTTAAATGTGTACTAAAACTACCAATGACCAGGTTATAACAATACATTAGTGAAACCCATGCTTAGTGGATATACTGATGCTTTACTGGTTACAAAAATGTCAGCTTGGTTTATCACAAATCAATAACTCATTACATGCTCCAGAATATATAAAATCCAATATAAATCAACTTGCTGTCACATCCAGGCATTCAAATGTCACACCAATTGTACTTTCAGTCATGTGACTCTTCATTTTCCCTTCCTATACTAGTTTTGGGGACTAAAATACATTTTGTATTTTGTTAGATAACAAATATTATGCTTCTATTTCTTTGGAAATTTTGATAGTCAAAGGGCAGACATCAGATGATAATATGAATTAAGAACTTCATTTAACAAGACCTAGCCCATAAATTTGTGTGTGTTGTGTGTGTGTGCATGTGTTCGTGTGTGTGTCTATGCGTGTGTGTGTGTAACATTTCCCTCTTTCCTATGTAGAGGTTATCAGGGCTTCCATAATTCAGATTAACAAAGCTAAGCCAGGAGCACCAAATCTCTTCCAGCTGGTGTTGGCTGAGATGATTACTGGCACCTTGCAAAGGAAGGAAGATGCTCAAACTGTCCCTATAACCTATTAGGAAACAATACAGAGCTTCACTGAAAAGAATATTAATTTGCACGGCTATTCTAGCAAGATTCTTAAAGGTGAACAGGGGCACATTATCTTTTTTCTTTTCTGCCTTTGAAAAACGAGAATTCAGTTTTGGCATTAATATTATAAATCAGCTTGAGTCCACAGAATCTTGATTTACATTTGGGCACAGATGAGGAACTTCATTAAGTGGGCCCACCAACAAGCATGGACCACCTAGTGGCTAGGCAATCTGCCTGTCTATGTAACTTAGGTCTTAAGCCCTGGGGGCATATGCCAGGCACAGTGTTGCTGTTCAATAAATAAATAATCTCCATCCATATTGACTTTAATTTTTGCCTAACGCAATGCCCTGCTCACATGCCTATGGTGTTCAGGGCTTCGGATCCTCTCCTTGGTACCAGCATATATCACTACCAACTCAATAATTGTAATACATACTCTAATTGGACACAGATGTATTTTAATTACCAACCTTCCCTGCCATGACTTTTCATCTTTGTCACTATCATAGAAAAATGATCTGATTTGAGAAAAGCTGCCATATTCTTTCCGTGCCCTGCTGCAAAAAATAACTTGCAGTTGACTGGTCACAACAGACACATGCCTTGATCTTTTCACAGCTGGGTTGTTTGTATTCATGTGAGCCTAGGAAAAATATTGCTATTTGTATCAGGTGAATGAATACACAGCTAAGCCACAGGCCTGTAAACCTCAGCATGCAGATTGATGGCCACAAGCAGGAGGCATATGTTTCACCCAAGCAGGCCCTGAATTAGTTGAAGAGGGGCACAGGAAGAAAGACTTTTCCTTTGGAGGTTTATTTTGTAATAAGAAAGAAGCTTTTTTTCTAAATGTATGGTTTGGTGGGTTGGAGGTGAAGGCGAGGAGTCTTAAGTTCTCAAATTGGGGTGCTTAAAGACATTGAGGTGTCATGTACCTGACTGAGGTAGACCAATGAATTTCTATATTAAATATAGACTTTTTGCACATATACTTTGTGTATGTGTGTGGGAAGGTCCCATAATTTTTCAGATTCTCTTGACCTTCTAACATGTAAAGTATTGCTGCATTAGATTAATGTTTTTCAAATGTGAGCATTTCTCAGCATTGTTTTGAGGGCTTGTTAAAACATTGATTCTTAGACTCTGCCCCAAGAGTTTCTGTTTCAATAGCTCTGTTTGTGGGGCCGAAGATTTTGCATTTCTAACAAGTTCCCAGTTGACTCTAATGCAACTAGTTTGGGAGCTACTCTTTGAGGACCACTCCTTTAAACTAATGCAAGGGTTTCCAAATCTATCTGCACATTAGAATCTCTTGAAGAGCTCTGAAAAAATCAAGTGCTTGTCTCTGCTCTCAGATTTTTTTGTTTTTTCCAGAGTAAGGATCTTGCTCTGTTGCCAGGCTGGAGTGTCGTGGTGCGATCACGGCTCACTGAATATCTAACTCTTGGGCTCAAGTGATCAATCCTCCTAACTCAGCCTCCCAAGTAGCTGGGACAACAGGTATGAATGAGCCACCATACCCAGCTGAATTTTTAATGTTTTTGTAGAGATGCGGTCTCACTATGTTGCCCAGGTTGGTCTCTAACTCCTGACCTCAAGCAATTCTCCCTCCTTGCCCTCCCGAAGTGTTGGGATTACAAATGTGAACCATGGCATCTGGCCCACAGAAATTTGAGTTTAATTGATCTGGGGTCCCCAAGCATTTGAAATTTTTCAAAACTTTCCAGGTGATTCTAATAATATGCAGGCAGGACTGAGAATCACTGTCTTAGGGCTTGGGGACTGTCACAGTGATAGTATGATAGGGGAATGGAGGGTGATAGGTGATCCCTTTCACTTTCATATATTTAGCCATCTAATTGTTCCTTCCACCTAAGGTTATAAACAATTATATTAGTTTGCTAGGGCTGGTGTAACAAAGTGCCACCGACTGGGTGGTTTAAACTACAGAAGCTTACTGTCTCACAGTTCTAGGGGCCAGAAGTCCAAAATCACGGTGTTGGCAAGCTTGGTTCCCTCTGAGAGCTTTGAGGGAAGAGTCTGTTCCAGGGCTCTCCCTTGGACTTGTAGATGGTGGTCTCCTCCCTATGTCTCTTCACATTGCCTTTCCCTGTGTGTGTCTCTGTGTATACATTTCCTTCTTTTATATGGACAACAGTCATACTGGATTAGGGACCATTGTAACAACCTCATTTTAACTTGATTACCTCTGTAGGGACCTTATCTCCAAATAAGGTCACACTCTGAAGTACCGAGAGTTAGAACTACAGCCTATAAGTTTTGGAGGAATAGGGGTACAATTCAATTCATAACACTAATTCTGCTCTAAAGCTGAAAATATTTGAGGGTGGGAGAGGGATACTCTCTACTCCTTTTTGTAAGATTTCCCATTAAAACCAGAGCCTTTCCTAATCATATTAATAGAAAGTCAGTCTTTTGTAAACATTGTCTTTTCAGCCTATCATTACAGATTCTGAACTTTTCATATGATGCTTTTGAAGCAGAGCTGCTAGATACTAGAATGAGACCCCAGGGTCATCGCTACACAACTAGAAAAGAGAAGGTCACTGGCACCTGTTGTGATTTGTGATAAGCCCATCCAGGAGACACCACCAGCCATGTCTGCAAACAGACCCCAAGAAAACTTCAGCCAGTTTAGCCAGCCAAGAATTCTCCAGCAGGTTTACATGAGTCTGCTTTGCTTTGAGCATTGGAGAATCAGGTATAATATGTTTTTAATGTAACGTGACAATATTTAAGGTACCAGACAACCTTGTTTTTACAGCTTCACTCTGGGCTGAAGGGATTCTATGTTTGCAGCATGCTTAGGGATTTTTTAAGCAGAGCAAATTGTGCAATCAGCAAGTGGACCTTAACAAGATTGTTACCAGGTCGGCAGAACAGAGCTGGTATGGGAGATGCAGGAAAGCAAAGAAAGTAAGTGGGTGCACATTTAATATTCTGATATGTTCACAGTAGAGGAAGGAAACCTCTGTGGAATAAATAACACTTTTAACTACAAGCGGAATTAAGGTATGGGCTGGAGTCGGGAGGAAAGTACCTTTCTACCACCAATGACTTACAGAAATGTTTAAAACTGGGCAGAAGTCTAGATGTCATTAGCTAAGGAACAAATATGCATATAAGCCTCCTAAACAGTTTTGGCTATTAAACACCCATAGCTCTTAAATTATTCATTGTGCTCTGGCCACTCTGGCTCTCTTCCATTTTCTCAAACATCCTGGGCTCTTTTCCCATGTCAGGGTCTTTGTCTTCACTATTCTTGCTAGAAATGCTTTTCCTCTTGCTCTTTGCATAGAGCAGTTTTTGCCATCCTTTGTGTTTCATTGTAAATGTTGCCTCTTGAATGAAGTTTTCTTCTACGGCTCCATCTAAATATGTTCCCTCTCCCATTTTTCTTTTATAAAGCATTTCACATTTTATGTATTTTCCTTTTTTTTTTTTACTGTCTTTTCTTCCACGAAGGTATACTTTCCATGAGGGCTGGGACTATAAAACCAGCACCTGGCATATGGTGGGCACTCAATATAGGGTTTTTTTGAATAAATGAATGAACTAGGCTAGCAAAGAGTTCATGAATATGACCTGTGTTACACCAGGACAGAGACATCTATCCCATCTCCCAAAAGATACGGCTAATACTTTTAATTAAGTACCTACTATTGGTCTGGCCTTACATGGAAACCTTATATTTATAATCTCTAATATTCAAATCAATCATGCAAGATAGAAACTATTATCACTATTTTGTTAAAGAGAAGGTTAAAGACTTGTCCAACACTGCAGACCTATGATTCAAACCTTGGACAATCTAACCCATATTATTCTCATTTCATCATGAGACTAACAATTGTCCCTTGAGTCTCTGTACTCCTCTTTGACTACAGTGACAAAGATGGAGAAAGTATTTATACTGCCTACCACCTCTAGTAAATGTAGATCCAAAGGAGAAACAACATGATTTGACTTCCTGCCCTCCCTTCAAGCCCAGAGGGACAAAGTGATTACTATCATGGGTTACACAGGTCTTCAGGTATCATCCTGAAACTCTAGCTTTGAAAAACCATGGTTTCAAAGGGAAAAATAGTAACTTTACAGAGGAGCAACATGGAAGACTCTGCTTTAACCAAGTGATCAAAGTGAACATCATCAATATTAAAACATTGATATCAAGTACTTCTTGATGGGATGCTTTGAGATGGGCTGAATATTGCTTCTTTGGTATCCTTTGCAAAAATGCATAAACGCATTTTAATCACGAGACAACACAGACAACGCCAAACTGGCATATTCTAAAAAATAACTAGCCAGTACTCAGAAGTATGATGGTCATGAGGAACAGTTCCAGATGAGAGGAGACTAAGGCGACATGAAACTAAATTATCCTATGGTTATATACAATCTTAACATGAGGGTGAGTTAGGCAAAGGGTATCATGGGACTCTATATATATTTTTATACCTTTTTAAGGTTTAAAATTGCTACAAAATGAAGTGTTAAAAAATAGCCCGGTTTCTACAAAAGACTATTTCAATTTCTAAAAACTAAAAACTAAAACAATAGCTTACCAAAGGGAGTTTAGCACAAGCTTGCGTGTAAGTTGGGGACTCTGCATAAATTTTTGACACTGGGAACTACCTTGTAGTGCCAGAAGTTGTTTAGCAGATTCTGAAGACACAAGGTGGTAATGCTTTGTTATTATTTGGTCTGTTAGAGTAGGAATCAAGAAAAAAATGATTTTGAAATCATTTTTCAAATGAGAACATCTGTGCACATTTGAAGGGAAACAGACAATTTTTGGACCCCTCATTTGTAAATGCATTATTGGGAAAATGAGTTCTTTGTGGAGAATAGTGGACAAAGTCTGAAATCAAGAAAGGAAGTGGATGCTAATTGTCTATTTTACAACTATAATATCTCTTAATATTTGCGTTTTTTTTCCATCTATCATTAAAGACTAAGTCAAATGCTATTCCTTTCCCATCTTTATTCCTTTACCTGAAATAGACCAGGAAAAATCTCAGAATAATTTAATTAGGAGCCAGCCTCTGAGTACAATGACCTAAGGCCCTAAGAGGGAATCACTTACGTTTTGAGGCTTTTGACTTTTTCAGTAGATGCAACTTGTTTCCTACTGCCTATAACTTCATCAATGGGCTAAACACCATGTCTGCAGATGGGCAGCGCAAGGTGTAATTGCTGGAGCAGCCAGAGCCTCTGTCCCTGTGACAGAAACACTCCCCTGCATAGAGAAAGGGAGGCGGATGGCCATGGAGGGGGTTTTTAACAGCAGAACTGGCCTGCCCAGGAAACATTTTGCTCTAAATCCCTGCTTTCCCCACCCGTAGCAAATCTCTTGCTGTCCAGGAAACCCCTGAGGAGCTGTGAATAGGAAAGAGATGATGATGAGCACATTTATGCATACCAAAAAGCTGTGTGCCCCGGCAAGCTCATTTCATCAGACTGTCATGGAAGTCAGTCCTCTGCGGAGAGACATGCCCAGAAGAAGGGGAGGGAATGGAGTAAGAACTTTGCTCTGAAACAGGAAGTCCTCATCTCTCAGTGTGTTGGCAGGGCATCTGAAGGTGGTGGCAGGGCCAGAGAAAATTAGGATTCCTAAAGACCAGTCTCTCTCCTTGTTAGAGCCTTTAGGTTGTCTGGGGCTCTTTGTTAAAGGCTCTGAAGGAAGTAGAGGCCCTTCCTCATTTTACCCAGTGTCCAAGGCAAGACCTGAAGAAAGCAATGCAGAGGTCTGCTTATTTTCTTTTTTCCTATCATCTCACTGAGCTAGAAGCTGATTTATAAGCCCAGGATTCCTATTCTAAGATATAGCCAATTGGCTAAGCATGACAAAGTTATCTGGATATTGCCATCTCATTGGTGTAATTTTATATGTGTTTATTTATGAAAGAGCCAATCAGCTTTTACTACTGAATTCAGTTACATGCTGTCCAAGACTGCCTTCTTATAGCATCTTCTAGGATTTCAGCATTTTCTGAACAGGTTATCAAACCTAGAGATATTCCAGTTATCCATATAAAAATGAAATTCAAAGGGGTGACTGAAACAAGAAGGATATATTTTAAGAATCTGAATATGAGTGTATTGTTGAGCATGGTGAATGTGAACAGATATTACTGATAAATTATGCCATGTAAAGTCTAAGCTCATATCTGTTTCCAGGTATGGGAAGGGCATTACTGTATGATCCATATTTCTGCCACTGCCTCCCAGACCCTCCTTTTCCTGGGTGGATCTTTGAGGAATATTAAATCCATTATATTTGTAATGATTCAAAATTGTTTATCCATGATTCAAAATTGGTTTACACTGTCTTTGCCAACTTGCACGATGGCCCATGAGTCATTTCCTTTGCCTCCCTGAAAGCCCTCATTTTTTAAACAGTCCTTTCATCCAACCAAAATATGCTTGTGAAAAATTTACATAACTGAGATATATTGGTAATGTGTGTAGAAACTCTCATTAGGGACCTTACCAAAGATTTCGTCAATCCCTCATCTTTCAGTGAAGAAACTGAAGTACAGTTTGGTGAAGTTGCCAGGTTACATTATGAAACGGTAGACTCAAAACTTGAAAATAAGTCCTCTTCCAAGTAGTCTGCTGAAATTATGTTGCCTCATCAATGTCCCTCCCATCTCTAGTCAATGCGAATCAGAGTCTCAAGGTTGGAAAATACCTTAAAGGTTTGTTAACCTACTCATTTATCTGATCTTTTCATACTCTATAAAACCCTTAACAGCTCTTCCCCAGCCTATGCTTAAATACTCCCATGACAATGCCTTCAATAATAATTGTTGAATGAATGAAGACATAATAATTTTATTCCAGCTTCTATTATGATTGTCCTTTTAATATTTGAAGAATTTTCTTGTATTTAGATTGAACATTCATGCTTTATTCAATATTTTTTAGGTTTTATCTCGGTTTTCAGCCTTCTCATCACCAGGACTCCCTTCTGAAGCTGCTTCTAGTATGGCACCCAATAGTCAGTATGATGCTCAGCATGACCTGATCAGCTTCAAGGAGAATACAACTATCCCTATCTTATTTTAGAGCCAAATACATTCTGGGTTAACACATACTATCATCACACTGTCACACTGTGGACTCTATGAACTTAGTGTAAATTCAAACTCATTTCTAATATTTTATATCTAATTCTCTTGTCTCATTTATTCCCATGGTTTTAGTTACTACATATATGTTGATTCTCAAATATGTACCTCATTAAGTTAGTTTGGACCTCATTTGTGAGCTCCAGGTTCTTATGTTCAACTGTATCTTGGTCATCTGTAGTTGGATAGCGCACAGGAACATGAGCTATCAAAATTCTACATGTCCTAAATTTTAGCCCTTATTTTCTCTTTTTAAACTGCTGTTCCTCCAATATTTTCATCTCCCTAAACAGTACCATCCTATAATGATGGTCAGAAATCTCAATATAAGTATCATCGATGTCTTCCCCATCCTTCACATCTCAAATCCAAAAACTTACCACATCTGGTTGCTTCTACTCCACAAATCTCTCTCTGCTACTTTTCTCTCTGCTGCTGGCTGTCAGCCTCTGTTGCCGGGATCCCTTCTGAACATGCTTATTCTCCACATGCTTCCAGATTGATACTTCTAGAGCTCATATTTGATCATGTTACTTTCCCGCTTGAACTGCTCAGTGGGCTTCCGTTGCTTTTATAATAAGATCTAATCGTTTAATATGGCTTAAGGGGGCCTTTCATGATCTTGATTTTGCTACGTTTTCCACCTCCTTGAATATCTATTTCTCTGCTTCACTTAGCTAATTCCAAATCTTCTCTCTTTCTTTTTTTTAGATTCCAGCCTAAACGTTGCTTCTTGGGGCATGGAAGACATCACCCAGATAAGTTAGGGACCCCAACACTATTTCTACTATCATAACACTTGGCCACACATTTTAATTTTGCTGGCTTAAAGATCTGCCTTCCCTGTTGCATTCTAAGTGCTTCAAGGGCACGGAAGCATCTGTCTTGCCCACCACTGTATCCATAGTGCCTGGTACAGTGGCAGGCATATCACAGAGGCTCAAAATTATTCATGGCAAGAAGAAAGTCCAGGAGCTTTCATTTTATCTCTACAAAACCTTCATATTTCTAGATTTAGTCGAAGTTTTCCATGTTCTTTTTGGGAATTCTGTATGTCATAATTAATAGTACTTCTTTTTTTTTTTTTTTTTGGATACAGGGTCTTGCTGTGTCACCTAGGCTGAAATACAGTGGTACAATCATAGCTCCCTACAGCCTCAAAATCCTGGGCTCAAGCGATCTTCCTGCCTCAGCCTCCTGAGTAGCTAGGACTACAGGTACAAGCCATCCCTCTTAGATGATTTTTTCATTTTTTATAGAGATGGGGTCTTGCTATGTTGCCCAGACTGGTCTTGAACTCCCATCCTCAAGTGATCCTTCCTCCTCAGTCCCCCAAAGTGCTGGGACTACAGGTGTGAGCCACATGCCTGGCTTAAGTTATCTACAATTTTAACTCATCTACAATTTTGATAATTCTATCTTTTGCGTGTTCATTCAAGGAATTTGACACACATGTTGAAGTGCTGATGAGATCATGTGCTAAGAAATATGCATGATTGGAGTGTTGGAGGGCCCGAGAGGGTGGGTGACCAGGAAGAAGGAGAAAATGATACTGGAACTATCCTGAGGGTCTCACCAAGTTTGGTAAGAGTAAATTTGTGTGCTATCTTTTGTTTATCCATAATGTTAGCAACTTAGGTACTGTGCATTTGCACGATGATGGAGAATTTTCTAAATCTCTTTGAGATGGCTTTTCTTGCAGAAGGTCATACCATGTAATCATATATATTTTTCCTTTGAACATTTTTTGAAGTTCGTCAAAATTGAAGTTGGTTAGATAGGTAAGTCTTCACGTGTAGGACTGAAACTGTCACGGTAGCACTTAAAGAAAGTTTCAGAGGGTTAGAACTTAGTTAAGTAATTCTTCTGAGACATCTAAATATTTAAAGTTTTTTTTTTCTTTTTGCCTTAATTCATGACTTAGTTCTTATTTTACTTGTGAACCATTGCAAATGATTCTATAATATGACATCTTACTGGGAACAGGTAGAGTATAAGTAAATAAATGACTTGAAGTCCTCTTAATATATGTTGCCACTGCACAGGAATGCATCATCCATTTTTTTCCACCTGGATAGTAGCTGAGAGTACTACTCATTTTTTTCCCCACCTGATAGTAGCTGAATGTCTGCAATGTTTTAATTTCTATTCCTCTCTGCAAATCCACACCCACCTGCTCTCCAGTGGGCTCTCTGTGTCAGAAATCACATCCATTCCCTATTTTAAATCTCAGATATGCATCTTTTAATCAGGCAATGTTTCCCTCTGGTTTTGAGTTCTCCCAGGGGTATTGAGTCTAGAGGCGATACAAAGCCATAACAAGAACATGGCACAAGTTTCTGGGGTCAATCTTGCTCACAGGTTGTATTAGATTCCTCATATGGTTAGCTCTAGATACCCGGGATTCAACCTGTCTCCAGGATCCTTGTTCACATGTTCTACCATAGCTGTGTTGGTTTGAGACTCCCACTAGGGGTCTCAGGATGCTCCTACCATTCTAGACTCAAAGAAGTCCCTGCCCTATGGGTGATGTGGCTTGCTCTGTGGTGTCTTGAAGGGGGTCATGTGGCCCTAACCCAGAATGCAGAAGTGTTAACTCCTCACTGGGCAAAGTTTGATAAATATGAAATGGACCCAGTGCACAAATTCCCTCCCATCTCCTTCCTCACCCCTTCAATGACAGAGTCTCCACATGGCCTTTGAAAAGACATCCAGCAGACCAGGCCATCAACTCTGTTTGCTAGAAAGGGAAGGCTAACTTGGTGATGTCCCTTATATCTGCATTCCACCTAATCTGCCTCATCCCCCTTCTCTCTCCCTCCTGCCTCTCTGGGATTGTGCTACTCAGCAAAGTGTCAGTGTGAAAGCATTTGCCTCAGGCACTGTTTTCTAGGGATTCTGGGAAAACCTATTGGATGGTATTGCACAAAAGTTTAATGAATTTTAGGATAAAATATGACTCTTCAAAGATACTTAATGCTCACAATGGGCTCTTCAAGAGAAACAGACCGCTTGGAAAGACAGGTTTGATCTCATCTGCTCTTAGGGATTCTTCGGTGGAAACATTTGAAGAGGACTAGAATATGTTCTGAGTTTTTCAATACTATATTTAAGGTTGAAATTTAGTCCACTCTTTCCTCCTCTTCCTTCTCTTCCTTCCTCTTTTGTGATATAATTATTACTTCACTTTATCATTTATGTTCCCTGCCTTGGTTTCCACGGTAAGTTTCCCCAGGTCTCTGGTATTTGGCATTGAGCCTGGCGTATAGAATACAGCCAGTGAATATTTCCAAATCAGTTCATGAATGAATGAATGGAGTACCTTTCATTTTTTTCTATCAAAATTAATAAAGATTGAATAATTGAAACTCATGCTAATTGTGATAAATCTTCCAATTCACACACATTTTTAAAAAAGGGAATTACCATTTTAAAAGTTCTTACAATTTTCTAAGTATTTAACTTGAAATTATTATAGGGCAACTGCTAGCATAGTAACCTTAGAGTAACCTATGTTCATTCATTCATTTATTCAGCAAATGTCATTGAGCTCCTGGTATGTACTGGGCATTATTATAAACTCCAGGAAACACAACAGTGAACTAAATACTCATACTTTCCTGCTATTATGGAGCTTACATTCTATATCATGTCTCTGTGCTTTAATATGAATTGTAAAATGAGTATAGTTCCTATCTCAACCTTTTTAAAAGATAAAATGAGGATATCTGATACAGCGATAACTAAATATAATCTTGAAGAATATATATATCTTGATTATATATAATTAATATATAGGTATAATTTTCCAGTTTTAAAGACAGTATCAAGCATGTACTAAGTACTTAATGAATGTTAGTAGGTGCTATTATTGTTGTTAATTTTTTTATAATTGTCGTTAATTTTTTTTATTATTGTAATCATTAAGCAGACTGGGGCATATTCCATAAAACTGCATAATCCACATGAAGATAATGCAAACACGAACACCCATTTTAGTGTAGGCAGTGTTTGATGTAGCCTTAGGAAGCCATCAGCATCTTTCAGGGAGAGGCAAATGGGGCTTATAATGCTGTTCTTTCTGCCAAATCTGCTTAGACGTGAAGACCTTTGAGTCTGCCATCTTGAAGATGACTCCATATCAATTGATACAAAACATAATCCATCCTTTAAAGAATCCTGCCTCTTTATTATCTATCTTCAGCAGCTGTTGGATTTTGCTATCACTAGGTATTAAACTTGAGGAGGGTCACTAAACGTATGTTGATAGAAAAAGGTAACACTAGTTATACATTATAAGGCCTGAACTCAGTGAAGACACAATGTCTTCCCATTGTGCAGTCAATATTTCACTCAGCCATGGCCTCAATGCCTGGACTCCCAGGGAATAGGAATCATTCATGTGCTGGTAAAGCCATACCAATACTAGTAATACTTAAATAACTCGTTTGTGTGTGTTATATATGATGTCTGCTTGTGAAAACAGGGTAAATATCAATACAAATTAAGTAAAATGTGCAAGGTTGATTTTTTTTCTAAAAAAATGCAGACAAGATATATAACCAAATATATCACATTCAGTTAAAACAGTAGATACAAAACATAAAAGCACTGAGTTTTCCATGTACAGAGTTTATAATATGATGCAAATTTAAGGATGTTGAGATTTTTCATAAACTACTAGCTTTTCTATCTCCAGAACTTGGACATTAGCGCTTTTCGGTGGAAATCTTGACATAAAAATATGTGCAGACATAAAAAAGAATGAAATCCTGTCCTTTGCAGCAACACTGATGGAGCTGGAGGCCATTATTCTAAATGAAATAACTCAGAAACAGAAAATCAAATACTGCATGCTCTCAAATGGAAGTGGGAGCTAAGCAATGGGTACACATGGACATACCGAGGAAATAATGGACACTGGTGGCTCCAAGAGGGGAAGGGTAGGTGAGAGGTGAGGACTGAAAAATTACCATTTGGGTATAATGTTCGCTCTTCAAGTGATGGGTACACTCTAAGCCCAAACCTCACAATTATGCAATTTATCTATGTAGCAAACCTTCATATGTACCCCCAAATCTATAAAAAATATAAAAAATATGTGCACAGACTAATCATTTCTACTCATGGTCTGCTCTTTAGAGTCTCAATGCAGCCATGAGAATTAAACCTGAACGTGCTCACTGTATTCAGGCAACCAATCAACAGCACTTATGTGCTTAGCATCAGTGATGAGCATGCACTTTTGCTGGGGAAATCTGTCCCTCTTCTCTCAAATGGTGTTTGTGTGGTATCCAGGGTTTCTATCTTCATCTCTACCAGTGGACATTTGTGAGGAGGGTTTTACGTACTGCGGGCAAATGAACTCATTTCAAAAAAATGAGTAGTCAGTTTAACTAGAATATTATTACTTGGCAGAGTTGTGCTATTCTTAGAGCAATGGTACCGAATGATTTGCAGTAGTTTAATTGGTCTTTTACTCATTTGGTAGATGGCAAAGCCATCCTGGAAAAGAAGCATCCAAGATTTGGTGTGCAGGGTGGGTAAACCAAGCCCTGTAAATGGGCTAATAAAGAGGGAAGCTGGTCACTGAGGTTACCAATTCTTTACATATTTTCAGTTGTGATTTGAAGATATACATCAGAATGATATGACCATTGCAAAGATAACTGACACAAAAGTGGCACTGTTGGCTGTGTGCGGTGGCTCACGCCTGTAATCCCAGCATTTTGGGAGGCCGAGGGGGGCGGATCATGAGGTCAGGAGATCGACACCACCCTGGCTAACATGGTGAAACCCCGTCTCTACTACAAATACAAAAAATTAGCCAGGCGCGGTGGCGGGCACCTGTAGTCCCAGCTACTCGGGAGGCTGAGGCAGCAGAATGGCATGAACCCGGGAGGCGGAGCTTGCAGTGAGCCGAGATAGCGCCACTGCAGTCCAGCATGGGTGAAAGAGTGACACTCCGTATCAAAAAAAAAAAAAAAGTGGCACTGTTTGGATCAGGCTGTGCACCATTGTCTCCTCACATAGTAACTCGTTGAGAAAAGATCTCGGGCTAAATATACCCTTTAGGGGTTTACATACATCCCCTAAATCCTGCCTTACTCAGTGACATTTTGGAAGATTAATGTTATGGAGCTAAAACTTGGCTTTTATAAAAATTGAATATTATTTGAAACAACTAGACCATTGAACCTAAAAGCTTTTTTTTAAAGAGTAATTTTTATGATCAAATATTTTTATTACTGATTACACTTGAGAAATTTTGCCAACATCAGCTATATCCCCATGATGATCTCTTCTTCAGATGGAGAAGCAGTTATACAATTTACGATAACAACAATACATCTACTTTTTATTTCACAATGTTTTACAATTAATCATCATTTCAATTCAACCTCATATCACCACTGTAAAGAAGATATTGCTATTTGAGGACTGGAGAGGTTAATTATTATGTCCAATGTCATATAGTGATTGACTAATAAAGGTTGGTCTGAAGCAGACATTCATTTATCCATTTATTCATTCATTCTATTTTTTTATTTTGCTAAATAGCACATGAGATCTATCCTCTTAACATGTTAAAGTGTATAGTACAGTATTGCTATCTCTAAGTACAATGTTGTACAGTACAGCTCTAGAAATTTTTCATCTTGCATCACTGAGACTCTTTACTCATTAAACAGCAACTCTCCATTTTCTCCTCCTCCCAGTCCCTGGAAACCACCATTCTACTTTCTGCTTCTATGCGTTTGGCTACTTTAGATACCTCAGATAAATGGAATCATACAGTATTTGTCCTTCTGTGACTGGCTTATTTCACGTAGCTTAATCTTCTCAAGGTTCATCCATATGGCAGGATATGACAGGATCTCCTTCCTTGTAGGCTGAATAATATCTCAATGTATGTACATACTATTTTCTCTGCCCATTCATAAATCCATCTATTCATATTTTCATATGCATTTACAGTGTTTCTATATCTTGGCTATTGTGACTAATGCTGCAGTGGACATTGGAGTGCAAATATCTCTTTGACATACCGATTTCAATTCCTTTGCATAAATACCCAGAAGTGGGATTGTTGGATCATATAGTAGTTCTAGTTTTAGTTTGTTGAGGAATCTCTATACTGTTTTCCATAGCGGCAACAACATTTTACATTCCCAACAGTTCAGACGAGTTTCAATTTCCCTAAATCCTCTAAATACTTGTTATTTTCTGTTGTTTTGATAATGGCTGTCCTAATATGTGAGGTGATACCTCATTGTGATTTTGGTTAGCATTTCCCCAATTATTAGTGATGTTGAGAATCTTTCTATAGACCTGTTGGTCATTTGTATGTCTTCTTTGGTGAAATGTCTATTCAAGTCCTTTGCCCATTTTAAAAACAGGTTATTTATTTTTTGCTATTGAGTTGTATAAGTTCCTTATATATTTTGGATACTAACCCCTTTTCAGATATATGGTTTACACATATATTTTTTGTATTACACCATCTAGTAATTGTTTAGATTGAGTCATTTGAGCAATAGGCAAAGCTCTATGTTGTCAATAATGACCTGATTTTCTGATGTGTCCATGTCTCCACATTTGTGTCATCAACCTCATTTTTTGAGGGGTAAGGGTAAAAAGTCTTTTCAATGCATGTGTATCACCAGGAAAGGGCAATATGCTAACCAGTTAGTACCTATGTTCTTGTATAATAATAAATTCATTAATCAAGTTTCCATCCTGTTATTTGGCTCAGAGCAGGATTCATAAACGAAGTGACCCCAAAGATGAGAAATCTGGTGAGGAAAGTGTATCAAGCCAGTTAAGCATAAAGTATATCTAGGAAGACAGGCTGTGGGATATGGGGATGGATTTCGGTGAGGGCCTCTGAATTATAAAAAACAGTAGGAAGAATAATATGAAGATTATGAACATGTGATATGCTAGGAGCTGCTACGGGCAGGTGATGAAAAGGGCAACAAAGGAAAATTTTTGTCATTTTGTCCTGATAAGAGTAAACTGGTTTCCCTAATCTTACCCTGGACAGCACAGGGGCCTATTTACACTCTAATCAGATTTATGTGGGAGCCACTTTGTAATGGGGCTTCTTGGGGTCCTCATGCAGGTAAGTGGGGCAATTCTATGAAAGGGAATATCTGGTGATTCTCAGACCCTTAACCCTTAGCATGGAAATCCAAATTCTGTGGTGCTTTGAGGCCCACTTTTGTCATTTAATAGCTTGGAGACATGAGACAATCTGGGTGGCCACTCAGGCAAATCACCTAAAGCAACTGGATCTCCAGTTTTCCCTTCTATGAAAACCAGGATTGGCATGGGGACCAAACAGCCAAAGATTGCAAAAATGCTTTCATATCTGCAGAACGTTACAGCCACATTACTGATGGGCATTGTGCTTATTTTTCCTTCAGATGTCTCAACACTGCAAAATTTCCCATGGAGAAATTTATTTCAATTTTTATCAAGTTAAAAAATAAAATACACACTGTGAAGCACTTTGGGGAACAGTGAAATTGTAAAGCAAAAAACAAAACAAAACAAAAACAAACAAAAAAAGGGTATTGCCTCTCTGCAAGGCTAAAAATCAGCAGGACAAGGGATCCAGGGCTGCCGAGGGGCCAGAGTGAAGCTCCTGGGAAACCAGGCATTTTCTTTTCTCCTGGTGAAAATGGAAGAGATCCACTTGGAAGAATAAAAGAACCAAGGCCAAAGAAGTACTTTTTTTTATTTCTCAGCCAGAAAATATGTATGGAAAACTATATCATGTTGTTGGATTTCAGAGTAATTATCACTACTTAGTCCAATCCTTTTATTTTATACATAAGGCAATTGCCTAATTGACCAAAGAGGGCAATTAACTCCCTCACAGTCAAACAGCTCTAAGCGGCAGAGCTCAGTCCCAGGTCTGGGTCTTCTGATTCTCAATCCAATGTTTTAATCTCATGTCAACTGAATTTATAGTAAAACAAAATACATATCTGTAGTATAAAAGTTAGTCTAGGCACTTATTTGCAGCAGCAGCAAATATTAATCAATTCTATGTGCATGAATACACAGTGTATAACATCGGACATATTTTAATATCAAATTTTGAAGAGTCTAAATGTAAGTATGAAATGTCACCTTCTCAGAGGACCAGCATTCGTAAGGACAGAAAATATCTTATGAATAGCTGACATTTGGAGTCAGACATCCTGGCTTTCATTCCCATTTTAACATCTTAATTTAGCCTCTCTCTACCTCAGTTTATCCATCTGGAAATGGGGCCAAAATAGCAAAACACTGCACAATAACACTATGTGAAGATCAAATAAAATATGATACAAATACAATATATAAATATTAAATAACACAAATACATACATATAAAATATTATAAATAAAGTGCCTCACACAGAGCCCAACACATAGAAAGGACTAAATAAATCTTAGCCATTAGAACAAATATTATGGCTAAAGGGGAATAGAAAATGTGCTTAAAAAAAAAAAAGGTTAGGATAAGAAATCAGTACTTTGCCACTCCCATCCATGGCACTTTGCTGCTTACTAGCTATGTGCCCTTTGGGAAGTCTCTCAACTCGAATGGGTTCCATTTTCCTCAGCTGTGAAATGCAAAGAATAGTATTTAGAAGTATCATAGTGTTGATGTAAGGATCAAACAAAATAACCTGGACAGCATTTTCTGATATATAATATATCCATAACAAAATATTGTGAAAGAAAGGAAGGATGGGAGGGAGGGAAGCTATGAAAACACTTGGAAACCATAAAGCATTTTTTGACTCTCAATGACTGGGGACTTCTGCTTGTCTGTGGCTGAAAAGTCGAGAACTTTACCTTTTTGCCACAGCTCAGCTGCTGACTCATTGTTTGATGCTGGGGAAATAATTTAATCTCTAGATGACTATCTCAGTGGGTGTATATAATTTGTACTCTTCTGCCCAGAGTCACTGCATTGGATGAGATGACCTTGAGGTCCCCTTCAACTCTAATTTTCTATGATAAAATTATGTTCTCTCTGCCAGTGGTGCCTCTCCAATAAAAAGAAAATAGTAAAACCTTAGGCTAGTGAATGTGTCAAATGCTCTGAGATTTGCAGGAGAAAATTAATGTTCACAGGGTGGTTCTTGTTGAGAAAGGATACTTCCCATTTTCACACTCCCTTTTTTTCTATTGAGGTTTTTAATTTAGTTGAATTATAATGCTTTTTTGCTGCTCTACAACTTTCAAACATGGGTGTGCTTTTGTGAAAAGTCTTTAATCATCTAATTTCTTACATTCTCTGTCTAAAAGCGACATCATGAGAATTGCTAGCAATTTAAGCTTTTCCTTTCATATGACTTTATGGTTTTCAAGACCTATGGCTAGGTAGATACAGATACTGGTGTTCACAATGAGCCAAACACTAAATTTTTAAATGTGAATGACTGTAAAAAGTATCTCATTCAATTCCATCATTTAACAATAGGAGATCCTGGCGCTCAGAGAGGGAAAGCATCTAAACCAAGGTCAAACAGGAATGGACTTCAGATCTCTTGATAAGCAGTAACTATGGCAAACTGCCTTTTTCAAAGATATTTGTAACACTGTCTCCCATTCCACATGCTTCTCTGTAATGTGCTTTTTGCCACTCTTCCATTAAGAGATGGAGGCTAATTCTTCTCTCCTTGAATCTGCTTGACTAATAGAATGTGGCAAAAGTGACACTGGAAAATTGAAAGGCTAGGTCATGAGGGATCTTAGCAGCTTCTCCCTGGGTCTCTTGGGATGCCTCTTGGAACCCAGCCCCAGTGCTATGGGAAACTCTAGCCACATGGAGAGGCCATATACAGGCAATACAATCAACAGCCCCAGCTGAGCTCCCAGCCTATAACCAGCACCTACTGTTAGTCAAGAAGTGAAGCTTTCTTGGACATCCATCTCAGCTCAACCTTTACAACAGGGGTCCCCAACCTCCAGGTCGCAGACTGGTACCAGTCTGTAGCCTGTTAGGAACCTGGCCACACAGGAGGAGGTGAGTGGTGGGTGAGCGAGCATTATCACCTGAGCTCTGCCTCCTGTCAGAACAGCAGCATTAGATTCTTAGAGGAGTGCAAACCCTATTGTGAACTGTGCCTCCAAGGGATCTAGGTTGTACTCTCCTTATGAGAATCTAATGCCTGATGATCTGAGGTGGAACAGTTTCATCCCGGAACCACCCACCCACCCCACATGAAAAAACTGTCTTCCTCAAAACTGGTTCCTGGTGCCAAAAAGGTTGGAGACTGCTGCTTTCGTAGACTGAAGCCCCAACCACCATCTATGACCCCATGAAATATTCAGGAGAGAACTCTCTGAGTCCAGCCTACCCACAGAACCATGAGAGATAATGAATATCTGTTTCAAGATCTATGTGTTGGGGTGGTTTGTTTTGCAGCAATAGGTAACTTGAACAGTACCCTAGCCTGCATTGGCTCTCGGGTTCACACTATTTCTTGCTGAGTAAACTATTTGGGATTAGCAGGGTACCTCAATTGCTGCAAGTGAGAGCCATTAATCTCAGTTTGACTGGAGGAACAATTTAATGTCAGAATTCGTAAAATTGCAGAAATTGTAACTTCCCATCTTTTGCTTATATGGAAAACTTGCCTCCTTTGCTTCTAGGGGTAGTCATGGCACTAATTGTTGACCAATGAGGTATAAGCAGAAATGTGTGCGATTTTTCCAAAAGATTGCTTAAAGGAGCTGAGTTAGCCAAGAAGCAAGACCTTTTCATTCTACTTTACTTTCTCTCTCCTTCTGTCCTATGTCCTAGAACTAGACATGATGGGTGCAGTTTTAGCAGCTAGCTTGGATAATGAGGTGATCTCCAGTATAGAAGTTGCATCAGGCAGGGTCTAACCAGGAAAGCAAAATCATACTTCACATTTAATGTTGATTGAATTTAAAGGGGGGAAGTGGTTACACAGATCCTGGAAGAGCTGAGAAGCCAAACAAAATGGTGAGAAAACCTAGAGATTAGCAAGAGATTAGCCACTACCAATGCCGCGGGTAGGCAAAGGAGAGAGAGTGTCTTGCTGGAGCCGACTGCAGAGTCACCCAACAGAAGCTGAAACACAGTGGGCCTAGCCTGTAGGAGCCAGAGCCCCAAATAGACACAGCCACTGCCAGGGGCAGCCCAAGGCAGAAAGGCTTCTCCCCCCTCCCCCCTCCCCATTCCATCAAACTCTGGCCAATGCCTCCCACTGGCAAAACTCAGCAGGAAGCCAATAATCTCAAGAACCAGAGCAATACAAGCTACAGGGGCCAGCTTCCCTGCAGTACAGGGCACATCAGGGAAAGGGGTAGGGATGCCTCTGAGGGCAAATAAGCCCAGAACCACCACAGAAGCCAGTGCCAGGATGGTGAAACAGAAAGACAGAAGGAAGTTGAGCTCTGATGATCATGGAATTGCCATACAAAATAAATGCTGGTTTTCTGCAAGCTGTCATTTATTCTGATTTTTTTCTTATATAAAGAAAAACACAATACTAATTGATATCAATGCCTCTTAGGGAGGGGAGTACATTAGTGTGCCAAGTCTACCATAGCAAAATACCACAGATTGGGTATTTTCTTACAGTTCTGGAGGCTGGAAGTCCCACATCAAGGTGTCAGCAGGCTAGTTTTCCCTGAGGTCCCTCTCCTTGTCTTGCAGATGACTACTTTCCTGCTGTGCCCCTCACAGGGCCTTTCCTCGGTGTGTGCCCTTCTGGTCTCTCTGTGTGTCCAAGTTTCCTCTTCTTGCGAGGACTCCAGTCTGACTGAATGAGGGCCCACCCTAATTGCCTCATTTTAACTTAATTATCTCTTTAAAGGCTCTCTCTCCAAATATGGTCACATTCTGAGGTCCTAGGGATTAGGGCTTCAACATACAAATTCAAGGGAGACACAATTTCACCCATCACAAGGGCCAAGGAAAAGAATCAGAAAGTTGGAGAGTTAAATCATCCTAAATTATGTATGCCAACTAGAAAATAATAGTGTTGATAATGCCAAACAGCCAATAACCTCAGAAACATTTTTGTGTGGCTTTATGACACCAAGGTCACTCCTGGATCGAACACCTCTGTGGCTTACATTGCTGATATGCTGTTATGTAACTTAGCCTGTTTTATTTGCTCATGCGGAGGCTCACCATTCGTTTTCACTTAGATCACTGAGCCAGGAGGTCTTCTAAGAGACCTAGAATTTGGCAGGTGCTAATTATTGGCTAACCCCTCAACTAACAGGAATTCCCACTTCTGCTGGGGAAGGGATTCGGATGCGCAGTGAATCCTCAATAAAGGGGCAGCTGCAAAATGGTGTCAGTTCCATAGTCTGCTCCTATAATTAGCTGCACCTTAATCCTCATGTACACAATTCTTTCTGAGACTACAAAAGCGCCATCCTCCTCCAGCTGCCAGCCCTTTCCCCTAAGCTTGCTTTTGGCTACACAGCACTGCTTCTGAAGATGTAATTTAGCCTTTCGGTTTAAAAGGCAAGGTCTAATGAGTGATCCTGAGTGGTGATACGCAGAACCCTCACCCTTCCAAGCACAGTGGCTGCACATAGAATAAGAGAAAGCAGAGGCAGTCAGAATGTCACTAAAGGAGGCAAATGTGACCCTGTGGGTGGAAATTTCAAGTTATCCTCTTAATCAAAGAATAGTTTATTGACAATGTTTTCGACATGGATCAAGCTTTCTCAAAGACCATGCTTTAGTCAGGTTGAATTACAAGGGTTTAAAATGGCCCCAGTGACTTCTGATGACAATAATGGTGTCTGAGGAATCAGTCGCTTTTCCCACAAGCTACGTCTTTCCTTCCAACCTTCCTCGACACTCACCTTTCTGTGAAAGAAAGCCAGGCTTGACATTTCAGATGTGAAAATTACCCTAAAACTGATTTCTGAAATAGACACTCAGTTCTTATTTGGAAATATTCTGTTGCCAACAGCATATTCTCCCTATTTCATTTTAATTGGGCTCAGACCCAAGGGGGTCTGGGGCACTTGATCTGAGATGGGGTCCCAGGAGCCAGTGCTGGTTTTGTGTTGAGACACGGCTGTCCCATGGGCTGCAGTGTGAAGAGAGATAGAAAGAGAGTGTCCGGGGACAACATGAGACAAACCCGCCAAAAGGAATGGATGCAAAGATTGAATCAGATAGGAGACAATGACATAAGAAGCAGAGGTGTCAAGACATAGAAATACTAGCTTGAGAAAGCACTGCACAGAGGGCACAGCCTGAGGACATAGCCTAAGGAATGGAAGCGTAGCATTACTCCTCCTGCAGAGGCCTTTCTACAGTGATATGCCTGTAAGCTATCCTGGGGGTAGGAGGGCACTTCTGCAGGCATCAGGCTAGTTTGCAAACTTAATTCCCTGGTCTCTCTCCGTAATCTGTCTTCCAGTTATTCTGAGGCTAATTCTCCCCCCACGTGACAGCTCCCTCCTTTTCCTTCCTGCTGCAAGTTCCTGAGCAGGGCTGGTCTTGCCCCATAGACTGGGTTGTTTTTCAGCTGATTATGAAGCTTACAGTGTTCCCACTGCATCAAAACGAGGTTCCCCTGCAAACCTTATCCCTGGATGGAATGTGACATCTTCCACTGAATGTTTTCTGGACCTGCCCGGTCATTCTGTGATAGGCAGCATGTAGGCAGCATTCCCAGACGTGGATTCTGGGAGACAGCCATTTGAAGGCAGGGGTTAAGTTGGAGAAGGGAAGGAGGAGGGGGAGGAGTGTTTCAGCTCATGTTGATTCTGTCAGATTTCAGCTGAGGTTTGTGAAGAGATAATTGTGTTATATTTTCTCATCCTTCACAGCCTGGTGGTTCCTGTATAATTATATATGCCTGAGCTTAATATTATTTCAGAAAGAAGAAAAGTGTACAACAGATTTTTAGCCTCAGGCTTCTTATGATTGGGTACAGATTTTACTCTTGCAAATAATTTAGTTCTTTTTTCCCTTTGCAAGGAGTAATTGTAGGGACGTGGCTCAAGTGGATAGCTGGCCTTTGGGGGATTTTCTCGGGGTGAGAAAAGAGTCACCAAGCTAGGGGCATATGTCATTCATGACCTGATGAAACCCACGAAAATGGTCCTCCTGTGTTTTAGACAGCAACTAGGGAAATGAAGGATCTTTCTGCCGTAGGCACCAGAAGCTATAGGGGTTGGCTCGCAATAAAAATCCCATTTGAAAAAATTCCTTGCCTTTTGGGTAACCCAACCAATTTGTAAAAATTTTAGGAACATTTCCAAATATCATTTAAGTTTTGCCACTTACATTATTAATATGATTAAATATTATTAGGTTATATTATGTTACACTGAATTATTATGCTAATTATTAATACATTGCCTGGACTAGAAAAATAAAAAAGAACACCTCAAGTTGAGTGAAATTTTCATATTGATGCTATATAATTACCATTATTGAACCAGAAAGAGAAGCTGAATGCAATTAGGAAAAGAAAGCCTAGTCCAAATGTTTTTATTGATATCATCAATACACATACTCAAGATTGCTGATAAAAATTTTAATACAACCTGGTGACAGAATAAATTACACCAGTAATATAATTATTTCAAGTTAATTAAAATACTATTGGCATATATAATATTTTTCTTAAAATTGAGGATATAACCCTACCTTCCTATTTGCACTATTTAGAGTTTAAGTTACCATGTGATTGACTTTTATGTATAACTTCGGCTTTTTCTTCTCTTATAAGCTTTTGTGGTCTGTAGTCAACAGAAGATTAGATATTCCGGCAAATACCTCACTTTCTATGAATCTGTTTCCGATAGGGAAAATGGGGATGATCAGGAAAGCCATTTCTCACTGTGGTTGGGTTTTGCAGTGGTATGACAACGTCAGACACAAAATGCTTAGCAGGAAAGCACAGTGGTATGAGTTCAGGCTCTGAGGCCAGGCTTCCTGGTTTTGAATACTGGCTCTGCGTGAGACCTCTGGCAAGTCGCTTACATCTCTGTGTCTTGGATCCCCCATGTGTAAAATGGAGATAAATATATCACAAAGGGATATTATAAGAATTATATGTGATAATAATATCATAGAGGGATGTTAGCAGTCTTCCATGAGTTCATAGAGGTAATGGTTTTAGAACAATGTTTGGTACACAATGCTCACAATATAAAATGTTTGTAATATTATTAGCAGACTATTTGGCATGCTGTAAATGCTCAATAAATAGTAGTATTTGTTATTTTTACAAACATCCTCACCCACACACATCCACAAAGCAGAATGTCCTTACTTCCTATTCTACTCCCTGCCATTCACATTATTTCTCTCTTGCTGGCCCTTATATTGATCTTGTTTCCAAGCCTTATCGCTGCTTCTTTCACATCTCTTCAATTCCGTTTTATTGCTACCACCACCAGGTTTTCAAACTTAAAATATCATGATAGCCTTCAAACTGCTATTCCTGCCTTCAAACTTTTCCCATTTCAATCCATCCTTTGTGGTATTAAAAAACATGATTTTTTTTTTCCTGCTCACTGACTACTTGAATCCATTGTCCAGATTCCTTATCAACTGAAGCTTTCCATTTGTAGTCCCCGAATACGTTCCATTATCCAGTGCTCCAGCCAGGCTGATTTATTCCCAGTGGTCATCATCACTTTTCCTTTGTCTGATGTTTGTCTAACAATTTGAATCCTACCTGTTTTCCTACTTAAGTTTCTCCTCCTAGCCCTTAGGCTTTCTCATTATGTTGATTCTCGTAGGTCTTTCCTACACCTTTTATATACTTGCCAACAGGAACAAACACTAGACTGCATCACTTTGTATTTTACAATATGTCCACATTTTGTATATACCTTTAAGGATCTGGATCACTTTTGACAGCTCTCTTGGAAACCCTATGTTGCCCAGCATAGTGACAAACAAAATGGTACGTATTTTAAAAAATCTTAGAACAACTATCATATCTAGCTGAAACTACTCAGTTTCCTTTTCTAACTCAATTCAGCATCATTTTCTGGTTCTTATGTGCTATGTGTAATGAGATTTGCTTTGAGTTATCAACACTGCAGGGAAATGTTTAAATTAGAAGGAAAAAACCCACCACTGATTTCTTTGAAAATGGAATAAAAACACAATTTTTTTCTGTATTCTATTACGAAAATATCTAAATCCAAAGCTATCATCTCAACAATATCACTTTTTTTCCTTAAGAATATAAACTTGGTTTAGGAAATATACTTATAGAAAGTAATTAAATGGAAACCAAAATCCCTACAAAACATTACTGCATAATATTTCTTGCAACAAAAAGATTGCCTAATGCTTAGAAATTGACAGAGTAGTAGAAAAGACCAGATATCCACTAGTAAAATTCCCACTGGACTTGGGAATTTAATAGCAGCCCTTTAAAAATGAGGAGTCAGGAAAGAGGGAGGTGAGAGGATTTATAAGTGTGGAAGTGTTTGTATGGGGAAAAGGCACTGGAAATTCCTTTTGTTCCTCAAACTTAATCCCTTAAATACTTTAATCCCTTGAAGATTTTTCTTGTGCTCATCACAGGAACAGAAAACCTACTAAGCTTCATTGAGAGTCTACACTGCTGGGAAGAAATCATTAAGACAATGCCTTCCCCATGTGCATTCTCCCCCATGTCTTGCTTGCTTCCCGCTATGCATTAGCCAAGACTCCTGACCTTGGTTCTGTGATCAGGCACAGCACTAAGCAGGCAAGGACAGACACAATGAAATCATGAAATCATGCCCTCTTCCTTAAGAAATTTCTTAAGGGCTAATTACTTCTCAGATAAGGTACCATGTTCTCTGCGGTGAAGTTAGCATCTGTGTGTGTAAGACAGTCATGAAGAACACATTACTATTCATAATGTGGTGTGTGGGACAGACCCTCAACTGGTGTTCACAATGGAACACAAAGAATATTTCCTAACAGTATTTATGGGAAGTTAAGGGAGCATAGAGAAGGGACTGACTAATTCTATTTTGCGCCAGGGTGGCCAAGAGGAGGGAGTGATGCTCCAGAAATGCTTCACAGCCAGTATGCCATTTGAACAAGGTCTTGAAGGATGCACAGAATTTCTCCAGTTGGAGAAGAAGAAAGGCAGAGGACAGTGTGTCCACAGGCGAGGAATGACAGAAAGAACTTGATGTGCTCTGGGGAACTGAACAAGGACAGGGACTGGATGTCAGGAGTTGTTTGACAAAAGTTATCAAAACCTCACAATTTCCTAGAACAATACAATTCCCTTTGTCTGGAAGAAGATGGGTTGGTAACAGCTGCTAAGCGTTAGACTTCAGCTTCAAGTCCAGGTCAGACTTCAAGGCGGTTTGTTGTAGACCACATGAGAAGGGATGTGATCGAGCACAGATGGAAGTATGGCTCAGCTGAGGAAGAAGAACATTTCTTTCCCTGAAAGTGTTGAGAAGGAAAGGGCAGATACAGGTATGGAGGAGAAGGAGATTGACAGAGGAATTTATATCTATGCATAAGGAGATCGGTGGGGTCATCTTTTGAAAGTGAAATGGAAAAGGCTAGGGTAAGAGAAGGATAAGAGTTTTGAATAGTAGCCATGGAGAATAATAAAGGAAGTCTCTATGGATTGTCAAGGCAGCCATAGCAGATGGCCAAGGGGAGCAGGGGCTTTGGAGTTTTGGGATGGGAAAGCAAGGGAGGGCTATCATCATTCAGCCATTCATTTAGCTAACAGTTAAACACACACCATATGCCAGGCATTATGCCAAACACTAATGATCCAGAGAAAAATAAAAGAAGCCCTGCCCATAGGAGTTTACAGCTGATGAAGAAGTTACAGACTTATAAACAACTCCATGCAAGGGTTATAAGTGCTGAGATAAAGATGTATATGCGAAAAATGTGGAGAGGAAATTTTAAAATAAGCGGTAAGGAATTCATTTATGTGGAGGAAAAGGATGCCAGGAAGGCCTTCAAGAAGTGGTACTATAAAAATGTCCTTGTTCTGAGGAGCTACTTGCTCATATAGGGATGAAATGGCCTGATGGCTCTGCCCAACTTCCCTTCAAATCATTAGCCAAAGGGAGAAAAAAAAAGAGAGATAGAAAAATAGAGATAAAGCCAAACATAGCAAGATAACCATTAGTGAATCTATATGGGTGTTCATTATAATATTTTTCAACTTTTCTAGAAGTTTGAATTTTTTTAAAACTAAAAAAGGAGAGGCAACAAAAAGATGTACCTTAACGTCAGAATTGCACTGCGGTAATTTATTTCCTGCCAGTACACAAGGGCTGAGGGTGGAGGTGGGGCTGGAAGATGGGTACTGCCGCAAGAGCAGTGATGATGGCCCAGAGGCAACACTCAACCTGGGTGGGAACTGCAGGCACCCACATTCAGAATGGTTAGAACCCCAGGTACAAGGGGGAGGATGGGGAGAGATAAGGCTGAAGAGGCAGAGAGGGTCCAGACACGGGTAGGAAGAGGACCATTCGCTAGGTCAGGGAACTATGATATCAAGGTGTTGGAAGAGACTCTTCCTTTCCAATCTTCAAAGGGTCTCACTCTGTAGGTTCAGGCATGCCTTTGGCTTCTTGAAGTGAAACATGCAGCAGAGAAGGGGGAATGGAAGCTAGGGTGGACTTTATCTCATTGATTTTGTAATTTCTGAGATGTATGAAACCAGGGTAAGCAGCTAGGAGCAGAATAGAGCTCATATATTACGCAGCTCTTTATACCCAAGATGTTGGAATAGTGTATACATTATAAACAGTGGAGTGGAAATTAGATGGCCATGACCAGGCTGGAATAGGTCAGACTGTTTTTTGTCTTAATGTTTTCCAGTGTTAGATCTACTGGCTGTTTATAGTAAAAGAAAGAACAAGCTGACCCAAGTTATTTGAAAGCCATTGACAGTGTGCATTATTTTAGATTATTATTTTAACAGAGTTAATTCCAGGCCACCAGGTACATGAAAGAGGAAATAAAGTCAGTGAAGTTCAGTCTAAGTGATACTTTTAAGTAATCTTAGAGATAAAGAGACACACCACAGTTGTACTCTAAGGCATTCATTTTTCCAAAGCAATTTTCAAGAAAATTTTAACTAATTGTATTTGTTTCAGAAAACGTTAAAGAATTCAAATATTTTCATGTAATAATAGTATATATTCATTCAGAGAATGAACAGAGAATAAATATATAGGAATAAATAGAGAAGGAAAAACTTTCCTGTTCTTGGCACCTGCCCAAGTGCAGCTCTAGGACTCTGGGAACCTGCATCAGTGCTCCAGTTTACGAAGCTATCTGGGTTCTCACAGGTTCACCCTAAATGTTATAGACTGAATGTTTACATCCCCCCAAATTCATATGTCGAAATCTGATCCTTAATGGGCTGGTATTTGGAGGTGGGGCCTTTGGGAGGTGAGTGCTGTTATAAAAGAGACACTGGTGAGCTCCCTAAGCCCTCCTGCCACGTGAGGACAGCAAGAAGATGGTCGTCTATCAGCCAGGAAGTGCACTCTCACCGGACATCAAGTCTTCCTTGGTCCTGGACTTCCCAGCCTCTGCAACTGTGAGAAATAAATTTCTATTGTTTATAAGCTACTCAGTTCATGGTATTTTGTTAGAACAGCCCGATCAGACTAAAACACTGTCTGAAGGATTATTTGATGGGAATACCGCAGAGGGGATAGTGTGTTCTCAGTACCTCTTATCAGAATGTATTTTCTCCAGCCCAAGTCGGCTGCCCTCTTCAGGCAGCCCTCTAGGAAGCCTGAGACCTGACGTGCTTGAGAATATGTGTAGCTCTATACAAATCTACGTGATTTTGTGTTTGAATGGTGTTTGTACTTACTCCTAGTGTTATGTACAATTACTTAGTGTTTCAGAAAATCAAAACTTGTTGATGATGGTGATGGTTCCAGTTATTCTTGCTTTATAACAAACCATTCCAGAATTTAATGGTGTAAAATAACTGTTTTCTTATGCCCACGGATTCTGTAGGTCAGGAATTTGGAAAGGCCATGGCAGAAGGGGCTTGGTTGTGCTCTGTGGTTTCTGGTGCTTCAGTAGGGAAGACGTGGAGGCTGACGGAATGGGTTGGCTCGCTGCTGGAATCTTCTGGAGGCTTCTGGACTCATATGCTGGATGGGTGGGCTCGTGTGACTCCAATGCTGAGTCCAGTCAGGACTACTGATTGGATTATCTACGAGTGGCCTCTCCATGTGGCTTGGGCACTCTCCCAGCATGGTGGCCTCAGGGTAGTTGGACATCCTACATGGTAACTTATTTAGGGTCGTGTAAGAGCCATGTGAAGGCCATGGGATGATAATTTGGAAAGCACTTTTCTTTCAAACACTTAAAATACATTTACATTGAGTAGCTTCATTTGCTGTTCATGTGAGGAACATACATTCCCTAGATGTAAAGAATAGGGAGAAAGAACAAAACAAGGAGGGAATTCTCAGGCGTGGATCACAGTGAGAGCAATTTAGCTGTATTTTGATAACTCTAAGAAAAAAATTCTGTAAGAACACAGAAATTCAGCACTGTAGTGTACCCACTTAGTGGTATATATACTCATGGTTATTGTCTGTCTTGCTCCCCCTACACAGCTCTGGTTTCAGAAAGATGCCATCAAACCAGTAAGGCTTGCTTTGTTTGAAAGCATTCTCTTAGTTGCAGTCTCCCCAATTCTCCTCCTAAATAAAAATCAAGTAGTTGGTGACTAAGCAGGAGATTATCCCTTCAATGTCACAATTTTGCCCTCAGCCAGGCTGGTCCTAAATATAATTCCTAGCACAATTACTCAACAGGGGCAAAATAGGGGTTTTCTTAGGGCAAGGCTCTTGCCATTACATATAGAGACGTGTCTGGGCCCAGCTTCCTGAAACAGGAAGGCAGTTTAATTTCTTGTTTCTTTTCACCGCCTCTTATGGCACAGTGAAGATGTAAACACTAGCTGAGCAGGAAATCTGAATAGAAGTTTGTACGCAAAACATTTTTGTAGGTTGAGATGTCATACAAAATTTCCTTTAACAGCTGGCTAAAAATTTCACCAGAAATGTTCGGGATGTCTGAACTCTCATGCTGCTGGGGATATCCATTATTATTGGCAAGCATCTAACTTTAGGATAGCAATGTTTTGCAGTCGAAGAATTGGGACACATGTCTAACAACAGAAAAAACCTGGAACTCCGAGTTTATTCTCAATACTCTTGTCTGTATTATTGCCAAATGCAGCCTCCTGAGGTTGTTTCTTCATCTGCAAAAATGGGAGTGTTATTGGTGATCTAATGCTGACTAGTTATTTTAGGCCAGTCACTATGAGTAAACTATTATTTATTTATTTTTTTGGAAACAGAGTCTTGCTCTGTCGCCCAGGCTGGAGTGCAGTGGCACGATCTTGGCTCACTGCAACCTCCACCTCCTGGGTTCAAGTGATTCTCCTGCCTCAGCCTCCTGAGTAGCTAGGATTACAGGCACATGTCACCATGCCCAGCTAATTTTTGTATTTTTAGTAGAGACGGGATTTCACCATGTTGGCCAGGATGGTCTCACACTCTTGACCTCAGGTGATCTGCCCACTTCAGCCTCCCAAAGTGCTGGGATTACAGGTGTGAGCCACCATGCCTGGATAAATATTTCTTAAATAGGGACTGAATGTATTTTGTCCAGCCCAAGTCTGCCCATGCCCTTTCTCTAACCATGACCTTATTATTTGATTAGTTGCTGTTCTGGCTTCCTGAAAAGCTTACAGGATAAAGAAAGACTGGAAGGGAAATGCAGAAAACAAAAGACAAAAGCATAAATAAAGATAGGAAAGGGAAGAAAAGGCAAGAAGAATGAAAAGGAAGATG
The DNA here is from genome assembly GCF_000001405.40 of Homo sapiens. NCBI lineage: Eukaryota > Metazoa > Chordata > Mammalia > Primates > Hominidae > Homo > Homo sapiens. The sequence goes on along the minus strand of NC_000015.10, from coordinate 47,665,306 downwards.
GAAAGCAATAGTTTAGAACAATTAAACGTAGAGGAAATGATCTAAAGCTGCAAAGAAAAAAGAAAGAGAATAGATTTTCTTTGTCCCTGCTTTCTTCCTACTCAAGGGCTGATAATATCAAGCAAGAATCATTCCTACTATGACTTGAAGAAAGAAGTCAAATAAGAAACCCCACCAACTCAACAGGTACATGCTACCACTATAGGTATGTTTGACAGAGGAAGACATTAAAATAGGAAGAATAACGAGCCTCTGAAATATAAAAGAGGATCTTCTCGGTAATACTCAGCCTTGGAATTGTTAACCACGCCCCCCCACCTCCATTAAAGCAGGGCAGGTAAATACAGTCCTCCCACAAAAATTGCAGTGGGAGGTTTGTAGCAGCCATGCTTGCTGAGGTTATTCACTGGGGCTGCCCAGCATTTGCCTACCTGCCTCATTAATGCAGAGACTATGAACTGCATGCAGAGTTGATTGGGGGAACTCAATTCTCAAGATGAGCTTTGAACAACTGCAAAGAGAAAGCTTGAAAACTTTGCAATCAGATGCTCAGTCCTAATCTTGGGAAGTGGCTAATCACTGCAGATTGGCATGTTTCAAGTGAAGAGGACAGGAGAGGTACACACGGGGCAGGAAGGAAAAGGGAGGCAGAAAGTAGGACCAAGGGAGGGACTCATTCCTTCTGGAGAGGTTCCCCTCATGGGGATGCTCAATGATCCACCTATGTCACACCCCAGTGAGGAGGGACGGTCATTTCTGTGATACACATTATAGTGACATTTGCATGCTTTTTGAATACTGTATAGCTGTGATACATGACAAGTGGTTCAGTTCACAGTGCAGTGTGGTTTCCGGTCTAAATAATTATTTTATTGTCTTTTTAAGTTAAGAAGATTTCTTAAGTGGAATCATCATTACCTAGAATGTTTCCTGGCACATGTGGTAAGAGCTCATTAAATATTCTATAAACAGAGCTCAGTTATTATATAGGTGAGGAATCTTCCAAAATAATCCAAGCAGAGCAAATTCCTCTGTTGTGCCTGGATTTGTAAAGCATAAGATAGGCACCTTAAAAAAGTAAGACAAGTGTCATCATTTGATGTGTATGTGTATATATAAATGTATGATAGTTGAGCAGAAATAGCTATAAATAAATAATGGTATCTGCAGTAGATATAATACCATGGGATGAAAACTGTTTTGCTTTGAGGCTCTGTTAATATATTCAATGCCGTTTATCTTCAGATTTGTTCTAACACTGATTTCTGGATTTTTTATTCATAAGAAGAATATCTACTTCATCAAAATGAAAAAGTTCGATGAAGTCTGGTAGTAAAACAAGAATAGATCCAAAAGTCAGAAGACTCAGATTCTGATCCCACAAGCGCTCCTAGTAGTCTGAGTGTCCACGGGCAACCACTTTACATTTCTAGGGCTGAACTTCTGCATCTCCAAACAAAAGAGCTGGGTTAGATGAATTTAATTACCACATCCATGTGCCTGGATTTTCTGAAAGAGAGTGACATTTTCTAGCTTTCTTTCTCTTCTCCTATCCAAACTCTTAGAATATCTTGGAATTTCTAGCAACTCTGTTTTCGAATTACATTCACAGGCGCCTCGAATTCACAAAACATCGGGATCTTCTGAGGGGTGTCGTTTCCAGAATTCTGGTGAAGAACTATGATCACTGTATTCCCTATACTCCCCTCTAGTTCTAATATTCTATGATGCTAAGTTGTATATTTTTTTCATTTCTGGGCACCATTAGGACTAGCAATAGTTTACAAGTAAATGCCTCTTTTCAAAGCTCCCAACCCTATTACTATTGCAGAAACAAAACAAAGCAAAATCCTAATTTTGTTACTTCAGAGATCAATCCAAGATTAATTCAGGATCAGGAAATAAGGTAATTTGGTTCTAGTGACACTGAATTGAGTCAGGATAAACAGTTTACTGGCCAAAAGGAATTACACATTTCAAGCATCTTACTAGCTGGAACAAAGTAATTTTCCATTACTGAACACACTTAGCCTTTTTCACAGTGAGCAATGTTCTTGGAACATTCCTCCTGGAATTTGTTAGCATCTGTGTAATCTTTAAGGACTCCCACTGCCCACTGAATTAAGGGAGTTGATGTTTATTGAGTACCTGCACTGTAACATACACTGTTAGATGCCTTATAAACGTTTTTAAATATTATCTCACGTTGATCATTAAAATTGCTTTGAAATTTAATTACGAGTACTTTACTCTGATCTTCAATGCCTTCTGGCATATGGTTTCAACTTACCTTTTCAGCCTACTTCTTGCCAACATGTAGTATAGCCTATTTCCTCCTGGCTAAACTATTTGTTATGCCCAAAATACACATCCTTGATTTGCCATTTCTATAACTTTTATTATTCCAAATGATTCATGGTGTGTGTGTGTGTGTGTGTGTGTGTGTGTGCGCTCATACACGCATGAATAATGACTGCTTACTTCTATCTCCTTTTTCTCTCCCACGACCTACCCCCTCAATCTAGGTGAAATGCCATCTGCTTAAAACAGTCTTTTGTGCTCTACTCAACTCAAAGTTTGCAAAGAGTGGTATCCAAAATATATGCATTGAGTTGAACTGAAGTCGTGTATTCTTTAAAGTATAAGTTTAGAAGAAATAAACTCCCAACAAATGATGTAAATATGTATACGTGGAGAATGCCTAATGGGGCAGGTTATTGCTGGAATGTATTTGGACACATTTAGGTCTCCCTTCAGAGACAGAGGAATATAAATTCTAAGAAAGATGCACAAAAATTTGTGAACTAATAACAGAATTTTCTGGCCTTTCTGATTGTAAAACACTGTCACTAGAAGATAAAACTGAGATGAATGCTTATGGAATAGCATACAGACTTGGTTATTTTGAAGTTTCAGTGGTGCACTCAAAGAAGATGGCAAAAATCACAGAAATGGATTTGCCATTGTCATTCTGCCACTTCTAGTCCTGCTCTTGGAGATGTCACTCAAAGACTATGAGGAAACAACACAGCCACACGCACAGTATTCTGACTGCCAATGTGTGTGTTTGTTGGGGTGGGGGGTGAGGGGATGGGGCAGTGATGGTGGCAGTAACCCCGCTCCAACATTGCATCTCTGTATGCAGAGCCTATTGGAACTACTGCAACCTACTGCCCTCCATGTTTGCTTTCCCAGACACCGCAGACACCCACTGATACACTCTAACATACAGCTCCACTCACTCCATTTTTGCTTCCAGTGAGGCAAGTCAGATGCATAGCTGGGATTTGCAGACCACATCTGAAGACTGTAACAACCGGCTGGGAAGGAGCCTCCATTAATTGCTGCTGTTAGGAATGCCAGAAATGAAATGAAGCAACTGAGCAGTTTCAACAGTGATCTGTGCAAGATATCTAGGCTGATTCTCCAATTGGGACAATAAGAGTGTTTGAATAACTGAAATACCTGTGTTAGCATTGCTTTTTAAAACATTTGCTTCCTTTTAGAGACATGGGTTCTAATTCTACTCCTGCCCGCACTTTTGACATTTAGAGCAAAAATCTCTCTGTAACTAGGCAACGCGGTTTTGCTTTGCACAAAAGGACTCTAGCATCACCTTCTCAGGACACAAGCTGGTCATTATTCTTCTTGGACGCACAAACAGTCTTACCTTCAAAGTCTCCATTTTCCCACAGAGCCAAAGCTTCAGTTCCTCTGTTCACTTCCTGGAATGAGCTTTTCACTAATACTGTTTTTCTCTCTGAGTTCCTCCCTTCAGGAGAGAATGGGAGAAGCCAGCTCTTCATGCAGTTTCCATAGCTTCACCCCTCACCCAGAAAATCTTAAGGATTGTAGATTTAGCAGAGCAGTGCCAAGGTATCAAAGCCAAAATGTATTTTAGAAATCTTAATTCTAAAATATATTTCAGAAATCTTAACTCTGACATAGGCAGAGATTACATCATCAGTTATTTGCATCATCACCAACTTTTATTTTGTTTTTGTTCAAGTAGTAAAAAAGAAGGATGTGAAAGTATGTAAAAGGAGGCATTTACAACAGGCTACCTCAAAACCAAATAGAGTCAAGCCAATCTTTGTATACATTTCTTAGGAAACAGTTTCCCCAGGGAATTGCATATTGGAGATGTTACTGAGTAGGAAGGGAAGAAGACGCCTGTCAGGTAAATCTCTCTTAAACAAATGTGCAAGAAACAAGGTGGTATCTAAAGTTGACCAGGAAAGAAGGTCCACTTTTCCTTTAGTTGCTTTTCTTAGAAAATTAAGTGAATATGGAAACGAACTGATAACTGTGGCTGAGGGTTCAAAACCGACCTGCTCCATTTTGCTCAAAGAAGACATTAGGCAAATGCTACTGTGTTTCTTTATCCAAAACCTAACTTTATTAAGAAATGAAAGCAGCAGACTTTGCTTGCTTTTCAAATTATTTTCATTTCATTTCAAATTTTCATTTGAAAACGTGCTCCCTTATGCTGTCCAAACAAGTGTAAAGAAATAAAATGAAAAATCAACTTTTCAAGATCTTCAGCAAATTTATGAATCACTCTAGATTCAGAAAAAATCACTTCTAATATCAAAAATAGTTTTAAAATAAACTAGATGTTTTACTTGATAAAGTAATGCATGCATATAGTAAAAAATCAAATATTATAAAATACTGTCCATCAGAAAGTAAGATTTCCCAAGACCCCAGTCACTTCCTAGAGCAAATTCTGTTAATAGTTACTTGTTTATCTATCCAGAAATAGGCAAATAGATCCCATACAAGCCTTTGCATCCGCCTGGGTCTACGTGTTTGTCCACATCCCATATATGCTTTCCTGTACCTTGCTACTCTTATTTTTTAACCTTAGATACATACCATAGGTTTTTGCATATAGTTATATATAGATCTGCCATGTTTAAAAAAGTAACTGCAAGTTATCACATTGTGTCGAGGTCTGTAATTTATTCAATTAGGCCTCCTCTATTCATACACATTTAGATTATTCCCAGGCATTTACTATAACTTTTCAAGAAATATCTTACGGTCCCTTCCAAGAAGTATGACCACATACAAAGTGACTTTACCTATTTCTCAGGTTTTTTTTTTTTATTATGTTGATTGGGGATAACTGTAGTACATATCTAAGGCAGACACTTTTGATTGCCTATTCAGCAACTATTTCCTCCTTTTTAAAGTGTTAATATTCTTACTTTGTCTTGGTGGCCACACAACATGCTCAGGTAAGTGGAGTCTATAATACAAAAAAAAAATGGAGTCCTATGAGATTAAACAATGATTGGTTATAGCAAGATTGACAATGACAATCCCTTTTGGTAATGATCAAAGTTAATATGTATCACTTAAGTTACTCTTCAAGAAGGGACATCAAATTAAAATGAGGTTATCTGTTTTCAAATACTCTTACCAATATGTATAATCAAACTTTTCTAATTTGTGGGTATAAAAATTTATTTTAACTTGCACATTTTAAATTGTGAGGTTAAACATCTTTCATTTATTTAGAAGCCATTCATATTTTTTCAGTAACCTGTGTATTCATGACCTTAGTCCTTTCCTTTCGTGAACTTTAAGAACTTTGTATATGTAAAGGAAAATCAGACCTTTGTCATGGGCTGCAAATATAAATCTGTCATTTGTTCTTTTAGAAATATTTTTGACACATGAAAACTTTTGATTTTTATAAACAAATTTATTAGTCGTCATTTTCTTGTTTACAAAGAACTTCTCCACTCCAAGTTTGTAAATGACAAAAAATAAAAACATTGTAAAAATTATGATCCTATTTATTCTTATAATACTTTAATTTTTTTTAACATTTGATTCATATATCTATCTGTATTTAGTCACAGACATAGGTATTTTATTTTTATTTTTTACTTTTTTTGCAGATGACTGGCTAGTTTTCCTAATACAATTGCATTGATCAATTCCTGTATCTTCATTGATTTTAATATAATATTTATCATATACTAAATATTCTCAATAGACTTGGATCTATTACCAGACTCTATCCTATTTTATTGACCCATTTGTATATAATGTGCTAAAATCAAATTGTTTAATGTAGAAATACATTTTTATACTAACTGAGTGATATATCACATTATTTGTATATTTTGGAAATGCTCTGACTATTCATATGTGTTAATTTTTTCATGACAACTTTAGATTTTGTTTCTCTAATTTAAAATATTACATTGGTATTTTAATTTGGATTCCATAAGTTCATTAATTTGAAAACCGACCTATTTACAATACTGATAAAGTATGCCCTTTTTAGTCCTCAATAGAATATTAAAGTTTTCTTCGTAAAAATCATGAAGCTTTCTTGTTAAGCACATTCTTTACCATTTTTGTTGTTATTTAAAAGGATATTTTTTCTCCTTTTATATTTTCTAAACTGTTGTGTGTGTGGGTATGTGTGTTTGTGTGCACATATGTGTGTGTGTTTGTGGATCTAGGGAAGTTAAATGACAGTCTCCTATGCCTTGTTAAATATAATTTGCTTAATATAATTTAAGCTCTTCTTTTAATACAAATTGCTACTCTTAATGTGGATTATTGTGACTAACTAATGTGATGAACAATTGCTATGTAAGATATCATAACAGACACTAGAAAATGACAGACTGAATGTTTAGATGTTAGTTGAGGGGGGAAGGATTGCGCAGTCCAACACCAAAATTGGACACAAGTACCTTTGTCCAGTATCGTTTATGAATATTGTTGCTAAAATTCAAAATAAATGCTTGAAACTTAAATTCAGGGGTCTTATATCACTTCTTTAAGTCTAAGCTACATATTTTTTTCACATTTTAATATTTTTGAAATTGAGAAGCATCTTACAGTCCATCTATGTATCTTTTGTAGTAATGTTTCTTTTTCCTGCTGAAAAATCCCTTACCATAATACTTGATGGCGTGTAAGAGTTGAGAAAAATATTATATTATAGCCACATAGGTTTCTACCTCTAATCCCAGGAAAGCAAGAATAGTTTAGCCTATCTATTAATATGATCAGTTACTTCTGTTGTTCAAAGGATACAATGTAAGAAATTATTAAGAGGTATTGAAAATTTTGGATAAAATTTAACATCTTACTATTTTTATAAGTCAATAACATGATATATAAAGAATAAAACTTCATTTGCATCATAAAAATATCTCAAACCAACTGCCACTATCATTCTTATAATAAGACATTACAAATATCACATTAAAGTAAGGGTAAAGAAATGAAGCCCTGCTGGGCGTGGTGGCTCACGCTTGTAATCCCAGCACTTTGGGAGGCCGAGGTGGGCGGATCATGAGGTCAGGAGATCGAGACCATCCTGGCTAACAAGGCGAAACCCCGTCTCTACTACAAATACAAAAAATTAGCCGGGCGTGGTGGGGGGTCCCTGTAGTCCCAGCTACTCGGGAGGCTGAGGCAGGAGAATGGCATGAACCTGGGACACGGAGCTTGCAGTGAGCCGAGATCTGCCACTGCACTCCAGCCTGGGTGACAGAGCAAGACTCTGTCTCAAAAAAAAAAAAAAAAAAAAAAAAAAAAAAAAAAAAAAAAGAAATGAAGCCCTCTGTCACTAAATGGATTAAATTTTTGTATGAATCCTAGCCTACATTTAGATAAAAAAGTTTTGATCCTATGATTAAAAAAGGTATACATGTTGAGAAAAAGGAGAACATGCATTATAATTTTTAGATATATTCTCTTTCTTTCTGAATTAAATTGTAAAATACATGTAATAAGAATATTAGGAAATGCAAAAATTAGTAACTTCCTTATATACCTGTAATCCCTAGTTCAAAGTTAAAATGGAAGAAAATTCTGTTCATGACAAAATTAATAATATTAAAAACATAGGAAAAAGCTAAAAATGAGTAGAAACGAGTTGAAGAAAATCATGAAATTCTGCTCAAATACATAAAGCATATACACGTGGAGAATCATATTGTTTCTTTATACAGAACTCTTAAGTATTAAGGCACTCAGAACCTACAAATATTTAACAGCTTTCTCTTCTTAATTTTAACAGTAAGACTTAAAAACTTACTGCTCAGTTCACTCTTTATCATCTGTCTGTGCTCAATCACTTTTTTCTATAAATGTTAGCATTACTTTTTAATTTCTGCTTTTTGCTTTTCACTAAAGGAAAATGAATCAAACTGTACAATTTCTTCAATGCTCTGATCCACTACAGAGATTGCATACATCCCATTATACAGAGTAGCATATTTCAGGTGAATCTGGCATTCGATACAATTTCAACAACACAGCCTGATGCTTTCTGGGGTTATAGACATTACACAGGGTATTCTCTGCCTCTTAATAGTATGTAGCTGTTCTCTTTCTGTCACTTTTGTCACTCATTATTTTCCACTATCCGAGTGTATACTGGTTTCCACTCCTGTCTCTGCTTCTAACTGATGCCACCATGCTGATCACCATCCTCTCTTGTGCATGTTTTGTAGCTGTTTGCAAAAGGCAAGCTTAGTATTGATCATCAAGGGGCTCTTCCCTTCCACAGAGCAAAGGGGTCTCATGTGCATGCAGCTTATATCAACTGCATTTGATGCTGAGATAATGCTTTACCACTAAAAAGTTGCTAGCTTTAAAAACAAGCAAACAAGTTTGAAGGCTTCCTAGAAGCCTAGCCATTCCAGAGGCTCAATTCTGGACAGCAAAAGCTCAATCATAGAGTTATCCTTACAGACAAAGAAACAATACATTGTTAAATACAAATAGAGTAAGTGTGTTCATTGCTATTTGAACTTATTTTTAAAATAATTTTAAGGTGAAAATCCTAATATTGTATTAGAAGGGCACAGAAACCAAATTTTCTAGCTAAGAATTATATGCCAGGTACCACGCTGGACACTTTACACAGTAAATATTCATTATTCATGGTAGCTATGTTCTATAAAGTCACCACAAACACAGCATTAGCAAATACTGAACCATTGTTCTTAGGGGAGCTACAGGGTTAGATTCCTGTGAGCCTCTGGTCACATTTTTGTCAACAGATCAATACATAACCTTGTTTGATATGTGTTTCTATTTAAAGGCACCTTATTTCGTATATACTGTTGGTTCATTAGTGTTAAACACACAGCCAACAGCACTATAACTCAAATGTGAACAAAGCTTATCTAACACACATATTTTCTCCATAATGCACATCACAGCCTTCTTGTGTTTAGGAACATTAGACAGTATGTCAGCATTATGGTTGGGAGCCATTTAAAACAGCAAAATGTGAAAAGGTGGCATTAAATAAACTGTTGAAAGGACATGTGTTTACAGTATTAGAGCTGAAATAAAAAGGCAGAGCATCACCTTGCTCAACCTCACCTGGTAATGAATGCGTGAGGCAACTCACATTTTTCACCACTTTGTGCAAATCCAGAAATGACTGCACAAGTGCTACAAACATTGATTTTGAAATTATAAATATATTTTGGCAAGTAGGTGAATTCCCAACTACTGAATCCGTGAATAATGAGGATTAACTGTATTTGAGTTTTCATTTTAGCATCCCCAGCTTACAGATGAAAAAGCTAAGGTGTAGAGATGCTTTTTAATAGAGAGCTTCAAGAACACATTAATAATTTGTAAGGTTTTGTTTGTGTAATTCTAAGACCTTTGCTCTTCCCACATGTTTTCTAAATACTAATAATGAACTTATAATTCATCTTCTTTGAAGGAAGCGAATGTAATTGCAATATTTAAAATAAGGTGCAATGCTCACTTAAAACAAGATATTGATTTTCTTGGACTTCTTGTGGTCTTATTTAAGACATTTGTAAGTGTTTATAGCAAGAATGCACATATACATATTATTTTCTTGTTGTTATTGACTTTCTGTTCAGAGAGATTTAAGAATATAATTATGGAGAGAGAAATTATGACAACAGTCCTCAACCCTGGTTTCACATCAAAATCCCTGGGAAGTTAAAAATATACACATAAATGTCCAAAGCTGGCCCAGGCCACTTAATCAGAATCCTTATGGGGAAGGCCAAGACATCTGTAATGTATTTAAAAGCTTCCCAGTTTATTTGGATGTGCAGCTAGGTTCGGATCCATTGAATTGCAGGATGTAGAAACCATTCAAGAAAATTCACTACATCTTCTTCAGTAAGAGATCAAGAAAGGTATGGAGGGAAAGAGTAAAGATGTATCATATACGGTTGGCCTTTGAACAACATGGGTTTGAACTGAATGGGTCCACTTATTCTGCTCCTGCCACCATGAGACAGTTAGACAAACCTCTCGTCTTCTTCCTCCTCCTCCTCAGCCTACCCAGTGAGAAGATGATGAGGATGAAGATTTTTATGATTGTATTAGGCCATTCTTGCATTGCTATAAAGGAATATGTGAGACTGAGTAACTGATAAAGAAAACAGGTATAATTGGCATATGGTTCTGCAGGTTTTATGGGAAGCATGGTGCCAACACCTGCTCAGCTTCTGGAGAAACCTCAATAAGCTTAACCATTATGACAGAAGATGAAGCAGAAGCAGGCATGTTAATGTGACAAAAGCAGGAGCAAGAGAGAAAGGCAGTGGGGGGAGGAGCCGCACAGTTTTAAATGACTAGGTCTCCTGGGAATTCAGAGTGAGAGCTCACTTATCACCAATGAGATGGCCCAAGCCATTCCTGAGAAATCCAGCCTCATGATCCAATCACCTCCCACCAGGCCCAATCGCCAACATTGGGAATTACAATTCAACATGAGATGTGGGTGGGGACAAATATCCAAACTATATCAATGATGATCCACTTCCACTTACTGAATGGTATATATATAGTCTCTCCCCTATAATTTTTTAAATAACATTTTCTTTTCTCCAGCTTCCTTTATTATAAGAATACACTATAGAATACAGATAACATACAAAATATGTGCTAATCAACTATTTATGTTATCACTAAGGCTTCTGGTCACAATAGGATATTGGTAATTAAGTTTTGGGAAAGTCAAGTTATACATGGATTTTTGACTGCACCAGGGAGTTGGCAGACCTAAGCTCCGCATTGATTGTTCAAGGGTCAACTGTAATTACAAAACTGGTTAAAAAGTGGTATAAATGGTGATCTAGCACCACTGAATTAAACTAAAAGAGGAAGAGCCCTGCAGTTCGGGATGGAAAAATGATCATCATCCCTTCTTTCTTCTTCATTTTAGGTGAAGACAACACTAATTTTGTGGGACCCTTGTAGAAGATTCATAATCACACCAACATGGAAGATAAGATTTTATATCACTATAAATCCCCAAGGCTAGGGATTATCGCCATTTTGCTCACCACTGAATTCCCAGAGCCCAGCACAGTGCCAGGAACAATGTAAGTCTCATTAGATTTGTGCTGAATATACTAATGAGGCATTGCATTGATTCTGAAATGAATGACGGCAAGGGCCTTTAATCCCTGATTAATTTTCCATTCGTTCATTCGTGGATATGACAAGCATGCCTTCTGTGTACATATATGCCCTCTGGGTGGCTGTTTACTATGCGGCATACAAGAGAAATATAAGATACATTTTTACTACTAAGAAGTACATTATTGTTGCATGGGCAAGGCATATGAAATATTAGTAATCCATGTTAAATAATTATTTTAAAAGCACCTCACTGAATCACAAAGATAATAAGTATTGGGCAATTGTTTAGGCAAAGCTTTGCAATGGCTCTGGGTCTCTAAGTGGCTCCTAGAGAACCACTAAGCTCTGCTTAGCCAGAAAGGAGCAAGTCAATCAAAAGAACATTCAACAAATGAAGGAAACACTAGAGGCATCAGCTCTGTTCTCTAAAGGTCTTGCTATGAAAGAGTTGGCATTTTCTCTGGGTTTGAGAAGAATGCGTGAGTATTAGGGAATGAGCACCAGCAGTCGATTTTCTCTGCTTTTTGTGATTTTTATTTTCATTGCATATTTGAAGAGTCTCTATTATTTCCCGCAGAGTCAAGTTTCTTTTTATGTGCAGATTCCATCACACATTAAGCATGCTTACATGCGAATAGCTTCAGGTTAAAGTTCTATTTGAAGTTTTTCTATGTAAAGAGTGATTCAGCCTTGATTTAAGAAAATTTCTCATTATCTTGCATTTTCCTTGCAAACTGATCTTCTCTCAATTATACCTTGCCAGGTGTATGGGCATGTTTACCTGCTAAGAAGACAGAACTATTTTTATCATACCCTTTCCTAGCCAAGGAGAACTGGGAGTGATAAGTACGCATGGAGAGTAAGTCCATCAACATTCTTAAGTTCTTGGCACCATAAGCTCAGGTACGAGGAGTGCTAGGCTCTTGTATGTTTCAAAATTTATATAATCTTGGTTGCTGTCACTGAAAAATGATTTGATTTAACCCTAGCTTTATTGCAGCTGGATTGAGAGCTCCTCAAAAATACTTTCCACTCACTGATGGGGAACAGCTTTATGAGTGTCTATCTAACTCTGAAGCAAAGCAGAGACAAAAAGGATCATTTCCTTAAATAAGAGAAACACCAATGAGCCAATTATAGCACGAAGCCAGTCCTTGAACCTTCCTTTGGACCTTGCTTTCTTTAGAGACAGGCTGGGCACAAGCCACATGTAAAATCTGTACGTCTCACTGGGCAATGGCAAGCACCAAGGGAAAGCAGTCTATACGTGAAGTGGACTAAATAATGCCCCCAAGGCTTTTCTGTTTATATATGATGCAAAAACACTCAACATTATCTAGCTACACCATTCCACAGTTACATTTTTAACACTCTCGGGAAATTGGAGACGGGTGGGTTTTTGAAGAAGGGGAGCGGAGCGGGCAGGCGGGGTGAGGAGGGGGTCTGGGGAATTCCAGAGACTAGCACAGACTTCAAAGTCCTATTCCTGCTAATCTCATAATGTCCTTGAGCTCCTCCAGGAACAGCTGCTGTTGTTGGTAAAACTGATCTTAACCCTTAAGGTACTAGCTCCCTATAAACAGAAAACCACACAAAGACCAGGTGGGAATATCCCTTGAAAATAATAGATTTTGGGTTTTTTCTCCTCTTTGTCTCTCATATTTCTATATATCAGAAGCACTCATTCACTCCACATTACTTGAATGAAGCTTCTACATGCAAAGTACTTTTTAAAGACAGCAGGGAATTCCAAGTGTAAGAAATATTTCCTGACCACCAGGAGTTATAATTTCCCAGTAAAGGTAGAACAGTATATTATGTATGGCAAAAAATGATTCAGAAAATAAGCTTATGAATACTAAGAGTAGGATGAGATCACCACTGACTTGGGAAATTAGAGAAACGTTCCTTTTTTAAGCAGGCCATTTTTGAAGGACACGTAGACTTCTGATCATCCAAGATATATCCAGGCAGGGGAAAGATGTGGTTGTTGTAAAGCATAAGGGAGTGACTGGTATAT